>NC_000003.12:144955574-146205574 GCF_000001405.40 Homo sapiens | reverse complement strand
TCAGATTGACTTACAGTATCACAGTGCTTGCATTGAAGTAACTTATTTTACTTAATTATGTCTCCAAAGCACAAGAGTAGTAATGCTGGGAATTTGGATATGTCAAGGAAAGACCAAAGAGAGGCCATAAGGTCTTCCTTTCCATGTAAAGGTGAAGGTTTTTTACTTAATAATAAAAAAATTCCTATGCTAAGGTTACTAAGATCTATAGTAAAATTAATATGTCCATGAAATTGTAAAGAAGAAAAGAAAAATTTGTGCATAGTATATACAGGATTTGGTACAATCTGTGGTTTCAGGTATCCACTGAGGGCTTGGAAAGTATCCCCTGAGGATAAGAGGGAGACTACTTTATTGGAGATTCCATAGAACCTTCTGAATCTTTTTTGTTGTTGTTTATAGAAAAAGGAAGTGCTGAAATACATTATAAAGAAGAAACTTCCCAATTTAATACTTACCTCCCCAGGTCAACAGCCAAGTATTTCCTCGAGTTCTGTCATTTCTCTTTTCAATTCTGTATATTGACAGGGACCCTGATAATCTTGTGTGCTGAAAACTATTTGTATAATATTATAACATTGGTGTATAGAAGTCAATACAGTTGGATCAGGAAAATTTGGATTTTACAAAAGCCAAAATTTATCCTAAATTATTATTTGGACAAAATTTTGACAAAATGCAAAACTCATTCAGGTGAAGTGCTAGAGTAAACATCTACATTATTTCAGAAGATAATAAAATGTTTGTAGCTTATCAAGTTTAGAAAGTCTCATTTCTATACTTGGTGATAAATACAGAAGTTGTTCTTGGGAATCTAACATCTTCTACAGTCAATTCTCTTTTCAAATTGTATAGCTTTGTTTATTTAAATATTAAAAACTTGTTTCTTAATTTCTTTTATGATTCTGACAGAGGTTAATTTAACGTATTTTATGAGTTTTCCCTTTTAGGAATATTTAGAGTTAAAGAAATAAGTGAAAAAATAAACAAAACACAGGTTTGGACCCAGGCAAACCTGGTTTTTTAATTCTGTCCTACTCTCTAGTAACTCAAAAACTTTGATAAAATTTCTAACCTCTTGCTGCTTGAATTTTATCATCTATAAAATAGTATTATCAATACCTACCTTACCAGATTGTTAGGAGAATTTTTAATGAGATAAGGGTCACAATGTGCCTAATATTTTTGACATAAAGGGCCGTCCCAATGGATGAAAGCTATGTGGCTGTTATTAGCTTAAATACCTTCTTATGTGTGAATGCAAGACATAGAGCCAATCTTTTTCCTCTATCTACCCTAGTCTTTTTGAGATCTCACATGAAGATTACATGAATCTTTATCAAGGTTCCCAAGAATCCTAAAACATCCAAATTAGCACGATTATATTATTTTCAGAGTCTTGGCTTTACCAGTGACTTTACCAATTTGTCAAAGAACTACCCCTTAACAGACACATATTATTGAGTTCCAGGAAGGGACACAATAATATTGAAATTAGGCCAGTTAATAATCCTGTGATGGCCTCTGAGTGTTCAAGTGAAAGAAACAATTGCACATCTCTCACTGTAAATAAGAAAGCTGGAAATGATTTAGCTTAATGAGGAAGGCATGTTGAAAGTTGAGATAGGCCAAAAGCTAGTCTTCTAGCACCAGTTAGCCAAGCTGTGAATGCAAAGGAAAAGTTCTTGAAGGAAATTGAAAGTGATATTACTCCAATGAACATATGAATGGTGAAAAGTAAAAGAGCCTAATTGCTGATATGGAGAAAGTTTTAGTGGTCTAGAAAGAAGATCAAACCAGTCACAACATTTCCTTAAGCCAAAGCATAATTCAGAGCAAAGCCCTATCTCTCCTAAATTCTATGTAGGCTGAGAAAGGTGAGGAAGCTACAGAAAAAAAAAGTTTGAAGCTGGCAGAGGTTGGCTCACAAGGCTTAAGGGGGGAAAAAAGGCACTTTTGTAACATAGAAGTGCAAGGTGAAGCAGCAAGTCCTGATGTAGAAGCTGCAGTAAGTTTTTCAGAAGATCCTAACTATAACAAGATCATTGATGAAGGTGACTCTGCTAAACAACAGATTTTGAATATAGATGCAACAGCCTTCTGTTGGAAGAAGATGCCTTCTAGGACTTTCATAGCTAAAAAGTAGAAGTCAACGCCTGACGTGAAAACTTCAAAGGACAGACTGACTTCCCTGTTAGGGTCTCTTGCAAAACATTACTACTCACTGACAACACATCTGGTCACCCAAGAGCTCTGATGGAGACGTATAAGGAGATTAATGTTGTTTTAATGCCTGCTAACACAACATCCATTCTGCAGCCCATGGGTCAAAGTATAATTTCAATTTACAAGTCTTATTGTTAAAAAAATGAATTTCGTTAGGCTATAGTTGCCATAGATGGTGTCATTTCTCAGACAGATCTGGGCAAAATAAATTGAAAACCATGTGGAAAGGATTCACCATTCTAGATGCCAATAAGGACATTCATGATTCATGGGAAGAGGTCAAAATATCAGCATTAACAGGTGTTTGGGAGAAGCTGATTGCCACTTTTATGATGATTTTGAAGGGTTCAAGATTTCAGTGGAGGAAGTAATTTCAGATATGATGGAAACAGCAAGAGAACTAGAATTTGAAGTGGAACCTGCAGATGTGACTGAATTACTGTAACTCATGATACAACTTTAACAGATGAGCACTTGCTTCTTATGTATAAGCAAAGAAAGTGCTTCCTTGAGATGAAATTTACTCCTGGTGAGAATTCTGTGAACATTGTTGAAATGACAAAGGTTTTAGAATACTACACAAATATAATTGATAAAGCAGTGGCAGTTTTTAGGTGGATTGACTCCAATTTTGAAGGAAGTTCTACTGTGGTAAAGTACTAAAAAGAACATCATGTGCTACAAGGAAATCTTTCATGCAGAGAAGAGTCAGTCAATTGATATGGCAAACTTCATTATCTTTTGTTAAGAAATTGCTGCCGCCAACCTGGGCTTCAGCAATCACCACCCTGACCATTTAGCAATCATTAACATAGAGACAAGACCCTCTACCAGCAAGAGGATTGTGACTAGCTGAAGTCTCAGATGATTGTTAGCAGTTTTTAGCAATAAAGTTTTTTAAAATTAAGATATATACTTCTTTTAGATTAATACTCTTACACACACTGTAGACTACATTATAGTGTAAACATAATTTTAGATTCAATAAGAAAATAAAACATTCATGTCACTCACTTTCTTACAATAATTGCTTTATTGCCTTGGTCTGGAACCAAACTTGTAGTATCTTCAGAGTATGCCTGTAGTTTATATTTTTACTTTTCACTTCTAGATTTTAATACCCTACTTTTCTAAAATGGACTATAAACCATTTTAGTAGTCACTTTTGGTATTTTATGAGGCATATTTATGTCTCCTTATGTCATTGTGTTTTTATGTAAGAAAAAGGTTTTAATTAAGCATAGATTGTGCCCTTTGTACCCTCCTGTAATTAATCACACCATAAAACATTCGTGTTTAGGTACATTATTTTAATTTCATGTATTACTGCATTCATATATTCTTCATTAATTAATGTACTTAACCAATGTTTGGTGAAATATGGCACTTCAGGCAGTGTTCTGGGCTCAGGGATTAGGAATGGTCTAATGGTCTAAATGATGTAAAATTATACAAATATAATCAGTGTGTCCTCAAGAAGGTTTCTTTTCTTCTGCTAGAATGTTCTCACATGTAACAGATAATGTGCCCATCAAACTGCTCATCTTTAGAATGATTCCTAAGATAGAAATTTCTCTAATGGTATATACCCAGCCGTCCTTTTCATGGGTTGCCATCTAACAATGTTTCCTTTCTCTTCCCCTAATCCTGTTCACATGCTTCCTAGTGTAATAGACCCTTCCCTTATTAAAGTGTGCACTTGGGGAAGACCCTGGCCTTTGTAGATCAAGTGAATGCAAGTCAGTTTATAAACCTCTGCTGGAGGTACCTGTAAAATAATATAAAATGGGGACACTCCATGTGAGGTTCACCCTGGCTTGTTTGTTCTCCTTAAGCCACTGAGAGACTTCCCTTTTCTATGGCTGGTCCGTGTTAATCGTTCTGAACTTAACTAAACAACTACAGGCTATGGATGACATGTAGAGAGACCAGTGAGTAGGGACTTATCTAGGAACAATCTATAAGCACAGCTTCTTCTGATGTGATTACTACAGCAAGTAGATGTTTTGTTTTTCTGATATAGCAGACAACTTTTTTAAAGTGGTACTGAAAGAAAGTGTTTTTCTAATATGGACAACTCTGCTAATATCCATCCGATCAGATGCAGATAAGCTAATTTCAGTTGGTAAAATTTTTTTGATTCTATTGACTTTCAAAAATATATTTTGGTATCAATTGATGCATTTTAATATCTATTTCATCAGTTTATTTTACAGTGGTATTTTAGTTCTGTTATTTCTGTCTTCTGATTGCTTTGTTTTATCCCAACAGTTGGACAACATACATGTTCTTCAGCATTTTGAGCCTCTGGAAAGTATGTATAATTTTTGTAGTGCTCAGCAGTATTTTAATCAGATGGAAATTTGCATTATCCAATATCTAGTTCCTTCTTTATATTGATCATGTTTTAGTGGCTCAAAGAAAAAAAAACTGCTCTATTACCCTATCTTCAAGAAAGTAATAAAGTGAATTATTTTGTATAATTTTATCCTTCTATACATCATATAATCATAAGCTCTTAGATTTGAAAAGGGCTTACATTTTATCTGGTCAATAGCCCTACACTTTACCCATTGTTCCTACTCCACATTTACCTTTCAAAGATGAGTAAAAAAAGGAGCCAAGAGACTAAATGAGTTAGCCAGGGACACCACAGTCAGCTAATCACCTCCAGATCAGGAAATAGCATTTAAACCACAGTCAGCTAATCAGTGGCAGAGCTGGAAATAGAATCCAAATCTGCCAAATCGTAGTGCAGTGCCCTCGCTTTGGAAGTAAGAAGAAAAGATCTCAGTCAAAATGATGCCTGTTCTCAGTTCATCCTACAAGAGTACTGACCCTCACTAAACCAGCTGTGCACATTCATTTGGCCACCACATAGGGCCTTTGACTTTTCTTGGTTTGTTCTCTTGTTTGTAATTAGTAATGACCCTACTCCTCCAAGCATGTTTCGTGAACTGATTAATTAATGGTCAAATGTATAATTTTTTTAAATGGTTTTATAATTAAAGTTTTCTGAATTCAGATACTCCAGGAATTGAAACAAAAGGGTTGTTTCAATCTTTTCTTTTATGTAAAATTTTTTTAATGTTTACACTGAACTTCTTAAAAGAAATGTTTTAAATTTTCACAATTGCTTAAATACTTTTAGATAATATGATTTTTGGGGTACTCTAATCAATTCTACATATTTCACCTGAAACTTTAAAAAAGCTATGTTGCTTTAAGCCCTTAAGAAATACTAAACAAGGACTTTCTGAGGCCCATTTTAAATGTTTCTAATATAGACTTACTCATTTTATTTTTTAGTGATGACATGTTTTGAAACTAATAATAGATATGATATTAAAAACAACTCAGACCAGATGGTTTACATTGTAACCGAAGACACAGATGACTTTACCAGGAATGCCTATCGGACACTAAGGCCCTTCGTCCTCCGGGTCACTGATTGTATGGGCCGAGAAATCATGACAATGCAGAGACCCTTCAGATGCACCTGCTGTTGCTTCTGTTGCCCCTCTGCCAGACAAGAGGTCAGAGAATGGAAGTCTGATCCACAGCTTGCTTCTGATCTAACTCTTCATGGCATAGTGTGCTCCTTCCACTACATAGGGAGGATATTCCCTGGCCCTGCCAGCCAGAATGGAAGAAGATAGTGGGGAGGGAGGAAACCAAATTGTCTCGCCTAAGGAAAATCATAGAGGATTTTTTCTTTTTGGTTACTACTTTTTAGTGCTTAAATAAGTGGGTCAAGCACAATTGACATATGTGTAGTCAATAATTATGATTCCATCAGTTGCATCTACTTAATTAGAAATTTACCTACCACATTTATCTAAATGTACGTACCTATCACTAGATAAAGCAATGCTAAAGATAAACATATGCTTTTAGAATTGGAAGGGACTTAAATATGTTTAGAGTACCCATCACAACGCATACCTTGCCACAGATAAAGAGTGGCTCAAAATTACTAAATGGCTGAGGTGTTACATTTGGCTAAGGACAGGGCTGGAACTAGAATACAGATGTGCTGAGTTACAGTGTGGTTACTCATTATCTTGCATTTCTAAGCAAGTTATTTTCTGTAGGGAAAAGAGAAGCGGTTTTGGAGAGAAACCAAACAGAGTCTGAATTCTAGATATGTCACCTACTTAAATCTGTAAAATTTAATTAACCTGTTTGAGCCTTAGTGTTCTTATACATAAACTGGGTAGTATAATACATCATAGGATTACTGAAATACTTAAATGATCTGTTAAATAACATCCTTTACTAAATATTAATTTTTTACAACCGTCTCCAGGCCTTATTTACCTGTAAAATGGAAATATTAATAGTACCTATCGGATAGGATGATCATTTTAGGGATTAAGTCAATTCTTCTGCACAGTTCCTAGCAAATAGTATAGTACTCAATGAATATTTTCTCTTTTCAGAAATCTTACTCCTTTGTTATTATTGTCTTTGTGATAACAGCCTTATATGTGAAGTGAATACCTATTATCCTTGATCCTTTTGGATATAGTAGGCATTTATCTTCATATTTATGAGTTAGATTTTTTTTTAATCAAAGCCTATAGATACAGCCTTCTGAAATTATAGGAAGCCAGAATAAAGGAAAGCAAATCAAAATTACAGCTGGGCAGGATGGTTTACACCTGTAATTCCAACACTTTGAGAGGCTGAGGTGGGAGGATCACTTGAGGCCAGGAGTTTGAGATCAGCCTGGGCAACATGGTAAAACCCCATCTCTACAAAAATAAAAAATAAAAAAATTAGCCAGGCCTGGTGATGTGTGTCTGTGGTCCCAGCTACTTGGGTGACTAAGGTAGGAGGATCACTTGAGCCCAGGATATCGAGGCTGCAGTGACCTGTGATTACACCACTTCACTCCAGCCTGGGTGACAGAGAAAGACCCTTACTCCTAAAAAAAATTACAAGCCTAGTCCAATTTATGACACTTTTGTCTCATAACTTTACCTAGGTTTTTCTTCAGATTTCTCCAGTTTTACTTGTATTAATTTGTGTGTGTGTGTATACATTTAGTTTGTGCAGTTTTATCATTTGTGTAGATTCCTGTTTCCATCAGCACAATACAAATCCCAAACAGTTCCATCATCACCAAAGTCCTCTTTTATTACCATATCCACATTCCTCCCTCCTCTTTGTCCCTAGCCCTTCAGAACCACTAATCTGTTCTCTATGTTTATAATCTTGTCATTTCGAGAGTGTTATTTTAGCAGAATCATATAGTATGTAACTTTTCAGGATTGGTCTTTTTCATCCACAGTAATTAACTGGAGATTCGTACAAGCTGTTACCACTAGTTCATTCCCTTTTATGGCTGAGTAGTATACCATGGTATGAATTTTTAAGGAATTTATTTTTGTACATTTTTATTTTTATCTCATAGGTTTAAACTTATATGAGAGCTCTATGATACTCTCAAATTTATATATTTGTATATAGGTGTGAATTTATACATATGAACAATAATACCTTAATTTAATAATTTATGAAGCTGTGCAGTCCTGTTCCATGTCCTGGGTAATCCTTTCCCCAAATTCTTATGAAAGTACATGTAACACCAGAGAAATAGTCAATAAAATTTTCACTTTGGGCTTTTACCAAATAATTTAATCTTTATGACTCATTATTATTAAACAGGAAGATCTTAATTATTCACAAAATAATATTGTTGAAGATAAATAGCTAAAAACAGGGTAGTGGACAATATTTTAAAACTTTTAAAAAATGGCTTTATAAACCCATGTACACATTTTGTTGTTTTCACAATATATAATTTTCAAAATGCCTCTTTTTTGTTTTCTGTTATAATTTTCATGTCTGAGATTTGATTTTACCCAATTTCAAATCTAAAAAGTCAGCTTAACTGTTTAATAGACTGAGTCAGAAGAAATGAGACTCCTAGGAAGGAGACAGAGGACCGTTTTACAGCACAGCAAGCAGCATAAGTGTGTAGGTTCCCCTCATCTCCAAGTTCTGAGGTTGACTTGGAGAAGCCCATTGCTTCCTCATTGTAAGCCTTTTATTTTTTACTTATCCTGAGAAAATTGTTCTTTCTGATGGAGAAGCAGTGTAGTGTAGTATCAACAGTAAGCCTTGAAACCAAGCCAACTTATCTCTGTGCCACTTCCTAGTTCCATGTTTTAGAAAGTGTTTAACACTTGCAAGCCTCAGTTTCCTCATCTGTAAAATGGAGATTAAAATACTTATATTTTTCAGAGTTATAAATATCAGCTGTTTATGCAGCTTGCCAACACTGAACTTGGACAACTGGCCATTATGTAACAAGCCCTAATTAAGCCTGCTGTCTATCCCAGAGGCAAACATGACCTCATCCGTTAAAGCTTTTCACTGAAATCCAACCTGAAGAATGGCCTGGGTGAGATGGAAGGCTGTCACTCCCAACAATAATTTCCCTAGTCTTTGAATGAGTGAGGACACATCTAGATTGTGTATGTGCGTATGTGTAAGTGTATGTGTATGCATGTAGCATCCTAACTTCTGTCACTGTTTTGTTTGCAGCTGGAGGTGCAGTGTCCTCCTGGTGTCACCATTGGCTTTGTTGCGGAACATTGGAACCTGTGCAGGGCGGTGTACAGCATCCAAAATGAGAAGAAAGAAAATGTGATGAGAGTTCGTGGGCCATGCTCAACCTATGGCTGTGGTTCAGATTCTGTTTTTGAGGTGAAACTATGTAAAAATAGTGTTTCTGATATTTTTCCTACTCATATTAACAGACCATGGAAAGATCTGGTTGTAGACATTTTTTTTTAATGTGAATGAATAACATAGTGTTAGGAAAGAGTTAATTAACCAGTTGACATCAAAAGATTTTAAAGTTATTGTGAGTAGATTGAGGTTTTCCAAAATGAAAGCTTTTTTTATGACTTCAGTACTTGATAAAAATAAAAAGAAATCATTTAATACATTAAATATTCTGAGAGTAAATAGCTTGACCTAATTCATCTATTCTATTGTTGGCTATATGTAATTAACCATTTTTTTCCCTAGATTTCTAGGCTGGGAATATAGGCTCTAAGTAATGCAAGTGCCCAACATGTCACAGAACATACCAAGTACTCCTTAGGCTGTGGAAATACTTATTTGCAGGATACAAGTCTGTCAGCATCCTCAAGAAATCGGATAACACTAACAATATGGATAAAACTTATAATAGTTTTAACATTTTTTTCAATAAAAAGAAAAATTATTTTGTTTTGCCTTTATCTCACTGGCTACAAAATGCTGGTTCATTACCCTACGAGTCTGACACAGGAAATTCCTAGAAATATTTCCTAGGCTTCTTAAAGAATATTTTTTGAATGCCTTGCAATTAGGCAAGATTCATCATCTTCAAAACTGCTTGCTCATATGTTTCCTATGATACTCAAGAAACTTTCCTTAGTTCTTATTTTCTATTACTGTATCGTTAAGCATTGCTTATTTATTAAAAGAGCAATGTAGATAAGCCAGATTGCTAGGGCAGGGTGTGTGTGATCATTCCCATTGCCAAGTGACATTAGAAGTTAGTATTTGGATATTTTCCCTGTGACAAGTGCCAGGTTTCCCCTTTTAGAAACTGAAGCTCGTTGGTATCTGGCCGTATATTAAGAAGACAAGGTGAATTTCACTCACAAAAACTTAAGTGATGTGAAGTGAACAGTACTTGTTTCCCGGTTTTTGCTCATAGGTTTCCCTAGTTTGGAAGTGACTCTCTCCCAATTCCCACCCTTTACTATGTTGAGAAGAATTTCATAATCAGTTCAAATCATACCTCTTCTTAAAAGGTCCCTTAATAACTCATTTGAAGATGAAGAAAGAGCAGCAGTCTGAGACTTTTAAGAATACCCTAGCTCAGTTATTAACCAGTTGCAAGGCAGTTAACCCTTTTTGGCCATTATTTTCTCATTTCAAATTATATAATTACATAGTCTTTTTCTGCATTGTATTTATGTTATCTGAACATAAGCAGAACATTAAAACATGCTTCAATGCGTTTCAATCATCATAAAGGCACATTCTTGTCATTCCAGGTCAAATCCCTTGATGGCATATCCAACATCGGCAGTATTATCCGGAAGTGGAATGGTTTGTTATCAGCAATGGCAGATGCTGACCATTTTGACATTCACTTCCCACTAGACCTGGATGTGAAGATGAAAGCCATGATTTTTGGAGCTTGCTTCCTCATTGTAAGCCTTCTATTTTTGAGTTATCCTGAGAGAGTTGTTCTTTCTGATGGAGAAGCAGTATAGTGTAGTATAAAGAATAAGCCTTGAAACCAATCCAACTTATCTCTGTGCCACTTACTAGTTACATGGTTTAGAAAGTGTTTACACTTGAAAGCCTCAGTTTCCTCATCTGTAAAATGGAGATTAAAATACTTATAATTTTCAGGGTTATGAATGTTAGCTATCATGGTAAAATGACCAGGGGAGTACTTAGATAACATTAGGTATCCATTGGGTATAATTATCATCATTGCATGTTATTTGTCATTGTCACTACTTAAAAATGCCTAGCCTATGATTTCTTAGTGAAATAACTCTAAAGTGGATGTCCCATTCCTCCTTCCTTTCTGCCTGTCACTGTACTCTTTGGGGTTGTCCAATCCTGAGATTATGAAGTTTTTCCTCTTTTTAATGATGAGATTCAGTTAATTGGCACTTCAAATGGAAAACTAACAGTTCCAAATTTGTAACTGCTGCTCTTCACAGTAGGTGCTCTTCATAAATATTTCCCTAAATTTATGTATTTTAACTGGAATGGGGGAATCCCCTAATAAATTACAAAGGATAATACCGCATGCATTATACCTAATTATCTATATATCTACATATAATTCTTTTTCCAATTTCAGGACTTCATGTATTTTGAAAGATCTCCACCACAACGTTCAAGATAGAGAGACACAGCAAGCCATCAACTATGGTTAATTTTGAAAAATGGAAAAGTTGGATTGGGCTTACAGTCAGCACTCAGTTATTTGCAAGTGTATTTCTTTGCTTTGTAGAGTATTTTTATTGGGTGTTAACTTTGACAGCTGAGAGTGGGCTTGCAAGAACACAATCTAAAAGTGTGTTTCAATTGAGTATCTCTCTAGTAGAATAGGAGTTCATCCTGAAAAGCTGTGACTCATTAACCCAGTAAACATATACAAAGTAAGCTTAAAACACTATAAACATGAGATAAGGGAAAATGAATCCAGAGTTCTCATATTAATAGGTAGTGAAACAATAAGGCTTTTTAGAGCAGACTTTGTTGGCATAAAATAACCTGGCTTCTATCCCTAACCCTTTCCTACCTTTCCTCTCCGTCAACATGTCCTCATACTGAAGACAAACTTGTTTCAATGATAGTCTTCATTTTTAAAAACAAAAAGGCAGGCAGACAGAAATAATGATGTTTTCTTGCACTAAGAAGGTACTACTTGTACACATATATCAAAACCTCATTCTGCAAAGTTTTTGAAGGTTTCAATGGGAAATTTGATTTTATTACAAAATAAAACATTTTTTAATGTTAAAGTTTATATATTCCATGCTTGTTTTCTCATTCACTGGCATGGATGATCAGGAGCTGCCTATATATGAAGGCAGAATCAGACTATCAGGAAAGGAGCTGGCCAGGGCCACAGCCAGTCAAGATCTCTGAGCAACTTAGAGACATTGGTGTCATTATATGAAGCTTGCATTTAATACATTTATACATAATACATTTGTACATTTAATTCATAACGTCTCTTGGTCACAGATGCCTTATATATAAAATAAGTTGCCAGATCTCTAAGATTGCCTAGTACACCTTTGTATCTCATTTGATGTGATACCCAGAAGAGATCATTGTTTTTTGTTTTTGTTTTTGTTTTTTTCAAGAAGATCCTTCGTGATCACCATGCTGTTCTCATGGTAAGAACTGGAGTTATGTTTTTAAATTTGGAAATATGACATTTTATGTAGCACTTTATAAAAAGTGAAAGCGACAAATTCCACCGCTGCTTAATACTGCTTTGCTTCTTTTTATTGACATGATAGATAAATATGTATCTACACAGAGTAATAATAATAAAACACAGTAAACATTCTATTTCTCTATGGTCTACAGCATGCCAGTAAATAATATGTAGGACCAATAATAAATTATCAATTACACATTTTTGTGTTAACTAATTAAAAGCATAGTGTATAAGTGAGTACACTCTAATTAACTTGCTTCTGTTGCACTTTAGTTTTCTACCTGCATATGGACTGCATTTTTTTTTTTTAACACAGTCAGTATGTAGAATGGGATGTATTCTTCTGCTGCTGCTTATTAAATAAAGAAAGCCTGAGTGTTCTTAGATGGGGTTATTCTGAGATGAGGGTCTTAGCCTACAGTTCTTTTTGAAATGAAAGGTGCTTTGTTTTTTAATTATATTCATCTTTTCAGGGTAAATTTGTTTTTCTGAGTTTCTCGTAATGCTCATTTTTACATGCTGCTACTAGCTTTTTTTTTTAAAAAAAGTAAAAGTTGCTGCTTTCTAAAATATTAATTGCCTTATATTTGAAAGTGCCATTGCAATCGTAAGTAGACTATGTATTTCCTATAATGATGTCTGATATTTAAATAGGAAATCAGACAAACAATATTCAGAAAGTTTAAGCATATAAACTTTTTATTTTTAACTTGCCTAAATCCCTGTATTCCAAAACCTGCTGCATCATAATAAATATATCTATATATATTTAGCATAAGACGTGATATTTTTAATTTCTTTTTTAAAAAATTATATTTGTCTCTTAGAGTTAAAATTTTCTTTATATAATATTGTCATATGTCATAGTTTTAATACAATTCACATGATTTCTATGTTTCTTAATGATATTTTGTTGTGTAAAATTGATCGGATTGATTAAAAAACAAATTCTCTGGAATTTGTGCGTTCATGCTTTTTCGTATTCTTTATGGCTTTTAAATAAATATACAATGGTTAATAGTAAAACACTGTTTTATTTTTTGACTTTGAATCTTCAAATACTTTTTTCACAGGGATTTTGAAGTAATTTTTATTGATTATTAGGTTTATTCAAGGCCCTTGCTTTCTAATATAAATTTTAAATTATTTTTAATTTATATATTTAATATATATTTAATTTATATATTTTTAATTATATATATTTATATATAATATATATAATTTATATATAATATATATTATATATATTTTTATAATATATAAAAATATAATTTATATATTTTTAATTTAATAAATTTTAAATTATTAAAGTCAGCCGGGCACGGTGGCTCACACCTGTAATCCCAGCACTTTGGGAGGCCGAGGCGGGCGGATCACGAGGTCAGGAGATCGAGACCACGGTGAAACCCCGTCTCTACTAAAAAAAATACAAAAAAAAATTAGCCGGGCGCGGTGGCGGGCGCCTGTAGTTCCAGCTACTCGGGAGGCTGAGGCAGGAGAATGGCGTGAACGCAGGAGGCGGAGCTTGCAGTGAGCCGAGATCGCGCCACTGCACTCCAGCCTGGGCGACAGAGCAAGACTCCGTCTCAAAAAAAAAAAAAAAAAAAAAAAAAAAAAAAAAATATATATATATATATATATATATATATATATATAAAAAGTCATTTCTGTAGTGTTGCTTAGTGGTAACTAGCTTTCTTATATGACCAAGTTATTTGTAAATGCTTATTTCTAATCCTCCTAAGATACATTTAAATTTCAAGTATAATTTCAATGTCAGTATATCATGAAGGAAAATTGCTAGAATTTGTAACCATCAGTGAAGAATGCATTTTAAACATTTTTTCTAAATGACCATTTTTTCCAGAAATTATACAAAAATCAGGTTACAAGACTTATTTTTTCTGACCAACTAGATATTAAATCAAATTCAGGTATAGAATAATCAGAGTGATTCTAGAGTATGGTATATTGATCCTGTTGGAGCAGCTGGCTGCTTTTCAGTCTTTTTTTCCCCCAGTGTTCAAGGTCGGATTTAATTTATATTGAAAGAAGCAAGCTTGGAAAACCCATAAGAAGTCTGGATTTAATAAACTAATATCAAACTCATCTGTTTGGCTAGTGATAGCTAATGTTAAAAATGGATCTTTTTCCATAACTTCACAGAATGCATTTCCCATTTTCCTCTAGGCCTCTTAAATTGTAAATCTCAAAAAAGAGAAAAGCAGAGTGATACACTCCAAATCAGTCCAAGTGAGGCAGAATAATATACTATGTGATAATACTTGGCATGGTTAATAATAGCACATGGTAGGTATTTACTCAGTGTCTGCTAAATGAATTAAAATATAGTAAGTAGATATATATTTGAAATATTTGCTATAGTTGTCAGTAAAACTTCTTGTCATCCTTACCACTATTTCATTCCATCAATACTTTACTGAACATTTACTAAATTCAGACACTGAGCTATTTCTTAAGGCAGAGAGAAATACAAAGGTTAAAATATATAATTAATACTCTCAGGGGCTCACAGGCTAGTGGGCAAGATAGACTTTTAACTTCTTTTTTTTTTTTAGACAAAATCTAGCTCTTGTCCCCCAGGCTGGAGTGCAATGGTGCAATCTCAGCTCACTGCAACCTCCGCCTCCCGAGTTCAAGCGATTCTCCTGCCTCAGCCTCCTGAGTAGCTGGTATTACAAGGGCCCGCCCCACGCCCGGCTAATTTTTGTATTTTTAGTACAGACAGGGTTTCACCATGTTGGCCAGGCTGGTCTTGAACTCCTGACCTCAGGTGGTCTGCCCACTTCAGCCTCCCAAAGTGTTGGGATTACAGGCGTGAGCCACCGCACCGGGCCAGGATAGACTTTAAAACAAACAAAACACACATTTTTTAGGACAACAATGAACACATACTCAGTGGAATGTTGGCACACTCAATAAAGGCCATGTCATTAGCACCATCTCAAGTGCTGCATAATATATTTTTGTCCCATTTAATGAGACAGTTAAGGCAGGCTGTGCCATATGTCCAGCGGAACTTCCTGTTCCTGCTGGAGGTAAGTAAGATGCACTTTATAGCTATGTCTGCAAGCTGAATGCATGGTGGGTGTAACTGAAAATGTCAGTCTTTCTAATTTCATCAAGCAAAGCAGGGATCGATTGCTTATTATGGTAAACCATGAGTACAGGGCAGTGTCTGGTATATCTAAGATGCTCAATAAATATTGGTGAATGAATGAAAAAAATTCAAATATGTGTATGACACGGTGCTAGGTGTTCAAGAAGATAGAAAGGAACATGCAGTCTATCCCTCAGCAAGGATAAAGCAAGTAGATAAATAATTGTAGCACAAAGCTAAGTAATTATTACATAAAATAGTGTTTTTTTTTTTAAATGTGTATTACTGGATTCTCACAACTGTATCATGAGGTAAACATCAATCTCATTTTTCAGAGGAAGAGTAAACCTCATCAAGAGGTGATAGTACCAAGAAGATGAAATGCTATAAGGAGTCCCTGCTATAATTGTAATGAAAGAAAACCAAAGGGTTGGATAAAAGGTGAGATACACGAAATCTCCTAGAGCTAGAGGAGCTACTTCCACCTAGCGGTGGAACTTAGTTAATGCAAGAATTTCTAGAGCTGCGCAGTCTCAAGGTTCCAACCAGAAATCTGATGAGGCCAATCGTTGTAATCCTGTGTCCCAGCTGCCCAGAGCAGGTTCGTGGTGAGTGTTCACTAGTGTGTGTAATGAGGGTGGGGAAGGTGCTAGAGCTGGGGAGATGGTAATGCCTTTGCACATAGTATCTAAACAAAAAACTTAAATTGCAAATTCTGAAAACATGTACTGCCATTAGCTAGCTTAATAGTTGCCTATTACATTTCTTGCCGTTCTTACTTGTACTGCTCCTCAGCAAAGAAGCCAGTTGTGAAATCATGTAATTTGGGGATATATAATTGCTATCTTTACCCAAAGATTTAATTCTAGGCCAGATGTTGGACATTCATCTGGGGCACATGGAGAAAAAGCAACCTAATCATGAGATAGGTGGGATGATGCAACTACCTATAATAACAATAGTGAAAATGATGAAGACTATAAAACCAGCCAGCTCTATTTAATGCTTCCTACAAACCAGACGCTGTTCTAGTTCTAAAGACTTTCCATATATTAACCCATTTAATTCTCATAACCCTATGAGTTAGATTACTATAATGATTCCCATTTTACAAAATAGAAAATGAAGATTTAGGTATCTTGCACAAGGCCACTCAGCTAGCTGTATATCCACAAAGCCGTTATGTGACTGCCCAAAGCACTGAGAAGCAAAAAGAATAAAGCTGGAGGCATTACATAACCTGACTTCAAATTATATTACAAAGCTGTAGTAACCAAAACATCATAGTACCGGTATAAACATCCAGAGGCTACACTCCAAATTTTTATGCCCTGTTTTTCTTTCATCTCTGTGTAATATTTGGTTTCTTTGTCTGTTAACCCAGAAATACAGGGAAACAGAAATAGAGGAGAAAGGTGGCATGCTACTTCATGTGTTTTAAAATTTAGGACTATGACCGGGAAACGCAAGAGACTCAGAAGTCTTGTCTGAGGGTAGCTGTCTCCAGAGAGGCTTACCTTTGCTCCTATTGGTGCCTCAGTGGTGTTGCCAGCTGATGACCATTTTTTTATATTATTTCTTCAGTTTGGTGTTTCCCAAGTCATGTATGTATTTCAAATATGAACCCCTAAATGATGTGGACATATCCTGGTTTATGAATTCTCAGGGAACAAATTTTCCCTACCTGTAGCAGAGGTCAAAACAATCAAGCTTTCTCTTAATTTCTATTTGCCAATTTTTCTATCTCACTTTTTACACTGGAGTGTGTCCCTTTGAGACTTTCCACTTTACTGGGGGTCTCTCTTCTAATATCAACCCTTGCCTAAGCCCAAGACCTCACTTCCAGCCTCATGGTGGTGGGTAAAATCAAAGCCCCTTCCTAATAAACGTTGGTGACTCCTTCCATTTGAGAAGCCAAAGAAAATGCCAGACTAAGCTTAATAGTCAGACGTTTCCAATTTTTCTTTATTTTTAACTTCTGCTAAAATCTTGTACTCTCCCAAAATCTACACTTTGCATCTAAAAGCCCTTTGGTTATATTTCAGCCACACTTTATATATTCTATGGAAAGAGGGGTTTTAAGATTATCTAATTTGCAACATTGCTAGCAATGTGAGTGACCTATTTTTTTAAACTGCACATGATTTTTATGTGAAATATTCAGAGGAAAATTCTTTAACATAAATATAATCATATAATATTGAAACTTGCAACTTATTACTATTTGTTATACCTAACTTACAACTAAATATTTTCTCTTTGAGATGAGTTATCTATCATCATATTATTGAGTTCCAGATTCTCTTAAAATGTTTAATATTTCTAGTACTACTGTTAAGTAAAAGACATTTATTTAAAATTGTGTCAGCTCTTCTATGACCCAGGCTTAGGCAAATTTATTTTAGGAAATTATAGGAGCAATCTTTTCCTTAAACAGTTTTGAAAACATGTTGCTCAAATTGTCTTAGTTAACAATCACTAAACATAGTTTACATGAGTTTTAACTTTTTTCATTATAACAGATAAAAGATAACATAGTTAGAAATCAAACCATTTTAAAACCTCTTGATTTTACAGAAATAAACAAGTAGAGAGTGCCAGGGAGAAGCAAGTAGAGTGACAAAATATTTATCTCGCTTTGCTGCCTTTCCCCGCTCCATGTCAGAAAGCTGAATAAAACAAGCTACAATAGGGGGCAGCACCAGCTCATGGATTTTTTTGTTAAACTATGCTCATTTTTTAATCCAAGAATTTATCAGTACCAATCTATAAATTTTAATGAATAGTATCAGTGGATTTTAAAATCAGAAGAAGTGTTAAGGACCATCTGCTCTACATTCTAATATACAAATGAAGGAAGTGGGAGAGGCCCAGATTATGTGTCTAAAATTACATTGAGAATTAACTAGTAATCAAACCAGAACTAAAAACACAGATCGCCATTTTTATTCCAGTTTCCGTGCCGCCACAGCAAAAATTTAGCAGAGATTTAAAACATTTTAAAGCAACATCTTTCATAACATTGAGATTTTAAGCATGAAAAAAATAAAACCCAGTTTCAAATTATTCTAATGTTCAAAATCTTTTTTAAGCACATACTCATGGTGTCTACCTCAATAAATCAGATTAATTTCAGAGGTTTTCTAACTATAAAGGAGAAATGAAATTACTATGTTATAAAAACAACAACAAAACATTTAAAATGTGTATGTCCTAGGTAACATAGAGTATTTTTTATTTATTCCTCCACTCACACACTGATATACCTTTATCTTCTTCCGTAGTCACCATGCACATCTGAGTTCAATTTCTTTATTAAAATATGTATTTTTACATTTTTTGTTAAAAACTATTAATTGATAGATTTTCCTGCTTTGAAGGGATGTAATTGATAGTTAAAATGAGAATGTCAGATGGGCACAGACAGAATCAAGCCATTATTTGAATAGGAAAAGGAAAATATGGCTAATGGGCATGGAATACAATCTGCCCACATATGACCCAGGCTGCCTACTGGCCTGATAGATGACATCGAATGGACAATATGGCTGGGGATGTGGGGATATTTTTTCAAAAGTCTGGCAAATCAGATGACAGCCATGAAGATTTTTCCTGGCCATGTTCAGGGTTCATTTTATTCCTTTGAATTACTTAGATATTACTGTTTTTTTCTAATATTTATAACATTTCTATTTTTTTTTCTGTTTGTTGTGTTTGTGTATCTCTCTTAATTCTATATGGCTTTATGCATTTCTGTTTACAGAGTAGTCATGCTACCTGTTTGAGTTACAATCAGAGGGCCTGCCTGGACATAGAAATCAGGGAGAGATTATATCGTTTACTTCAATGATAGCTCTGTAACTTTCAAAAGGAAACTATGTTTATATTGCTGGTATTTTGAGAGATTACTTTGTCAGTGAAATCCATTGAGAAATAGGTATCGGAGGAAAACAGAAATCATTTTTATCCTGATAAGGCTGTTATAAGGATATGCCATATATTCTGGCAACAATAGGTTTGCAGAATGATATAGAATCAGTTACCCTCCCTGTCTCAGGCAGAGGTGGAAAAACAGAGGGGTTCCTGGTAGAGGCTTGTCTCTCTAATACTACCCCATGGAGTAGGTAGGACTATGTGTGCCCTTCAGACAGGCTGCCTCCCCAAAGAGAGGCAAAAAGAAGGAATTGAACTACTCATGCTCAGTTTTTTCTTTCAGAGGGCAGAGAATGGCCAGGAGTGTTCTGTAATGTCACTATCTCACATGGGAATGTCAGGAGTGGGGAATGATTGTGGGAGAGGTGTGCTTGTCTGTTGAAGTCTTCCCTAATGTTATAGCTTCTGATTTCATTGATTCACATTGAAGCCTGGAATAAACACAGTATTTCCTTTCAGCTAGGTGTAGAAACATGGCAAAGTTCTGGCCCATTAAAAGTGAAGTGTGGCAACTTCTTTAAAAGATAAGTGGTGTGTATCTTTTGCTGCTATTTATTCTTTCCTGCTTCTTGTGGACTCCAGTGTCAATGTGAAGGCTGGCAGCAAAACACCTTTCTTGGACCATGAGCTGATCTTGGGAATGTGAACCATGAATAGTAGAACAACACGATAGAAGAAACTTGGGTTGCTGAGGATTTCTCAGATAAAGTAATGTTACCACAGAGCTGCCATATGATTCCTAGACTGTTTTCACTTAAGGAATAAAATGTTTAAATAAAATTTTTTGGAGGGGCCTCTCTTATCTGCATCTAAACCCAATAATAAAATACTTATCTCCCAACATACAAGCTTTTAAAATATGTAAGCCCTAAGTCAGATGTTCATTTTAAAAAATGTATCTAAGGGTTGATAAATTTAACCTAATTGATTGTTACAATTTTTCTATCTATGACACATTCTTTTCAGAGTATAAGCATATAATTCTCCATATTTTGGTAAATGATTAAAAATTTTGGTAAATGATTAAAAATAATTAAAAAGTTAAAAATAGATCAAGGTTTTAATAGCAGATACCTCTAGAAAGTAGATTTTGGGAGTTCATATTTATTTTAGATTTTTCCACATTGCTTGAATTTATAAGAAAAATATTAATTTCATAATTTAAAAAATTAAACTTTTTGAGATATATTATAACTAGAAATGACATTTCTATACCTGGAAAGGCCATGGGATGCCATTTTTAGGCTACAATTTAGGGCTCTCTAATGAAGAAACATTAAAATTTACTGAAAACTTTATACTAATAGCAATACAAGGGTCTTGCCTGTAGACATTGATTTAATTGTTCTTGGTGGGATCTGGGCATGGGTATACTTAAAAGTTCCCCAGATGTTTGTTACATGTAGGGAAAGTTAAGAAGCACTGGACATCAGTCACCAGCTCCTCACTGTTGTACATGAGTCACCTGGAATACTTTGAAAAAAAATCCCACACCCTGGCAGAATTCCAGAGCCACTGCACTGGCATCTGGAGTTCTTCAGGTGATTCTAATGTCGAGACAAGTTTGGGAACAGCTGTTACTGCCTGAAAGCCTCCAGGAAACTTTCCCTCAATTTGCATGTAAGCCAATAAAATAAACTCTCTTGCTTTTATCTGTGTTTTTAGCCAAGTTGCTAGATAAAATACAGGTTCCTATTAAATGTAAATTTCAGACATCAATTTTTAGTAAAAGAATGTCATATTTTTAAGACACACAGAATTTAAGACACACAGAAAAATTATTCATTGTTTATCTGAATGTCCTTGAATGCGATCAAATTTAATTGGGGTGGGTACTTCCTGTATTTCCCAATATTTTTATGTGTCAAATCTGGCAACCCTACAAACAAAACACAGCAGTACTCTAAAAATCACTAAAGATCAATGTAAATTTTCTCTGTATGTAAAGGAGTGTTAAGGAGACTGAACACTGAGGAGAAAGCAAAGAGGAATCACCTTGCTAATGCCCAGTAATACCTCCTAGAAGTCTTCATTCATCTCCTTTCCTGAATAGTCTTAAGCTTTATTATAACAACTGGCTTAGTTTCTTTGCTGTATGCCCTCACTCAACTCAATAAGTAGGCAACTCCCAAACTCCACTTTTATTACTTCCATCCCTACCCTCACACCTTCCTCCTTTTGATCAATTCAACCTATTACAGTTTTTGCTAATATTTTTTTCCTGAACCACTCAAAAAGGTTGCAAAGCAAGAAAATGCACATATAGACTAGCTGGTATAGGTTTGCAGAACTATTGTGACCCCTTTTCCATGTATCATACCACTTTTATTGATGTGGAAATGTAAGCTTTAGAGGATAGTGAAATTCAAGTAAATTTATCTCCTATGCAGAAGCTCTTTAGTTTAATTAGATCCCATTTGTCAATTTTGGCTTTTGTTGCCATTGCTTTTGGTGTTTTAGACATGAAGTCCTTGCTCATGCCTATGTCCTGAATGGTATTGCCTAGGTTTTCTTCTAGGGTTTTTATGGTTTTAGGTCTAACATGTGAGTCTTTAATCCATCTTGAATTAATTTTTGTATAAGGAGTAAGGAAGGGATCCAGTTTCAGCTTTCTACATATGGCTAGCCAGTTTTCTCAGCACCATTTATTAAATAGGGAATCCTTTCCCCATTTCTTGTGGTTTTCAGGTTTGTCAAAGATCAGATGGTCGTAGATACGTGGCATTATTTCTGAGGGCTCTGTTCTGTTCCATTGATCTATATCTCTGTTTTGGTACCAGTACCATGCGGTTTTGGTTACTGTAGCCTTGTAGTATAGTTTGAAGTCAGGTAGCGTGATGCCTCCGGCTTTGTTCTTTTGGCTTAGGATTGACTTGGTGATGCGGGCTCTGTTTTGGTTCCATATGAACTTTAAAGTCGTTTTTTCCAATTCTTTGAAGAAAGTCATTGGTAGCTTGATGGGGATGGCATTGAATCTACAAATTACCTTGGGCAGTATGGCCATTTTCACGATGTTGATTCTTCCTACCCATGAGCATGGAATGTTCTTCCATTTGTTTGTATCCTCTTTTATTTCCTTGAGCAGTGGTTTGTAGTTCTCTTTGAAGAGGTCCTTCACATCCCTTGTAAGTTGGATTCCTAGGTAAGAGCTTCTGCACAGCAAAAGAAACTACCATCAGAGTGAACAGGCAACCTACAAAATGGGAGAAAATGTTCGCAACCTACTCATCTGACAAAGGGCTAATATCCAGAATCTGCAATGAACTCAAACAAATTTACAAGAAAAAAAACAAACAACCCCATCAAAAAGTGGGCAAAGGATATGAACAGACACTTCTCAAAAGAAGACATTTATGCAGCCAAAAGACACAGGAAAAAATGCTCATCATCACTGGCCATCAGAGAAATGCAAATCAAAAGCACAATGAGATACCATCTCACAGCAGTTAGAATGGCGATGATTAAAAAGTCAGGAAACAATAGGTGCTGGAGAGGATGTGGAGAAATAGGAACACTTTTACACTGTTGGTGGGACTGTAAACTAGTTCAACCATTGTGGAAGTCAGTGTGGCGATTCCTCAGGGATCCAGAACTAGAAATACCATTTGACCCAGCCATCCCATTACTGGGTATATACCCAAAGGACTATAAATCATGCTGCTATAAAGACACATGCACAGGTATGTTTATTGCGGCACTATTCACAATAGCAAAGACTTAGAACCAACCCAAATGTCCAACGATAGACTGCATTAAGAAAATGTGGCACATATATACCATGGAATACTATGCAGCCATAAAAAAGATGACTTCATGTCCTTTGTAGGGACATGGATGAAACTGGAAATCATCATTCTCAGCAAACTATCGCAAGGACAAAAAACCAAACACCACATGTTCTCAGTCATAGGTGGGAATTGAATAATGAGAACACATGGACACAGGAAGGGGAACATCACACTCTGGGGACTGTTGTGGGGTCGGGGGAGGGGGGAGGGATAGCATTAGGAGATATGCCTAATGCTAAATGATGAGTTAATGGGTGCAGCACACCAACATGGCACATGTATACATATGTAACAAACCTGCACATTGTGCACATGTACCCTTAAACTTAAAGTATAATAATAATAAAATAAAATAAATTTATCTCCTAACTGCTGTTTTCAGTGCCATTTTCAAATATAAACCACAGAGTCTCTTTCCATAATGGTCTAGAGAGAGAAGGAAGGACTATTATCTCTAACAACTGTTACACTTCATTTTCTGGAATTCTCTATCAACCACACAAACTGTGATGATAGATAACAAATATACAATAAGAGCACGTCAAACACTTAAGTTATAAGTGTCTAATACTCATCTTGGGGTAGGAAATAATATATAAAGTTTGGGATGTGTTCTACAGAAACATTGTGATGTATTAAACTGTACTAAATTTTGTGGGGCCCAGACATTGGCTTGAGTGTAGCAGCCAGCCTTACTAATAACCTTAGGCAGGACACGAAGCTCTGTGCTCTTCCACTTTTGCATCTGTAAATTAAAGCCATAATGCCTGAATTGTTTTGATAACAGTGTGATTGTGAGAACTAAAATGAGATAATGTATGTGGATAAGGCTGGCCCTTGGAAACATTAGCATTTTTACTAAGTAAAAGCAAAGAAGGAAGTGTAGGAACTGGTCTAGTTTTGCTCTATACAAGGTAACTTAGGCTCTTGGATAGGCTTTTATGAGCTATCAAGGCAAATGGACCCAGAAATATCCTCAAGGGATAAAAGAAATGTTTGGTTAGCAGGCCACATGTAAGCAATGATTTTTTTTTTTTTTAAGTAAAAAGAAAAAATGAAAAATGCCAGGCCACAAGATTAGCCCTCTTAGAGGCTCCTGGCATCGTAACTGGGGATCATGGATATGTTAAATAATCATGTTCGCTTCCCTTGATTAGATGGAAGCATTAAGTCATCTGAAACTAAAACTGAGTCACAGACAAACTTACGGGAAGAAACCCAAAGTCTGAGTGGTAAACGAAATGGTGAAAAAAATGTGTATGGATTCTATGTTTCCGTATGTCCATGTTAGCAAGACTTCCCCTAGTGAATCATGACCCATTTCTGTTTTTAGAGTTCAGGTGACTGCCTTACCTTGGGCCCCTCTGTTTGAATGTGATCATTTGGACAAACTCTAGACTCTATATGCCATTAAAGTTTTCATGAGGAATTTTTTAAAAAATCAAACATCATATTTAACCCTCCAAGAAAGAAAAGAAAAGCAATGTGAGTAGCCAAGTTATCTAGCTACAGATAACTCATTTGTTTGGGTTTTAAACACACTGAATTGTTTGCAAACCTATCTGCCCTCATGTGTGTGTGTAACAAAATATTCTTTGTCAGGACTTTAGTTGTGGTGAGAGCCTGGTGAGCATAATTTCCTAAGGTCTCTTTTGTTAACACAGTTTTGGAACTCATCTTTTAGAAATGACCCCCTATTCTGCAAACTACAAAACAGAATTCGTGTCATAAACTCTATGCTTCAGTTGAAACACTCACCATATTCACTCACTTATGTTAAACCCATCTTTACCAAATTAAATTACTCCATTCTGAAAACCACCAGTGGCTTTCCATTTACTCACAAAGCTTTGTTTCCCAGAAGGGTCCTAGATCATTCTTACGTCTTCAGGTAGCTTACCCCTTTTCTTCATGTCACCACCTCAGGAAGACATGCCCAGACCCATCCAGTCCCTCACGTCATTCTCTCTTCTTGGCAGGTAACACCATCAGAAATATTACTTGTTCTACTTTTAGTTCTATAAGGAATTGCCAAACTGTTTTCCGCAGTGGCTGTACTAGTTTACATTCCCACCAGCAGTAACGTGTTCCCTGTTCGCCGTCTCCACACCAATATCTACTGTTTTTTATTTTTTGATTATGGCCATTCTTGCAAGAGTAAGGTGGTATCACATTGTGGTTTGATTTGCATTTCCCTGATCATTAGTGATGTTGAGCATTTTTTCATATGTTTGTTGACCATTTGTATATCTTATTTTCAGAATTGTCTATTTATGTCCTTAGCCAACTTTTTGATGGGATTGTTTCTTTCTTTCTTACTGATTTGTTTGATTCAGCAATCCCACTATTGGGTATCTACCCAGAAGAAAATAAGTCATTATTCAAAAAAGATACTTGCACATGCATGTTTATAGCAGCACAATTCGCAATTGCAAAATTGTGGAACCAACCCAAATACCCATCAGTCAACGAGTGGATAAAGAAACCATGGTATGTATATACCATGGAATACTACACAGCCATAAAAAGAATGAATTAACAGCATTCGTGGTGACCTGGGTGAGATTGGAGACTATTATTCTAAGTGATGTAACTCAGGAATAGGAAGCCAAATATCATATATTCTCACTGATATGTGGGAGCTAAGCTATAAGGACACAAAGGCATAAGAATGATACGATGGACTTTAGGGACTTGGGGGGAAGAGTGGGAGGGGGACGAGGGATAAAAGACTACAAATATGGTACACTGTACACTGCTTGGGTGATGGGTGCACCAAAATCTCACAAATCACCAATAAAGAAGTTACTCATGTAACCAAATGCCACCTGTACCCCAATAAGTTATGGAAAAAAAGAAATATAATTTGTTTGCTTGTTTATAAGTTCTGAAAAGGCAGAGATACTGTGTGTTATGTTTGCCCTATATCCTCACTGCCTATAGCAGTAACTAACAAGAAGTAGGGACGAAACAAATGTTGAATAAATGCCATTGAGTATAAGCAAAATAATATGATCATCTCTATAAAGATAACTTCACATGACACATTTAGAAGGCTGTGGATAAGAATAGCATCATTAGAATTATT
The DNA here is from genome assembly GCF_000001405.40 of Homo sapiens. Lineage (NCBI taxonomy): Eukaryota > Metazoa > Chordata > Mammalia > Primates > Hominidae > Homo > Homo sapiens. The sequence goes on along the minus strand of NC_000003.12, from coordinate 146,179,430 downwards.
GTGTTCCCAGTCATGATAGTTACTTTAAAGCAGACACTAGTTATTTGGAAATATCCATTGGCCAAAAGAAAAAAAAAGGCATTTTTGTTTAAAAATGCAACACGTTCTATATTCAGCTTGACTCTCTCTTCTTATGCTTTTCTAAGCCTTTTAGCAAGAGATATTTAACACCTGGCTAAAGTTTTGTCCTCTGATAAAAATCTAGGAATAATTTTTCTCCTCACTCAATTGCTCTGCAGTTCCTGCTTTCAGAAGGGGTTAGGAGGTTAGGGATGGAGCAAGCGTTAGGAATAGAGCAGGGGGTTAGGAGGTTAGGAATGGAGCGAGTGTCTCAGAAGTCAACACAGGAAGCTTGGGAGCTGTTAATTGGCCTTGTTTCTATCTCATAACAATCGGTTGCTGGTAAATGAGGGTACCAGTTGAGGGGATGGGAGTCAATTATATTGTTTTAGGCATTTGTTACAAGGAGAAAACCACCTAAGACCTTAGGTGGCCAAATATGTAACCTGGGTCCTTCTCAATATTTCTGGAAGCGATGAGCAATGATTGCAGTAGCAGTTTGGTTTGTGTTTGTTTATTTGCTTGTAATCTTTGCTGTTGCTGTTGCTTCTGCACCAGGAATGGTGCATTGGTGCAAGATGGCAGAGTCTGCTTTATAAGGCAGAAACTTTGTTATTTAATATATTAGAGGCTTTGGCCCTTAGGTTTATGGACAGGAGTAATTAATGACTTTGTTCCTTTCTTGGTTGGAAAGCCTTTTTCAAATTGGTAAATACTTAAAACACCAATAACAACAAAAACTCAGTGGCAAGTTGTTGGCAATGGACAGAGAAACTTAGGCACACAGGAACTCTATCAAGACTAACTTAGCTGATTTAGCAGAAGTGAACAGAACTGAAATGTAAATCTGTTCAGGGTGGGATGCCAATGAGAAGTAAGCCAATTCTTGAGTTGAAAGATGGGACATAAAATTGTTTATATGGTATGATTGCAATGTTGCTTCACATGCATGTTCTTTCTTGCTTACATACACACAACATAAATCATAAATATACATATATTGCAGACACAACACTAAAAGAAACACATCAGAATGTAAAGACCAGTTACTTCTGGGGAGTTGGATTCTGAGTGATTTTGTTTTCTTTATTCTCTGTTCTCCCATTTTCCTTGCCAAGCTTCCGCATTCGGTCTCTTCATATCCAGCTCTGCTACCAAAGAAACTCTGATGCTTCTCCAGCCCAAGTCAGCCAAGTCCTGAAGTATCCAAGTTAACCTCTGACTTCCTGGGCTCAGAAATGTTTTGTTGCTTCTGTTTGTTCTCCGTCCCTGGGTCCACGCTCACGGGATTAAATTGTTCTTCACATTAAACTCCACTTAATAGTTTCCTTGTCTAGCACTCAGGTAGTTTTAAAACGTGGCCAAAAATTATTTGACACTACTCCTAGCGAGAGATGGGGTCTTTGTCCCCTCCCCTTGAATATGGGTAGTCTTGTGATTGTGAATGTTTCAACCAGGTGAGTGTGGTGGGAATGACACTGTGTGGCTTATGAAGCTGGGACATGAGGGGAAGTGCAGTTTCGAGTTTGTTTCTGGAACACTCACTCTTGGAGTTCTAAGCCACCATATAAAGTCTGACTACCTTGAAGCTGTCTGCTGTGAATTAGCTCAGGCTCCCTGGAGAGACTGTGCATAGGCACTGAGCCCAACAGTGAGTGAATGAGCCTTCAGATGATTCCAGCTCTTTCAGTTTTCTCTCAGCCTTTGAATCTTCCTGGCTGACACCACAGACAAGGAGAAGCAGGGTGAAGCTGTTTTTACTGTGCATTTTCTGAATTTCTGAGGCCAGAATCTGTGAGCTTAATAAAATGGTGGTTGTAAGTGGCACTGCCAGATTTTGGGGTGATTTGTTACACAGCAATTGTAACCAGAACAGGAAATTTGAATCCAACTTGCGCCAGACTTCTTACAAAGGACTGAAGTCAGCTGTTTTCTTTCTATGGCCCAGGAGCTAAATGCAACTATTCTCCCATGCTAACATCATGCTCTTCCCAAATGTTCCATTAACTCAAGCAGCCTGAAAGAGAAACTCTGCTTCCTATCACAAATATGTCCGAGGAGCCCCTATACATAGTTAGAGATTTCTCTTAATAAGTCATATCCTTCCCTTAGTAAGTCATATCCTTCACCTGTGAAACTTCTGGATCCTGGGATTAAATGACTCAATTTGCTTTGCTTTCCACGTTCTAGAAATTGTCTCACTTCCTAAAAAGCATGAATGAAGTTGTCTTCTGGTCCAATTTGGATTTAGCTGAAGATTCTAACCTGAACGTTTTCTTCAGTCAGGACCTAAGGACACATTTACCCTGAATGTCAGATCCCAGAAGAGAGGACAAAGTAAAGGTATAGAGAACATGAATATAAATTGAAAGCACAGGAGAAAATCAGAACTAAAAGGACATTTTAAAAAACAAAGCAAAACCGTCATTCTTGGTCATTTACTGTGTGCCATTATGTTACATGTATTATGTCATCTCAACATAACAACAGTTCTAATGATGTAGATATTTTATTATACCCATGATAAATGGAGGCATGTATCTTTCCTAAGGTGGGCAGAGCTTATAGTTGTACATATTAGTCTGACACCAGATCCTGCTCTCTTAATCACTAGGCCCTACAGTCTGGAAACAATCAACATTATTTTTATACTAATATTAAAGTGTTATTTGCCTTTTTTCACTTTCATTATCTCATGAGTATGTGGGGGAATTTTCCAATGTATATTTGGAAGCTCTGTATAACTAAGTGAGCCAATATATTGGAAACATTTGATGCACAAAGTTACAAAATCATACATGGGTAAAAGATCCATTCAAATAGCAAGATACATGAATTGATTTTAATTTTTAATATAACAGAATACCAAACAAAGATTTCACATCACAACCAACCTTTCAGAAATTGCCATTTTTCAAATTTTGGTAAGTCATCAAAGAAGACTATCCACACTTATCTGAAAAGGCTATTAAGATAATCTTGTCTTTTTTTTTTGCTACATATTTGTATGAGGCTAGATTTCTTCATGTACTTCAAAAACCCCATGAGGAATTAAATGCAGAAGACATGAGTATAGCTGTGTCCTCCTAACCCAAGTATTAAAGAAATTTGCCATTCTTTTAACTAAATGTTTTGTTATAAAATATAGTTATTTTTGACATGTTATTGATGTTACCTAGTTAACATTGTTATTTTAAAATGAATAAATATTATTTAAATATCTGTTTTAACTTTGAATACAGTACTTTGAATACAGTAACTTTGAATACAGTAAATATCAATGAATATAACCCTTACAAATAAAAGGTCTTTGGGGCCTTTAATAATTTTTAGGGATGGAAAGTATTTCTGAGACCAAAATGTTTGAGAATCTCTGGCCTAGAAATTTGGTAGATGAATATGTAGGGCCAAAGAAATGAGCCTATTACTTTTATTATGATAGAGTCTGTATTGTATTTAAGTGCTTCTAAATGTAAAGAGAGAGAGGTGAGTGTGTAGGAGAGAGGGCCATTGATAAGGTACAGTGTGTGAGGAAGTTGCAAGTGAGTGGATCCAGAGCAAAATTGGAGAGACTTTCCCGGGAGAGTCAGCAATGACAGTAAATGCAAGTCCATCTATGGTTGGAGCAACAGAAGTAGGAGGGGAAGTTAGTTCAAAATCTTTATACTGATGACCTCTGCTTTTTCTGTAAAGTAAACGGTAAGAATTATTTTAAGAATGACACTGTGGGTTGGATGCTGAGGAAAGAGGTAGATAGTTGTACAAGCCATTCAATTAACAGAGAAAGCTTCCAAGGATCAGATAGCCTTACGTTGGCAAATGATCGAAAATGAGTTCTTGCATTCCTGAAATGTCTCATGGAAAAAGTTAATGGTTTTCTGTTGTTATTTAATATTGTTTATTCAGATTGTACTTAGCTCTTGCAAAGAGCAAAAAATTGAGAAAAAGGTTATCTTATAAAAAAGATAATAATAACAACTTGGAGTTAGGCATCTTAGGTACATCTCATTAAATTGAACAGCAAATTAAACAGTTTTTAAAATTTTATTTTAGGAAAGGTTGTTACATTCTTCTTTATGCCCACTACAGAGTAAAAACAATGTGACTATTTCTAATGTAGTATATGGCTTGCAAGTACAGAGCAAGAGTTATTTCATTTGTGAGGTTGGAAACTAATACTTGATCAAAAATCATTTGTCAAACTAACTTCCAAAGTTTCCTAAAACAGAATCGCACTGATGTAACTTTAAAAATAAATATTGGGCTTTACCCTGTTTCTGATTCAACCAAAGAAGACATAACCCTTTCAAGCAATTCGATGAAAATATCAAACAATGCTATATCAAATTAATTCATAATTCAGGTTGATAAGACATGTTTTCCTGGGAGTTCACACTGTGAGGTTGGTAGAAAGCCTTGGTGTAGCTCTGGGCCTGCTATCTGTCATGGGCCCAGGAGGTAAGAGAAGGCACTTTCTGATAAGAACTCATTGGAGAAGCAGAAGATCTCCATGCATAGTGACCTTACACAACATCTTCCTTTTTACAATTACTACATTCCTTTGAAAGAGGCTAAATGTTTTATCTCTGAAATGCACACAGTGATTACTGGCACTATGAATGATGCCAAATTGTATTAGCAGATCCTTGTGGCAACTCAGGGAAATGTAAAACCTATGCCTCACGTTCCATAGCTACCTCTTCACTCTGTCATGAGACCAAGACCAAACTTTCTTCAAATGATGCACTAAAAAAGTCAATAAAATTCCTTTTGTAGGTGGGCATATGAAAGCCTCAGCAACATTTGATATGAAGGGAACAATATTGATTTAGATTGTCTTGATGGTGACCTTAGTATCTATGAGTACTTGATTCTCAGAGTTATGTTACTCTAGTACTGCAGATCATCCACAGATTTATTTTATAATTTGAATACAATTGGTTTCTTAGTTACGTTGAAAATTGAACTTTGTTTAATTTTTGAATGTATTTTCTCAAATTACTGCAAAGAACAAATTAATGCAAAATAAAATAGCAGATGTTTTGTGGACCTTCTCTCTTGCATTAGTGCTTAAAATCATTATAGGAAAAACACTGGATTGAGTTTAGAAAAATGAAAAACTAATTTGTCTTGGTTGTAAAGATTATATGTTTTGAGAGTTTTTATTAAAACTGATATTGAATTTGAACTACTTTGATAGCTTTAACTTTCGTTTAAATTTTTTTGACTTAATGCTAAACTGAATTTATATTTAAAATAATTTAAATATACTACAAAGGTTTCAGAATATACAAATGCAGTTACAAATCATGTGCTGTCTAGAAAGCTTGCTAGGCATATTGTTTTACATGTTTACATATTGTTCATGTTTTACATGAACAATTGGAGGTTCCAGTTTGTTTATGGAAGTTTTTGAAAGGATTTAAATTATTTCATAATCAAGCTTTTAAATTTTACTTTATGCAAAATCTTATTAAAAGCAATCTTAACAGGGCTATAGTTCAATTTAAAATCTTTCTAGTTTTTATGTGTATAATACTTAATTATTTCTTTTTTGTTTTGTTTTTTTGAGACAGAGTATGGCTGTGTCGACCAGGCTAGAATGAAGTGGCACGATCTTGGCTCACTGCAACCTCCACCTTCCGGATTCAAGTGATTCTCCTGTCTCAGCCTCCCAAGTAGCTGGGATTACAGGTGCCTGCAATCACGCCCAGCTAATTTTTGTATTTTTAGTAGAGACAGGGTTTTGCCATGTTGGCCAGGCTGGTCTCGAACTCCTGACCTCAGGTGTTATTTTAATTCTATTCACTTTATGGAAAAAAAAGGATGAAATTGAGCTCTCTTTGGACCATACCCAAAAGGTAGAGTCACCTCCAATCCATTTTTTACATGGCAGTTGGAAAGATATTTTTCAACAGCAAATCTGATTATGTTTCCCTTGCATTTCAAACTCTTCAACAACTTCCAATTGACATTCCCATAAAAGCCAACTCTCTTCCACCAAACGTTCTTCCAACTCCACCCTGCCTCTTCAGTTCCACCTCCTCTCACACACCTTGCTCACTACTGGTGAGCAATTTGTGTTTGTCTTCATGCTTTATGATTTTCAAATCCCTACAATACTCTCTCCCTAACTCCTCCTTCATCTAGTGAGTCTTACAATTTCGGTCTTCATTTAAACATTTTCTTATGAAACCCTTCCCTGACTATGTTAACCCTCCATACCAGCCCACATCCACACACTTTGTACTTCTTCCTTTCATCACATTTACAACACTTTTAATTATTTTTTCATCATCATTCCCTATGCTAGATTGCAGGTTCCCAAAGGACTGGAAATGTTTCTGTTCCCAACACACTCTATTCCCAGTACACATGATGTACACGGTGCCCAAAGTTCTACAGATGAATCAATACATTTTTTATTTAATAAAGCATCAAAATAGTTTCATAAAAGACATTTTCATCCAGTCCCTGAGAGCTGCATCTATTGATTTAAAGTACCTAACTTAGCACATTTTATTTCTTCAAACAGAAGCATGAATAAAGCAGAGTAGTTTAGTTGGAATCACAAGTATGTCCTTATCAGCAGATGAAACAAACACAGACTTTCTACAAAGAACCCTTAAAACATTTTCCTCCAGATCACCTCATTCCCACAGGTCAAGTTCAAATTTTATTGAGGTGTAATTATATAGATACAGTAAAATAAATATATGTTATGGAATGTTGACACCATCAAGCTCACTCTTTAGTGATTAAGTTCATTTTGATGATACAGTTTTTAAAGAATATATGTTTAATATGTTGATCATTCAGACTTTATATACAAGTTTCAAGAAGCTGAAATTTGTATGCCTGCAGATGAAAATTTCAGTAAGAAACAAAGCAGTTCTTGTTAGAAAAAGACTCATAATTTGGAGCTAGTATGTATGTTGGAATGTGAAGTTATGTGATAGGGCCACAAGCCAAATATAAAGTCTTTATAGGAAGTCTCTGTGCCTCAGATCCTCTGTCTCTCCTGGCATAGACAGAAAACTATTCCTCCTTTGACTTCAACTCTTCAGTGAAATGGGGAATTATTGTCTGCAGTATGTAGGATAGAAGGAATTGACTAAGGAACTCACCTAAGATGAATATAACATAAAGTAACACACTAAAATTATGGCAGCTAAATGAATCTCTACATTCTGAGTAGTAAGACCCACATGATTATTTTAGCCCACCCTATTCAAGAACTAGAATATAACAGCCAAACTTAAAGGCCATACTTCCCCTACATTCAGGAGATCGAAGTTTTCTTCTATAGAGAAGTTGCATCAAGGCTGGGCGCAGTGGCTCATGCCTGTAATCCCAGCACTTTGGGAGGCCAAGGTAGGCAGATCACCTGAGGTCAGGAGTTCAAGACCAGCCTGGCCAACATGGTGTAACCCCCTTCTACTAAAAATACAAAAATTAGCTGGGTGTGGTGGTGCATGCTTGTAGTCCCAGCTACTAAGGAGGCTGAGACAGGAGGATTGCTTGAACCCAGGAAGCAGAGGCTGCAGTGAGCTGAGATCACGCCACTGCACTCCAGCCTGAGTGACAGAGAGAGACTCTGACTCAAAAAAAAAAAAAAAGGTAGCGTCAAAAGATACTGACATTGGGAGCCTTCCCCAAACAAAATGTTTAGATGTTCTCTTCTCTCATCACCTTACAAAATGTACGCCAGTTGACAAACCCCACCTTTGCACATAGAGCTGTCATCTTTTAAACACCTTTTCTGACTAGAAAGTCAAGGATAAGTGGACCATATGAGGCAAGCTTTCACATAAATATAGTGGCCAAAACAAAGGAACTGAAGAAAACAGAGCGCAGGCATGAAATTGAAGAAAACGATTAAAAAAACCACTCTATTATACTTGAAGAATTAAAAGACAGTGTATTCATAAAACAATGGACTGACATTTAAAGATGAACATTCAGAAAATAAGAAACGGCTTCTAAAATTCAAATTATGAAATAAAAATTTGAAAGAGGCAGATACATTTAAATAATATTCTAAATAGAATAAAAAGGCAAATAAATGAAAAATCAGAGAAGGTAAGGAAATTAGAGGATCAATATAGGAGAGAGAATAGAGAAAATGGAGTGGAAAATTTTTCAAAAAATGGTTCACTGAATACACAAAACAATGAATGACAGAAGATTTACCCCAAAATGCATCATTATGTCACTGTGAATTTTAGAATACTGTGAATACAAAAGATTATAGAGGGAGGGAGGGAGACAGAGAGAGAGAGAAGAGATACAGATGGTAAACACAAGCTTGATCAGAAGTCATTGTAACAATAAAACAATCTGAAATACTGAAGGAAAGTGAAAAACAATCTAAAGTTCTATATTCGCTGAAACTAGCATTTAACTTATAAGAGTGGAATGAGTAGATTTTTAGGCATGAAAAGTTTCAAAACATTTACATTTCATGAACTTTTTCTCAGAAAGTTACTGGAGGATGTGTTCCACCAAAACAATGGAATGAATCACAGGAATGAGGATCTAATAAAGGAGAGAAGTTAAGGGATTCCAATGATTACAATGATGAGAAATCCCATGGGAATTTCAGCTCCATCAATCCAGGTAGGAGAAGGATGAAGGTTTCCTCTAAGAGAGTCATCTCCAAGACAAAAGACAAAGAAATTGCTGGATGTGACTGACCCCATTGGTTGAAGTTTTACAGCTTATCCCAAAGAATTAAAATGTAGTGGTGGCACATAGAAAACTAAGCAACTGAATAAAGAATTTAATGATAGTTTAGTACACAGTAAATAAATTTAAAAGGCAATTATTAATTCCAGGAAAAGCAGAAAACATACAAGAAAGGAAACTGAATTATGGTAGATTACTTAGCTTAACAATAAATATTATTTATACAACCACAATCATGCAAACACTATTAATCTAACTAAAATTGTGACACACATGCAGAGGATTGGCGATGGTATGTTTGTGAGTGTGAATGTGTGTATGTATGTGTGTGTGTGTTGGGGGGGGGAGAGAGACAGAGAGAGAGAGATAGAGAAACAGAAAGACAGAGAGAGAAAAGAGACTTCTGCCAATCTACCATCTTCCTTGGTAGGCAGTCAACTAATAGGTAATGGACTATGTTGGTTACCCAACCATTCATAATTCTTGCTCATGGGGCCTAAATTTTGTTTAAGTTTCCAAATCAAACTGTCTCCTGTGTGATTCAGAGAGAGCTGACATCATCTACAGCTCTAGGGATAGATATGAAGCTAAACATGAATGGCAATCATTTTCCTCTGGCACGATTGGTTTAAAAATGGCCACATGACCTAATTCTGGCCAGTGACACAAGGGGATGTCTTCTAGGCAGTTTCTGGGTAAAGACAGAAATATCAGCACTTCTTTTTCTTTTTCTGGGTAACTTCCTGTCAACATAATGCCCAGGACTTCTGCAAACATGTTGTTACCAGTACAAGAACCATAGGAGGGCAGGCCAATAACATCAGAGAGAAAGAGAGGCAGAGACCTAATAGACTGTGCCTGGGGACTTCCCTGTCTCTGGACAACTTCATATGTGCAATAATAAGTTTTATTTAATTTCAGCCAAATCAAGAGGCTAAGAAACAGCCCAGGGTTTCATAGATGATAAGTGGCAAAATCAGGATTGGAACCCAGATTGGCCTGAGTCAAAGACTTGAGGTCAACATAATTTCATACTGTCATTGTTGAGCAGTCTTTAAAGCATCCTCTTAAAAATGGAAATCAAATTTGTGATAGAGAAAGAAATTAGTGCGTGTGAAAGTGAGGGGATGTGCCCTATTGTCAACAATAAAGACTACAAATAAACTCTAGTAACTTACCTTCTATTGTTTTATTCTCACAATAAAAGTGGTATTTTTGGTTTTAGGTGGCTGCAATGTCAAAATTGATTAGTTTCTTGACTATGAAATAATTATGTAACTTTAATTACTTAATTATAGACCATTGTCAAATACACCTTAGCGATATCAACAACAAATGACAACAAACTATTACCTTAAAAAGATAATTCAAATTATTATTTTATCTGGGACACTATAATATATTCAAAATAATCCAGTTTCCCAAATTCAGAAAATTTATTTTTTCTTTAATATGTTTTAATTTTGATATATTACAGACTAAATCAAGTTATAACAATTTAATTTATTATTTAGCAGAGTGATTTGCTTTTGTATGTAGGTATTCAAAGAGAAAGCAGGATCTAATTCATTTTGAAAGCTGAAAGACAAAGAGCAGTGTCTGGAATGTGGTCCCTGCACTAAAACTATTTGTTGAATGAAAAACTGTGCATCTACTTTAAGAAAATCATAAGTGGAATAAAGATAAAATGAGATTTTTGACTTTTGGGATTGATTTTGGCCAAATTTGCTGTGTGGCTACTAATTGTATCATTTATTTATTTTGATTTAGGCAATAAATTATAATTATTGAAAAACTGAAGAATTCAAAGAAGGCATTAAAGTAGTTGATTTGATAATATTTCTCATTTCTTGAAATTTAAAATGTTTAAGGAAAAAATTTTTATTTAATAACTTGTTCAAATAAGTATTTGTCTTTTATTATAGCTAAAACCTTTTTTGGTAAATACTGATAATCCTTTGCACTTAAATAATGTTTTTAGGATAAAATTGGTGTCAATAGTCTCTGAATTCCAATTTTTAAGAACCATATTAACAGCTGGAAAAAAAAAAAAGAGGGCCCACAGACATTAACAAAGTAACACTGCAACAGTAATTAAGAAAAATACTGTGGTTGAAGTAAAAGATAATTAGAGGGCAGTAACCAAATGGTTACCTTTCAATATCAGAGTGGTGTGATGTAATGTTAGAGAACTTTGCAAAATAAGATGTCTGCAGGGAGTTCACCGACCATTTCACATGCATTCAGCAAATGGGCTGCATGATCATTATAGTGATCTTCAAAAAGGATGAAGTGGCTCTGTGCATTGTGATCTGTGTCTATAATACAGAAAATTATACCTGATGTAAACCATCCCTTTTAGAAACCTGTAATGAAAAAATACTCTTAAAGAAGACAACACTTATAATTCTAAGGTGCTGCAGTGAGACTGGGCATGGTGTGGCACACTGGCCAATGCCATGCTTTTCTCTATTGGTATATGCTTTAAAGTAAATTCTCCTTACTTTCAGTTCTATTGCAAAAATGTTTCCTTTTTTGGAAAAAAAAAGCCACATAATGCATTACCCAGATTTTAAGAATGGCAGATTAGGAATACCATTTGTACTTTTATGCCATATTTCTGAAGGATATCCACTTCCCTAAGACCAAAGTTTTATAATTTTCTATGATTTTATGCTCTCTGTTCTTTATATAACATCTAATATTAGAGTTATTTACATCTTTAACAAAATAACATCTAACATTAGAGTTTTACAACTGTTTCTATTACATAATAGATCTCAATATTTTCTTAGGTAGACTATACTTCATTTCAAGATAGCATCCTTAGAGATCTCACCAAGTAGAATTATAATACAATTATTTAACTGAAAGTTTCTGGTTGAATCAAACACTTGTAATCAATGTATGTTAATCTCATGTCCGTCATAAAAAGCTCTGCCAGAATAGGGATGATCAGAACCAGCAGACTAAGAGCCATGGGAAAGACAGGTAAAGAAATACCTAATAGCAGATGGTAAGACAATGCAGGCAGGAGGCCTTGAGGAGGTTCAGAGATTCAATTAAGTGACAGAACTCCATTTTCTGGAAAACTTAGAAGAAGATCAGGAAAGATCTCAGTCTGAGATGAATTAGGCAATCAGACAGGGATCCAAAATAGTGACTAAAATACTTGAACCAAGGTATATAAGGGCATGCTTAATCATAGAGGAATAAAGTAACAATATCATTATCAGAAATTGAGTATAGCATACAATCAGAACTGACTTAGAAAGATTCAATTGCATGCTGAGCCCAAGAATTATTGATCATAGACTCCTTGTGTTCTCAATTCTTACGGAAAGGATTGGTTTTAGATTCTAGGGGTAGGACAAGAAGCCAGTCAAAATTTATGGGGGTCTAAAACATTAGAGATCTTTTTAAAAAAGATTATGTGAGTTACAAGTATAAAATAAAATAAAGAAGTGAGTACTTATTTAGAATAAGAAAAGAAAGCCCAATAATTTAGAGAATCCTTGGAGCTCAGGGCCCTTTTTTCTAAGATTTCCCCAGGCCGTTTCCAAGAAGTGTTTTCTTAGTGATTGTTCCTGATTACAGCTTGGCTTCCCTTCCAGCCTAGCATATCGTACAACTCCCAGACACTCCTAGCACTTACAGGGGCCTTTGCAAGTGAGGGGCATTGACATTTAAGCTTCAATAGTTTCAGGGTAAATCTGCCTCTGGGCAGAGCAGATGTCAGAGAAAGGAGCTAAATGGTCCCGAGAAGCAGGAGAATGAGAGATTATAAGGGCAGAGAGTCAGTTAAAAAAAAAAAAAAATCATTAGAAACTACTGTTGAACAAGAAAATGTTGACTATACACGGTGATTAATCATAATTAATGCTAATCTGGTGTTACCTATGCCAACACGTAGGTCATCGTGTGGAACTTTGGTCAAACATATTTGGAAGACTGAATGTGAATGCCACAGTGATTGCTGACCCTGAAGGATGATTCACGGCCTAGACAGTTCTGCCCAATCATTTTGACTAGTCACAAACATCTGCTAGAATCATCTTCAAAATACTTGTGTTTGCTGGCATTCTTTCCTATCCTGGCATGCTCTTCTTACTTTGAACTTGGCTGAGCTTAGTTTTACATCTGACATCATTTTGCTAGGTACAAGGGTTTCACAACTCATATCCACAGAAAGAAGATTCCAGATAAGCACACTAAGATGACTAAAACGTAGAATTAGTGTTATTTAAAAAATATACTTTAAAGTGTCCTTATCTTCTCTTGAAGACAAATAAGAAATGAAAGAAATAAAACACCTCAGAAAATAAACCATGCTCATTTTCCCTGTGATAAATTACTGTTTTTGTTGCACGAGGAAACCTGTTTTACTTTTGTGTTAAGCAGGTCATTTATTGTTTAAGTCTAGCTCCTAGGAAATTCTTCCCTTTACTATTTTTGTTTGGTTCTTTTTATTTTTAACTTCTTAAAATGTAGTTGGTCTCATATAGGCTTTGTTTGAAAGGACGTTCAGCCTTGAAAAAGTCACCTGGTAAATCATTCCTGTCAAATTACAGCTTAAAGAATTAAAAGGGAAAACTGCTGGGGCCCACGGACTATACTGCAAACCTCTCATATATAAAGGGGAGCTTCAGATTTGTGGCAACTTGATCATCCTAAAATTAGAGAGGTCATCCCCTGACATCTGCAGCAGAGACCTGATTTAGAATGAAGAGTCACAGCACAAAAGTTCTGCTTCATGGTATTCTCTAAGCCCTCATCTCCAGTTTATATCTTATATTCACTGTAGTTTCTACTCCCATCTAAGTTCTGATCTTAAACTTGTGTTTCCCAATGCTATAATCAATGACCTCTCTGAGGCTTCCTCCTATTCCCCAGTCTCTCTTCTGTAATACTTTTCCTATTTATCTGACTTTAACAGTCTCCTTTGCTGATTTCTTTTTTCCTCTTTCCTCAAAAGGGTCCGCCCTCTCTGAGTTTCAGCTCTTGGATGTCTGGTGGTTTTTCTTTGTCCTCTAATTCATTTAACATCCCCCTTCCTCTGTACCTCCAGGGTTATTCCGCGAATTCCCAAAGCTTTACTTCTTATTCACTCCACAAATATTCATTGAATAAATATTCGTTGACTCCTTTTTCTCTCCTACGCCCACATTCAGACATCAAATTTTGTTGACTCTACATTCAAATCTATCTGGAAATTGACCTTCATTTACTGCTACTGACTTGCTTAAAGCCTCCGTCATCTCTCTCCTGGACCACTGCATTAGCTTTCAAGTTGGTCTACAGGTCTACAGACTTTCTGTTTTATTTCTCCACTCACTCTCCCTTATCTTCCTCTAATGTGGCAGCTGTGGACTCTGTGATCCTTTTTAAATCCTACTTCAGATCATGTCACTGCTCTGCTTAGAACCATCCAAATGGCTTTTCAATTCATCCAGGGTAAAGGACAAAGCTGTTACTAGGTTCTACCCTTATCACACTGTCTGTTTATCTGCTTGCCTCCGCCCTGCTTGTTACCTTCTCAGGCTTCATCTCCTACTATTCTTATGCACAGTCACTGAACATTCAATTGCCCTCTTGCTTCCTCACAACACTCCAGGTATTTCTGGTCTCACAGTCCTTGCACTTCCTGTTTCTTCTGCCTGGAACACAGGTCCCCTGTACATCCTGGCCCCCTCTTTTTCTCACCACTTTCAGGTCTTTGCTCAAGAATCGTCTTCTCAGTGGGGCTTTCCCAGGATCCCTTACTAAGGTTTTGGTATACCTCCCCTCCTTATTGGTCCTTCCCAGTTACCTTTCCTGATTTACTTTCTCTCTACCACTTATTACCTTATATGTTTATCTCTGTTTCACCTGAAACTAAAGCACAGTAGATTTTTGTTTTTTCTGTCACTAATAAATTTGTTTTTACCAATATCTATCTAGAACAATGCCTGAGATATAGTAGTCATGGAATATTTTTTGAATGAATCAATGAATAAACAAATGTGCTACTATGGTACTTACTCTTTGATGATGAAAAATAATTGAATCCTGACCTTAACAGACACACTGTCTAATAATAATTCTAAGAAAAGACCCTGTCACAAATGAGAGAGGTTTGCTTCAGAAGTTAGAAATCATGGAACAGGGACATCTAAACCCATCCTGAGGTAGGGTAAGTTACCCCAGTTGGGCTTCCTGTAGGAGGTGGCACTTGAGCTTGACAGACATTAGCCCAATGAAGGAAGGAGGACAGGTTTTGTCATCCTTTTTTTTTTTAGATATAGGGATAACATGAACAAAGGTATGGTTGCTGAGCAAATGCTGCTTCTCTCATTTCTCCTCAAATTTCCTTACCATTTCTGAGCATGTCACCCTGACTTCTTATGATCAAGAGTTACATCATCAGAGTGGCTGCTACCATAGCAGGTTGGGAATGCCTGGGAATTAATGAGTGTCCCTCAGCCCTTAAGTCAATGACTGATAGGTGTTGGGAATATATATCCCAGTTCTCTGACCCATTGACCAGGATATTTTTGAGTGATATATAGTACATCAATTTTGTGGGATTAAGCTCCCATTACCCACTGTGGTTGATTTAATTGGATATTTTCCCTTTCCTGTGTCATTTTAGCTTCACCTATCTGGTTTTCTCAAAACTCTCCACAAACCGCTAGTCACTGAATTTGGGCTCATGCTTGGGCTTCAGAGGAACCCAAATGATTCCTACCTAAACTTTAGAGAATTAAAGTGACAAAGTATTTGGTCTGCTTTAGGAGATAATAAAGCAAACTACGTTGGTTGGGTTTAGTTTGGCATGAAGGAATCTGAATACTAGGTTAGGGAATGTGGATTGTTTCCAAATCTGTTATGAAATCTGTTTGGGGATGAAGCAATCAAAAGGATATCTGAGTATGATTAATCTAGTTGTGGTATATAGTGGTATTACACTGGTGGTAGGGAAAGTCTACAGGAAATGGCATAGGATACACTCAAGAGTGCATTAGTTAGTGAGGTAGCAGTGAGAATGGAAAGGAATAGATGAAGAGAGAACATGAAGGGAAAAAATGACAAGATTTGGAGTCCGGCTCTGTGAGTTGGCGGGTGTGGGGGATGGAAAGAGAGAAGTAAAAATGTCTGAGGCCATATGAGTTAGAGAGCAGTAGTATCAACAGAGATGAGGGAGCCGAGTGGGATCTGGATTTGATGAGTTAAAAGACATATCAGGCCGGGCTTGGTGGCTCACGCCTGTAATCCCAACACTTTGGGAGGCCGAGGCGGGCGGATCACGAGGTCAGGAGATCGAGACCATCCTGGCTAACACGGTGAAACCCCGTTTCGACTAAAAATACAAAAAAAAAAAAAAAAAATTAGCCGGGCCTGGTGGCGAGCGCCTGTAGTCCCAGCTACTCAGGAGGCTGAGGCAGGAGAATGGTGTGAACCCGGGAGGCGGAGGGAGCTTGCAGTGAGGGGATATCGCACCACCGCACTCTAGCCTAGGCAAAAGAGCGAGACTGTCTCAAAAAAAAAAAAAAAAGACATATCGAGTTTTTGCCAATGGAACATCCAAGTAGAAATGTTCAGCAGATGGCTGGAAATGTAAGAAAGCAGGAAGGATTTGGTTTGAGAATTGGGGCTCTTTCAGACTGTTAGAAATGTCTAGGTATTTGAAAATCCCAACACTTGCTTTATACGAGTCTCACAGCACAGATGTTGTGACTCTTAACAGAGAAGGAAGAATGTCAAAATAACCTGAAATTATTAGTGGACTTTTGGAGTTTAAACACACACACACACCTGTGATGCAGAGAAGCCGGTAAGCATTCATGAGGGGAACGGGGGTTTGGGAGGGCAGGAAGCCAGGTTGTAGCTCTCCAAGTTCTTAAAGATACTGGAGAACCAAGGAAGCAAGAAGTCAAGTTCAAGGAGTTTGGCAATTGCAGGTTTGGCTTTCTGGAGACAGATCTGGCCAAAACACCAGCCATTCCTAGCAGAGTCCTTGGACTCAGAGGACTGATGCTGTTTGCTTTGTGCCTAGTTTTATGAAGCTGTACTTGCCACACATGAAAGGCTGTTATTAAGGAATCCATCTTTTAGCTTTTTTTTTCCCCTTCAGACTAAATAAACCTTATTTCATTCTTCTCACAGGTCATAGTTTCCACTTCTTTAATTATTTGTTACTCTTCTCAGAACTTTCTCCAGTTTTCCTCTTCTTTTAAAAAACTGAGACCAAACCTTCAAAACAGAGTAATAACTGGCTTAGTTCTGGGCACAGGAAATGATTCTTTCTAAAATGTCACATCCCAGGCAAGATTTCTTTGCAGGGTTTTCCACCTGTTTTTAATGCTATCAAGATGAAAGCATTAAGTTCATGTTATCTTGATATGTTAATTTTAGACAAAACGTGATCATAATGGAACACATTTTTCCATAATTTTCTGTCTTAATTTCAAAGGCCCAGAGTTATAACGGGTGTTGTCTCGATTCTGTTTTTTTCTAATTTCACGAAAATTTAGGCAGGAGATTCCAGAATGGTAGCAGTTTGGTTCTCTTTCTCCTATAAAATAGCTTATGTCATTAAATGTATGAGGCAAAACTGTCAAGCTTTTTTCTTAATTGTGCTTTTGCTCCCACTCATTCCAACAAGTTAAACCCTTGGCTAGTTAAAATGTGAGAACAGAAAAAAGGGAATTTTCTTAGACATCAGTCAAAAGTGGAAGCAGTGGGGGCCAAGGCTCAGAGATCTCGACCTCTCCGACCACGTCTTTGGGAGTAATTTTCCATGCGGACTGGAGCACGATCTTGTAAGCACAGCCCCGGCATTACACACGTTGGGCTCCGATTCCGCAGGATTTACAAGCCTCATTACTGGAAAGAGTCTAAGGCTCTCTTGGCACAAGCGGCGGAGCAAGAAATGTTCACTGGACAATAAAACTTTCGGTTTACGGAGTAAAATAAAATCACGGCCTTCCTTTTACAGGGTGATGAACCTGCCCCTGAATTAATGAGGGGCGATCCATTTCCATGGCTTAAGAGTCTGGCGAGGTCCCAGTCAGCCAAGATTGCCGCAGATTTGCAGTCACTTCAGACTGGGTGGAGTATCCAAGTCCATAGAAGAGCAAATTCTCACCCTTCGAGGCTGCTGTGGAAGCTACCGGGGCTGGGACAGCAGAGAGGAACCCAGACGGGAACACCGCCCTCCCGCCAGACTCCCGGCGGCTCCTCCTCCCTCTCCCAAACCCACTCCCAAAGCTAAGTGCAGGCTTCCCCGTTCCAGCCAGAAGCGCTGCGTGAGCCTCCACACGTAGCCGCAGGCAGCTCCTTAAATAGCGTCCGCGCTGAGCAAACAGTCCAGACGTGGGGCCCAGGAGGGCGAGCTGAGGCGACCGCACCGGGCGCGCAGCGGCGGCGGGTCAGCCGGCGGCCAATAGCCAGGGCGCGGCCCGCCCCGTCGCCTCCCCTCGGGGAGCCTATAAGGCCTCCGCAGCGCCCCGGGCGCCTGCTGCTCCGTGCCTCCACCGACGACCTCACTCAGCTGCGTTACGCGCCGCTCCGGCTGCCGGCCGCGCGCCTTGCCCGCCGGCTCCCGCCCGCAATCGGCGGCTCAGGGCGGACCCGGGTCTCTGCGTTCTCGCGAGAAGCGCGGCGCTGCGGGGCCGTGGGCGCCTGAGCCCGCGCGGCCCTCGAGGGCCGAATATGGGGGGATGCACGGTGAAGCCTCAGCTGCTGCTCCTGGCGCTCGTCCTCCACCCCTGGAATCCCTGTCTGGGTGCGGACTCGGAGAAGCCCTCGAGCATCCCCACAGGTGAGCACCCCGCGGTCCGCCGCTGTCCCGCGAGGCTCGGCCGGCGGGGGGGCAGTTCATTCATCCACCAGCCCTTCCGCGGGGCTGGCCAGGTGAGTAGTGGGGGCCTGTCCCTCCTCTCCAGGACCGCCGGGGTCTTCCCCAGAATTGCGGTCGGGCGGCGCTGGTCCCTGGGGAAGTGTAGGGGCACCCGCCCTCGTTGACTCCTTGGAGTTCTCGGTGAACTCAGCGTGCCCGAATTTCCCTGCAGAACAAGTTGGAGTTTCCTTTTGGACTTGCAGGTCATGGGCACCAACACCTTTCCTGCAGCTCTCCTTTCCCCTCCTTTCCGAGAGTTGGCATGGATTTATCCTTGATGGACGAGGCAGTACTCCTTCTGTGACCTAAACACGGGGCTTAGTGTACTTTCTAATTGATGGTGACACATTCCTTCCAGCACCCCAGGAAGCAGCCGGTAACACCTCCCTCTTGCCAAAAACAACGCTCGCTCGAAAACCTTAGTTGTTTTCAGTAAGGCTGCCTGGCTACCCAGTACCTCCAGGCGGCAGCTTTCTTCCTTTGGGATCTGAAGGGGAAGCTGTGGACACACAGCTGCTCCCCTTACCTACCCTTTTCTTGAGCCCGGTGCTGTCTCTCGTTTTCAGAAGCTGTGTAAAACAAAACGTTTTATATTTAGCCAGATTAAAGAGAGTTTCACCACGTCTGTCTAAACATGCTTTGCTGCCTTTTGTGGCACATGAAAAATCCTTGGAGTTTTCCACATTTGTGCTCTTTGTGCTCAACTCTCTGAAATTAGATCTTGCATTTAAATGACCTTCTAATGTCCTTTTTGTTTTGTTTTGTTTTTTGTTAAGTCATCTTGGCACCATTTTTTCCCCCAAGTTTATAATAGAGTGCTTTTCTACTTGAACTTTTCTTAAGCCTAAGGACAGAAATTTCTATTTCAGAGTTACATTCAGAAAGTGACATTTGGTTTGCAGTCCAGCTAATCCATGTAGCGATAGTTTTGTCTTCATCTTTAAGTGTTTCAGAAAGCGTCAGCAGGCTGAACTGCCTATCTTTCTACAAAACAGTGCTTGCTTTGTTAGCTTGAGAAACTTCAGCATTCAGATGGATTTCTATCAGTTACAGGATGCTTTTCTTTCTGTTAGGTATATGTGACCATTTAAAAATGGATTTCTGAACCCGTGTGATTCCTCTAAATTTGAACTAAACTTTTGCATAATTTAAAAATATTTCTTCTAACATAATATCTGGAAAGTAGAAAGTAAATACTTTCAGCAAATTTGGAAGTAGAGAAATTTAAAAAGGAAAAACAGAACAAAAAGCCTTCCCCAGAAAAATGTCTTTCTTTGTTGAAACACCCAAGGAGACTTTAACTGGGAAATAAAATAACCTCTAAGGACTTTGTAATATTTAGAGAGGCCTCTTTGGCCTTTGTATATTTTATTCCACTTCATTGCCAACACCCCTAACTTTTTAATAGAGGACATCCCTTTGTATCTGCCTTTATATTTATAGTCAAAATCAAATTCCCTTCTCACTCTGGATTTTAAATTTCATGGAACTGGACAGTAAACTTTTAATGGATTGTGATATCAGAGAAAGAGAATTTTAGGTATGAAAGTTTCCTCAGGAAACGACCACATGAAACCCACTGTTTAAATCTGAGGACTGGTCACTTGGTAAGCAGGCATGGAGAATTCGGTTAGGGTCGAAATGTGGGAAAATACTAATTTGTGATAGGTGAAGCCAGCAGTAGTCAGTTTGATTACAAATTTCGGTGTAGGTAGGTGTTCTCATAGGTTATGTGATAAACTAATAAATGTAGAGGTAAACTGCTTGATAAAGTGGGCAGAATCATGGACTGTGGTCTATTTTATTCTTTACAAGTTTCAACTGAAAATTACTAAATAGAAGCTTATTCGTTGACATAAATATCAAGATCTTCTATAGGACCCTAAATTGTCTAGCTTAATAGTTCTTTAAGAAGAGTGCTTATCATCTCTAACCCTGTATATTTGTCAACATGTCCCAGCTAACCAAGAAGAAATGGTTTAAATCACAATTTCTTGGCCCTATTGACATTTTGAGCCAGACACTTCTTTGCTTTGAGGGACTATCCTGTGCATTGATGTTTAGCAGTATCCTTAACCTCTGTGCACTAGATGCCAGTAGTATAACCTTTCTAATCTGAGCACCAAAAAAACAAAAAAGGCCTAATGTCCCCAGAGGGACAAAATTGCCCAGGGTTAAGAATCCCTGGATTAGACTAATCTATTTGTATTTGAGGCAATATGGCATTATAGTGTTACTGGAATGATAACAGCAAATTATTTTTGAAAACAAATATTTATAGTGATTTTCAGTTTACCCACTGTAGTTGGGAATGTGATACACATTCATCAATTTTTGGAGTGTAGTTTTTCCTAGCTCTGGTGCTTTGTTGACCAGAGTTGAGAACATAGATTTTTGTTAAATTTTTGAGAGTTCTGTGTGCTGTATTGATTCCTTTTGGTTGCCACTTTATTCTTAGCATGGAAAGACTAAATAAGATTTTGGCTAAAATAATCATTTTCTCTGAAAATAACGTATAGGAATTGTTACCTGAAAATTATATCCTTATGGGAGCTTTCAGAGGCAGAACCTTCTTAATCAGTGCCAGTAAATCAGGTTCATACCCTGATTTATCTTTCCTGCCCTTTCTGCCTTCTAGATGGGATAAGGAGAAGGTGGATGTATTCCTGCCAAGTCTTTGCCGTCATGTCTCCAGACCTGGATAAAATTTGTGTGTGTTTTCTGAGGCACCTTACTATTCTATGATCCAAACTGGGCAGAAACCAAGTTTTGGGCAAAAACAAAGGAAATGGTTTCAAATGTTTCTGTCAAGACCAGTATTTTTGTACCACATTCATTCATTTATAAACTCTCTAATTTACTGTGGTACATTCAAGGAAAAAAGGAAAGGTTTGTCCCTATCTACTGATGCAAACCAGCAATTTATGGGGTGGAGAGGAAAAGAGCAAGGGCCTGGAGAAACCTCTGGAAGAGAGAGGGTCTTGTCCTCTGTACTTTCTGTATTCTGTGCTTCAGCCACACAGAATGACATATCATCCATAAACAGACTGTGCCTTTTATTTCACATGACAACAGACATATAAAACTACTATAGAGAATGTGAAGACAAGAAATGAAAATTAAATTGAGCTACCCTTTTCTATCCAACACATGGGACAAAGCATCTTAAAATAAACTCTGATTGTACCAAATGTCAGGATGGGAATTGACCGTTGATGGAAGCACAGTGTCTTTGGAGAACAATTTAATAATATCTACTGGAATTGAGAATCCGCATGTCCTGTAATCCTAGATATGTGCATGAATAGCACTCTCAAATTTCTGTTCCTTCCTTTTTAGTTTTTTGAAATCCTGTTTATTGTTTAAGTCTAGCTCCTAGGAAATTCTTCTCCTGGCTATTTTTGTTTGGTTCTTTTTATTTTTAACTTCTTAATGTAGCTGGTTTATACAAATCATATTTACTTTGTACTATAGGTCCTTATGTTTAATAAATTGTAAACTCTTCAAAGTGAAGGGCTGAGTTTTATTCATTTTTATGCTCTTCAGTATCTACACTGTTGTTTTGCCACAGACATTCTCAGGTTTTGCTTACTGAGTTTCTGGCCTGTTCTGAGAATTATGAAAAGTAGCGTGCAGTCAATGAGGTTGCTAGTTTCTTCTTCCCCCAGAACTTTATCTGAATTCACTGAGCTTCCTTTCTCTGCTTGGGAACCCATATGCTACATGATTTAACAGCTTAGAAGTGAAATATCTGCTGCCTTGTTTCTGAACCATGTTTGGCAACCCTTCTCCACGGGTTGTATTTCCCGCTTTACCTGCTTTACTCAATACAAAGTGGCACCTTCACTATTACTTTCAGGTAGTTGGGTGCCATAATTTTTTTTATTGGTGGTGAAATGGAGATTTGGGATGGTTACATACCTTGCACAAGCTCACATAGGTGGAAAGCAGTAGAAGAGGGGCCTGTGCCCCTTCTTCAGGCTGTGCTTGTCTTTCCTGACCTCATAATTGTTCTCTTGGACTTTTGGGACCTATGAGAAAGAAACAGAAACTGGCCATCAGTGACTTAGAGAAACAAAAGGAAAGCTTTGCTAAAAGGGAAAAGGCATAATTTGCAGGTTATGTAAAAGGAGGAGAAAGGAGTAGGCACAGGCTGAAGGAAAACTGGGCCCTAGGCCAGAGTGGTAAATTATGGCCCATAGGCCAAATCTAGCAGACCCCAAACAGCTACCTGTGTTTGTGTGGTCTGTGAACTAACAGAGATGTTTACATTTTTAAATGGTTGAAAAATATCAAAAGGAGAATAATATATTATGAAACATGAAAATTATATGAAATTAAAGTTTTATTGGCTCTCAGCCACATTCATTTGTTTACTTATTGTCTGGCTGCTTTGGTGCTACAAGGCAGAGCTGAGTAGTAGTTACAGAGACTATGAGGCCTGCAAAGTCTGAGATATTGACTAGCTGGTCCTGTACAGAAAAACTTTGCCGAACCTTGCCTTAGGAGATGACATTCCCACTTAAGTTGTGGCTCATGCCGATCTGCTGCTCTGTGGGAAGGAGCTGGCTTCTGGACAGTAGCAGCTGGCTCTGGGCATTTCAGAGACCTGTTTTTCATTTTAGAATTTGCCGGTGATTCCTGTGGTGTTTTGCGTTCAAACATAGAGTTTCTCTGTTACATCTTTTTAAACACAGCACTTGAAGCTATCAAGACATGTTCTTTGGTGTAAGTAGTGTTCTCATGATCAAAAATGAATTAAAAACACTGATGGCTAGTTGGAAAGGAGATGCATATTTCTTCTTCAGAGCTTGAGTATATTCTAGAAATTTGTTCTAGAAACCTGGTTATGAATTTGTGGCTGAGCTCCTGGGAGGAAATAATTAGCACGTTTATCAATGAGTATTTTTATTTTTCTTTAATCATTGCTATAAATTAGGCTAAACTGAGAATTTGGTGGCTTTTAAAATGACATATTCTTTTTAATTTACATCTTACTCATTTGCATTTGTTGTAGAATGCTTGCCTCCCCAAACTGAACTGAACAGAACTAATTTTCTTTCTTTTTTCTTTTTTTTTTTTTTTTTTGAGACAGAGTCTCGTTCTGTCGCCCAGGCTGGAGTGCAGTGGCGTGATCTCGGCTCACTGCAACCTCTGCCTCCCGGGTTCAAGCAATTGTCTGCCTCAGCCTCCTGAGAAGCTGGGATTACAGGTGCCCGCCACCATGCCCAGCTAATTTTTGTATTTTTTTTTTAGTAGAGATGGGGTTTCACCATCTTGGCTAGGCTGGTCTTGAACTCCTGACCTCGTGATCCAACCCCCTCGGCTTCCCAAACTGCTGGGATTGCAGGTGTGAGCCACCGCGCCTGGCCAATGAAACTAATTTTCAAAGCTATTGAGATTGCAGTTAAAAATAGTTATCTAGAATAGTAGAATTATAGAGACTGTTATTTAATTAATTAATTAATTAATTTATTTATAGACAGGGTCTCACTCTGTAGGTCAGGCTAGAATGCAGTGACGCTATCATAGCTCACTACAGCCTGAAACTGCTGGGCTCAGATGATCCTGCTTATCACCTCAGCCTCCCAAGTAGCTGGGACTGCAACTCTGTTGTTGTTATCTTTATTCTGCTTACCACCTTAAAGCCTACATGTTGCAACCCATATTTGGTAATTACACTACTAAAGATGGTGCAGCAGTACAGAATTGATTACTGCCCGACTGTGTCACAAAGATACCTCTTCAAAAAATAGTTTATAATTTAAAAATGTAGTATCTTCAAATAAGTTTTTGTTTTCAGAGTAACTTTACAAGCAATTCAAAGAGCAAAGATACATCGTTTTTATACACAAAAGGAAGATTTTCATTACAGATTTTCTTTTGTGTATTAAAAGAGGGAAGTGTACTTTTGTTAATTTTAATTTGGTTTTCTTCAAAACAATACAATCAGGTTTATGCATTTACATACTTAGTTACTGATTGACTCATGCATTTTTTTCAGGCCTTGATTGTTTTAGTAGCACATTGTGGCAGATTTAGGAAAATAAAAATCATTTTAAAATTTCTATTAAAATATGGATATACTCCCCCTTTCTTGAATTTATTTCTTAAAGGAGATGTGATTAAGTGAGAAAATGCTTAATTTGTTAGTGTGGAAATATGCTTCATGTTTACAATTTCTTTTCCGCTATAAGAAATTAGGTTTAAAGTTTAGTTTGTATAGGTTTGTAATTAAATTTTAACCAGGAAAAAATCTATAAATAGCAACTGGATAACCTTTGCTCTTCATTTCAAGAGCAATTAACACTAACTTTTTTTTTTTTTTGCTGTTCTTTTTTATTATTAGTCTTCTCACAAGGGAGTATCAGTTTCTGTGCAAGTTCATGAGTGATGGGGATACTCCCCAGGCATTATCAATACAGAAGTGACAAGGTATACTACATTGGAGTGTCCTTTCCTTTTTTGGTTGAAGAACTACTGTATTTATAATAAAAATCTACACCAGAAGTTTAAAGAAAAAACCGTATTTCAAGTTTGAATACAATAAAGAACATGATTATTACTGTAAATATACTCAATAGACTTTTAATACAAAT
This sequence comes from Homo sapiens, assembly GCF_000001405.40. NCBI lineage: Eukaryota > Metazoa > Chordata > Mammalia > Primates > Hominidae > Homo > Homo sapiens. The sequence continues at coordinate 146,154,203 of NC_000003.12, read as the reverse complement.
AAAAGTCTTGGTGAACATATGGCTAAAATGAGGGGCTACTTGAGGCAGGAAAGTGGTCAGGAAAAGTGTTTCATATAAACATTGGTGAATTTTCAAAAATGGGCCAGAGTTGAAATTAAATATCATTTGTTACACTGATAGTTTATTGATTTTAATATTGCTTTTATTATCTTGTGTGCATAAGACATCCTGGTGCATTAACTAATCATCTGCTCATTTAATTTGGGGTTATATTCTCAAATTTTTACAAAGAACTTTCTCATTTGCTTTCTAGTTACTGCTAACCTATTTTAGGGTTCCTTCCAAACGGTAGGTGAGAGATAGGACTTTCCTCTGATTTAAATGCTGTTTTTCTTATCTTTTTTTTTTTTTTTGTGCTGTGGACAGGTAAAAATTCTTTATGGAACAAAGGAATTTTCAAGTACACATAATTTTTATTGTTCTTGACAGTACTCCTGGTCAGTCTCGGACACTCAAGTGCAGTAAGGAGATACTGAATATGCATCATGCTCCACAGCTTGACCCTCCCACAGGCACAGCAACAAGCGAAATAGATATGTGGATTTTGGCAACCTTGGCTTTGTGATGCTAGGGCATCGATCTGGCCTGGGAGAAGAAAAGCTCCAGAAGCTATACTTTATTCCAGAGCCCCAGCACACAGTGTCTCATAGGCAAGGCTGCTCTGTCATTGACTATTCTGTTTTAAATGGTTTGAAGCCACAACTTTTGTGGGCTTTCAGGTGCGAAATACTTAACAGATGCTGCACACAGGGCTAAGAAGGGGGCCAGTAACATTTAGGTCTTTTAAAATGCATTCTCTAACAGGTTCTTTAAACATTTAAATCTTTCCTTCCTGTTTCTAGCAATGTACTAAACACCAACAGCTATCTCATCTTTAAAAATTCTGCAAATACAGAATTTAAATTATTTCTTTTTGAAAAAAGGAACCAGCTAACAGTTTGCTGGTAGACTAAAATGATCTCCATAATGTGATCACCTGGGGAAGTCTTAGAGCGCTGTTGTTATGAAGAGGGCGGATGGGTTCTTTGATGGGATTTTCCGGTCTTGTCCAAGCCAGCTCTGAGGCACCTTGTCTTCAGAGGCCTCTTCTCCTGCTCTGGCTATGCTGGTTCTTTCCTGGCCTCCAGCTGGCACCACAGTGGTGACCAGAATGCCCTGCTGGTCCAGGGCCTCTGGAATTCCTGCCGGCCACGTCTAGAGAAGGACAATCCTCCTTTTCTTCTTAGTTTAGTTTAGACAAGGTTGGAATTTTTTAAACAGTGACTTTACTAAGTAACCAAGGGCAAAACAAAACAAAACCTCACACTGGAAAATCACCGAAGCAAAGAAATGAACAGACTTACAAAGCAGAGATTCAGAGTTCTTACTCTTCTCTGACTTTGGTATAGTTCTGTATTGAAATTCTAAGATTCTTGCAGGGAAAATAATGTATATATAAAACTGAGCAAATCAAAGAAGCACTTATGGGTAAGCAACCTGGATACCTGCACACCCAGCACATTTTGAGGGTTCATGAATTCTGTGTCCTTGTCCAGCGTTTCTTTCTCCCCTCTTCACTCTCATTCCTCACTTCTTCCTACCACTTTCTTTTACACAGATGACTCTTCTCCATGATTGGAGTCCATGAGATCCATGGGTAGACAAGTGGTAATAGATGGTCTAGGTATATTTGTCATTTCTTAGGGACATATTACATTACATATTAGCATAACTGTAGCCATTGGACACTTAATTTTCTTCACTAGATAGAATTTTTTTTTTTTGAGACGGAGTCTTGCTCTGTCGTCCAGACTGGAGTGGAGTGGTGCAATCTCGGCTCACTGCAACCTCTGCCTCCCGGGTTCAAGCGATGCTCCTGCCTCAGCCTCCTGAGTAGCTGGCATTACAGGTGCGTGCCACCACGGCCAGGTAATTTTTGTATATTTAGTAGAAACGGGGGTTTCACCATATTGGTCAGGCTGGTCTTAAACTCCTGACCTCAGATGATCCACCTGCCTCAGCCTCCCAAAGTGCTGGGATTACAGGCATGAGCCACTGCACCTGGCCAATAGGTAGAAAATTTTTATGCTGTTGCCCATGACTATTTTTGTATTGCTTTAATTCTTGATTTTAGTAGCAGTTTGTGTATGCTTTTATAAACCTATATAATTTAGTAAATCTACATTAGTTTATTTAGCTAAGCTTTACAAATTCCCTCATAATACAACTTTTTTAGAGGTAACTAACAGCATTGTAAATTTTTAGATGCAAATGTATGCCAACAATAATTCCCATTGTGTAATACTGTGAAATTTTGGTAATTAATATTTTAAAAAATAATTGGAGTATTTATTGACTGGCTAGTCTGTGTTCTGTTGCTTTGTGTGAAGGAAAAACAGAAAAAACAAACCAGAATGAACAAACAAAAACCACACAAGGCTCAGTTCCTGTTCTGTATTGAAATTCTAAGATTCTTACAGGGAAAATAATGTATGTATAAAACGGAGCAAATCTGAGAAGCACTTACGGGTAAGCAACCTGGGCTGCAGGGAAGAACACACACATCTGGCATCAGGAAACCTACATCTAAGTTCTCATCCTTCCACTCACCAACCTTGAGCCGATTCTTGAGCCTCGTCAGATTTTACTTGTAATTTGTGATCCTTACAGTGCTGTGATTTGATGTCTCTTGACTTTTTTTTTTTTGAAACGGAGTTTCGTTCTTCTTGTCCAGGCTGGAGTGCAATGGCGCGATCTTGGCTCACTGCAACCTCCGCCTCTCGGGTTCAAGCGATTCTTCTGCCTCAGCCTCCTCAGTTGCTGGGATTACAGGCATGCGCTACTATGCCCTGCTAATTTTGTATTTTTAGAAGAGACCGGGTTTCTCTATTTTTGTCAGGCTGGTCTTGAACTCCCAACCTCAGGTGATCCGCCCACCTCAGCCTCTTGAAGTGCTGGGATTACAGGCGTGAGCCACCGTGCTTGGCCAATGTCTCTTGACTTTTAAGTGTCAGAATGGTGGTAGAGACAGAGTGCTGCAGGAATCAGAAAAGAGGTCTCAAGAAAACTTACTATTATTTGTTAGGCCAAAGAAGGCATAGATATAAGGTTGTTTTGTGTTTTAAATTCTACTTTTTCTACTGGTTGTTGTATCAAGATCTGGACTTGGCCAGGACTTGGTGTTGCTTTTTTCTCTTAATTAGCTTTTGATTTAGATGCAGGACAGTAGGCCAAGAATAACTAGAATTAAATTTACATTTAAAAAGGTTCCAAGTGTTTTTATATGAGAAGAGAAAACAAGTCTGGTGTTTTTATGAAGCTATTTTCTGTTTTCAGAGAGGAACCGTATCCTCTTCAGTACATTTAAATATTGTATGCTGTTAAAAAAATAAACTTATATTCATCTGTTTCAGTCCTGACCTTTAAGTCAAATAAATTAATAACAATTATGCTGGTAACTTTTTTTTTTAACTTTTATTTAGGGTTCAGGGGTACATGTGACGGTTTGTTACACAGGTGAACTCATGTAATGGGAGTTTGTTGTACAGACTATTTCATCACCCAGGTATTAAGCCCAGTACTCAGTAGTTATCTTCTTTGCTCCTCTGTCTCCTCTCACTGTCACCCTTAAGTTGAGCCCAGTATCTGTTGTTCCTTTCTTTGTGTTTATGAGTTCTCATCATTTAGCTTCCACATATAAGTGAGAATATTCGGTATTTGGATTTCTGTTCCTGTGTTAGTTTGCTAAGGATAATAGCCTCCAGCTCCATCCATGTTCTCGCAAAAAACATGATCTCATTTTTTTTTTAATGGCTACGTAGAAGTTAAAACGAAGTTTTATGGTATGTGCTACTTAAAAATTGGGGACCCTTTTCTAACTTGTTACATAAATAGTCATCAGAATACCTAGATTCAACTTTTGGATTCATTAATTATCTTTAAAATATGATTGCATTTAGTGAACTGAAAACATGGCAAATAAAAACGAAATCAGTTTGTGGGAGCAAAGTATTTATGTGCATACGTATATGTGTATATGTGTATGTACACATTTGTGTTTACTAGCCATGGAGGTTATTGTTGAGCCTTAAGAAAGGAATAGAAAGTATGAATACATTTTAATCTGGACTTCTTTGATATCTTGCTAGGTCATTGTCACAGCAGCATTTGTTCTACATGTGTTTGCATCTTTAGAATGGAGCATATCTAGTGAGTGGTACACTCTGAGACTTAATCCTTGGAGAAGATGGTGGTGTGCACTGCTTTTTTTTCTGGCTATTTTTCCTACTGTTTCCAGGTGGATTTTATGTAAATTGAAGGAAGCAGTTCAAGCAGAACAACTGGAAGGGAAAGAGTGTGACTTAATTTTAAAAACATATATAGTTACTTATACAGTTGTTTTTTACGTGTAAGATTAGCAAATATTAACAGAAGTATTTAGCCTGGGTGTTGGTTTTGGAAATTAACTGTTATTTATTGAATAAGCAAATAAATACCAGTAGCTGAGTCTTTTGTACAGTATATTAGGTTGAAGAAAAATTTGGTTTATTAAAATGATAAACTTTTATCTTATTAATATCACTTGATATTTTATGTTCCTCAAGCATAAACATATTTTTTTAAAAAATGAAGTATTACATTTTAAACAGCAAGTAAATATCCTAAAAAACCGGGCTCCTTCTCACTGAATGGCTGTGTTACACCAGTACTGTCAGCTCCATGGGTTATGGCAGAGTGGATAAGTGAGATTTTTTTTTCATGTTGAGATAAAAGATAAACTAAGAAGTCTACTTTTGAACCATAGACACAAACTTAAAAAATAACTATAATTGATAATTATATCTGATTTTCTATAACCAGATTTAAATTCTTTATTGATGCAAGACATGAATTTTTCTTAATAATTCTCAGAATATCCCACACTTAAATTAGTTTAAAAGCATATTTGGTTTGTAGAAACTTCTTTCGAAAAAGAGTCCTATTCAGTTTGAAGAGGTGATGGGAGTGAGAGGGTCAGTGAAATAGAGGAAGGGAAGTTGCTTTTAAGTGTGGTACAAAATTACAAAATATGTGACTTGAATGAGTTCACAATTAATTCAGAAAAATCTGAACTAGAAGCCACTGCTGAGTGCTGGCAAGGGAAATTATGCTTATGTAAAATGTGACACTGAATTCTTCCCTGAACAGAAATTTGGTTTGGGTAGTTTCATCCTTGGGATTTATTTCTGTGGATTATGCTTATTGTGGTTGTAGCATTTCATATTAACCGTAACAAATGGAATATCCCAGCCATTCTTTGCATGCTATGACTTTCAGCCTATGGTCCAGTGTGCATGGACCCTCTTGCAACATATACACTGAGACAGTGTATAGTGCTGAATTTGTTTTTTATTTGGTTTCAGGAAGTCAGCTGGTTACTTCAGTAATCAGCAGAGATTCAGAAATATAGATGTTGTAATATTATGCAACCATGGATGTGTTTTATATCACTTGGTATTTCTGATAAATTGAGGTACAAGTCTGTTGTGCTTTGAATTATTGGAGAGTTGTGTTATTTCCTCTTTTATTATGATTAAGTGTATTACAAAGAATTTGAGGATGATGTTTTTAAAATACTAGGGTAAATGCAGAAACAGTACAGAGGAGTGTTTGCTTTCTTGATATAGCCAGAGGGCGCTCACTATACAAGGAGACTAGAGACCTCTAACTTTGAACTTCAAAACTTTGAAGTCATTTTTTTCTCATTCCTCTGATTTATTCTTCGTATTTAGGTATAGTGCTTTGCTCATTATTTTGTCTCTGTCTTTTTTTGTTTGTTTCATCTGTAGTGAAAAGTGTGTGTGTGTGTGTGTGTGTGTGTGTGTGCGTGCCTGCCTGCCTGCCTGCCTGTATAAATAATTAGATATCTATTAGATATTTGAAACGGGTAAAGATTATTTTTAACATGATCTTAATATTGTTATTGCATTCAACAGTGATTCCTTAATGTTATTTAATACCTATCCAAATTCACCTTTGCCTCTTTTTCTCAAGTATGTCTTTTTATAGTTGGTTTGTTTGATCCGGATCCATAAATTTATCTTCCTAAACACCTTCCAAGCTGTCACTTACCTTAGTCTACACTGCAGGACTCTGGTAGCTTCAGGGTCAAATCTAGCCTAAATATTGTTTTTCAAAAGCCTCAAATTAAGTTCTATGTTTCAGGAAATTTTACTTAAAAATCAGAATCTTTCTTGTTTTGGAGGAGAAAAAAGGAAAAGAAGGCCTGGAAACCCTGGGTTTTCCTTCCCGTATGGCAACAACAGCTGGCTGACTCTGAGAAGTCCTCTCCTTGGATGGGGTGCTTGTGCACTCCAGTCACCATAGCAGGTGCCTGGCCTCTTCACTGATGTGTTTGCAGCCCCCTCTCTGTATACATCACTGAATTAGATAATTATCATTGTTTCTGAAATTATTTTTCTTGTCTCATCTTTCTTAAGTCCAGTGACTCTTCGCATGCTATGACTTTCAGCCTATGGTCCAGTGGTTTTGTCCCCCCTGGAATATTTGGTAACGTCTAGAGACATTTTGTTTTGAGCAGTGGGTGCTACTTGCATCCTGTCGGTTGAGTCCAGGGACCCTGCTAAAGTGTCCTGCATTACACAGCATGACCCCATCACTCTCTCCCAGCCCCACCCCAAGAAAGAATTATCTGGCCCCAAATGTCAATAGTGCTGAAGTTGGGAAACTCTGCTACAGTCTGATGGCACACTTCTAATTTCACTGCCCCGCTTCTAGTGTCTTCTCTATTTCCAAATGTATTTATTATCATTTCCCAATTTGCACTCTGTTCATACTGGATTCCTCACTATCCAGTCAAGAGATCATGCTTTTACACATCTTTTGGAGGAGGGGGGATTATATTTCCAGGTTCCTTGACTGTGAAAATACTGTCTGTCATTTTTTAAGGCCTGAACATAGATATATTAAGTCTTATATTCTAGTGATTTTTTTGTAGATTTTTATTGTTCCTTCAATGTTGAACTCCTACAGTATTCTCTGCAAATATATAATCTGTGATTTAAATTAGTATTTAGTATGTTATTCTCAGTCTTTTCATATGAACTAACTTTACATTCTTAGTTGGATTTTAACCTGCAAGAGGATAGAGATCGTATCTCTTGAATTGCTGTGCCTTAGAACTCCCAACCTCGGAAGCTTCTCTGCCTATAGGCCTTACAGAGGGATAGTCCATTAACCCATGGCTTGCCCTAGTCACAACTAACAAGATAAGCAGGAACCCTATGTTGGTCAGGGTTCTATTCAAACGAAGAACCCATTTTAGATATCTTGAGCAAAAACAGATTTAACAAAAGTAATTACAAGCTTATACAATTACTGGAAAGCCTGGAAGAATGGGCTTTAGCAAAACTTTCAGCAGTGACTTCTAGAATAGCAGAAATAGCTGACCAAACTAGGAGGCTACTACCTCTGTCCCAGCGGGGAATCAGGAGCCCACCATTGGAAGTATTGAATTCAGAAATAGGCTTCCATAAATGTAACCCAGGGATGGAGAAGCTGTCTCTGTTGATTCCTTATGCCCATGAGGCAGTGACTATACCAACAATGCAGAATTCAGCCACAGCCTTTGCTGCTGTCCATATGTCTGTCTGTCTCTCTGCCTCTCTCTCTCTTTCTCTCCCTCTCCGTCCACCCGCCCTCCTCCCCAGTTCCCACAAAGTGTGAGATTGACCCTAGAACACTGGTGTAGGGTAAACCGTATCCTTCTGACCATGCTTACCAATGGAAATGGCCAAAAGTGATAGGGATAGGACCATCTGTTTTTCAAATCTCACAGGAATACATCTTAGAGGAGGGGTATAATTTACATCCAAATGTTTAGCTCCAAAGAACTTGGAGAAATGCACCTTTAATATTTGATTTTCTCATGACTTTTTCAGTAATTGTTCTTCCTGAAGCTTGGCAAAGCATTAAATTATTTTAAATTTTTATGGATGTTTTTGACAATAGGGACCCAAGTAAGGGCTTAGCATTACATGAAATACATGCTTTTTAACGTGGAGCTCTATTATAAAGTTCTAAGCATGTTGAATACTTTGTCAGCTTTTAAGAAGACCAATTTCTAATAAAGTCATGGGAAAAAAAGAAACTTATGAAATAGAGGCAACTAAGTAATAGAAATTTATGTCCCCTCACCATCCTTATTGTTTTGAGGCCAGTGGATTGTAACTTTTATGGAAGAGACGGCATGGTACAACTTAATCCTAATTACAATTTTATGATATTTGTTTGACTTATTCATTCATTTCTTATTTACTAGTGCTCTTATTTTATACAGCACCCTATAACTTTCAGTAAATTCTTAGCTGACTAGTGTCACTTTTCTGAGATAAAAGTGGGGCTTACTCACAGCTTCTGGATTTTGATAATGTCAGTAATAAAATTCTGGCTCATTAAGGAAGGAAGGATTTAATTTGACTCAGCCTTTTAAAAATTCATGATAACAAAAGTACAAAAGAAAACTTTGTGGACTACCATAACTGTACTTTCTAATTGTAAATTTATGTTTCACAATTTTTATTTGAAAGTTTGGTTTTTATGTAATTGTTTTTTACTTTTGTAGTTTCTTTGCTCGTAACAGTAACTATAGTTAAGCTTATGGCTGAAACTCCTGCTGAACAAATCTACAGAGGAGTATCTTGCATTCAAATTAGAATGTTGATCTTCCTCACATTATTTGGAGTTGGGACACCCCAACTACACATGGTATTTATTTATTTTAAAATTTCATTTGTTTTGCTCATTGTGATAATTTCAGGTGGTAGGTAGATGTACCTTAGTGTTCAAATTAACACATAGACAAAACTAGATTGGGAATGGCTGGATTAGATTAATACATGCCTATCTAGGTTTATTATGTCACCATAGCAGTTTTAGTTTTTGGTTTTGTATGTGTGTGTTTAAAATGATACAGCTAAAAACATTTGCTTTTATTTTGATGAAGACAAAAATATTTGGGGAATCTGGATTTGTTTTGGTGATATGCCTAGGATGTAGTCAGTTTAGCCCTTCAAATGACGTTTGTCATCTAAATTATTCTGAAAGCTCTAGTAAGAAATGACAGAGCTCCTATAAGAAATGTTGAAGCACCAGTAGAAATCAGTAAGAACTAGGATATGGTAGATCTAATGAAGATGGCATAACTTCGTTTAAGAGTTGTATTTTCGGTTACAATGACAATAAATGCTTGTAACTGAAAACAGAGATAGTTAAGAATAAATTTAAATTTGTCCATGAACACACTATCAATTAGTAAACAATGTAAAACACTGTGATAGTATTCATTTTTTTGTTTGTATATCTTCATGTATTTTCTTTATAAAATCAAGATATACATACATATTGATAAACAATAAAGCCACAGTTTTGTATTTGTCTTATTTACAAAATAGTATATTTTAAGCATTTCCCATGGCATTGAATATTCTTCAAGCCATGATTTTTAAGTAACATTTTTATATCTGTCACGGGATTATACCATAAGTTTTATAACCATTACCTTATTCGATATATAGCTTGTTTGCCATTTGACACTAACAAAAATAATATTGTAAGGGTATTATTGAAAATAAGTTTTGGTTTCCATTTTTACCTATTTTTATAGGAAAAGTTCATGAAACAAAATATTTAAATAAAAAGATATGTACTCTTTCTGTCTCTTGTTACATATTGTGGAGTTGATTTCCAGAAGGTTTTATGGATTTTCACTTCCACGAGCAGTGTACAAAAGGGTATGGAAATCTTGGCAAGCATTACTTTTCAAAATACTTTCTTCAAGGTTTTAGGGGAAAATAGTGTCTGATTCTCTTTATCCTCCTTTTTTATTTCTTAAATTTATAGTGATTTATTTACTTGCTAAAATATTTTTTGCCACTTCTGTTTCTTATGTGAGTTGCATATTCGTATCAGTGGTGTGTACATTCTAGTGGAGTTAGAAAGGACGGTAAACAAATGTATTGGGAAGGTATAAATCTTAAAAAGAAAAATAAAATGAGATTAGAGTGATTAGGTTGAAGAATACCATTATAAGTACTGTTTTCAGGAGATGCTTTTTATCTTTGGTTACATTTGAGCATAGAAGGGTGGAGGCTTTCTGAGAGAGGAGGATTACAGGCAGCGGGGACCACAGTATAAACGCTCTTAGCTGAGGATGTGTTTGATGTGTCTGCAGAGCAGCCAGGAGAACAGTGTGCCTGCATTAGGGACAAGGAGGGGATAGTGATGGAAGAGATCAGATTGACAGTCAAGACCAGATCTCTTAGGTACTTGGAGTGTGGACTAGGGTAAGGAGTTTGGATTTTATTGAGAACAAGAGGTAAACCCTTAAAAAAATTTGGAGAGAAACGCAAGATATGTGTGTGAATTAGAATAGGTTATTTTATCTGGACTTTTGGTTGGTGAATGTAGTACAGGCTGATTTCAGCCCCATTTTCCCCTTTAGCCTCTCTAAAGGGTGGCTGTATTATATAGTACAGTTGCTAAACTATATACATTGTGGCCCTGAATTGATAGAGTTACAGCTATATCATTCCGGCCAGTAGAAAGAAGGGATTGACAATGGCCAGGGTAGATACAGGGAAATTCTTTAAGAGATGATTTCAGTAGTCTAGGGAGAAGAGGATGGTGCCTAGGTTTAGACTACTCACAGAAAAGATGGTTAGGAGAGGCTGGATCCTGTAATGCTGATAGAATTTGTGGTCAACTTAGATGGGGAATGTGAGAGAAAAACAGGAGTTAAGGATGACTCCAAATTTTATTCTTAAAATTTTGCATCTTAGAAGTTTTAATTTGTTTAAGTCTTAACACCAATTGAGTATATACTCTACATGCTTTTTTTTTATATTCTCACTCATGTTTACATAGATTGTAAACACGAGTTACTCTGGTGACTGCTTTACTCTTATTTTAATACTTACTATTAAAACTTATAGTCTTCTTTGTGTCTGTAATGTTATCTAAATGTTTATTCAGCAGAATGCTAGTGGTGGAAAACAGGACCCTAAAAATATTTTTACAAGGGCGGTCGGAGTGTTTAACTCTAGGAAGTAGGCCAAAATAGCTGCTGTGATGCACTGAGCAGTGAGTTTGGGAAAAAGCATTCTGCAAAATGTCAGCCGATAGCATTGAAAAATAGCAGAGCTGCTTGAAGCAGATTTTTCAGTTTACAGAAATTGTGTTATAACCAAAGCATGGAAGATGGGAACAAATGGCAGGGGAAATCTGGCTACATGACTGTAAGATCAGTGCTGCTGCAGAGAGTCCCTGAGTCAGCTTTGGTTTGTACCAAGGCATCAAGTGTATTTGGTTTGACAAGAGATTGGAATGTGCTGACAATGCCCCTTTCTTATAATCTTAGGCAGTATATTACAAAGCTTTATTTTGAATGTAGCTTTTATCGTTTGTTATTTATTGTACTTAAATTATGTTTAAAGGCAAGCACTGGGATATTTGTGTGCTTAAACTTTGTTTAAGGGCAAGAACTGGAGATTTGTGTGCCTGGAACAGACCCTACTCTGCCTCCACTTTCCATTTAGGTCAGTGGGCAATTAATCTTGTAATATGAAAGGTTTCAGGTTTGTAGTGTTTTTATTGACCAACCTTTACATGAAAGTACATCTACCATGTAGCTGGAAAAAGATCCCTGATAACTTTTCTATGTACCACCCTTAGTTTTTGGAAATAGGTAAAGGAAGAAAAAGTGACAGACTGAGAATGAATAGGCAGAGAGATGGAAAAAACAGTAGAGAGAAGCACCAGGAGGGGTAGATTCATACAGCTGGATGGTGAATTTTGCACTGATTTGTTTTGCTAACTTAAAACTTGTTGGATTACATAAATTTCTATTAAAAAAGAAAACACTGCATTCGTATTAATTTAGGCATTATTTTTCTTGATGACAAAAATCTGAATAAAAAAACTAGTTCCTTTTAATAAAGGACATTAAATATCAGTAGATAATAGCTTTACTTGTAGTTTATTTAGAGATACTTTCAAGGGATAAATACTTTTCTCATCTTTTTGAAAGTTATAATTTGGCAATTGTTTTCTGACAGGAACATTTGGTTACATACAGTAGATGTATGGTTAGATACAGTAAATGATGTTTTTGCCAATTTTCTAACTCTCTGGGAACAGAAGTGGAGAATGTTGAATCCCATTCCCCTGTTACACACATTTCTTCACCTGGTGAACTCATTTGTCCTCAGTTTTAGGGCGAATTCCTCACAATTTTTTTCATAAACTTCCAATTTAAAATAACTTTCTCTGTTAAAACCTTTCATCCTCTTCGTGTTGTTGAACTTATTCTTAGTTTTACTGCAGTTTCCATTTTAAATTGTTTGTGGAATTATTTGCCACTGTCTCCCCTCACAACTGTATTGTAAGACCCATGAAGACAGGGATTGATTTTTCCAAAAATGTTTATTGAGTGACTTCCTTCCAAAAATATTTATTGAGTGCCTACTGTGTATCAACTAGGATTTGGGGATCTATTAGGTTTACATTCTCTTCAATTCCAGCATTTACTTCGTTTACCATTATGTCTCCAACATGTAGCACAGTGCCTGATAAACAGTGAATGTCAGTATCTGTTGAAAGAATAAAGATGAAAGCCCTTTGAGGAGTATTTGCAGGGCTCAAATGTGGTGTGGAGTCAGGGGTTAAATCTGTAGTTGAGGAACATGAACTTCTCCTGAGGTTGGGGATTTCTTTCCCCATCTCAATCTGAAATTTCCAACTGTCCCTGTTCTAACTTTTCTTTCAATAAAAACGAGAACTTCCTTAGTGTTAGATCCATTTTGTAAACTGCGTCTGGGGAATGTATGCAGTTTAAGTAAACTGCAAGATAAATCACAGAAGAGTTAATGCAGTAGTGATCATTTTATTAGCGGTCCACATTAATAGAATACAGCAATTTAAATTGTAATGTAGTTAACTTTGTCCTTTTTTGGGGTTGTAATTAATCTAAACATCCAGCTATTTATGTTACTTATAATTAAAGGTAGGAAAGCCATTAGATAACTCATTTGTTCATACTGTGTATTCAATTATCTGATTTATTATTTATCTAGTTTATGTACTGAGAGTACATAATAAAACTTAATAAAACCTCATAATAAAACTTATTAGGGGGCAGTAAATGAAGAAACATGTTGTGTTCTTGACAGAGCAGGTACATGGACACTCAGACATTAAAATGGAGACCAGGAAATTAAAGATCAGAAGCAGCATGTGGAAAACATTCTGTCTGGGGCCACTTATTATAGGAATAAACAGCTCTGTAGATTTAGATGTTCTGGGGAAGTACCCTATCATTGGAAAATATGGTAAGTGATCATGAGTCCTCAAGAAGAGGTTATATTTGTTTGGTATTCTTTGCTTAATTATCACATTTGACAGAATGATTTGCATTATTAACATTATTAATAGAAAGTGTTTAGAGAAAGTTGAAAGGCACCATGGTTTAATTGACTGGAATGCTTTATGACTAAAAATGCAGAGAGTAGTTTGTGAATTTTCAGGAACTGATCCTATTCTTTATTAAAGCGTATTGTGTATTTCTGAAAAAGCACACATAGTATAGTTTAATTCAGACTCTCTGAGCTGTATATACTTCTAATTATATACTAGTTTATGAAATTACTGAGTTCCTTCTACTTTGAGAAATTCTGGAATTAAGAATGAGTGAGGATTGTTGGGGAGAGGTCGTTGAAGCTGACAAAACACTGAATGCTTACCCTCGTTTCTAGGTCACAGTGAAATCAGACTTCACTGGGGAGCAGTTTTCTGATGAGGAATGTCATGAATCCTTTCAGAAATGGGAATGTCTCTGTGTTTGTCTCTGTAATGTAGAGGCATCTTGAGAGGCTGGACTTTTGATGAATTGTCATAAGAACTGACCCCATATAGCATTGGCTCAGCTTTCTAACAAGGGATTCTTATTTCCTGCTACATAAATTCCCCAAATGAAACATTGACTCTTTCAGACATAACCTGACCCAGTGCACTGGGTCATACTGGAGTATCCTGACCCTGTATGGATTTATACTGCTGAGAAAATTTAAATTGCGTTCAAAAGAGAGCTATTTTATGAACATCTACCTTAAATATGCATCTTGCTTATGACTAATTAATGCCTTGCTATGTTTTTGTGGAGCAGTCTTGAAGAACCAGGTGGCGAACCATTCATTTCTAATGTGTTGTAGCTAGGAATTAGTTGAATTTGACTGTATACGAGGTGAGGAAAGAGAAAGGGAGGAAGGCAGGGAAAGACCAGCTTTTCCACAGTGACATTCTTCAACAGTATTTTTTGCCAGCAGCTGATATTTCTTCCCTAGTGCTGTTTCAATGTGTATATTCTAAGCCTTGTAATAAATTTCTTGCTAATGACTTAAAGTGATGGCATTTGTACAGGAATGTGTAACTGTTGGCTTGATTTTATTTTACAAACTGGTTTGAAAAAGAGAGAAAATCCTCTGAATATTCATTTCTGCTTAAGTCCAGTGGAAATCTCAGTAAAATATTGGATGTGCAGAAAAGCTTTACACTTTAGGATGAGCTGCATTATTATCTTTTTCCTGCATCATAATAAAACCCTTAATCCAACATTTAGGTTGTTTGATAGTTGGCGTTTATAACGCTACCGGGGTGAGCATTTATCAAGATAAATTGTGGAGATTTGTGTTCCTTCAGGATAGGGAATGTGGCATTTAGAATTCTTATTGTTTAGAAAGTCACAGAAGATACTTTAAACATTTCTTAAAATTTTATTTATGTAACAGACTCATCTTTTCAGGTTAGATTTATGAGATAATTTGGAGTCCTTCACTACTTTAAACATTTTCTTAAAATTTTATTGATGCAGGAGACTCATCTTTTAAGATTAGTCTTATGAAATAACTTGGAATCCTTCTTCACTGCTCTTTTTCACAAACCCTGTTTAATCTGTCCATCAATGTTGTTTAGTCTGCCTTAGAAACATATTCAAATGGATGACTTTTTACCTCCTTTACTACCGTTCCTTGTCTGTATCACCATGGTCTCTAACCTAGAACACTGTTCAGAACACTCTTCAACAGATTTCCTAATTTTGTCCTTGGCCTCTCCTGTGATAGCAACCAGGGTAATCCTGTTAAACTTGAGTCAGATTATGAGATGCAGTATTGCATAGCAGTTAAGAGCACAGCCTCTGGAGCTAGTCTTTCTCGGTTCAAATATGAGCTCTGCCACTTACCATATATTTAAAGTTGGGCAACACAGTTAAATGTAATATTGGAAGAGCAGTAATACTTGGATTAAATGAATTAATAGTATCTATATGGTAGACATTGTTATTATTGTATTGTTATTACTGTTATTTTAGTAGCTATTATATCATCTCTTTACTCAGAATCCTCTACTAGCTTGCTATTACATTTGAAGTAAAAACCAGAATCTTTACAATGACCTCCTAGGCCCTGCACAGTCTATTCATTCTGACTTCTGAACTCATCTCATTTTCCCTTGCATAGTCTCTTCTGGCCATTCTGGATGCCTGCTGTCCTCCCTTTTCTTCCACTGCCAATGTATGAGGCCTGAACCCAGCCCAGTCATATTCTCTGTATTTGTTGTTTCCTTTTACTGGAAAGATGTCCCTCAAATATCTGCATAGCTCACTTCCTTTGCTTCAGGTCACCCTCTCAGTGAAACTTGGTTATGTCATCCAAGATAGCAACCCATTCAAGACTCCCTGCGACACTCTATGACACTTCGTTCTTTATCTTTAGCCCTGAAAGTTAAATGCAAATTTTTGTTTGTTTTTTTTTTTGGTTCCCTGTATTGGAATATAAACTCCATGATGGCAGAGGCTTATTTTTGGTCTCTTGTCCTGTCTTGAATGCTGAGTCTCTAGAACAGTGGCACATAGTAGGCACACAGTAACATTGAAGGAATTAGTGAACTTATGGCACCTGGTTAATTCTCTGCTCACAACCTCATGTGGTATCATCTTTCCCATGTATACCCAGTATTCTCTTAGCTGTGCCCCCTGTGGTCTGTGATCTGCTCCATCTTGGCTTCCAGCTGTCCACTCTTAATTCTAAATGGTAATTTGCAATTAACCATTTCCTGTCTTTTGAATAATGAAAACACGAATCCCTCTCCATTTCTGACTAGCAAAATATTCTCATGTCTTTGAGACCCACTTAACTGTTTCTTCCCCCTGCGGTATTACCTCAACTTGTCTTGATTTCTTCCTCCTGTGATTTATCGTTGCCCTTCATTGTTTAACCTCCTCATAGGGCTGTTATCTAGAATCAGAAATACCAATTTTTTTATTATTTGGCATACCTAGGATGGTATTTTTTTTAGTGTGATCCCTGTTGAGCGTCATCCGCATCTCTTCATGATGATACCTGGTACTCGGAATTTATTCCCCAGGAGCTCCCCATACAAACTGAATCAGAAACTCTTGGGGTGTGACCCAACAATCTCTTGTTTATACAAGTATTTGGGTAGTTGTTCTAGTCCATGCTAATGCTTGAAAAGCACTGAGCAAGGACATTGGCATGATGGTCCAGTTTCCAGACTGGGAATATCTGAGATTAAGGGTCCAGTTGGGGCCAGTGCTGTGGCTCATGTCTGTAATCCCAGCACTTGGGGAGCCCAAGGCAGGCAGATCACTTGAGACCAGGAGTTATAGACCAGCCTGACCAACATAGTAAAACCCTATGTCTACCAGAAATACAAATTTATTAGCGGGGTTTGGTGGTGAGCACCTGTAGTCCCAGCTACTCAGGAGGCTGAGGTGGGAGTATCACACTTAAACAGTGGGAGCTAATTGAATCAGAGGTCATTACGTCTTAGGAGAGTTTTTGTGAATGTGGCAGATAGAGCTTCTTACTGCATCAAAATGGTGCTATAAAGCCAATTATTTAGAAGCAACATTATGGAGCTGTATTCCTGTTATTTTCAGAATTTTTATGCTTTGATATATGGAAAATACCTTTTAGTCAATTCCATCTTTTTTAAAAAATCGCAGGTCATCTTGGAATCATAGTTGAAATAAATAGTATTTCTCATTAAAGCATTAACATGTCAGTTCATCATAAGTTTGGTAATTCAGAATGGAACCAAAGAACTTCATTGTTTGGAATACAGGTTGGATATCCCTTATGCAAAATGCTTGGGACCAGAAGTGTTTCAGATTTCCAGTTTTTACAGATTTTGGAATACAATCATCTGTTGCATAACGACAAAGATACCTTCTGAGAATTGAGTCATTAGGCAATTTCGTCATTGTAGAAACATCATAGAGTGTACCTATGTAAACCTAGATGGTGTAGCTTACCACACCTAGACAATATAGTTTACACTACTGTTTCTACACTACAAACCTGTAAGGAATGTTACTGTACCGAATATTTAGGTAGTTGTCACACAATGGTATTTGTGTATCTAAATATATCTAAACATAAAAAAGGCAACCCATTGTGCTATGACTGCTACTATATCACTAGATGACAGGAATTTTTCAGCTCCATTGTAATATTATGGGACCAGTGTTGTATATGTGGCTCATCATTGATGGGAACATCATGTGGCACATTACTGTATTTATATACACATAATGAGATATCTTGGGGATGGGACCCAAGTCTCAACATGAAATTCGTGTATGTTTCATATATACCTTTTACATATAATGCAATATTATATAATGTTTTAAATAATTTTATGCAAGAAGTAAAGTTTTCGCTGTCCTCCTCACATTAGGTCAGGTGTAGAATTTTACACTTGTGGTCTTTCAGCACTCAAAAAGTTTTAGTTTGAATTTTGGATTTCTGGGCTAGGAATGCTCAACCTGTAATATGAATTGGTAAAGTCTCATCAGGTTCAGTATTTCATTTATTCAGCACTATGCATATGACAAGATATCAGTGTAAAAAATGAAACTATAAAAGTACTGGAAGAAAATATGAATAATTATTTTATAATTGCAACATGTAGAAGGCATTTCTGAAGTGTGAGAAACAAAACCCAGAAGATGTAAGAATTAATGGCCGATTTTAAAAAGTCATAGAAAAATAAAAATTCTATCTGGAAAAAAAATCATACAATCAAAACAAAGTTCAAAGATAAATGGTAAGTGGGGAGAAAATGTTCAACCCACAAGGTTTACTTGGAATTTATTGTAGAGATACAATCTTACATGTAAGAAATTACTTGTGACCATCTTTATCAATTGCAGTTTTTTGATATTTAATTTTTTTTTTTGGACAGCAGTGCAATGGAAACAGCTTAAATTTTTACCAGCATGCTGGTTAAATAATGGTTCATTCATACAACAGAATATTATATGTCTGTACTCTATTTGGAAATATCTCGAAGAAATACAAAAATTTTAAAAAGATGCCGAGTGGAATAGAGAGTATGCACGTGTATGAGAAGTATCCACTTGTGCATGCATTAAAATATCTCTTAAAGCATACATCAGAACCAGTTTTATTGATATTTTCTGAAGGGAAGTCAGTTAAATATCTGGTAAAGATTATCACTTTCTACGTCACCTAGTCCAAAATTTAAATTACAAATAAGGAAAGATCAGTCACATATATAAATATATTTTTTAGATCTCCAACTTGGCACGGTGAATGCTAGAATGTTTCTTGTATTTTCTGGGATATACTCCATAAAAAGATACCTCCTTACATAAAGATGAGAATTTATGACAGTTTTCAACACAGAGTGAATAATAAACTTTTTTGGAGTCTTGTGGTAATTCCATAGAAGATGATATTTGTAGTTGTCTTCATCAAATCATCATTTAATTTTATGTACTGAAAATACATAATATACAGATTCAATTTTCTAGTAATATCTTATATAGCAACTTCAACTCGTAGAACAATGTGGAGAACTTCAGCAACTTGTTAGGGGAGGATTCTGAGCTGCCAAAACTGATGCTATAAAACTTTCAAGACAGTATGAGGATGGGCTGCTCCTCAATTTAAATGTATTCATTTTATGCAAGGTAGATGCAATGGAAGATATAAAATCAACTATAAAAATCATGTTATTATGTGTTCATGGCAATGTGGAGTAAAGTAAGCAAATATTTCACTATAATTGAAGATGGTAAATGAAAGTTATGACTTCTGTCCATTTTTGTTCCTGTTTCAGTCACACCACGCTTTATCAGGTCTGCTTTTAATTTTGTGTAACTCATCCATTTATTTTCATTGCTTTAATTTCGGCAGACTTGTACATAAAGGCTGTTTATTTTCCGTTATGAAGAATAAAATGTTATCTTGATTCAGGCACCTCACCCTTACAACTTTCTCTTAGAGCATGGCTTGCCTAAGCATAAGCCTAACTCAAGCTTTCTGCTCCAGGGCAACTCTCCTTATTCATATGCGAATTGGCAGGAATGTATTACCTCAGCCTGTGCTGGTTTGTCCTGGTTCCTGACTTTACTATTGATCCCCTTTTCATATAAGCATTGAAAATATTTTTAGTGTCTGTGTAAAATATGAAATAAACAGTAACAGATCATATGTGTTTCAGCAAGCTACATAACCTTGGTATCAGATTTCTGGCAGGCAGTTCATATTCTCTAATAAAGCATTTGGCTAGCAGATGGGTTACCCCATCCCACTCAAAGAAGGTTTCTCATTCATTTGTGGAGGTTGCTGAAACCTTTGAACCCTTGGAATTCAGCAGATTAAAGTCCGCTCTATTTGTGAAGGGGCAGATCCATTTTCCTTTGACATTAAAATTATATCTAGTATATACATTTTTATAACATTTGAAGGGATCAAATGTGTTTTCCAAGTCATAAATTCTGGAAAATGGTCCTATACTCTTTGTTTTAATTTTTATAAAGATAGGAAACATACTGCTTTTCCAAGATAATCTTTTCATTTTGGATATTGTTTATTGTACTTTGTATTGATATGTAATCCGCACTCCTCATTAATTCCCTTCTCTATTTCCACCCCAGCCAGTTCTTTCCACTAAAATCATATAGAGAAAATCTAGTATTGTTTTCTCTTCAAATGTAATGAGTTGGTGGGGAGATAGTGAATCTTTCTTCTTTTTTTCATGTAGAAAAATTCTCAATCCCTCAACTATTCAGTAATGATGTGATTGCTAGACCCCTGAACCTACTGGTTAAACTCCTTATTTGTCAAAATTCTCCTTAATTTAGCATCCCAAGCTCTTATAATTTTCCACAGATGGGCTATACAGATTACAGTGTAATCATCACTTCTCTTGTTAAGATAGCTTTTGTTTTTGTTTGTTTGGTTTGGTCAGCCATCTCACATTTTGGCTCATTTTTGAGTTTGTATTCAAGTAAGGCCCATAACACACTTTTTTCCCCCAACTTTTTAAAGTCAAGTTTTACTCTGATTGAACCTCCTCCCCGCCCTGTGTGATCATTCTTTGCTGTTTGAATTTTACTTTTCCCTTCTGAACTCTGGAAAGAATTTGCTGAAACTCAGTGTATAGTCCTTGGCTGCAATCCAGCCCTTTCATTTCATCTCTCTGTTTCTGGGAAGGGATTGGCATACATGTGGAGGAGCAGCTCCCACCTTTTTTAACTGCTTATCATGTTTAGGTTGAGTTCTTACCTTTTAGGTCATGGACAATTGTTGAGACGCAGAAGTAGAGAGGTATAGGGGTGATGAGGGCCTGTGGGATTTACTGAAGGGAGTTATTGCAAGCAGTTCTAAGTAAAGTGTTTTTTTGTACAGATTGGAAAAATTATATGGTTCATATGTATGTATTAATGACTTTCTGAAGTATATGGATACTTTTGAGATTGTGAGAATGTAAATTTATTTAAATGTCACTGTATTTATTTCAAGGTTTTCTCATAATTTTCTTGATCAGTTGTTGCTATAACATGGTTATAGAGTAGCCCACAATATTTTATATTAAAAATTACACCTCATACTAGGAAAATGGAGCCTTTTATTTTTATTTTTTTGAGACGGAATCTTGCTCTGTCGCCCAGGCCGGAATGCAGTGGCGTGATCTCCGCTCACTGCAAGCTCCGCCTCCTGGGTTCACGCCATTCTCCTGCCTCAGCTTCCCAAGTAGCTGGGACTACAGGTGCCAGCCACCACACCCGGCTAATTTTTTTGTATTTTTAGTAGAGACCGGGTTTCACCATAGCCAGGATGGTCTCGATCTCCTGACCTCATGATCCGCCCACCTTGGCCTCCCAAAGTGCTGGGATTACAGGCATGAGCTACCGGATCCAGCCAGGCTTTTATTTTAAAATTCAAATCTTTGTCTAATATTTATTCAAGTTTTATTGACCATAAATATACAAATTTTGATTTTTTTTGCAGTATAATCTGTATGTTTTAAAAAATGTCTTGAAGCTTTCATAGCATTTTGAAAGTTACTAGCTACTAGAAATTCTTGATCATAATATTCCTTTGAGTTCTGTCTTGAAATTTGTCAAACATTCACTATTGGGTTACCTAACAGACCAAAGCACACATGTGGGTATATCACTGGAAAAAATGAGTATCCAAAGGGATGATCAGGAAACCTAAAAAAAAAAGTTCTTAATGTTGGCATGTATAAAATTTTTATTTGAAAAGAATGATAAAGATATATCATGGTTTGGTTTGAAGTATCTATAAAGGATGGGGATGGTCTCGGTGCACCTTGGTCTTTCACATATCTATTATCTCTGGAAGTCTTGATCTATCCTTCTACATTTGGTATCTAGTTAGTATTGGACCTTATGGTTCTAGAAGAGTTTATTTTTAACTTCATGACTCCTATCCAGGACCATTTGTCTTACAGCCTTTCTGTAAATAACTGGCGATACTTGCCCTCTCCATCCCACTGCACATACTGCTATGGTGACCAACTCATTCCAGTTTGCCTAGGACTTTTCCAGTTTTAAAACTGAAAGCCCTGTATTTCTGGAATCTCCTCAGCCCTGGGCATACTGGGATGGTGAGTCATTCTGCATACTACCCTCCACTTTTCAGCACTTCTCTTAATTTGTGGTTTGTCTGTTCATTGTCCAGAGTGGGCTGTGGAAGCCCAGGCATCCATGTGAAAGCTAGTGTGTGTGAAGATGCCCTCTATGTAGCATTAGAGGTTGGAAGTGACTTTTTTCTTTAAGCATACCATTGCCCCTCTTTTTCTACAAAAATGGTAGGAAATCATTGGATGTCTCTTGACACATCCTTTTTAGGTTTTTTTTTTCTTGTTGAAATTGTGACGTGAATTACTCTTGAGGAATTTTTGTCTTGAATTTTTTTCAACAGTTCTGCAAAATAAAATTAATTCTCTTCAACAATTCCACAAAATAAAATTAGACTTCGTGCCTTCAGTTCGTCATAGTTTTTGGTGACTCAGTACTTAACAAAGCAACAAAATTGTGTGCAATGAAACCTAGGAAAACCAAGTTTTTTAGTAACTGTGAATCCCGAGTTGTCTTAGATTGGTTACCACTTAACTGCAGGATCCTGGATAAGTCTTGTTTTCTCTTTAGATTATGGTTTCCTCCTTCATGAAAGAAGTGGGCTTTGCTAGACTGACCCTGAGGTCATAATTCACATTAAAGGAAATGACTTTCAGTCAGTGGAAGAGCAGGGTATGATTACTTTATGTACCAAATACTTATTTTCTGGAATCCATTTGGAGTCATTTTTATATCTCTCTAGCTTCGCCTCTGAGTACAGAACACAGCATAATGCACTATCCCCATAGTACCTCTTTCAGATAAGACTTTCTGACTGTAGCTAGGATAATATGTCGGACATCCCCAAGACCACCTGCGGGTTCAGTGATTCACCAGGAGGACCTACAGGATTCAGCATATGGTTGTACTCATGTCTATGACTTATTATTGTGAAAGGATACAAAGCAAAATCAGCAATGAGAAAAAACACATGGGTGAGGTCCAGGGAAACCAGGAATAAGCTTCTAACAGTTCTTTTCCAGTGAAGTCACACAAGATCTGCTTAATTCTCCAAGCAACTAACTGGTTGTGACAACATGTGTGAAATGTTTACCTACCATGGAAGCTCATTAGAGATTCAGTGCCCATAACTTTTCTGGAGAATGGTCACATAGGCAGCCTCTGTACCAAAATTTCAAGCACCCAGAAGGAAGGCAGGTGTTCAGCATAAACCGCATTGTTTGTATAATTTAGCCACAGTGAGCCATCTTATCTAGGAATGATGGGAACCCTTCCCATTGGAAGACCATCTGGAAACCATATGGAATCCAACTTTTCAGATGCCTGCCAAGGACCAACCTTACAAGCAGATCTTTCTAAGGATAGAAGTCTTAAGTTGCTATCTCTTTTCTGAACATAATAAAACTCAATGATTGCTTCAGCCCTTAACCTGTTGTCACCAGGGGAGGCCACATGACATTGAGGAATAACTCTGAAGTTCTACTTCTGGCCCTACTAGTAATTTGTTAGGTGACTTTGGCTAAGTCGATTACTTTACTGGAGTTTAACCACCTGTGAATTTGAGATGATTATGCTAACTACATAGGGATTTTGTTAAATTATTTCATTCACACCTACATGCAAGACATATGATATTACTTGCCCCTGAGTCCACTCATTCTGAAATGTTTTTTAAGAACCTACTGTGTGCTTAATATTGTGATAAGCTCTGGAGGTCTAATTGTGAGCAAAAGAATGTTCTCTGCCTTTCTGTAACTTACAGTCTCATTGGAGAGAGAGACTTTAATCTCACATAATTTGAGATTATTCATAATTTGAGATTATGCAAATTAATATGTAATTACAATTTGTGGTGAGTGCCCTGAAAGAAAGGTAGAAAGTGCAGTGAAAACATGGGTACTGGCCTACTCTAGTAGGTCAGAGAGGGTCTCTCTAAGGAAATAGCATATGTGTAAGAATCTCAGGTTTACCTAGGCAGTGGCCACATCAAGATGTCAGGGAGGAATATTAGATAATGGTCTTGAAAAGGCTCTTCTCTTTGAATGGGAGGGTGCAGGCATTATTAGAAAATAAAAATACAGGCCAATGTGGTTGGAGAAGAGAGAACAAAGTGGAGAGAGAAAGTGGATGAGATTGGAGAGGAGAGAAGTAACCTAGGACCACATTGTGGTAATGGAGTTTCTCTACTATCCTAAGAGGGTATTTACCAATGAAGTGACATGGTCAGATATCTAACTGTTTTGAAATGATCACTCTAGCTGCTTTGTAAACAGAGGTTTAGAGTGTACAAAGTTGGCCTAAGAGACGATTGCAGAAACCTGAGCTAGTGCTGATTATAACTTGAGTTAGAGTTATTATAGCTTGCTGGGAGATGGAGAGGAATGTAAAGATTTGAGAAGGCGTATCTAGAGTTACTTGCTAAACTGTTTGAATAAACAGCTTCACGACTATTTTTCCATAATTTTTAAAAACAATCTGGATAGCATCTCTGGTAGAGAAAGGGATGGGAGTTATAACTCGCTGAGTTTTGCACATCACCTACAGTCTATCTTGCACATGCATCCTTTGAATATATGTGTGAGATGCTGCCTAACACATATGTAGGAGTTTGTGTCGACTGCTTTATATATACTAACTCATTTTACTCTCATGGAAATACTGTCAGGTAGATGCTATTACAGACATATTACAGTTGAGACGCAGAGTTTAAGTAACTGACCAAGTCAAAACCAAGAAGAAATAATAGAGCTGGGATTTAAGCTTTACTTTGCCTTCAGATCCATATGGCCAACTATATGGATAAGTAGCAAACTTATGACCCTTAGGCCAATTCTGGCCCTTGGCTGTTTTTGCACAGCCAGCCAGACAACTACAAATGTTTTTTACATTTTTAAAAGGTTGTAAAAAAATAAGGAAAAAATCAAATTGTATTAGACAGTGTATGTGGCCCATAAGGCCTGAAATATTTACTATTTGACCTTTTGCAGAAGAAGTTTCTCAACATCTCTATTATGCTTTTACTACGAAAACATTTTTCTTTAGTAGAAAGTTGAGAAACAGTAATCTTTACAGATAAAAGACATGTCTGGTCATAAAATCAGTTAGTTGTAGAATGAGAACAGTGTACTCACAGTTACTTCTGTGGCACAATAATTTTTTTTTATTGTTGCCAGTTTAAAATTAAGAACTGTGTTTAAAGTTACTTGAGAAGATATGGATAAAAGGCAGCTGGGCTAGTGCTGTTATTTAACTGTGATGCCCTCATTAAGAAAATTGATTTCAGTGCCACTGAGACTCCGTCTCAAAAAAAAAAAAAAAAAAAAAAAAAAAAAGGATTTCAGATGGACTTCAGAAGCTGCTTTAGCATTTGGTGACAGGATATATTAGCAAAAACACTTTCTGTTTTAAAACCATGGTTTGTTTTTGAATAGAAAAATTGTGTCACCACTGAATATTGGTAAATTGTGTTCAGATATCAACAGCTATTTGGAGAAAAAAATGACTCCAACAATGCATTTTTTTTTTCTTCTAGAGCTTTGAGGACATAGCATGTTTTGGCCTTTCTAAACAAATTGACTTCTTGATTTTTGGGGAAATTATGAAATTCATCTGAATTTTCAGACAGAGCAAAATATACAGCCATTTAACAAATATTTATTAAATCTTACTGTAGTGATAGGCATTTTGGAGGATTATGTAAAGATGATTACATAGTCTGCCACTGATTTTCATTTGGTAAGTTGTTGTTCAAATCTACCACACTGTATAGATGCATCACCTGTTTCTTATTCATGGAAACTGTATTGATCTGTTATCTAATAGAGTCCAAAGGTGGCAATAGAGGTTACATTTGGCTACTGATGAGCTTCCATTTGCTTGTTTTTTTAACCTCATGGTGCCAGGTATCTTGCTGAAACGAAGAAAATGAGATAGCTTTTGCTGTTATAGATTGGTGGTATTAGTGGTTGGCAGGTGCCTGTTATTGAAGCACCATTCCTTAGTCATCTCACTGTATCATTCATTTGGCTTGTGGAGGGTGGATTGGAAAAGGTATTAATTATAGTTATTTAAATTATAATACTGTTTGGTTAAAGAACTCTGTACATTTTATCTTTCCTTATCCTTAGATGTGTCAGTCTGCTAAAAGATTTACATTGCATAATTTTCTATCTTTCTTTTGATTGGAAGTTTAGAGATTTTACATAAAGTTGTACTCTGTCTTTATAGGAATTCTATATTTTTAGTTATTTGATAACTTTCCATACTATTTTCCATGGAGGTTGAACTAATTTACATTCCCACAAGCAATGTGTAAGTGTTCCCTTTTCTTTGCATCCATGCCAACATCTGTTGTTTTTTGACCTGTTAACAATAGCCATTCTGACTGGTGTGAAATGGTATCTCATTGTGGCTTTGATTTTCACTTCTCTGATGATTAGTGATGTTGAGGATTTGTTCATATATTTCTTGGCCACTCGTATTTCTTCGTTTGAGAAGTATCTCTTCAGCCATCGCAGTACTGGGTATCTACTCAAAGGGAAAGAAGTCATTACATAAAAAAGACGCCTATACTCATAAGTTTATTGCAGCACTATTCACAACAACAAAGTCATGGAACCAACCTAAAAGTCCATCAGTGGTTGACTGGATAAAGAAAATGTGATATATATATATACGATGGGATATGACACAGCTATTAAAAAAAAATGAAATCCTGTCCTTTGCAGCAGGATGAATGGAGCTGGAGGCCATTATCCTATGTGAGCTAACTTGGAAAACCGAATGCCACGTGTTCTCGCTTATAAGTGGGAGCTAAACAATGGGTACACATGGACATAAAGATGGAAAAAATAGACACTGGGGACTCCAAAAAGCAGGAGGTTGGGAGAGGGTTGAAAAGGGTTGAAAAGTTACCTGTTGGGTACAGTGTTCACTATGTGGGTAATGGATATACTAGAAGCCAAATCCCCACCAATATGCAATATACCTATGTAACAAACACGCTCCTGTATCCTCTGAATCTAAAATGAAATTTAAATAAATAATAAAAAGAACTATTCAGCTGAGCTCATATTGCTGAACCATACGAAAATAAAGTTTTATGTTTTTTAACACTGAATTTTGTGTTTGTATGCAACAATGAGTAACTGAACGAGGGACTTGGAAAATATGTGTTGACTGAATAAGTGAATGAATAGATGGAAAAATAGTAATTATAGGGATTTTTAAACATAACAAAAAATGCAGTTTCAGTATTTATCACATATGGCCAGTCTTGTTTTAATCTATCTACCCCAATTAACTTTAAAACAGATTGCAGGCATGATATCATTTGATAGGGTATTACTTCAGTATGTGTCTCTAAATTATAAGGACTCTTTTTTAAAAAAAAGTAAATGAAATTAGCATGCTAAAAAATTAACTAATTTCTCAACATCACCAAATACCTAATTAGTGTTCAAATTTCTCTAATTTTCTCACAAATGCTTTTTTATAGCTTTTACAAATCAGGTCCCAACTCAGGTCCGTGACTAACATTTGTTTGAAATGTCTCTTATGTTAATATTCTATATATTTCCCTTCCCTTTTCTGTCTTTTGCCATCGATTACATAAATCATTTGTCCTATAGAATTTCTCATGTTCTGAATTTTATTGCTGACATCTCTTTCCTGTCACCATATCTTTGTCTCTTTATTTCTGGTAAATTTGTAGCATAAATGGTAGTGAAATCTGAAAAGTACGTATCCAGTTTAGGTTACGTTTTCTAACAGTAATACTTCATAAATGGTGAGATGGTTGAATTCTTGAATTGGTTAAAAAAAAGCATGTGGGTGATACATGTCAACACTATTTTTTTTCTCCAACTAAGATTTTTTTCTTATCATAGTCATGATACTGAATAGCAACTTAGAGGAAACAGCTGTTCATGTGTAATATTACTAACCAGACCTTTCTTTAACAAAATTATGTATTTGTGATTTGGTTGAGGTTATTTATAAAGAGCAATAGTACTGAAACAGTAGGAGTTCTTATTTGGCATAGGATTGCTGGACATGGTCAGACTACACATGATTAAGCTTTGCCTTCTGAGTCATTGGATTTGGTAACATTTTTGTCTACTCAAGGGTCTGGCCAACTTTACTTTTCCTATTAAGGATGATGAAATCCTTGCTGTTAACTTTATACTGGAATTGTAAGTGTGAAAATCCATCCAGTAAAAACTGAAACTTGTAGTTAATTCTTATGATTTATATAGACAAATTTAAGAAATGTAACTTTAAATAGAGTAATTTTATTACAGATAGACTTTAAAAAGCTCTTTGTTCTTATAAAATAAAATGTGGTATTCCCTATTTTGAAATTTACTCTGAATAATGTTAAATTTTCATAATCAGTTAAGCTCTGTTTGAAACTTTATAAATGAAAACTTTTTTAAATAGTTAATTTTAAAAAGTATTCTTAAAATACATTTACTAGGGCCTCATCACCTAGGCTGGAGTGCAGCCGTGTGATCTTGGCTCACTACCATCTCCGCCCCCCGAGTTCAAGCGATTCTCCTATCTCAGCCTCTTAAGTAGCTGGGATTACAAGTGTGTGCCACCATACCCGACTAATTTTTGTATTTTCAGTAGAGATGAGGTTTCACCATGTTGACCAGGCTGGTCTCAAACTGCTGCTCTCAAGTGATATGCTCACCTCGGCCTCCCAAAGTGCTGAGATTACAGGCATGACCTACCGTGCCTGGCCAAGAAATACCTTTTTCTTAGAAAAAAATCTAAGAATGTTGATGTTTATCTTCATGGAAATTATTTTTTTTGGTTGACTATTGAATGTTTGAATTTAGTATTTCTTTGTATATTGTACTTACTTATATTTTATTGTAGTTACTTTCAAAATTTGACAGATAGATACATTGGTTCATCTGCTATAATTTTTAACTGATTCCTATAATGCATTATTGCCATGTTTGGTGATTGTTGCTTAGGGGATACTCAAAACCTGAATTCTTTTCTTATAAATAGAGGGCAAGTGAGAAACAAATGATGTTACTCAGAGAATATTGAAAAGATGTTAGTTTTGCTTTCTTAGTGTGTAGGTCCTTCTAAATCTTCAGTTAAAAAAAAATGTTCCAGCCCTTTTGGCATTTGTTGATGCACTTGTTTCTTTTGTGCATTTTTCCAACATGCCTTTTCCTATTAAAAATAATCATTATCTGTAGTAGCTTATGTAGGTGTTTTGAGACAATTCCTTAAATCTATCTAATTTTACTAAAAAGAAGTGTTATGTTGGATTGAAAGTAATATTTCATTATAAAATGGTAGCTAATAGTTGTATATTTACTAGGGCAGTGGTTATTTTGATTCCATTTATTCTTTAAAGAGAAACCAAAACACAATAAATAATGTTGTCGCTTGTAAGAATTTTCATGAAAAAGCAATCCCGGATAGGAGAAAAAAATTAAGATTTTGTTTTAAATATTTGCTCCCAGTTGTCACAATTTATTTTAGAAAATTAGAATCAGATTTAATGATTGTATCTGTTTTTTTTGTGTATGTCATTATTTTGATGAATGTAATTTGCTGATCTCCTCACTGGTGATGTCATAAATCAGGAATGATTTATCGATGATGTTGAAGTTTGTTGATTAGATAATGTCAGAGAATCTTAATCATGGATTATAAAGTTCATTTTATGGAAGTTTTTCTCAATATTGAAATACTTTATTGATGGCATGATTTTTCTTAATCATCAATATACTTTTTTGCGTTGAAATAATTGTCATTTGAAGGTTCATCATTTGGCAGTAATACAACCAATTTGAGTCATCTATTTTTTCGACAGCTCTTTGTTTAGTCTTGTGTAGATAAGTAAACCAGAATATTCCCACGGGTTTAGTGAGGTCTCAATTACTGTAGTGAGTTGTAAAATGTGAGCATTTGATATCTTGGTAAACCTTCTTTTGTTTCCTTTTGTCTTTGCAGATAAATTATTAGTCATAACTGTAGCAACAAAAGAAAGTGATGGATTCCATCGATTTATGCAGTCAGCCAAATATTTCAATTATACTGTGAAGGTATGGTATATCCTTTAACCTATGAAGATCCTATAATGTGTGCCTAAAGTATGTTTTTCATAACAGCAGTACAATCTGTAATCCTCACAAGGAAGATAGCATTTGGTTACATAATTACTGTTAGTTCATGTAGTTTTTGGCTTTATTAATATTTCCTAACACAAAGAAATGGTGGTAAATGCTTGAGGTGAGGGGATAGCCAAAGTATTCTGATTTGATCATTACACATTATATGCCTGTATCAAAATATCACATGTACCCCATAAATATGCAACTATTATGCACCTGTAATAATTAAGATAAAATAATGCTGTGCCACTCAAACAATAATTTCTGAATTTTTGCCAATGCTTTGTATAAATATACTCTATAAAACAGCAAAAAAAAGTTAATATGTATTTGCATATATATATATAATTTCTTTCTGGCAGGTCATGTACAAATACAATGTAAATAAGATTTGGCAGGGATTTTTTTCACTGACTGCATAATTTTTTCTGTAATGGGTTTTGCTATCGTAGGATGATTCTTTGTTTGCAGGGAATTAGAAACAAATGTGAAGAGGGTGCCTTTTCTGTCTATTATTGAGAATTGCTTTTGTTTTTGCTTTTTTTGTTTGTTTGTTTGTTTTCATTTAGAGGTATTTGGGAGGATTGTTAATGTATTTTTAACCAAAGCATTTTAGAAAACTTATCTCCAGGTGAACATCTCATTGACAAGTGATCAGAGGAAACTTGGGGAAATTGATAGAACTATTAAACTCAGCTATGAGAGGCCTGCCATTTTATTTACTTACTTGTTTTTTTTAATAGAAAGAAGGATCTGTCAGCCAAGTCTTTTCTACAAATAAGAGGAGAACAAGGAGATACCTAGGTAGGAACACAAAAAGCAAAAAACTTTTTTTTTAAAAAAGAAGAAAGATTACTTTTTGGAGAAAAACTGATCCATTTGAGTATGTAGTATATTAAAAAGGTAGTTTTTATTAAATAACCACTGGAATACTAAGTATAGATGTAAATATAGAACAGCTAAGTGTTAATATAGAACAGCTAATAAACAGCTAAACTTTGCTGAAAAAGAGATGTAGTGGTAACAACTAGATGTTTAATATAGGATAAATGAAAAACATGTTAGAAATATGTTACTATGATAGATGGAAAATGTAGCAGTATGCACTGATAGGAGACACTGTGGAAATAAAATTAGGATAAAATAATGCTGAAATCTAGTTGGGGAATCGTTAGGGTTCAGAATGGAGAGAGAGTAGAATGTTTCTTATGTGCAAGGCACCTTGTAAGGAACTTTATATATGATATGCTGTTAAGTCACTATATGAACCATGTAAGGTAGATACTACTTTATTTCTGGATGAGGAAAACTTGTCCCAAGGCAAATAACTATATAAAGTATAATATCAGATCTTGGACCCCATCCCCACTTAACTTACTGGAGTTTATGATCCTTTTGCTCTCTCCTCATGTAATGCAGTGGTTCCCAAAGTGTGGACCCCAGACCACCAACATCTGCATTGCCTGGCTACTGATAAGAAAGAAAAAATAATCAGGCTCCCCCTCAGACCGACTGAATTACAAATCCTGGGAGTGATACCCTGAAGTCTGTGTTTGAACAAGGCTTCCATGAGATTCAGATGCACACTGAAATTTGACAACCACTAGTGTAGTGGAAAGAACATAGAGGGTGGTGCTTAACATGGTGTATTGCACAGAGTAGACTCTCAGATGTCGTTGGGTCCAATGTTGCATTAGGATTAGGGATTCCAGATGGGTTGTGGAACAAATCTCAGGGCCAGAGGAGGCCAATTTTTAGAGCAAGTACTATTAATGCTTCTAGATTAGCCTAGTTTGAATCCAGATCCAAAACAGCTTGAGTTTTCTTGGGTTGTGTTTTTCCCTCAACCTGCCACATAGGAAGTGATAAGTTATAACAGGACATTTGAGGCTGGGAGCCCCACAGGCTTTGCCAGCAAGATTTATCTCCGGCTCAGTATTAAGTAAAGTTAGAACTAGTGGTATTTATTATTAAATTTTATTTTATCCTTTTCTTGTGTGTTTATTTTTAATTTCATTCTCCATTAATTTCCCAGATCTCTTAGTAGATCATTATAATGGCAACTTCAGACTTTGTTTTGATGAAATGAAGAGAAAAGGTGTGTGTTGTGTGGGGGAAGGGACGTGTATTGCACTTTCTGTTCCCTTAGAGTCAGTGTGTCATCATGCATTTCCAATTCAGGGAGCAGCTGCTGAGGCTCAAGCAAATAGTGAAGAGAAAGGGTACAGGGTAATTAAAATCAAATTTAAATTAATCATACTTAGGCAATATCTTGCATTGAAAAATCCTTATTAAGCTTTAGACAATTACATAAGTTTAAGATGTATAAGGTAAAGAAGGTGATTTTTTTCTTGATGCCCTCTGCAATTCCCTGAAAAACCCATTTTGGTTCAGTAGGAAAATTGCTTAAAGGCCCCTCATCAAGGAGTCACTGAGCTTCAATGTTGATCATAAAGATTTCCTGCCAGATTGAAAAAAAAGTGATATGGGAAATTTATTCATTTTTCTTCTTTATGGTCTAAACAAATAGGAATAAAATGATGTAATGTGAGAAATACTTTCTGGGTCTACTTCCTTGGATTAGACTCACAACTTTTGAGATGGTAAAAATTGAGAAGGGCATTTTGGGGATGGATAACATTGAAGAATTATGATCTGATTTAGGCATCTAGATTTTTTTTTCTAGAATCATGATTCCATGAAACATTAGAAGAGTGGTTACGGTACAGTACTGTTCAAGTTGATGATGTCTTTAAGTTTTTCATAGTACTTTCATAATTTGAGTTTTGCTCAGGAATGAAATGTTGATTTTGTTTATAGGTCCTTGGTCAAGGAGAAGAATGGAGAGGTGGTGATGGAATTAATAGTATTGGAGGGGGCCAGAAAGTGAGATTAATGAAAGAAGTCATGGAACACTATGCTGATCAAGATGATCTGGTTGTCATGTTTACTGAATGGTAGGAGAAACACCCTGTGGATTTTAAAATCTATATTCAATTACTTTTTAAAGAGCTGAGATTTATATTTGTAGATGATGTATTAAAATATGGTTGGGCACGGTGGCTCACGCCTGTAATCCTAGCACTTTGGGAGGCCTAGGCAGCTGGATCACAAGGTCAGGAGTTCAAGACCAGCCTGGCCAAGATGGTGAAACCCTGTCTCTACTAAAAATACAAAAAATTAGCCGGGCGTGGTGGCAGGTGCCTGTAATCACAGCTACTTGGGAGGCTGAGGCAGAGAATTGCTTGAACCCAGGAGCAAGGTTGCAGTGAGCCGAGATTGCGCCACTCTACTCCATCCTGGCAACAGAGCAAGACTCCATTTCAAAAAAAAATTATTGACAAGGAATTATTGTTTTAAAAAGTAGATATTACTATTCTGTAGGTTGCCCGTTCGCTCTGATGGTAGTTTCTTTTGCTGTGCAGAAGCTCTTTAGCTTAATTAGATCCCATTTGTCAATTTTGGCTTTTGTTGCCATTACTTTTGGTGTTTTAGACATGAAGTCCTTGCCCATGCCTATGTCCTGAATGGTATTGCCTAGGTTTTCTTCTAGGGCTTTTATGGTTTCAGGTCTAACATTTAAGTCTTTAATCCATCTTGAATTAATTTTTGTGTAAGGTGTAAGGAAGGGATCAAGTTTCAGCTTTCTACATATGGCTAGCCAGTTTTCCCAGCACCATACAGAAAGGGAGAAAATTTTTGCAATCTACTCATCTGACAAAGGGCTAATATCCAGAATCTACAATGAACTCAAACAAATTTACAAGAAAAAAACAAATAGGGCCATCAAAAAGTGTGTGAAGGATGTGAACAGACACTTCTCAAAAGAAGACATTTATGCAGCCAAAATACACATGAAAAAATGCTCATCATCACTGGCCATCAGAGAAATGCAAATCAAAACCACAATGAGATACCATCTCACACGAGTTAGAATGGCGATCATTAAAAAATCAGGAAACAACAGGTGCTGGAGAGGATGTGGAGAAATAGGAACACTTTTACACTGTTGGTGGGACTGTAAACTAGTTCAACCATTGTGGAAGTCAGTGTGGTGATTCCTCAGGGATCTAGAACTAGAAATACCATTTGACCCAGCCATCCCATTACTGGGTATATACCCAAAGGATTATAAATCATGCTGCTATAAAGACACATGCACAGGTATGTTTATCGCGGCACTATTCACGATAGCAAAGACTTGGAACCAACCCAGATGTCCAACAATGATAGACTGGATTAAGAAAATGTGGCACATACACACCATGGAATACTATGCAGCCATAAAAAATGATGAGTTCATGTCCTTTGTAGGGACATGGATGAAGCTGGAAACCATCATTCTCAGCAAACTATCGCAAGGACAAAAAACCA
The DNA here is from genome assembly GCF_000001405.40 of Homo sapiens. Classification (NCBI taxonomy): domain Eukaryota; kingdom Metazoa; phylum Chordata; class Mammalia; order Primates; family Hominidae; genus Homo; species Homo sapiens. The sequence continues at coordinate 146,119,694 of NC_000003.12, read as the reverse complement.
AACACCGCATATTCTCACTCATAGGTGGGAATTGAACAATGAGATCACATGGACACAGGAAGGGGAACATCACACACGGGGGCCTGTTGTGGAGTGGGGGAATGGGGGAGGGATAGCATTAGGAGATATACCTAATGTTAAATGACAAGTTACTGGGTGCAGCACACCAACATGGCACATGTATACATATGTAACTAACCTGCACGTTGTGCACATGTACCCTAAAACTTAAAGTATAATAAAAAAAAAGAGGCAAAAGTAGATATTACTAGTTATAAAACTATTGTATTAATCAGTTCTTGTGCTGCTACAAATTCCTGAGACTGCATAATTTATAAAGAAAAGAGATTTAGTTGGCTCACAATTTCACAGGCTGTACAGGAAACATGATGCTGGCCAGCTGCTTGGCTTCTGGAGAGGCCTCAGGAAACTTAGGATCATGGCAGAAGGCAAAGGAGGAATGAAGGTCTCACATGATTGGAGCAGGAGGAAGTGAGGGGATGTGCTACATGCTTTTAAACAATCAGATCTCATGAGAACTCTATAATGAGAACATCACTAGGGTGATGGTGCTAAACCATTAGAAACTGCCCTCATGATCCAATCACCTCCCACCCAACCCCACCTCCAGCACTGAGGGTTACGTTTCAACATGAGATGTGGGTGGGGACGTAGATTCAAATTATATCAACTATGGTCTGAGATGATGTAATTAAAGATGATGAATTACCATAAACACTAATGAGACAACATGGCAAGAGCTAACGTTTTTGTGAAATTCATACTTTAGTCTTGAGTTAAGAATAAAGATCATAGTGAGCTTTACTATTGAGACGGGTAACTTAATGGATTCTGGTTAAACAGAAGAAAAAAGACCACGCAAAGTTATAAATACAAGTGAGACATTAGAAAGCCTGTGTTACTAAGAAAGAAGAACCTTTTTAATGTAAATGTATTTTGTGTAATATTTCACTCTCCTAATTAAAATATCCACTCTTTTTTGCCATCTTCTTATAATTTTATAATAACATCAAATTGTCATGAGTTATTAGTTACTACTTCCTTTATTTTATTTTCTGTGTCTTATTTGTTTTTGTTATTGATTGCTCATTTTAAGTCCCCATGAATTTTCCCCTCTAACTTAGGAAGGTCTTTTTACATATTTTTTCTCAATTTGAAAATATAAAGACACAAATTATTTGCAGATGAAAATAAGAGTAATATTTTTATGCATTAGTATAAATAAGAAAGTTATAAATTATGAAATGAAAATAGATGTTAATATAATGAAGTCCCAGTGCCGTACACACTTAAAAATTTTCAAAAGATACATAACACTTGCATCTGTAAAATTTTCCTGTTATATTTTACACAAAATATTAAGTTCTGCTTGTGGTTACCTATTTTGCAAGATGAAGTATGGTAAGGCAAGTGTTAGCCATAGTGTACTGGGAATTTTTCTACAGCATTTGTTATTTTTTTTACACTTAGAAAAAGAATACCAAGTTCATTAAAATAGCTCTGTAGAATAAATACTGGGTATGTTTTGGTTTAAAATTACCATGGATTTCAAACAACCATATTAGTCAGCTTAAACTTGCCACATGTACATTTTCACTTTGGCTCTGAGGCAGATTCTCCTTGTAAGAGTTACTACATGTGAGTCAGAAATGATTTTACATCCTCAAGCTTCCTTTTGGGTTTTAGGAAGAACTTTTCTCTACCATCACTCTCGCATCACCATCCCCCACCTCCGGCCCCCTATCTAATATTTGTCCTTGTGGACAACTGGTATAGTGAGGGACCTATTTTTTTCTCATGAGAAGAAGGACACTGTGATATACCTAAAGCCTGCTTGAGGTTGAGTTTGTTGATTTAGATGATACTTTAGGACCCAGCTTGACAGAAAAGATAATAAAATTTTAATGGAAGACACAGTGTCTTCCAGGCACTGTTAGTGTTTGGGATATATAATGGAAACAAACAGATAAAATTTCTGACATCTCCTGTGAGAACAGCCAGCTAACTGAAAACATGGGTGCCCACTCAGCCAAGTTGTTGTCTAAGAAGAGTCATTAACATTTTCTGCATCATTACCTACCATGACTATCCTGTGGAAAAAACCTAGGGGTCATGAGAAAGTAACCAGGAGGTTAAAGAGGGATGAGCAATTGAAGCCACATAAGAAATTTTTTTTACCCTTCTTATTTTTTAAAAACAACACCCTTTTTAAAAAGTTTATACAGAGTAATGAATCTAGTTGAAAATTGTAATCTAGGGCCTGGGAGAATGAATTAAACTGTTTGTAAATGGTTTGAAATATGATGCCCATTCTGTAACACAATTCCTAAACTCTTAATTAAGGTTAGCTCTGGTAAAGGTCCAGAATTCAGGATATGTTCATTTTAATAAAGCAAAACATTCTTATTTTTTATGTGGTATTTTTAAGGACAACTCAACTGTTTTATGGAAGCATAGGTCACTATCATATGAAAATATACACAGATGTATATACTTAGTGGTTTAGATGAGCCTTTTAAGAAACACAGCTTTGTTAGGGCATAATTTATATAACATGCCATAAACATTTGTAAGTGTAAAATTCAATGAATTTAATTAAATTTACAGAGTCGTGCAGTCATCCCCATTATGCAATTTTAGAATGTTTCCAATACCCCATAATTATCCCGTATTCCATTTAGACATGCTAAAAAGCCTGAATTAATTTAGAAACAATTTTGTCGCATTCCTTCCATGGAATATGTATTCTAAACTTACTTTTGGATGAACGTTTAAAATTAGAAACTGGCTCTTTATAATCTGTAGGGTAAGATTTATTATATTTAATTTAGATAAAAAAATTTAGATATTTGGCAAGGTTTTAGGTTATTCTCAGAACAAAAGGAAAACTGAAGATATCCATATATGAGTGAGACCATCTGATACTGTCTTTTTGTGCATGGCTTATATCATTAACCTAGTAACCTCCAGTTGTAACCATTTTATTGTTGCAAATAACAGGATTTCCTTCTTTTTTATGGGTGAATAATATTCCATTATGTGTGTACTCCGTATTTCCTTTATCCATTCATCTGTTGATACATACTTAGATTTGTTCCATATATTTACTATTATAAGTAGTGTTGCAGTAAACATGGAAGTATAGGTATCCCATTGATATACTTATTTTCTTTCCAACAGCACAACAAAAATATCCCCCATGATCAAGTGGGATTTATCCCAGGAATGCCAGGATGGTTCAATATTTATCTGTTAAAATTGTATTTGTTTTATGCCAACTAACTCCCTTTCCCTCCCTCCAAAATTTATAAAATAATTTTAATCATTTTATTGTGATTTTATCATAATCTGTTGTGCAAAGTCAACTGGGTACGTGGGTGTTTTTAACTGTGTGTGTGCGTGTGTGTGTCTGTGTGTCTGTGTCTGTGTGTCTGTGTCTGTGTGTTTTGAGGGTGGGTGGTTAGGAGTGGATCCATAGTATTGGTTTGTGATGTTAATTATCTCTGGAAATATAGACATATGCTTCAGGTGAAGATATGATGAAAGAATTATCAGGTGTGAAGCTACTTCTGTGCTGCTAATAGTTTGGATGATTATAATTTTTGCTGAAGTTTATGCCAATAATGATAAAGGATTGGGGCTAAATGACAAGGTTAGGGAACACTTCTGTTGCTTTCTTTTTTGGCTATATGGGAGCTTTTGCTTCTTGTTGAGACTCAAGATGATGGATTCTGTGGCTTGTACCACTGCCTGTTTTTGTAAAAAGTTTTATTGAAATGCAGCTGTGCTCATTTGTTTACATATTGTCTGTGGTGGCTTTTGCAACACAGTGACAGAGTTCAGTCACTGTGACAGACAATATGGTCATCAGGACCTAAAATATTTTCTGTAAAAGGCCAGAGAGTAAATATTTACTGACTCCCGCTTTAGGCCATAGTTGAGAACCATTGATACAGTCTGGGAACTGGCACAGAATCATTTTTAAAATAGTTTGTCAGACAGTCTTATTTATGAGTGAGGAAGAGATGGGTAATGTAGAGGTCTCTAGGGTTTTAAAATTAATCTAGCCTTGTGCCTTCTAGTGGGAGTGGAGAGGATTTGAATGCAAAATAAATTAAGTAGATGGAATCAATAGGATTAAGGAAAAGATTCCATGAGATAGGCCATGGAAAGAGAGGAGTGAAGGGTGAATGAAAGATTTTCAACCTAGGTGACTATGTGGTTGATGTTGTCACAGAAGTAGGGAACACAGAAGGACAAAAAGGAAAAACACTTAGAAAATCTCAATCATCTATTGAGATAGAACACTGACATGTCTGGCAGGGGACTCAGTATGACCACATCAGGTAGAATCTTATGGTTTTTTCAGGACCCAGGCATACTTACCACAGTTATATGTGGAAAATTTTATTTTCTTCACATGTAGATCGACTCAATTTCTGTGAGAATATTTTTATGACCTGTGTATCGGGGGAACCACCCCCAATATTTCAACGTAGGTTCTTTCCTATTTCCCTAAGTGTTGGCCGGTCTGAGAAATAAAGGGAAAGAGTACAAAAGAGAGAAATTTTAAAGCTGGGTGTCCGGGGGAGACATCACATGTTGGCAGGTTCCGTGCTGCCCCCCAAGCCGCAAAACCAGCAAGTTTTTTTGTTTTGTTTTGTTTTCTATATTCATTTTATTAATTCATCCCCCCCAAGTTTTCTACAGAATCCTGGAATTCTTCTCAGTGTAGTCAATACATTGATAGTTTGTCGATTTTAATGAAGACATCCCTCTCAGAGCCTGTGCTGTTCCGCAGTTGGGATTGATGCGTCTCTAGGCCTGCAGGGACTTCCCTTCACCATCATATGGGAATCCTCTGTGACTCTACCCTGTGTGGATTCTTCTGTGCCCTGTTTTTCATGTCTTCCTCTTTCTTAGTTTATTCCCTTAATTTGGTGGAGCACGTTCTCCAGTAGCTACCTCTACTTTCCTTTTCCCCACTCTTCGTACCAAATTTTGCAGATTGGGTTCTCCAGAAAGTAGAATCTTAGGTGGAAATTAGTGTGTGGGAGGCTTATTAGGAATGCTTGTTGGATCAATGCTTATGATTATGCAGTTTGGTTGGATTCATCTGTGTTCTTCTACTGATTTTTCCTGGGGTCACTTTTGTGGCTGCAGTAATCTGGCTGCTCCACTGAGAGTATGTCTGGTTGTTAGCTGGGACTGTTGGCTGGATACTTTTGCTTATCTACAGGTCATCTCTTCGAGGATAATTTGGGTTTCTTTTGCTGTATTAGTCCATTTTCACGCTGCTATAAGAAATACCTGAGACGTACTTGGTTTTCAGGGCACTACATTGCCTTGAAAACCAGCAAGTTTTTATTAGTGATTTTCAAAGGGGAGGCAGTGTATGAATAGGGTGTGGGTCACAGAGGCACACAGAGGCAATAAAATATCACAAGGCAAATGGGGGCAAAGCGAGATCACAGGACCGGGGCGAAATTAAAATTGCTAATGAAATTTCGGGTATGCATTGTCATTGATAACGTCTTATCAGGAGACAGGGTTTGAGAGCAGACAACTGGTCTGACTAAAATTTACTAGGCAGGAATTTCCTCGTCCTAATAGGCCTGGGAGTGCTACCAGAGACTGGGGCTATTTCATCCCTTATCTGCAACCGTGTAAGACAGACATTCCTAGAGCGGCCATTTTAGAGACCTACCCCTAGGAAAGCATTTTCTTTCTCAGGGCTGTTCCTTACTGAGAAAAAGAATTCAGCGATATTTCTCCTATTCGCTTTTGTAAGAAGAGAAATATGGCTCTGTTCCGCCCGGCTCTCAGGCAGTCAGACCTGATGGTTACCTCCCTTGTTCCCTGAACATCGCTGTTATCCTGTTCTTTTTTCAAGGTGCCCAGATTTCATATTGTTTAAACACACATGATTTACTAACGATTTGCACAGTTAATGCAATCATCACAGGGTCCTAAGGCTACGCACATCCTCAGCTTACGAAGATGACGGGATTAAGAGATTAAAGTAAAGACAGGCATAGGAAATCACAAGAGTATTGATTAGGGAAGTGATAAATGTCCATGAAATCTTCATAATTTATGTTCAGAGATTGCAGTAAAGACAGGCATAAGAAATTATAAAAGTATTAATTTGGGGAACTAATAAATGTCCATGAAATCTTCACAATTTATGTTCTTCTGCCATGGCTTCAGCCGGTCCCTCCATTTGGGGTCCCTGACTTCCCGCAACACCTGTGTGCATTTTTTTAAATTTGACAATTTGACTTTTTACAGCCAAAATAAATTTAAGTAGGAAACCTTCCTTGCCCTTTGAGAAGTTTTAAGTAAGTTCAAATAACTTTTCTAAAGTATTTAAACACAGAAATAGCAGTGCTACTCGAATGAGATAGGAAAGGTTTCAGCAACGTGAAATTTTTCTTCAAAGGCAATTATGTGATAACTTTTGTCTTAACTTTTTGCTTTAAAATAATTGTGTTTTGTTATAAAGATAATACAGGCTTATAAAACGCTAAATTATAAAAGTTGCCATAACTCTTTTTCAAACAACTGACATTTATTAATAGTTTGAGCTATACTGTTTATATAATCTGTATCCATCATTAGGGTTTCAAAGACAAAAAATATTCACTCACATTCCAAAAGTGCATTTATAACTTTTTTTAATTTTTAAATTTTATTATTATTTTACTTCAAGTTCTGGGATATATGTGCAGAACGTGCAGGTTTGTTACATAGGTATACATGTGCCATGGTGGTTTGCCGCACCTATTACCCCATCATCTAGAGTTTTGTTTTTTTTTTTTTTTGAGACCAAGTCTCACTCTGTCACCAGGCTGGAGTGCAGTGGCATGATCTCAGCTCACTGCAACCTCCACCTCTCGGGTTCAAGCAATTCTCCTGCCTTAGCCTCCCAAGTAGCTGGGATTACAGGCGCACATCACCACGCACAGCTAATTTTTGTATTTTTAGTAGAGATGGGTTTTCACTATGTTGGCCAGGATGGTCTTGATCTCTTGACCTCATGATCCGCCCGCCTTGACCTCCCAAAGTGCTGGGATTGCAGGCATGAGCCACTGTGCCCGGCCTCATCTAGGTTTTAAGCCCTGCATGAATTAGGTATTTGTCCTAATGCTCTCCCTCTCCTTGCCCCCCGCCCACCGACAAACTCCACTGTGTGATGTTCCCCTCTCTGTGTCCATGTATTCTCATTGTTCAGCTCCCACTTATGAGTGAGAACACGTGGTGTTTGGTTTTCTGTTTCTGTGTTAGTTTGCTGAGAATTATGGGATTCCACCTTCATCCATGTCCCTGCAAAGGACATGAACTCATTCTTTTTATGGCTGAATAGTATTCCATGTTGTATATGTGTCACATTTTCTTTTTCCAGTTTATCATTAATGGGCATTTGGGTTGGTTCCAAGTCTTTGCTATTGTAAATAATGCTGCAGTAGACATATGTGTGCATGTAACTTTATAGAAGAATGATTTGTAATTGTTTGGGTTTATACCCAGCAATGGGATTGCTGGGTCAAATGGCATTTCTGATTCTAGATCTTTGAGGAATTGCCACACTGTATGCATGCTGCTACCTGCAAAATTTCAGACTCAGTTTAGTCAGAGTCTCCAATCGTAAGATGCTCTGACATCACAAGCTATTTTTCCCCATCTCCAGGCAATGCACAAAGGGTCTGTTTATCACTCGCATGGTAGTCGCTCTTTCAGAGACTTTAGTTTATTTGCCTCACTTCTCATGGCCTAATTACCCATAAAACTGGTCTTATTTCCCAGTCTTCATTATTAAAAAAAAAAATTATCAACAACTTATAGTCTTGAGGAAAATATCACCGTTAAATCCGGTTGAGGAAATCAGTTGTACTTAGCAGAAAAAGTACAGTGTTGTGTTTTGTAATGTCAGATTAATCAGTTTTTTTTTTAATAAACAGGGCAAAGTTTGAGGTTTCAGTCAGAAAAATTTTATTGTAACTTAAAGTTCAGTTTCAAAAGTACAAGTATTTGGCTAAAAATAAAATTTTTTAACATACACATTTGTAAAAACTTTGAAGTGAGTTTTCCTCTGTCTCTCCCTTTACTGTAGTCCCTTTCATGTTAATTTTTAACTTTGTTCAGTGTTTACAGTGTGCCAGGAGTTATTTTTAATTTTTTTAAATTATAACTTGAGGATATAGATACTACTTTTCCCTCCATTTTATACTTTACACTTAAGTGTAAAGAGGTTAAGTGACTTGTCCTAAGGTTATTCTCATATCAAGTGGCAGAGGTGGGATTAGAAACCCACCTGGCAGACTTCAAATTGTATGCTGTGAGTGACTTTACAATTATGCTGTTAGCTACCTGGGATGGTAAGTCATTAATTTATCATCATTGGAAACCTTTGGTCTTAAGGTGCACTGATGTAAAAAAATGTAAAATAATTTGTGATTGTAATGAATAAAGAACTTATTGCAGAGTAGAAAAATTTTAGATAGTGGCTGTTATACTTCACATTTTGTTAAGTCATTGTGATTCTGTGAATGAACCATGAGGAAGAAAGTCATCAGAAAAATCAATGAAATTATATTATATTAATTAAATTATAGTGTCAGTTTTTACAAAAATTAAATTATAGTGTCAGTTTTTACAAAAATTTTCTCCCAAGTGTATTGAGCTTTAAAAACCTGCAGTTGTCTGAACGCACTTATTTTAAGATTCCATGCTAAACAGTCATTCAGATATTAAACATACATTGATGACATTTAGCAGTTAAACACATTTTGTCAAAAATAATTCTTCAGAAACTAATGGACTGGTACAAATTTACTTGAAATATTAGGCAGTTATGGCAACTTCCGTAAATGATTCTATCTGTATTATAAAGTTATACAACAAGTAACTGTATTTCTAACATTTTAATGCTGTTTCAGAATTTCAATTTGGGAATAAGTGATTCCTGAAAAAAAAATTAAGGCTAACACTAAAAAAGCTGACTTTTATTTGGACTTCATTTGCTAATGTAAACTAATAATTCAATACAATTCATATAATTTAAGTTGAGAGAAATTTTGTTTGGTGTTCTGTGTAAATAGTTGGCACAGGTATTAATCTTGCATTGTATTCTTGATTCTGACTTTTGTTAGAGAACTTTTCATGGTTTATGTGCCTAGATTCTGACAAGTGTATTTTAAAACACATTTTTTCCTCATTGAACAGCTTTGATGTCATATTTGCTGGTGGTCCAGAAGAAGTTCTAAAAAAATTCCAAAAGGCAAACCACAAAGTGGTCTTTGCAGCAGATGGAATTTTGTGGCCAGATAAAAGACTAGCAGACAAGTATCCTGTTGTGCACATTGGGAAACGCTATCTGAATTCAGGAGGTGAGTTAGATACTGGAAGAAAAGTTTAATGCAAGTTATAAAGACTAATGAAACAACCATTTTTGTAGATGTAGTAACTTTAGATATGAAGTTTTAAATAACCCTTATTTTATTATTAGTATATTGACAAAGCATTTTCCCATGTATTATGTGAGTTGGTGTTCCTAAAAACACTAGGTAATATAAATGTTATAATTACCAAATTATAAGTGAGGAAACTCATGTTTTTCAAATTTAAGTGACTTCTAGAGATATTCTGTTGTTAAAGGAAGAAAAGTATGGATCCAGTTCCTTTAATTATGACACATTGAGAATTTTCTTGCTCTAGGATAATAAGTTTAGTAAGCTTCCTTACTTGAAAAAAAATTATTCTCAGTCCGCAATCAAGTAGCTTTTAAGAATAGGTATTACTTAATATTATCTGATTTTAAACATTATGGGATTAAATAAATGATTTGTCTTGAACCCAGTAGTGAAAAATATCTAACATTGAGTGTCTGGGTATACTTAAAATATTGCATTAGCTGTGCTACCACGGATTAAAGGAATGAATTACCACATTCCTCAGTCCAGCCTTTAGAAAATTAAATAAAATTTGACCTTGGAAATTATAATGGCTACAAATTTATTTTTACTAGTTTGAGATTAATGTAAACATAGGGACAAAAGACATAACCAAATAGGATGAAGGACATGTTAGAGAAACAAATTGGGTACAAATTGCAAACCACATTGGAAAAATGGATTTTGGGGGTGATCTACGTGTATATAACCAGTACTATCCAGGCTAGTTAAAATAAGTGCTGCTTCAGGTAGCAGCATATCTGGGTTCTAGGCTTTGCTTAGCCACTAGGAAGTGATTTAGTTTCTTGGTAATGCCTCAATTTCAGCTCTTTGCACCTGCACTTTATTTTATCAACATATTCCCACAGTTGTACCTTGGAACTTTGATAGCTCATATAGATTTTGTACTTTTGAAACCTTAAATTCCAGTTTGCACTGCCTGGTTTGAAATCTCTTTTCCTCTTCGTCTCAATATTTCTACAGATAATGCTTTCTGGGATCTCTTGACCATTTTCTTTTCTCCAAATCTATCTACCACCTTTGGATTTAACTTCCATATTCAAGTGAGAACCCAAGGTTTATCATATTGGTTACTCTGTGCTTCTTGCCTTAGCAGTCTTTCTCTGTTAGATTTCCAGCTTGTGAACCGTCAAAGCCTCTCCCTAATATGGCTACCCACCATCACTTCTCTGCTTGAGCATGCGGCTCATGGATGGGTGCTGCTTCCACATCATGGCCTCCATACTGTCAAGACCTCAGTAATATATGGCTAATCTTGCAACTTATTCTAAGTCCTCCATTGTTTAAAACCAATTTTTTAAAGGAAGTATGTAGCCATGGGACTCTGAGACATGTTTTATTTTATACTTGTTGAAATTTTTCTGAAGATGACTTGCATAGTGAAATCTCGTAAATTTATTTCAAATAGTGATGTATGTACTCAGGTGGTTAGGTTTCAGACAGACTCACAGTGCTTTGGAAGCAGCAAGAAATTAGCAAGCAAGTGCAGTTGTAAGTCAGTTTAATTAAGGAAAAGGTGTTTTAAGTGGGAAAGTAATCATAAAAGGACATCGAAGCATCATCCTTATGCTTTCTGTAGTCAAAATAATTAGAGAAGGGCAGAAAATATAAATATGTTTAATAAAAGTTTGAATAATTTCATAGATCACATATTTACAGTTATTTAAGGGACATGAGTTGTTTGTGGGCATACTATTTAGTTTTTAAAAATAGTTTTTGGCCAGGCACGGTGTCTCAAACCTGTAATCCCAGCACTTTGGGAGGCCTAGACAGGAAGGTGACTTGAGCCCAGGTGTTCAGGCCAGGCTGTGCAACGTAGGGAAATCCCATTTCTACTAAAATTTTTTTTTAAATTATCTGGGCATGGTGGCACATGGCTGTGGTCCTAGCTACTTTGGAGACTGAGGTGAGGAGATTGTTTGAGCCCAGGAGGTCGAGGCTGCAGTGAGCCATGAGTGCACCATTGCACTCTAGCCTGGGTGGCAGAGTGAGAGCCCCATCTCCAAAAACAACAACAAAAAGAGTTTTTAATAGAAAAATATAAATCACATAAAATATGTAATGTGAAAATAGATGTTTTTTTTTCATTTATTGAGGACATTTGGGGTCTGTAAAATAAGGAAACAATTTTTGAAGAACAGTAATATAAACCATTGGAAAATGTTGAGTGTCTCTGTGTGGTACATTTTTCATCACAGAAAATTGGCCATGGGATTTAAAAAATGTATTGTCTTCTCCCCAGAATTTTTTTATTTGATGCCAGGCATGGTGGCTCACGCCTCTAATCTCAGCACTTTGGGAGGCTGAGGCGGGCAGATCACCTGAGGTCAGGAGTTCGAGACCAGTCTGACCAACATGGCGAAACCCCATCTCTACTAAAAATACAAAAATTAGTCGGGCATGGTGATGGGTGCCTGTAATCCCAACTACTTGAGAGGCTGAGGCAGGAGGTGGAAGGCGGAGGGGAACTCGGGAGGCATAGGTTGCAGTGAGCCAAGATTGTGCCTTTGCACTCCAGCCTGGGTGACAGAGCGAGACTCTGTCTCCAAAAAAAAAAAAAAAAAAAAAAAAAAAAAAATTTATATGGCAAGAACCAAAAAATGAGCAACCATTGATTGGTTTTGGTCATGTTTTCATTTTTTCTTTTTTCTCCAATAACAGTAATTTCCCTGGACCTATTTTTTTAATTCTTTTAAGAAAATTTTAATTTTGACAGTTAAAAAATAGATTTTTCTTCAACTCACAGGAGTAACATTGGTTCCTTTTTAAAAGTATTGAATGTCAATGAAACATAGCAGCTTGGCTGCATTTCCATAATTCAGAGGAAGATTCAGACAAGAAAAATGATTCCGTTCGTGTCTTTAATAGACAAATGTTATTGGCGGTCTTAATGCTTATGCTTTAAGGCCAAGGAGAACAATCCAATTTTAGACTTCCTTTTTCCAGACTATGACACAAAAAACCTAGCCAGAAAATGGTTTAGCAGGCACAATAATGACTGGCCAAAGTAATGGAAACATTTCCAAAATGTCTTAGATATAAAATTTCTTTGGGATGTTTGCAGTTAGTGACAAATCCAGCATTCGTTTGATTGCATTAGCATCTCTGGCACTGACAGTAAAACCACTGTAGTAGAGATTTTATTCTGTAAGAAAGAGTGAGTTCTCCGCAGAGAATCCAAGAAGAGCTTTTTAGAAGGTCAGAGAAAAAATTCTTGTCTCAGTCTATTCTTTTCCTAGTAAATCTGTTTCCCTTAGGAGCCTTGGAAAACATTAGTTCTCCCTCTTTTGTCAATTACTTTTGGAGACACATTTATTTAAAAAGAGTTTGGTTATTTTCTGTTTTGCAGTTGGTAGCAAACACTCTATTGGAGTTTATATATAAAACAAGGGGCACTCAATAATTCATATTTCTTTCATGGTGAGCTGTGAAATTCCAGCCTAAGAATTAGGCTTCATGACTTCACAACTCTGTTCAACTGGTCAGTGAAATTAACATGACACCAGTTTTGGTCTTTGAATCCTAAATTATCTACTTTCTCTCTGCTGTGTTGCAGGATTTATTGGCTATGCTCCATATGTCAACCGTATAGTTCAACAATGGAATCTCCAGGATAATGATGATGATCAGCTCTTTTACACTAAAGTTTACATTGATCCACTGAAAAGGGTGTGTAACAGCTGCAATTTTTTTGTTTTATTGATTTGGTTGTTTTGTGTGTTATATTGTGTTAATGTGGAGTGGTCAGAAACAAAGGTTTTATGATAGTATGGCAAATGGTAAACTGAATTTCAAAATGTTGAAAACATATTTTAATAGGTGAGATTGGTTTATGTCACCTGGCTGGATATCAGCACTAGCTTAGTATGTCTTTATGGCTTCTCTTTTGTGGCCAAGTTGGCAAACTTGCCGAACTTGGTTGGATCAGGCAGAAGGAAAGAAGAACTATATAATGCAGTGCTATATGTATTGAAACACATATTGAAATGACTTGATACTAAAATGAAATGGCAGCCCTCACACCACTGTCATGGCCCTACCTCCACTGCATACTCACTTAGGCTGCCTTAAAATAACAGAATAGGTTACATTATCAAAACTTCTGAGCTTGGAGATTTAAAGAGACAATAATGAAATCCTAAAGATTCTAGACAATGTCTTCTTTTATATTCTTGAATAAATAACTGTCATTTATTAACATAGAGCATTAGAAATGTGTATTCTTGTATTCACTCCATCTTGGCAGCTATAATTGTTTTCTCAGAAGCTACACCAAAGCCATTTGATACCAGAGTGAACTTTTGCAGTTTAAAAAAATGCAGTGTATTCTCATTTGTAGTCTTTAGCCTTGCAAAGCCCTTTGTACCTCTCTGAGCTTCTTTGATCCTAGATAGGCTAGAGGCTAGACTCTGTATCCACACTTTATCAGTAGAGAAACTGAGACCACATAGTCTGTGACATTGTAGGGACTGGATCCTTGGTTCCCTGAAAACCAAAATCTGGACTTTTTTTCTGTTTCATATGATGATAACATAGACTTTATGTGTTTAATTGGCTACAATTTTAAAAGAACACATTTTCTGGTATTTTGAAATGACATGTGAATAAAGCCACTCAAAAGACAGTTTTTAATTTGAAAATTACCTGTGATACCCTTGAGGACAGAGACCTTCCTCTGAGATTTGGAGCCTGGAGATTATGGGTGTTGAGAAAACATTGAAGCCAAAAGCCCTGGTCATTGTTCAAGTGTTTGGTGGCCCAGAGTGGATAGAGCCTGTAAGGATGGGTGTGATCCTTTTTAGGAGACTTTATAGCCAATTTGTGGATTTCAAATATTTGAGAATTTGGAGCCTGAAGATTCAAAGAGATGATAATGAAATCCCTAAGAGGTTAGAGCCTGAGGATCCACGGGACTGTGCTATAGACACAGGCTTTTGTCTTTTATTCATAAGAACACTTAAACTGTAATAAATAAAGCAACTCAAAATAGCAGTGGTCTAAATAAGAAATATGTTTTATTTAAGTTTTTTCCTTCTGTCACATTGAAAGTAATTAAGAAGTAGGGAGCACAAGGCTGTTAGGGAGGCTTTATGCTGTCAAGAGGGATAGCTCTTTTGTTGCTCCACCATTGGTCCATAGCTCCCAGTTTTAATCTTACTTCCTTGTCCAAAATTGCTACTTGAGTTTCAGTCGTTGCATTCGTATTCTGGGCAGCTAAGAGAGGCACGGTAGTAAAAACAGGCCATCTCAGTTTCATCACTCTCTTTAAGTTGCCTTTCTAGAAGTCTTACCAAATAGTTTCTCATACTTTGATCAGAACGTATGTATGTGCCCACTCATAATACCCAAAGGAAAATCTGTTTTTTTATTTTAAGCAGATATATGCTCCTGAAATCTGAGTTCCCTTATTGGGGAGTTGAGGGAATGTTGGGTACAATAAGCAGTCTTCCATAGACCCTAGAGAGAATATTCCTGAAATTGATGTGAGTGAAACTCTGGAGTACAGTAAAGCAAGATTTTCTAATTTGAGAATACTTTTATCATATTTACCAATATAAGTTGATATTTAATAAATTTACTGTATATATTGGATACAGATATAAAAGTTACTTGTGTGTTTGTAGTTGCTGTCATTAGGAAACAAGATTTTCTTTAAGTGTATTTTGCAATGAGTTGCAACTATCGCAGTTTCTACCTTTTAGCTAAATACTTTAGTCATCTAAATATTTTGATTAGACACTTAAGATATAAGAATATTAAACTTTAAATTCCCTCAAAGAACAAACTATATTAATATGATAGGAATGTTTGCTGTTTTTGTTGTCATTTTCAATATCATTTCTATTCTTATGTTTTAGGAAGCTATTAACATCACATTGGATCACAAATGCAAAATTTTCCAGACCTTAAATGGAGCTGTAGGTATGCTTCCTAAATACCGGATTGCTTACGTATACAAACAAACACCTGTGTTTTCAACTATCTTTCCTTTGTTATGTCCATTTGGGGGCTGTGACTAAGGTCGACAGTGTAAATATTGTAATTATTGTAACTTAACAAAAATACTAGACTTGAACTTAACATCAGTACATTAAATTAAAATCATTTCCTATGACTAGTGTGAAAAAGATAAGCTTCTGGCTTTAGGTAACTTAAAATTTAGTGTCTCACCATTTGGGAATTTTAGATAAGTTTATAAATTAATTACACTTTATTATTACACATTTTCTAGTGAAATTCTTTGTATTACGAATTACCCAGAGTATTAGAGTAGATCCTTTTGACCCAGCTGAAAGATAACTGGTGACAACTAGACAGTAGACTGGGGAAGAGTGTGTGTGTGTGTGTGTGTGTGTGTGTGTGTGTGTGTGTGTACATGCTCGTGTGGATATGCATATGTGCCTGTGTATTATAGATACATATATCTTGATAAAATACATTAAAACTAATCAATACAGTAAAATTTAAAATATAATTTATTAACACATAAATACTTTTAAATATACATATAAAAATTGAGAATATATTGCAATTCAATCAATACTTCAAGTCAGTCCATTTAGTAAAAAGATTCTTAAAATCTAGTCAGGCATGGTGGTGCGTGCCTATAGTCCCAGCTATATGAGAGGCTGAGGATTGATTGATCCCAGGAGTTCGAGGCTGCAATGACCTGTGATTGTGTCCTTGCACTCCAGCCGGGGCCAGAAAGTGAGACCCAGTCTCTAAAAAAAAAAAAAAAATTCCCACAATGCAAAATGTTTAGTTTGGAGTGCTCAGGAAATTTTAAGACGATGGCTCTGCTCCTCTCTGACTTGAGTTTTATCTTGCTTAATGTGCTAAGTCTGATTTTTAAGAACTGGAAATATTATCATTGGTAGCCAATTGTAGAACCCTTGCTTATGCCAGACAATATTCTACTCACCATGCATATATTGTTATTATCTTCATAATAACCCTAAAAGACAGACGTGGATACCATTTGATAGATGACTAAACTGAGTTACTAATTTAACTTGGCAAGAATAACAATACTATGAAGGGGCAAAGGCAGGATTGCAAGATGAATTATTCTGACAGACAGCTCACTGGCTTAGCACCTCAATCACTTTACTGGTGCCAGGTTGGAGTGAGTTTGGTATCTGTATCTGTTGTCACTGTCATCCTTCATTTTGGGTATCTGCTGGCTTGGAGTAGATGAAGTTACTAGAAGTGTTGTAGCACTTGGAATATTACATCCATGAGAAATTTTGTAATGATGATACACACACATACACACACAGACACACGAATACAGACACACACACACGTATTTTAAATTACTAAAGCCTATTTTCTCTTTTTAACCCAGATGAAGTTGTTTTAAAATTTGAAAATGGCAAAGCCAGAGCTAAGAATACATTTTATGAAACATTACCAGTGGCAATTAATGGAAATGGACCCACCAAGGTAAGTAACAGTTACTTTTATTTGGCCAATTCTTGGAGATAGACTATGGATTGATATGTGGAATGTCATCTATTTTATTTTTAAAAATTTCTTTCAAAGACTTTATTTTGGTGCTAAAATAAAGACTTCATCTTTTACACAGTATATCATCTGGTTTTATACTAATTAATTAATCAAACTGATTTTTCCTCAGCAGAGTGATAGCCTTTTATTCTATTTACAGCACATTTGGCGTTTTATTAAATAATAACAACTAACTTGGGAGTGAGCCACATTTCTCTCATACTGGGTATCCTTTCTCATTAGGAATTGCTCAGGACATTAAGAGATCATTTGTTTCACCTGACTTGCCGTTTTCTAAGTTAACAACACTGTTAAGATTGGGGTATTACAATATGGCCAGAAAGCTTCCTCTTTCTCTTATTTCATTAACTACAGTTAATGAAAGTGACATAATTTGACCAATAAAATTTTGGATGCCTTTCTGTTTCAAATGTGTATAATTGAGCTTGCTAAAAATGTTATTGACTGCAAAATTTATAGATGAAAAGTTTGTTTTGCTTGGGTCCAATCAAGCTGGAACATAAATTGCATTGAAAAAATATAGTAATACTGTGCTTACAACAACCTTC
Source organism: Homo sapiens (assembly GCF_000001405.40). Taxonomy (NCBI): domain Eukaryota; kingdom Metazoa; phylum Chordata; class Mammalia; order Primates; family Hominidae; genus Homo; species Homo sapiens. The sequence continues at coordinate 146,102,122 of NC_000003.12, read as the reverse complement.
TGACATGCTGAAATGCCTGGTTTAAGTACCTAGAAAAGGGATTAACAGATTTTTGTTGTGGGAAGAAAATACTGGGGGATGTGGGCTTCTGTTCCAGAGGAGTGAGTGATCTGAATTCCAGGAAAAGCTATGTGAATGGAAAGAAATGCAAGGAAAACGCATGCTGGCAACTTCTGCTCCATCAAACTGAAAGAAGTAGATTCCCGTCTCTTCTAGTTAATCTTTCCCCTTTGGTTTTCATCCCATTCCAGCCTTCCTACAAAGCAATCTCTATCTTGTGCCCTCCTTCAGTCTCTATCTTATAATCAGTTTCCCCAGCTCTGTCATCTCCTCATTAGCATTTTAAAGACCAGTAAGTCTCCTCCATCTTACAAATGAAACCAAACCAAGCCAACACAAGGTAGAACATCCTCTTCAATCCACACTGCCTTCCAGGCTGCACCTGGCTTTTCTCCTCCCCTTCACAGCCAAAGTTTCTTAAAATATAGATAACTCGCTGTCACTACTCCACCTCTTCCCATCACAGTAAGAAATGCTCCTGTTAAGGTCCATTGTGAAATCTTTGTTGAGTAGTGGACATTGTTCAGCCCTTATTTTTATTTCACCTAAAGACAGCATCTGACAATTCATTGATTTCGTTTGGTCCTACTTGAATGCTCCTTCCCTTTGCTTCCACGATGCTCTGCTGCTTTGTCTATTTATTTTCTGGGCTTTCCTCTTCAATCTCTATGGTTCTTCAAAATATTTATTTTAAAAATTTTACAGCTCAGTTTGTGTGCATGTAGTGACCCTCATCCTTACTGTTTTAGTAAATGTTCACAGGGGCCTGTCTGGGGCCTCTTCCTTTTCTTTTCCATATACATTGTTGGGTAATTTGAGTCATTTCCTCATCAGTGAATTCTCTCAATGCTGGTGGTTTTCAAATCCTTCCTCTAACTCCTGTGTCTTTCCTAAGCTCCAGGTCAGAATACTCAAGTGGTAGATTTCTGTGTTACATATACCCAGAGATTAAGACTTGCAGCATTACCTCCCCTTATAACCCAGTGGTTAACCAGAACCTGGGTTTTGTTTTGGCTCTAGGCACTTCCCACTCCAAAAGCCCTCTGTTCTAACTCCTGTGCATGCTGGTTTTATCTGATTTTCTCAGTGGCCATAGCAACTTTCTTAGTTCAGGCCACCTGCAACCTCCTTCTAGTAGCAATCACACCCCCAGCAGCCTGGAACTAGAGTATTCTGCCAAAGCAGAAACCCTGTCACTCTACTCACCTATATAATGATTTTCTGTGAACTTAGGTATGAAGTTGAAAATCCTCAACTTGTCATACAAGGCTCTTTATGTTGCTCCTGCTTTAGTGGCCACCAATCTACCACCCCATTCACTCTCCCACTCCCAACCCTACACATGCACACCCTCTTCACATTCAATTTCTTCTCCTTTCTCCCTCTCCGCTCAGCAATACTACATTACTTTCAACTTTGCAGAAGTTTCATGTTGCTGTGTCTACAAATCTTCTGTACATACATGCTTTTTATATATCCTGGAATCCTCTCCCCCTAATTCCCACCTGCTGCATCTCTACCTGCTAAGTCCTTCTTATCTTTTAGGTGTCAGTGTAGTCTTTACTTTTTGGGTCTCTTGTATGCTTTTGTAATCTCTGGAGCTACTTCTGTTACAGTATGTATCACACACTGGACAGGAATGATATTTGCCTGTTTTCTGGTCTCTCTTACTAGGCCTTTGGTCTAGGAATTACAGAAACCTTATCTGTCTTGTTTACTTTTGTTTCCCCAGGGTCCAGCACATGTGTAGCGAATACTACGCTTTCAACAAATCTTAATTGAATGTTAGAGTCAATAATCTAATGACCTAGCATTATTCTTGGGAGTAGTAAGGCAGATTATTTTCTGGCAGGGCAAAAGCATTATCAAATTACTATTGGTTGGCTGGGCATGGTGGCTCACACCTGTAATCCCAGCACTTTGCAAGGCTTAGGTGGGTGGATCACTTGAGGGCAGGAGTTCAAGACCAGCCTGACCAACATGGTGAAACCCCGTCTCTACTAAAAATACAAAATTAGCCGGGGTTGGTGGCACATGCCTTTAATCCCAGCTACTGTAGAGGGCTGAGGCAGGAGAATCGCTTCAACCCGGGAGACAGGTTGCAGTGAGCCAAGATCACGCCATTACTCTCCAGCCTGGGCAACAAGAACAAAACTCTGTCTCAAAAAAAAAAAAAAAAAAAGTTGGTCACTGTAACTTTCCCTAGGCAAATTTAATAGATGAATCCCTTTACTATGTGTGTGTAGTCACTGTTTTAGCTGTCTGTGATACTGTCAGTGCCAGTTAGTCAAGAGCTGGTAGAACCCCACTTTTCCCATAACTACATAGTGTTCTGTTCCTCCTTGGTAATATAATATTTTAATCAAATTTAGGCTGGTGCGGTGGTTCACACCTCATGTCACGTTAGGAGGCTGAGGCAGGCAGATCACTTGAGGCCAGGAGTTCGAGACTGGCCAGCATGGTGAAACCCTGTCTCTACTAAAAATACAAAGAAAAAAAAAAGAAAAAAAATTAGGCAGCTGCTTGTAATCTCAGCTACTTGGCAGGCTGAGGCACGAGAATCGCTTAAACCTGGGAGGCAGAGGTTGCAGTCAGCCAAGATCGGGCCATTGCACTCCAGCCTGGGCGACAAAGCGAGATTGTGTCTCAAAAATTTAAATGTCTTTGAGGAGTGATTTTGGTCCTGAGAATTTAGTGATTATGGATAAGGCCTTATGTTCAGTGATTTCAACGTGATCACCAATTCCTTCCAAATTTCCAGGATGATGCTGACTGGAGCTTTAAAAAGTGACTAAAGGACATATCACAAGAAAAGGAGCACTAATCCTTAATCATTTAGAAAGACCTAGGTGTACTAAGAAATATTAAGTCTTCTTGGAAACATTTTCAGTTTGCACTATCACTGTTTCTGGCATTTCAAGCTATGTGATGCTCCTATTATGTTTTCTCTGATATTATCATATCTAGTTCATTTTGTTATTCTATTAGACAATAAAATATGAAGTTTTATTATAGATATTATATTTGGTATAATACAAAAACTCGAGAAAATTTGAATATGTAAACATTTAACACTAATACTTTATAATATTAGGTTAAAGTTAAATAAATTCAAATGAGTATGTCACGTATTCTTCTTATCCAGGCTGATGGGGAAAGAAGGCTGATTATTACAAACATTTTTTAACCTTTATAAAAGGTGGAAGGATTTTTTGGTATGATTTTTTGTAAGTTAGTTTTACTTATTATTTTGTTTAGTAATGGATGTTTATAATGATAGTGGTTTTGAGCCATAATATTGAACTAAACATTTAAGCAGTTTTTTCATTAAAAATGTATATAATCTATAAGTGGTGAAGTGATTATAGTATGTTGATGATACTAAAGTATAAAAAATGAGCTTATTTCCTACTTTCTCCAAATTTTATGCCATTGGAAAAAATATTAACAATTTTAAGTAATTTTAAAAATCATTTATACTGCCCTCCCATATGGTTTTAATTCATAGCTGTTTTCAGTTTTTATGTCTCCTCAGTATATATCTATGAACATTTATATTTTCCTTTGTTTTCATAGTAGTATATAAACAATTTTGTGTTTCTTAATTAACATTTTATTTAAAACATATTTAGGTATTTTAAATAATTATTTTCATACTTGGTCTGTATAAATCTAATATGAATCAATTTTTAGATAGAAACTGGTTTCTAATTTGAAGGTTTACTTTTTCTTGAAACCCATTTATTGTTAGTAATGTATAAGATGCATATTTTAATGTTCAGCCTTTTCTTTTAAATATCAAACAATATACATCTTAATTATGAATTTGGTAGCTTTTTAAAATTTTACTTTAAGTTCTTGGATACATGTGCTGAACGTGCAGGTTTGTTGTACATAGGTATGCATGTGCTGTGGTGGTTTGCTGCACCTGTCAATCCGTCATCTAGGTTTTTAACTCTGCATGCATTATGTATTTGTCCTAATGCCCTCCCTCCCCTTTCCCTCCACCCCTCAACAGGCTCCAGTGTGTGATGTTCCCCTCCCTGTGTCCACGAGTTCTCATTGTTCAGCTCCCACTTATGAGTGAGAACATGCAGTGTTTGTTTCCCGTTTCTGTGTTAGTTTGGTGAGGATGATGGTTTCCAGCTTCATCCTTGTCTCTGCAAAGGACATGAACTCATTCTTTTTCATGGCTGCATAGTATTTCATGGTGTATATATGCCACATTTTCTTTTTTTATTATTATTATTATTATTATTTTTTTTTTATTGATCATTCTTGGGTGTTTCTCGCAGAGGGGGATTTGGCAGGGTCATAGGACAATAGTGGAGGGAAGGTCAGCAGATAAACAAGTGAACAAAGGTCTCTGGTTTTCCTAGGCAGAGGACCCTGCGGCCTTCCGCAGTGTTTGTGTCCCTGGGTACTTAAGATTAGGGAGTGGTGATGACTCTTAACGAGCATGCTGCCTTCAAGCATCTGTTTAACAAAGCACATCTTGCACCGCCCTTAATCCATTTAACCCTGAGTGGACACAGCACATGTTTCAGAGAGCACAGGGTTGGGGATAAGGTCACAGATCAACAGGATCCCAAGGCAGAAGAATTTTTCTTAGTACAGAACAAAATGAAAAGTCTCCCATGTCTACTTCTATCCACACAGACCCGGCAACCATCAGATTTCTCAATTTTTTCCCCACCCTTCCCGCCTTTCTATTCCACAAAACCGCCATTGTCATCATGGCCCATCCCCAATGAGCCGCTGGGCACACCTCCCAGACGGGGTCGTGGCTGGGCAGAGGGGCTCCTCACTTCCCAGTAGGGGCGGCCCGGCAGAAGCGCCCCTCACCTCCCGGATGGGGCGGCTGGCCGGGCGGGGGGCTGACCCCCCACCTCCCTCCCGGACTGGGCGGCTGGCCGGGCGGGGGGCTGACCCCCCCACCTCCCTCCTGGACAGGGCGACTGGCCGGGCAGAGGGGCTCCTCACTTCCCAGTAGGGGCGGCCGGGCAGAGGAGCCCCTCACCTCCCGGACGGGGCGGCTGGCCGGGCGGGGGGCTGACCCCCCCACCTCCCTCCCGGCCGGGGCGGCTGGCCGGGCAGAGGGGTCCTCACTTCCCAGTAGGGGCGGCCGGGCAGAGGCGCCCCTCACCTCCTGGACGGGGCGGCTGGCCGACTCCCCCCCCCCACCTCCCTCCCGGACGGGGCAGCTGGCCGGGCAGAGGGGCTCCTCACTTCCCAGTAGGGGCGGCCGGGCAGAGGAGCCCCTCACCTCCCGGACGGGGTGGCTGGCTGGGCGGGGGGCTGACCCCCCCCACCTCCCTCCCGGACGGGGTGGCTTCCGGGCGGAGACGCTCCTCACTTCCCAGACAGGGTGGTTGCCGGACGGAGGGGCTCCTCACTTCTCAGACGGGGCGGTTGCCAGGCAGAGGGTTTCCTCACTTCTCAGACGGAGCGGCCGGGCAGAGACACTCCTCACCTCCCAGACAGGGTTGCGGCCCAGCAGAGGCGCTCCTCACATCCCAGACAGGGCGGTGGGGCAGAGGTGCTCCCCACATCTCAGACGATGGGCGGCCGGGCAGAGACGCTCCTCACTTCCTAGATGGGATGGCGGCGGGGAAGAGGCGCTCCTCGCTTCCTAGATGGGATGGCGGCCGGGCAGAGACGCTCCTCACTTTCCAGACTGGGCAGCCAGGCAGAGGGGCTCCTCATATCCCAGACGATGGGTGGCCAAGCAGAGACGCTCCTCACTTCCCAGACGGGGTGGCGGCCGGGCAGAGGCTGCAATCTCGGCTTTTTGGGAGGCCAAGGCAGGCAGCTGGGAGGTGGTTGTAGCGAGCCGAGATCACGCCACTGCACTCCAGCCTGGGCACCATTGAGCACTGAGTGAACGAGACTCCATCTGCAATCCCGGCACCTCGGGAGGCCGAGGCTGGCGGATCACTCGCAGTTAGGAGCTGGAGACCAGCCCGGCCAACACAGCGAAACCCCGTCTCCACCAAAAAAAAACGAAAACCAGTCAGGCGTGGCGGCGCGCGCCTGCAATCGCAGGCACTCGGCAGGCTGAGGCAGGAGAATCAGGCAGGGAGGTTGCAGTGAGCCGAGATGGCAGCAGTACCGTCCAGCTTTGGCTCGGCATCAGAGGGAGACTGTGGAGGGAGAGGGGGGAGGGGGGAGAGGGGAGAGGGGAGAGGGGAGAGGGGAGAGGGGAGAGGGTATATGCCACATTTTCTTTATCCAGTCTATCATTGATGGGCATTTGGGTTGGTTCCAAGTCTTTGCTATTGTAAATAGTGCTGCAATAAACATACATGTGCATATGTCTTTATAGTAGAATGACTTAGAATCCTTTGGATATATACCCTGTAATGAGATTACTGGGTCAAATGGTATTTCTGGTTCTAGATCCTTGAGGAATCACTACACTCTCTTCCACAATGGTTGAAATAATTTACACTCCCACCAGCAGCGTAAAAGCGTTCCTATTTCTCCGTATCCTCACCAGCATCCGTTATTTCCAGACTTTAGCGATTGCCATTCTAACTGGCATGAGATGGTATCTCATTGTGGTTTTGATTTGCATTTCTCTGATGACCAGTGATGATGAGCTTTTTTTTCATGTTTGTTGGCCACATAAATGTCTTCTTTTGAGAAGTATCTGTTCATATCCTTCGACCACTTTTTGATGGAGTGGTTTTTTTTTTTTTCTTGTAAATTTGTTTAAGTTCCTTGTAGATTCTGGATATTGGATGGATAGATAGCAAAATTTTTTTCCCATTCTGTAGGTTGCCTGTTCACTCTGATGATGGTTTCTTTTGCAGAGCAGAAGTTCCTTAGTTTAATTAGATCCCATTTGCCAATTTTGGCTTTTGTTGCAATTGTTTCTGGTGTTTTAGTCGTGAAGTCTTTGCCCATGCCTGTGTCCTGAATGATATTGCCTAGGTTTTCATCTAGGGTTTTTATAGTTTTAGGTTTTAGGTTTGCCTTTAATCCATCTTGAGTTGATTTTTTATAAGGTGTGAGGAAGAGGTCCAGTTTCTGTTTTCTGCATATGGCTAGCCAGTTTTCCCAGCACTACATATTAAATAGGGAATCCTTTCCCCATTGCTTGTTTTTGTCAGGTTTGTCGAAGATCAGATGGTTGTAGATGTGTGGTGTTATTTCTGAGGCCTCTGTTCTGTTCCATTGGTCTATATATCTGTTTTGTTACCAGTACCTTGCTGTTTTGGTTACTCTAGCCTTGTAGTATAGTTTGAAGTCAGGTAGCATGATGCCTCCAGCTTTGTTCTTTTTACTTAGGATTGTCTTGGCTATACGGGCTCTTTTTTGGTTCCATATGAAATTTAAAGTAGTTTTTTCTAGTTTTGTGAATAAAGTCAATGGTAGCTTGATGGGAATAACATTGAATCTATAAATTACTTTGGACAGTTTGGCCATTTTCACGTTATTATGAGCATGGAATGTTTTTCCATTCGTTTGTGTTCTCTCTTATTTCCTTGAGCAGTGGTTTGTAATTCTCCTTGAAGAGATCCTTCACGTCCCTCGTATGTTGTATTCCTAGGTATTTTATTTTCTTTGTAGCAGTTGTGAATGGAAGTTCACTCATAATTTGGCTCTCTGTCTATTATTGGTGTATAGGAATGCTTGCAATTTTTGCACACTGATTACAAAAGATAAACAGGGGAAGAGCTAATCACCTGATCTACACATGAACATAACTCATTTCTGAAACTAATTTGATTTGTAATAAAAATAGAGATGTGAATTTTGTGCATAAAAGCTGTAGTACTTGGGTCACTGTGACCTTGAATAATTGGATATGATTTTTAAAAGGAAGAAAGAGGAAAGGATTTGGGCGGAAAAGTTTCTCTGTCAATGAAAATGACATCATACTTGGAAACATTTTGATATTGTGAAAGAAGAATCAGGAAAATACTATCACCTAGTAGCCCAGGAGTGCCCAGAGCAGCCTAACTGCATAAACAGCCTTCTGCACCGTCTAGAGCTGCCAGCAAAAATGTCTCTAGTTTTCATGAGGAAAACAGATGTAAATGGGGGGTGGTGATGGTGGATAACCTCTGCCTGTGTGGTGAGAGGTCCAAAAGAGGGAAGTTTCTAGTCAAAAGTAATGTTTCTAAAATATCTTAGTTATCTAGGAAACAAATTGAGATAAAAAGCAGAGGGTAGGAAAGTGACAAGTTTAATTCCGAAAACTAAAAGTGCTGTCTTTTATGCTCTAACATTTTAAAACTAGTGATCATTTTAATATTCATATAGGGATTCTAGTAGACTGATCAATAACTCATGAAATAAATTTTACATTTTTAATAAGATTTCTGAGATGGTGGAAATACCAGTCTTTATATATAATAGAGATTTTAGACATGGCCAAATATTTGGGAAATTTTTTCTGTCTTTTAAAAAAACTTTTTCTCAGGATATTTTAAATAAAACTATGCTTTTCACCCTTGCATATTCTTTATCTTTTTAAGAAATAATGCTAAATAGGGGATACATTTCCACATAGATATTTTTCCTTCAAAACCATATTTTGTAGAACACAAATGATTAATGTTTGCCTTTGTCATTTGACAACAGTAAAATATTTATTTCTGTTTTTATTATCAAGACACATTAAAATGACCACATTGACTCTTGAAATGTCGTTAATATCATGACTACATCTTTCCTGCCTTGTAATTTGTTTCCTGAATTATCCTGTAGTCCAGAAGAAATGTGAATGGCTTACTTGTCCATGTCTTCTAATTTTGCTGTAGAGATTAAATGTAGCTATATCTATAATATCTGTACAACACAAAGTTTTTCCCATTTTAAAGTTCTTGTTTCAGCAGTGTTTGTTTCAGTGTTTCAGTACAATAAGAATATTTGAACAGGATCCCAAATATTTGAGAGGAATCTGGCAAAATGGTACCCAACTACTTCATGTATTCCACACTTTAACATCCCCTTTAGGACTTTAAGAAGCTAGAAAACTCTAGTTGACACTTTGGTACATTTTTTGATCCCCATGTTTAACATGGACTTTTTTCTTTTGATTTCATTTTACCTTTCCAATGAAAAATTATTGATCATATAATGATAATAGGGATTTTAGGTGCTTTTAAATAGCATGAGGCAAAATTATAGTTTGTGGAAAGAAAATTTAAAAAGCCTATTAATATGAATGCTCATACCACTACTGGGTATTAAAATTGCAGAAGATGTAGTAATTTCACTTGCTGTTTACTCAGCAGGATCTTCCCTAACATGTTCAAATTCTAGGGATATTAAAAATTTTGTTTGAGGGTTCAGAGCAAATCTAAGTGTGTCTACCTCTGTCACCTATCCTTCTTCCTTCACACCACCCCTCCCCAAAACACACAGAAGAGCACAGAATTTTTTTTTTACAGTTAAAATGAATACCAATAGCTGTTTAAGAACAGATACCTCACAAAGGGGATACTCAGAGAGATCTGAAAGAAAATGGGTAGAGAAATAATATTGTACTTTAGCTTACTGTCACTAGGATTTGTCAGATGACTGTTATTAGTGGTTGCCCTAGATCTGTTTTGATCTGCAAGCTCTCTTTTCCTGAATCAGTACCCCTGAATCACTGCCCAGAAGCTTAGCTTATAGTAGCATAGTTTCCTGGAAGAGCTTAGTGTCTTTTGGTGACAAAGCTTACTTAGTATTTATTTTGTGTGGCGTTGTGTTAGTTAGAGGTCACATTACTACTGCCCCATTTACTGTAGGTGTCTGTGCTCAGCCTTTAAACAGGTTTATCTTATTACTAAATTACTATTCATGTGACTCTTATTTGTATTTTTCCTAATAAGTCTCACTATCCCATTTAAAACTCTATTTCATTGTTTGCTTTTTCTTTTTTGATCATCCTTTCCGGTATTATATCTAATATAATATGAAATAAAATGACCTTTATGATTTATAAGACTTTTTTTTTGACATTTCTAGACATACTTTGTCCTGCTTTACAATTCATATTCTGGAGAAGACTATTCAGTGTGCACCTACAGATGATATATTAGTAGAATTACTAAAGGAATATACCTGCTGCAGAAAACATGCTTTTAAATTAGATGATTATAGAATGAAACCACACCGATGAGAGGCCTGCTTTCATTAATAACCTTTTCCTTCATTTACAAGATTCTCCTGAATTATTTTGGAAACTATGTACCCAATTCATGGACACAGGATAATGGCTGCACTCTTTGTGAATTCGATACAGTCGACTTGTCTGCAGTAGATGTAAGTGGAATTGATTATGTGTGAAATGTAGTAATAGAAAGTACATTGTCATGAAATACTGTGATTTATAGGAAAAAAGGCAAATTATTTTATAGTTTTGATTTTATGATAGATAATGGGGATATAGTGTTAAAACATGATGATTCAGCCATTTGCTAGATTTGTGTTTCAGAACTGTTTTTTGACAGAAAAACCAGCTAATAATTGAACCTAATGAAAGAGTCCTGTGGTTAATATTTAATAGCTTACTACGATTGAGTGCTCTTGTGTTTATTCTGTTAGCTTAGTCAAAGCATTGAGAAAAAATCATTACAAGGCTTCAGCATTTTTATTGACTAATTTTATCTGTGCTGGATTTTCAAAGTTGATATGTAAAAATTAATACTACCTGATTATATAACAAACGACTGTTTTAACTACTTTACATATAATAACTCATTTAAACTTCACAAAACTCCTAAAATAGGTAGTACAATTGACTCAGTTTTACAGACGAGAAAACTGAGGTGCATAAATGTAAGTAACGTGTTTAAGGGCACACAATTTTAAGTGTTGGAGTTGGGATTTGAATATAGGGAGTCTGGCTCCAGACTACTGTATGTTCTTGACACTGTGCATTTTTACCTGTGTGATGTGTATATTCTAGGCATGTTGCTACTTGTATGTATTTCATAGATAGTTATATTTTATCATTCATGTTTTGAGGGTGAACAAAGAGTTGAAAATATTCATTATTAATCTATAAAACATTTTTATGTATCTTTGTTCTAACATCAGCCAGAGCTGATATCTTACAACAACATTTTTATTCCAAAAAATTGCTGACATAACATGGAAGATTATATGTATGAAGCATTGATTCTAGGGAGTTTTGTCATTAAGACTGATTTTTTCCTTCATTCACTGTAAGTTCATTGAGTATCTACAGCAGCCAGAAACGTAGAAGCAATATAGGCAAAAATAAAGCTCTTAGGAATATAGTACTACTAACTCCTGAACCCATGCAAATGCAAAATACTTTTACTGTAATATGTTCAAGCTCCTGAATTAAATAGTTTCTATTCTTATCATTGTCTGAAAGGAGTATAAAGAGTAACTTGTGTACATGTAGGAGCTTATGAATAGAGCCCTATTTTACTTGAAAGTAAGGTTTTTGGCCAGTCTCTCAGATAGCAAACTGTTTCCTATCTGCAAAGAATGCCAGAATATTTCTGAATGAAGCTGCATCATGAAGATGTTTAAAAATTTATCCTGATCTTTTTTTGCCGAAAGTAGTGTTGTCTTCTGGAGGGCGAGTTAATACTTTTTATCTGTTTCGTTTCCTTTTGTATAAACTTTCTGGTGCAAAGATAGAAAAATATTTATATTAACATTTTTTCTTTTTGCATGTAGGAGTATGTAATTTAATACTTAAGCTGTTTTGTCTTACAGCTTGTTAAAATGTGATAGAAAGGAAAACTATTCATTCCATTATGCATAATAAAATTACGTGCTATATACAGCTGTTTTTCAATAGGGATATAAAAATTAAAATTGTGTAGGTAGTTAAATCCCAAGCCTATCATAATGTTAGATGTGGGCCATAGGCAAGTTTCTTTATATGTAAAGTCATAGTGATTATCTCAGAGTGTTGGTAGGAATGTTAAATGAAATTTTACCCACATATATATATGAATATACATAACAAATATATAAATGATATTCTATTTGTATAAATTTAATATACATACACAAAGTGGTCAGTATTCAATAAATGTTAACTGTTATAATGTTGTTGTTATATAAACATGAACTTAGGTTAATAATGGTGATGTAGTGGATTGAAACCCAGCACTTTACCCTCAAATATATGTGTTCTGGGTTACTTAAATTTCTCTAAATCTCATTTTCCTCATGTGCATATTTGGGAAAATAACCTCTAAGGCTTTTATGTAAATTAAATGAAACGCATCATCTCATTTGATAAAGGAGAGTTGTGACCTACTTTTAAAATTATTTTTCCTATTAAATTGAGAACTACTGGAGAGTAGATATTTTGTGTTCTTTGTATTTGTTTATTCATTTAATAATAAATATTTGGGCAAGTGAATGAATAGATGAAGAAATATGATAGTGTACAAGGTGTACTTTTATGTGAGCATATGTTATTATACAGATAATGGAGTAATGTGTGAGGTACCGTGTATGAAAAAATGGAAGAAGGTTGCTAATTCAGCACTTAATGTATAAGGTATTTAAAAATATTTGTAATTCTTTTGTTCAGACTTTAAGACATGGCTTTAGTAAGACATTATAAACAAGTCTTCCATAGATTTCTGGTCATGACACTGTTACATGGGTGTTTACTTATGTTCCTGTCTTCCCCATCTACTTGTAAGTCTTTCAAGCCAGGAACTTTCATTCCTTTTGCCAAATATTGCCCATCTTGTGGATTGGAATGTATAATGGCTATTTCAGAATTGTTTGTGCAATTAATGAAGGATAAACTCCACACCAAAACATATCTAAAGAGAACTTAAGAAAATATATTAAAATATATACATTAAGATAAGATATATTAACATTAATGAAAGAAAATAGCTCTCCTTATACATAATATAATAATGAAAGGAAATAAAAGGATAAAGTCTCAGGTCTCCCATGATTGCTTTTTATGTGCTCAAAATTAAGCCCTGAACTTTAAGCCGAGGAAACAAAAAGAGAAACACAATTAGTATTTGGTTTCTTAGACGAAACTTTCAAAATAGCTTTCAGATGTGAAGAAGTTTCTGCAAGGGCTATTTTAAAGGAAGCACTGACTAGTAGTGTAGGCAGTACCATGAATTACATTCATGTAATAAATAGGATAATTTCATCTTTAAACCTAACTCATAACCAAGATGGGATTCAGTAAAATCACTTTGATTGGGGGGGCCACAAAAATTTGTTTCAAGTGTTAGAGAACTGCCATGGAGCAATTCAAATTTAGCAGATTATGTTGAATTGATATTCTAGTATTTTTTATGTCATGCTGATTAACATTTGAATAAAATTTAAAACAAAACCATACTAATGATAATTTTATTTTTATGTTTGGTGTAAAACAAAGGTCCATCCAAACGTATCAATAGGTGTTTTTATTGAGCAACCAACCCCTTTTCTACCTCGGTTTCTGGACATATTGTTGACACTGGATTACCCAAAAGAAGCACTTAAACTTTTTATTCATAACAAAGTAAGTATTTGAGAAATGAATATTTTATGTCAAAACTATTTTTGGTCTTTTTTGGAACTATTTGTTATTTATGTCAAATAAAATTCATTGGGTTAAGTTCAGTGGAGGATTTTTGGAGTAATTACAGCCCTGCCTTTTTAGGACCTAAGGATTTTAGATTCTAGAGACTAGCACCACAATATTGATATGAGCCACATGAAACTGCCAGTTTCTGTAGATCAAAAATGGCTGAATATTAGCCATCATCATATAGCTTAAATTAATATATAATCAAGGAGATTCAAAGGGCCTTAAATCCCTTTGCCTTTGGGTTAGTTCTGGTACTTTCTTCTATAGAATTGGTCATTAAATTGTTTGTGATTTAAGACAATAACATATAAGAACTTGAAACAGTTTCCAGATAGAGTACTGTTTTGATTAATTACACAAGGGCATGCCATTCCCCAAAGGATTTTGATACTGTCATTTTCTTCAAAAATATTCAGAGCCCCCTACATACCTCCTACATATTATCCAAACTTGAAAATATTTTTCCTCAGTATTTTTACAGTTATTTCTTGTCTACTAAAACCACTGGTATTTAACATTGTCTAGAAAAACTCAATAGCTGTGAAGTGTGCGATTTTCTCTCTTCTGTCCTAATACTGTTTGTTTACCATTGTTCCTTTTTCCTAATGTAAATGTCAGCTAACCATTCACATTGTCCAGAGAATATTTTAACTGCAGAAAACTAGCTTAAATGGATTTAAAATGGTGAAAAATTGAGCATTTGCTTTGTAAAATATGTTGTAATATATATACTTTCACTAAAGTATTTTGTTTTTATGTATTGTCTTTTGTTTATATTTTCCCTGCTTTCATGGGGCCTTAAAATCCTTGATGGCGGACGTTTTTGTCTTATCTTTGGTTATTTAGTATTAACTCTATGTTGCTTTTATGTGATAAGTTATTTTAAAAATCTGCAAAAAGCAACAGCTTTTCAGAAAACTTAGAGACTTGACAAATAAAAATCTCTGAAATGCTCTAATGATGGAGACAGATAATCTTACCTGAATTTTAGCACAGTCGAATCACACTAAAATTGGTAACCTTTATGTTGATGGTTTTCCCATTAATCTGTCCATAGAATTTTGTTAAATTTTTCCTTTTTTTGTTAAGTAAAATTTTTTTATATATGACCATTTATTTTACTCTCTGGTTTCAAAGGGTATTTTGTAAAATGTGATTATTTAAGTTTATAACTCAGATTGATGGCTATTATGCTTAGTAGACATTTTTTCTAGATATTTCACAACATATATCTAAGATTTCTAGGCTACAGGCCGTGTTTTTCTTCTCCAGTTGGAAACATTTTATATTACTAAGGATTTAAGTATTTATGCAAACACCTATTAAAGATTTAAGTATTTATACAAAGACTTGTCTAGCAGTAGATATTGACAGAATTTTGAAGCATCTTCTCTTTAAGAATATTGATATATATGTATTTAAGATTATTCATGTGACATTTAAGTGATATTTAAATATACCGTGTTTAATATGGTTATTATTTTATATGTAATTGAATATCTGAATTGTAGAATTCATGACCTTGAATGTGAAGCACTCTCTAATATGAATACTTCAGTCATCTGATTGTCTTATTCTCTAATTTTTGATTTTTAAAATATGTTACAGGAAGTTTATCATGAAAAGGACATCAAGGTATTTTTTGATAAAGCTAAGCATGAAATCAAAACTATAAAAATAGTAGGACCAGAAGAAAATCTAAGTCAAGCGGAAGCCAGAAACATGGGAATGTATGTTTTAATAAATTAAAATTAAATTAAATTATTTTACTAAGGAAACGTTAAGAAAAAATAAACTTTTAAATTAAAATTGTTATGCCAAATTTGGGTGTCTCAAACTATTTGTTTGCGTATGCAGTAGCCAACTTAGACTGTGTCTATGTTTGTACGTATTTATACATAAAGGGCTGTAGAAGTTACTTATGTTTTTCTTTTAATGGCTACGAGTCCACATATTTAATCAAATGATGAATCAAGGTAAGATCAATTTTTTTTAAATGCAGATAAATGAATAGTATGACTTTCATAGCAGTGACTTAAATTTAAATGTACACTCTGAAGGTTGTGTGTGGTAAAAGTGTGTTTATTTAGACTGTGGGGGAAACAGGTGCTCTTACTCTCCAGTTAGTCACTGAGCTAGATAATACTGTAATCCCAAGAAACGGGCATTGTAGGCCTTTTGTTTAGCCCTGTTAATGCTTCATTCTACTAATAAAACTCTAGTAATAGTAAAAAAAATCGTGTATTCAATGAATATTAATTGAATATGCCAGGAACTGTGTTAAGAGTAGGTGATAAAAAGGTGAAGACATGATCCATTCTCATCAGGAAATAATCTTATCTACTACGAACCCTCATGCCTGTGCTGCAGAAGCTGAGGTCCCAGAGGGATGGATTCTGACTAGATTAGGGGTCTAGGGATAGACAGAAAAGAGGCCTCTGAAAAACCAAACTGATGTTATTACTAATGATTCCATAATTTATTCATTGGAGAATCCTCTGGGTCCACATTCAGAACATATTTTCTTTAATATTTTTCATGATTGTACCTAGTGCTTCTGTCTGGTATTTTGTTTGATAGTTGCTTCGAACAAATATGGTGTGGAGACACACACTGACAACAGCAAAAAGTGCTGACTGGGACCGACAGTGAGGGAGGGGAGCCCAGAGGGAAGTTGATAACCCAAATGTCATCTGGTATCTCCAGTTGTTCATTCCTTGATATTGCTGATGATAATGTTACAAACTGTACCAGGGAAAGCAAACATAGTCACTGCCCCTGGTAAGAAGGCAGGGGAATAACTATCTTAGAAAATTTGATGAAAATCAAGTTTGTAAAATATTAATACCTGAAAAGTCATATACTTACATCTCCAACATTCATTTAAAACTGAGTTGTGGGATATGTAAGTTGCATTTGTGTGCATGTGTATGTATGTATGTATGTATGCAGAAACATTTTGATTTGTGGATGTTTTATGCCTTAAAATATTTACTGGCTTGAAAATATATTTTAACTGGCTTAAAATTTTAGAGGTGAGCTCCCTGTGAATATCCGTGTTAAATTGACCATTTTGAAATTTAAGACAATATATATATCGTTTCAGATATTGTTCCACTATTTTGATCAGAAAAGTATGCTAGAGAACCATATTTTACATAAAAGAATATATATATTAACATTTTTCAGTCAGCAGATATTTATTTTATGTCATGCCCATTTCATTTTCTTTTTCACTGTTAGGGACTTTTGCCGTCAGGATGAAAAGTGTGATTATTACTTTAGTGTGGATGCAGATGTTGTTTTGACAAATCCAAGGACTTTAAAAATTTTGATTGAACAAAACAGGTACTTTCTAAAATTCGATATCAATTTATTGTTAAAATGATTATTTTTCATATTGATGTGAACATACTGTAGTAATTGTGTATTTAGTAAATTGAGGGAACTTAGTTATGTTCTACAGCTAATAAACTTTCAATTCAAGTTAATTATTTTTCATTTAAAGGAGTCATAGAAAACAACCTGAATACATCTGGAATTATTTAATATTAGTTATAATCACAAATACAGTTACTTGGCCCATTTTTCTGTTTAAAGCTAGGTGAAATTATGATACATCTGATACTAAAATTTAGAGTTGTTTTATTCTCTATAGATATTTTTAAAGTAGAATTTCACAAAACTTCTGACCAAGATAGTTATTGCATACAGAGTTGTAGTCCTTAGTATCAGAAGGAAATTTCAGAGGTACAAATCATCCCACAGTCATATGTGTAGCTTTATTTACTGTTGAACTAGTTATCACTTCACAGTGTCTGTTTGCTCATTTAACTCAATTGAAATGGGAAAAAGACACCATGTATATCAGCTTACAATGATACTAAGTTTGTTTGTCAATACTACTGCTAATACTAATAATACCATTTTTACTACTCCTGCTAAGACCTCACCTTTAACAAGTGCTTATTAAGTGCCAGGTATTGTTGTAAGTACATGTATTAACACAATTATTTCTCATAATAAATAGAATGTTTAGCGGGTGAAATGTTAGAATGATTGTTTTTATTTTGTTAAGTAAGATACATGGGAAATGTAGTATGCTTTATTAACCCACCCTATATATAATATCTATCTATATATATATATCACTAGAATTTGTAAATTTGAGAATTTAGTTCTTACTTCAAAAATCTAAGACCTCTCTGTAGCAACCTGTATATACAGCCCAACTGTATAGCTGTGTTATAGATACTCAGTATCTAAGTTAACTATCTATATACATCGTAGGTAATTTTCCAAAGCATATGAATGAGGTTTTGATCATTTGGCAAGGAAAAGCAGTTGTGACACCCTAGAGATATGAAATAGTGTATGATTTGTAACTCTTAAAACCTAGTTTAATTCAGTACTATTTTCTTGAATTTGCATTGTTTTCTCTTAATTTGATTGAAATGCTATAGTGTGTAATGCCCATATGCTTTTTAATAATTAGATATTTTCATTTTATGACTATAATTTATATATTTATTAATTATTCTCTTAGTGAACTATTTAATGAATTTACACTATGTATTTGACATATATCCCTCTTAATATTAAACATTTTAAATCTTCTAAAAGAAAAAAAATTCCCGGCCGGGTGTGGTGGCTCACGCCTGTAATCCCAGCACTTTGGGAGGCCAAGGTGGGTGGATCACGAGGTCAGGAGATCGAGATCATCCTGGCTAACACAGTGAAACGCCATCTCTACTAAAAATACAAAAAATTAGCCGGGCGTGGTAGCGGGCACCTGTAGTCCCAGCTACTCGGGAAGCTGAGGCAGGAGAATGGTGTGAACCCAGGAGGTGGAGCTGGCAGTGAGCCAAGATTGCGCCACTGCACTCTAGCCTGGGCGACACAGCGAGACTCCGTCTCAAAAAAAAAAAAAAAAAAAAAAGAAAAAGACTTACCTGCCATCTGGGGCCCTTGCCCCTTAAAGAGTAAAACTCAGGCTGTGTCTCCATGGAATTCTGTTAGTTAATCAAAGGTTTAGGTTTATGTAATACCTATGGTTCTTGCTTCTGTATCTAGACATGTGGTTTCTATAGTCTATTGACATATGCCAGGAATGTTGCAAGATTTAGTAGATTGGACTGAAGAGTAGAGAAAGAGATTTGACACATCTTGGGCATGTGGCTTTCTACCTTCTCATCAGCTCTCTTTTTTCCTCTTCTCTCCCTATCTCTATTTGCTCCCTTGCTCTAAATTTTACTCCTTAAATTGTATAATAATATGAATCATTCCTCAGCTGCCATCCTTACATTTTTATTCACAAAAACATTGAGGTATACAGCAGATGAATTTTGGTTTCCCAAATTTGTTGGTTTAAACCTTTTCAGGAGGCAGCTGGGATTATAAATTACAAGTTCTTTTTAAATTAAATGTTTGATATTCATATTGAATTATTTCCCAAATTAATGTATGTAGATTCTAATTCATGTTATTATTTCCAGTATTGTAGGTATTCAAAACAAAACAAAACATGTGTTTCTGATTAATAGTTTAGTAGGAATTCGGAAGAATAAACCAAAATTTATTATTTTGCATGATGTGTATTTATTTTTATTTATTTATTTTTTTGAGATGGAGTCTTGCTCTGTCGCCCAGGCTGGAGTGCAGTGGCATGATCTTGGCTCACTGCAACCTCCGCCTCCCGGGTTCAAGCGATTCTCCTGTGTCAGCCTCTTGATTAGCTGGGATTATAGGTGCGTGCCACCATGCCTGGCTAACTTTTTTTGGTATTATTAGTAGAGATGGGATTTCACCATGTTGGTCAGGCTGGTCTCAAACTCCTGACCTTGTGATCCGCCCGCCTCGGCTTCCCAAAGTGCTGGGATTACAGGCATGAGCCACTGCGCCGGGCCCGATGTGTGTTTATTTATTTCACTTTTGTGCATGTAATAGAAAGGGCCCGGCTGGTCTTCACAAGATAGAGGTGAAATAGGTTTTCTTTTTTCATATAAAGAATAGTTGTTCCATAAATTTGCTTTCTAAAATAGTTAAAGGAAAGTTCAGTGTTGCCAGGACTAGCTTACTGTAATCACAAGTCATTTTTTAAAGTCATGGAAAACTGGAAACATACTTAAGTAATTTGAGACTTAATTACAGGAAAGCTTTGCCTGTTTACAAACATCTCAGTTCATCTTCATTCATTTTTTACAAATTCAACAAATATTCATTGAATATCTTAAATGCACCAGGGGCTGTTGTTCACCCAGTGACAATGAAAATATTTGGTTTCATTTAATATAGGTTCCGAAATACTTTAGTTAAACTTAAATATAATTAAATAACTAAAGTAGTTTCCCTCTGTTGGATGTAAGCAAGGCATTTTTAAAAGTCATTTTTATGTATTCATTAGCATTTTCAATTACTTTTTCCTTCTTTGTTACTCTTTTTAAGAAATATGATTGAAAATTAGCAATATACTTACTTAAGAAAAGATGTTGGGAAAGAAGATCCTTATTTTATTTTTATTAACTACAGGTTTGTTGAATGAGCTTTCTTGTGTTATATGTCATACTAAGCCCAAAATACATAATTCTGTGGTAATTTAAAAATAAATAATTATATAGGTTTCTCTCTCTCACACACACTCTCTCTGTCTTTAGAAAGATCATTGCTCCTCTTGTAACTCGTCATGGAAAGCTGTGGTCCAATTTCTGGGGAGCATTGAGTCCTGATGGATACTATGCACGATCTGAAGATTATGTGGATATTGTTCAAGGGAATAGAGTGTAAGTTACTTGGTTTAATATTTTAATGTGAAATACCATAATCTAAAGATGTAGTCTTGTTAGTATTACTTGAAATTTTTTTTGCATTCATCTCTTTTCTTTATAGTTAATGGGAATTTGAGAACCCAAGACCACTTGGAATCCTGAAATACTAGTATAAAACTAATATCTTAAAAAAATGTTTTTAAAGTCCCAAATCTTCAAAGGAACAAGCTCATTGCTGTGGGGAATACTAAGAGATAATATATGTTTACCATACTCACATTATGGTTGATAGAAGAGTAATACTCTTTATTTAAAAGCTTGGAAAGGGGATTTAGTTTACTAACTTTTTAATGGTTATAATTAAGGGTTGTTTTGATAGGTTTTAAAATTTATAATTAAGCCAACAGTAACACTAACAGCCAGAACATTCCAGTATTCCTGATTGCATGAGTTTTTTTGTGTGAAATAGCTATTATTCTGCTTTAAATACAAGTTTTTTTTACCAATATTAGATTTTCACTTCTAGAGATTGAAAAGAATATATTTGCTGAAAAGTGTGTGCATGATTTATATTTATTTCAGAGACAATGGTTGATTACTAAAAATAATCACAATTGAAATAGTTTTGCTAAGGTAATATTGGAGAAGAATGTCATTCTTTTTTTCATACATATGATGGACCAGAGTGACTAAGACATTACATGCTTTGCCTTAGTTCTCAAACATGTCAGCCTGATTAAAAAGGGGCAGTATACTCTCAGGACTAAAAGGATGTGCCCTTACATTTAGAAAAAAAAAGGCACACGTTTCTGTTCAAACAGTTGAGTGGTAAAAAGATGTGTTGCTTGTGGAAATAGTAATTGGTGTGGAAAGCTTCAATCTGAATGATGTAAATACAATAAAGGTTTTTGTTAGCTGCAATTAAAATGCACAGTGGAGGAGAAAAGACTATTAAGATCGTATTCTGTTGTTTCTGTGCAGTTGTATTGACTCTGGGTGAGTTGTATAGACAATATACCTGATTGTATCTTTGGGCACATCACAAATGAGGGTTTGTGAAAGTAGAATGGAAAATTTGTTTCAAGTTGCTTTAGGCATTGGTGATTTTCTGTCCAACCTCCTGTCATTCTTGTCTAAAGTATAAGGAAAAAAATATGGCAGAAGCTTTTGATCTGGAATACACTTCATGTCCAAAAGCTACACGAAGGAGCAACTGTGTGTGTGTGTGTATGTGTGTGTGTATAAGTTGAAACACTGAATAATTCCCCAGAGATTAATTTCTGAATTTAGCTGACACGTTGTATACAGTAATTCCCCTTTATCTATGGTTTTGCTTTCCATGGTTTCAAGTCTACTGTGGATTGAAAATACGAAGATATGTTGAGATAGAGAAAGTGTAAACATTCATGTAACTTTTATTACAGCATATTGTTATAGTTGTTCTATTATTGTTGTTAGTCTTACTGTACTTTATGTATAAATTAAACTTTATTATAAGTATATATGTGTAGGAAAAAACGTAGTGTATGTGTAGCGTTTGTTACTATCTGCTTTCAAGCATCCACTGGGGTCATGGAATGTATCACCCTCACATAAGGCGGGGACTGCTGTACTCCTTAAGGCATTTTTCTTTGAGGCTAGTCTAGTAAGACATAATATCATATTTCCGTTAATATCTAACTGCATTTCTTGGTCAAGATCTTGCCTTGATGTTCTCTAAAAGAAAGGCGCACAGTCTTAGGGGCAAAACTTGTTTTGCAGTTTTTATGAAATCAGTCATGTTCAGAGTGAGAATATAGATGTGGGAAAGGATGCAACGTTCATGTGCTCCCAGCTGTATTTCTTCATGTTTTCCTTTTTCTATAAAATATTTAAGATGGCTTAATGAATGGTAAGAGAATATAATTTTGGAGAATTTTAGGCTATATTCAGTGGTATTTTGGTAAATGTGTAACAACTGGCTTTTGGAGGTGGAGGATTCCCTGATTTAAAGTGCTTGCCCATTTGTTTGGTGTAAATACTTCTACCATGGCTGATTTCAAGTTTCCAATGTGAAATTACTGAACATGGACTTGGCAGAAAAAGTTAACTTTGGGGAGCCAGTATGAGCTGGGTCTAGTGCACCACTGGTTGTATGTTATGATTCATGCTATCAAATTCTTTAATTTTAAATAGAAACACCGTCTATACAATAGATTATAATAGTCTAATTGTAACAACTGATTGAGATATGATAGCTATAATACAAATGCCAAACAGATACCAACCCAAAATTGAAATGTATCCAAAGGGGCAGTGGTTTATCTCCTAAATCTCATTAAATATAGTGTATACAATGTAATCTTATATATATATCATTGAATATATTTGTATGTTGATTCAATAATTTATGTATACAAAATCTAAACACAAAGCATTTATTTTAAAAAGGTAAAAATGAAACTTAAAATTGTTTGTATTTGTGGTATATAAGAATGTCTTCTCTTTACTTTCAGAGGAGTATGGAATGTCCCATATATGGCTAATGTGTACTTAATTAAAGGAAAGACACTCCGATCAGAGATGAATGAAAGGAACTATTTTGTTCGTGATAAACTGGATCCTGATATGGCTCTTTGCCGAAATGCTAGAGAAATGGTAAGATATGCAGTGATGGCTTGCTTGAATGTTCTTATAAGATGGCTTGCTTTACCAGTTGGTGTGTCACTGTGTTTTGATGCCCTTTGTCTTGCTAATTTGTAAGTACTAGCCAATTTTTTTGGTTCTGTGTTAAAAAATTTGGGAGTAATTTTGGAGATAATTTAACATTTACTTATAGAAATGGTATGAAAAATGTTAGTTTTTGTGCTCGG
Source organism: Homo sapiens (assembly GCF_000001405.40). Lineage (NCBI taxonomy): Eukaryota > Metazoa > Chordata > Mammalia > Primates > Hominidae > Homo > Homo sapiens. Next base: position 146,078,900 of record NC_000003.12, on the reverse strand, counting down.
GCTAATTCATAGGCAACCGAGTTGGATTTCAGTAATAAAGATGTATTTGTTACAAATCAGCTTTGCTCTTTTAAGAATACATCTTTAATTTGAAATTCTATAGTGAAAACTTGACCTAATTAAAATTAATTAGATAAGCTTCGATGAAACAATATTTCCAGATTTAAGAATATTTTTGTTCTAAAATTAATGTCCACATTTTCTCTAACTAGGTAAAATTTTAAAATTATTATTAACTTCACATTCTTAGAAAGCAGGATTATTACCACCAAACTAGTAGAAGTGTTGAGATACATAGTGTATTTACTCTAAATAAAATACTAATGATACCTTGCTGCACTACAAATGTACTTTTATTATAAAACTTAAAATGACTAGAAAATAATTTTTCAAAATGCATAAACATGGCTTAGAATATATTGATATGATTTTTGGTTTTAGAAATGATGGGGCTATTTTATTTCCGATTTCCAAATTTATATAAGCAATTGTGATTTGATGAAAAGTCAGAAAAGTTGGCAAGTATTTTTTTCTTAGTTTAACAAAGCATGTATTGTTTGAATATGTTTGTTTTCTCTACAAACCTGTGTGCATTATTATTGAATATCCTCAGTACTTGTGATAGTATTTTGTGCTCATGTTTGGCTAATTTGACTCAACAGCGCATCATGGAATGGCCTCTCTTACTCATTTTTTCCGTTGTCTTATGTGTCTAATGAAAGTTCTGCTAAGGAATGAGCTTAGACTTATGTTTGACCCCACCACACCTCCCAAAAAGAAAAGAAAAGAAGGGCTGAAAGAGCTGGAGATGTTTCTTTGTGTGTGCTATAAGCTTTGCTTGTTCTGCATGTTGTCTATGAAGGACATTTCAGAATGTTAGCTTTTGATCAACAGCTGCTATTATTTTTATTTACCAAAGAATACCTGAGAGAGCGGGTGTACAGGTCAACTTACCCAATGCTTCTCTTCATTTTAGACTTTACAAAGGGAAAAAGACTCCCCTACTCCGGAAACATTCCAAATGCTCAGCCCCCCAAAGGTGTTATTTTTACTTATTTTATTTATTTTTGTTTATTTAATATTTGATATAGTATATTGCCTAGTAGTAAAGTTTCTTTAAGGGCCTTATTTGCATTTAGCTTGGTAAAATGTTGATTTTCATCAGTCATCTGTGTGTTTGCGTGTTTTGTGTGACTTGGGCATGGGTCTTGTGTGATAGTCAACTCTTGGTTCTTTGAGCTGATTTATATTTTATGGCTGACAGGTGACAAAGTTAAACCTAAGTCCCTTTCATTCTTTTTTTAGGTTTTTATTTCTTTTTAAAGGGAGAGAAGAGGGTAGAAGTAGGTATAAAATAGAATTTGATTACAGTAAGGTTTAGGTGCACCTTATTGAGTTATTAATCACTAACTCTTTTACTATTAAAACAGGTCCAAAAAGAAACACATTACCTAGTGGTGTTTGCCACATTTGTCTGGTTTGGGGCAAGAATATGAGACTGGTTTTCTTTATCTGCCTTTATAATGTATGACTCATTTGCGTGTTAGCCTTTAAACATTAGAAAAAGAAAGGAATGAAACAGACTGGTGAAATATAACTGGCAGTGAATTCTTGATTAAAAATGTGATGCTTTCTTTGAAAGAGAAAGAAGCCAAAAGAGGTATAATTCATTGCACTGTGTCTCAAAAATATTTCTGCTTTCAAACAGGAATTTTTTCCCCGATGTCTACATCTAGGATCAATGAGAAAGGGACAAAAACAGTCCATTCTTCTTTTTTTCAGTTGAGTGTCAGTGCTATCTACTAGTTTTGTGTGGTGTCTGAATTCATAATCAAAATTTGAGTTTTTTATTTTAAACTATGCACATTTTATATGAATACTAAAAATGCATGTTCATAAATGAAATATAAAGATAGAAATTAATATCTTCTATATATTTTTCCTATGATTAAATTTACTTTTGTACCTACCTCTAAGATTAATACTGTTATTTTCTGGCATATAGGGTGTATTTATGTACATTTCTAATAGACATGAATTTGGAAGGCTATTATCCACTGCTAATTACAATACTTCCCATTATAACAATGACCTCTGGCAGATTTTTGAAAATCCTGTGGTATGTATTTCATACTCAACTTTATTATTTTTCTATAACTGTAAGTGGTTATAAATCAGTTGGTTAATAATATGAAATGTGGTTAGAGGCTTTTTAAAATGACATAAGGTGAAATGCACATCAAAACCACAATGAGATACTGTCTCACACCAGTCAGAATGGCTATTATTAAAAAGTCAAAAACAACAGATATGGGTGAGGCTACGGAGAAAAGGGAATGCTTGTACGTTGTTGGTCGGAATGAATTTGGAAAGCAGTTTGAAGATTTCTCAAAGATCTTAAAACAGAGCTACCATTTGACCCAGCAATTCCATTACTGGGTATATAGCCAAAAGAAAGTAAGTCATTTGACCAAAAACACACATGAACCTGTATCTGTTCGTTGCAGCACTATTCACAGTAGCAAAGACATGGACTTAAACTAGGTGTTCATTAATGGTGGATTGGATAAAGAAAATGTGTTACATACACACCATAGAATACTATACAGCCATAAAAAAGAACAATATTATGTCATTTTCAGCAACATGGAGAGAACTGGAGGCCATTACCCTAAGTGAATTAATGGCACAGAAAACCAAATACTGCATGTTCTCACTTATGAGTGGGAGCTAAACATTGGGTACTTGTGAACATAAATATAGGAACAGTAGACCCTGGGGATCACTAGAGGAGTGAGGGAGTAGGGAGGGGGACAAGGGTTGAAAAACCAACTAATGGGTACTGTGCTCACTACCTTGGTGATGGGATCAGTCATACCCTAAACCTTAGCATCATGCATTATACACTTGTAACAAACCTGCACATATACTCCCTGAATCCAAAAGCTGAAATTGTTTTTAAAAAGTAAATAAAAAGAAAAAAATTAAAACGACATAATTAATTGTATTTCATGATCTATAGAGTAGATCTAAACTTGACCAATAACTTGTTTTTATTAAGACACTTATTAGCTTTGGGGAAGGGAATTATCAATTTGTTCTCTTTCAATATTCTATTATTTTTGTTTTGTGTATTCAAAAGCACCATCCAGTTTTAATCACAATTTTAGAAACATGTTTACAAATAGTTCACATATTATAATAGTTTGATTTTTTAGAAGAAAATTCAAAAAGTTTTGTTTAGGAAAATACATTTTTTAAAATTATTTTTTGACAATTTTGTGAATGTACATCAAAGATAGCCAGAGAGAATTGCAGAGAAAGCTGATTGATTCAGCATATGGAGTCTTAACTTGAAGAAACAATTTCCTTTTAAAATCTGTTTTCTTCTTCTTTTTTTTTTTTTTTTTTTTACAGATTTGAGTGGTACAGTAATTAGCTCCTTTTGTGTTTTACAGGGACATCTTTTTGTTAGGCAAGTGGCACACTTATTCAAGGGAAAATGCTGTCTTCAACAATCAAACCTGTAACACTGCTGTAATGATTTTCCCCTTGCCAATAGTAAAAGTTTTAAATTGCAGACTCAATCCACCTGATGAGAATTGTCCTTTATTTTGTAGGAATAGTTGAGATATGGGGATAGTAAATGTAGTAGTCTCTGAATATTCTGAATAGGAAAATATTATCTTTTGACATTTTGTTATTTTAAAAGTACTTTTGTTCCATTTTAACCACATACCTTCCTCTTTCACAGAAATAAAGCTGAAAAGAGGTGTTTTCTAGTCGTGAGGGTAGAATTCCATATTTCACTTCACCATTGAATCTCTTGGTGTCTTGAGGGATAGAATTATTTGATTTCTTGGGTGACATTAGGTTCCTGGTCAGATATCCTGAATTATATCCTGAATTGTAGATATTTGTGTAAGAATTCAAGTCTTTGGAAAGTAAGCAATGAAAATATCAGAACTGAGTAGGAACAAGTTTTCTTTCCATGGCTTTCTTTGTTAAAGCAGCCTGATTAATATGCCTAGTGAGGGATACCCCATAGCAAAATGCTTATTGATTATCCCATTATCAGAATTTCTAAGAAATTAATAAAGTCACAGTTTGCTCAATGATTTGAAAGGTGATCTAAAATGAAATGTGAATACTAATGCCCTAAAATAAAATCTTAGGGGATTTTTTTTTTTACTTTAACTTGAAGAAAAATCAGTATTGATGCACAGGAAAAATGCTATAGGTAAAAGTTCTTAAATCTTATGGATGATTATTCAATTTCTTGCCACATTTTAGAATCAGAAAGCTAATTAATATTAGAGGGAATAATGAGATAATATAGAAATCTGATCCATATATACTATATAAACATGAAATTTATTAAAATTTTGAAGATACCTTTGTTTCCTCCACATAAAAAATGTTTGAGTTACATATAAACAGATATGCAAAACCAGTGACATAAATTATGGTATAAATATTCAGCCCCTAAAATCTAGCCTCAAAAGATGTATTTAAGGCAAATATCTTTTAAAACATCTTTTGATTGGAATTATTTTGAGTCTGTGTCTCACTTCCTCCCTGCTGGCTCTCTGTATTTGCACTTTGTAAAGAGAAAATTAATAATTTCTAGAAATATTCTAAATTTCAGAAGATATCTTTTTGGATATTTATATTACTCCATGTATTAATAATATTTTAGTAAATATCCATATTTGAATAAAGAACTTGTCCCAATAAAATAATTCTTTAGCTTTTGTTGAAAAAAGTTGAGATATCTTTGTGTGTGGATTTTATGCCAGAGATTGGTCAAAAAGAATCAAATTCATGGATTAGAATAAAGAGAAACCATTTTTTAATATAGAGCCCTAACCCTTAATTTTAGTAACTGAAAGAAGTGCAAGTGCTAGTAAACTCATGATTATTCCTTGATAAATATTAATAACTGAAGTGAAGGCAGAAATTTTAAAAACTCATTTAAAAAATCAAATTTAGAGTAATTTACTATAGACATATAAGACAGACCCTAGTTAATTAGTTCACTAATTCATTTTTACAAATACTTGTTGGTAGAATTTTGCTCCTTGTCTTTTACCTTTAAGCACACCTTTATTTACCTACTCTGTGTATATATTAAAATACTGATGGTCCCCAACTTACGGTGGCTTTACTTAGGAATTTTCAGCTTTATGTTGGATTTATCGGGGTACTGTGTGTTTTTAACCTCCCACGGGTTTATTGGGACATAACCCCATCGTGAGTCAAGGAGCATCTGTAAAATGTGTAAATCTATTCACTGTAAGATTACTTAAGTTTTAAAATCCTGAGGTACAATATTTCATAAATAAAAATTTTGTATTTCATAGAATGACATAAGCATATTCAGAACCAGGCAAAGATTAGGCTATATACTGTGATTTCTGAAAATTACTATTTTGTCCACTATACATAATCATTTATAAGTTGAATAATTTCTAAAATGCATATGCTTTATACTTTTCAGTGAAGTATTTATAAAGATATTTGTTTTAATATGTACTTCTTTTTATAGGACTGGAAGGAAAAGTATATAAACCGTGATTATTCAAAGATTTTCACTGAAAATATAGTTGAACAGGTTTGTATTAATGATTACAAAGTATAGAAAATTTTGCTGTTATTTTCCAGAAGAAATATTATTAATACTACTTTCACAGAAGATGTGAAAGTGGAGAAACTACCTTTTAGGTAAAATTTATTTGATTCAATTACTGATTAAATAGCATTAAGGAACATACAGTTGTAAAATGTAGAACATAGAAATTAACATTTTAAAAGCATGCCTTTTTAAAAAGCATGCTCCTATGTGTCATAGCTTTCTGAAACCACTAAAAATAGAAACTGTTGACAGATCTCTGATGTAGAACTCTTGCAGTGAAAGCTTATCTTTGGAAGAAACTGGGCTGTCTTTCTGGAAGAGTCTTTTCTCAGAGACATCTTTGAAACATGAATTCTCTTTTAGCTTAGTGTTCAAAACTATTGTTAATACCTAATTTTTGAGAATGTAAGATGTCATCAATTCTGAGGTGCACCATTATTTATGTACCATGAGAAAAAAAATACTGTCAATAAACCATGACAGAAAACTATGTTTCCTAGTCATACAGGATTTTTTATTTTACACATATTAAAATAACTATTTTAGACTATTAAGACACAGAAGTTATTATGTCTTCTAACGATGATGCATATTTTATAGCCCTGTCCAGATGTCTTTTGGTTCCCCATATTTTCTGAAAAAGCCTGTGATGAATTGGTAGAAGAAATGGAACATTACGGCAAATGGTCTGGGGGAAAACATCATGTAAGTTGTAATTTCACACTAAGAACTAAAATGTATGTGGGGGTTAAGTAGATACTCAGAGAATTCGGAGGGGTTATATACTTTTTCTCATATGTCTCTGAGTTCTAGACTTAGATAAATTGGCTAGCCAAGGCTCTGATTTCAGTCTACTTCTCCCACCAACCAATTTTTTTAACACTTAAGTAATTTCATTAGTTTGGGCGGGTTTCTCATTTATGCATGTAATTACACTGGATGTTCCCTAAGGGTCGATGTCCTCAGGCCAGAGTTTGTTAGGTAACACATGTCTTTACAGAGTGATGTCACTCTTTTCCAAGGCCACTTTTTATTCCTTGCGTTTTCACAGTGAGCTGTGGTGAAAATTCTAAGGCAAATGTTATCTGGCTCTGAAAACTGTTTTTGTGTGTAAAGATAGGAAGGAGGGATCTGAGTGCCTTAGGTGTAATTCAGTTTTGCATTTGCATTCAGTGTCAAAGACTTGGCAGGAAATACTACTGCCAGTGGTTAGATGTGTTTCTTTCCCTCTGAGAACAGACATGCCATTTTAGCAGAATACTCTGGAATATTACTGCCTCTGCACGGTTATGTCCCCCAGGTAATGAGCTGATAAGGGAGAGGGAAGCTTAAAGTATAAGGAAGAACTTAAGTTAGTGGGTGATGAAATAATGAAAAGCAATCATTCAAAAACTTTTGAGTGTTACAAATAGAAGTGAGGAAGGGCGGGGAAAGCTTGTTTTTAGTGTTTGGTAATACAGACAGCAGATATGCTAAGTGTATGCTCATCAAGCAGCTGAGACTGCCTAAAGGGTCACTGTAAAAAAAGACTCATTTTTAAGAAAGGATGTGAGGGCTTAGGAAGTCAATTTTATTTACTTTATAGCTAAACTTCACATATACATTTAAGAAGTAGGAAAGGAGTCTACTGACCTTACATTACTTTGTTTCGTCATTGTATCATTGACAAAGCTGTTACCTAAGTTATTTTGATAATTTTACAGTTAAAGCAGATGATATACCACATTGGAACAACTGTTATTTTTATTGTCTATTATGATCTGTGGTTGAAAAAAAATACTATAATATAAATGGGAATTGCACGTGGAGTACAGCTTATTATGTCATTAATGTTGTTTCTAGGATAGCCGTATATCTGGTGGTTATGAAAATGTCCCAACTGATGATATCCACATGAAGCAAGTTGATCTGGAGAATGTATGGCTTCATTTTATCCGGGAGTTCATTGCACCAGTTACACTGAAGGTCTTTGCAGGCTATTATACGAAGGTAGTTATCCTCTCACCCCTCCAGCCTATTTCTTACCCATTTTTACACAGGTGTTCTTTTTAATGTTTTTATTAATAAGCAAATCCACTGGCTTACTTTGCTTTTTCAGGGATTTGCACTACTGAATTTTGTAGTAAAATACTCCCCTGAACGACAGCGTTCTCTTCGTCCTCATCATGATGCTTCTACATTTACCATAAACATTGCACTTAATAACGTGGGAGAAGACTTTCAGGTAATTATGACTCTTGTGTTTTTAGATTTTTCAAAAGAAATATATCATTATGAAAAGGACTTTGCCTTAGGCCTTAGTTTCTTTTTTAAATTTTGCTCAAATGACATAATTTGAATTTTGCCACTGGTTAAATATAATCTGATGTATTTCTTCATTTTAACTTTTTTAGGGAGGTGGTTGCAAATTTCTAAGGTACAATTGCTCTATTGAGTCACCACGAAAAGGCTGGAGCTTCATGCATCCTGGGAGACTCACACATTTGCATGAAGGACTTCCTGTTAAAAATGGAACAAGATACATTGCAGTGTCATTTATAGATCCCTAAGTTATTTACTTTTCATTGAATTGAAATTTATTTTGGATGAATGACTGGCATGAACACGTCTTTGAAGTTGTGGCTGAGAAGATGAGAGGAATATTTAAATAACATCAACAGAACAACTTCACTTTGGGCCAAACATTTGAAAAACTTTTTATAAAAAATTGTTTGATATTTCTTAATGTCTGCTCTGAGCCTTAAAACACAGATTGAAGAAGAAAAGAAAGAAAAAACTTAAATATTTATTTCTATGCTTTGTTGCCTCTGAGAATAATGACAATTTATGAATTTGTGTTTCAAATTGATAAAATATTTAGGTACAAATAACAAGACTAATAATATTTTCTTATTTAAAAAAAGCATGGGAAGATTTTTATTTATCAAAATATAGAGGAAATGTAGACAAAATGGATATAAATGAAAATTACCATGTTGTAAAACCTTGAAAATCAGATTCTAACTGGATTTGTATGCAACTAAGTATTTTTCTGAACACCTATGCAGGTCTTATTTACAGTAGTTACTAAGGGAACACACAAAGAATTACACAACGTTTTCCTCAAGAAAATGGTACAAAACACAACCGAGGAGCGTATACAGTTGAAAACATTTTTGTTTTGATTGGAAGGCAGATTATTTTATATTAGTATTAAAAATCAAACCCTATGTTTCTTTCAGATGAATCTTCCAAAGTGGATTATATTAAGCAGGTATTAGATTTAGGAAAACCTTTCCATTTCTTAAAGTATTATCAAGTGTCAAGATCAGCAAGTGTCCTTAAGTCAAACAGGTTTTTTTTGTTGTTGTTTTTGCTTTGTTTCCTTTTTTAGAAAGTTCTAGAAAATAGGAAAACGAAAAATTTCATTGAGATGAGTAGTGCATTTAATTATTTTTTAAAAAACTTTTTAAGTACTTGAATTTTATATCAGGAAAACAAAGTTGTTGAGCCTTGCTTCTTCCGTTTTGCCCTTTGTCTCGCTCCTTATTCTTTTTTTGGGGGGAGGGTTATTTGCTTTTTTATCTTCCTGGCATAATTTCCATTTTATTCTTCTGAGTGTCTATGTTAACTTCCCTCTATCCCGCTTATAAAAAAATTCTCCAACAAAAATACTTGTTGACTTGATGTTTTATCACTTCTCTAAGTAAGGTTGAAATATCCTTATTGTAGCTACTGTTTTTAATGTAAAGGTTAAACTTGAAAAGAAATTCTTAATCACGGTGCCAAAATTCATTTTCTAACACCATGTGTTAGAAAATTATAAAAAATAAAATAATTTTAGAAAGTTTTGTTGTTCTATTATTGGTGTTTATCTTCCAACGTGAATACATGATGGAATTGTCTGAAAGAATGAAGCCTTTGATTTTTCATTTTGCTTAGTAGATTTAATGATATACGAAACTATTGAATTATAAATGAAATTATAAAATCTTCAATTTTAGGATGACTAGGGATTTGATCTAACTCGTTTTCCAAGTGAGAAAATAGAAGCCAAATGTTATTCAATATAGGTTTATTTGTTTATTAATATTTTCTGGGTCTCTATTATGGGTCAGGCACTGTTCCAGGCACCAAGGATATGTTGATGAAGAAGACATTATAGTCACTGTGAGATGGACTTAAAAAGATAAGGAAGTTGGTTCTACTCCTGTTCTCTTCTTTGGCGACACTTAATACCCAAAGAAAATTTCTACTATCCATCAACTAGGATAAGGAGACATTTTAGTAATGATTTGTGAATTATGTTACTGTACATCAGGAATGGTTTTCAAAATATGTAACACCTGGTATGATGTAGATGCCAACTCATCGGAACAGACTCTGGTTATAAAAGCAGATCGGTTCGTTCCTACCAGTGCAAGCCAGCTTAATATCTCTTGTGGTACAGTTCAAAGACATCTCCCAGGTACTAGTTATTTTCCATTTTGGTATCCATGGGTGGTTACTTAGCATAACTATTTCAGTCTCATGCCATGTTTTCAGAAATGGGATCCAGGTAGTCTATTGAGCACAGTTTTTTTGTCTTTCCTCTTATCCTACATTCCATGAAATAATATAAAATGTAGCTTTAAAAAGATGATTCATAATTACTGAGAGAAAATTAGAAAAATTCCCATAAGTAGATTAAAAAATTTGAAAAACGGAAAACGAGTAGAATTGGAAGGATGGAGAAAAATACAGCTTGAAACACACAGAGCAGAAGATACAGAAAGTACATCTATTGTTTGATTCATTCATTTTATGCAATATAATAAAGGCTTTTTAAAAAAAATACACACACACACCCATATATATAAACAATTATCCCCTGAATAATATGGGCGTTAGAGGCACTGATCCCCATGCAGTCGAAAATCCACATGTACCTTTTGACTCCCTCAACACTTATCAACTAATAACCTACTGTTGACTGGAAGCCTCACTGATAACATAAACAGCTGATGAACATTTATTTTATATGTTATATGCATTATACACTGTATTGTTACAATAAGCTAGAGAAAACGTTATTTAAAAAATTATAAAGAAAGATAAAATATATTTACTATTCATTAAGTGGAAGTGGATCATCATAAAGGTTTTCATCCTTGTTGTCTTCGCGCTGAGTAGGCTGAGAAGGAAGGGGAAGAGGAAGGGTGTCTCAGGGGTGGCAGAGACAGAAAAAACCGGCATACACATGAGCCCGCGTAGTTTAAGCACATGTAGTCCAAGGGCTTATTGTGTATCTGCAACAATCAGATATCTCTGACAGATGAACCTGATAAAGTCACACTATTTAGAGTATGATACCATTTATGTTAAAAACAAAATACTATATATGTGTGCATAAACCTACAGAAAATTTCCTAGAGAGGAACAACTCTGGAGAGTGGTATGAGATCACGGAGGAGTAAATAGGATTTATGCCTTTTACGTTTTACACTTGTGTTTTTGAAATATTATAGAAATATATTTGTATATTGATTGTTTAAAGAAAAAAAGACTAGAAGGAAAAGGAGACATTCACGTAACTAATTTGAATAAATGGAAGCATATGGATGTCAATAGTAACCGTGTGTGTGTGCGCATGTGTGTGTATGTGTATACATACATTACCAAGGTGCTTTAAATGCTCACCGTGGTAGAATTTTTTCTAATTCTTAATGCGCATAGGAATCAATATGAATATTTTCCTTAATATAGATACTTCAGTAGTCATCCAGTGCATTAATCTTCATTCTGCTTCATCTTTGAAAACACTAGTAATTTATCTGTATTGGTAACTTAACTAAGAGGTCAAATATCCTTCTATGGAATAGAAATGTGGAAAACAATGAACATATGAGTTGAGTGGTCCATCCTCGTCACAGAATCTCTTTATGTACTCACTTCTGTTTTCCTGTCTGACATACGTATGTCTTGATTTATTTGCTTTTTATGCCCTAAAGCCCATTTTACATGACATGCTGGTAACTTGTCATTCATTTGGAATTTGGAATGGTTATTCAACAGATGTCTTAAAGTTTCAGAAGAGCCCAGTAGAATTTTTAGTCATAATTGAGTCTGTGTAAATAACTCCCTCTGACTAGACTAGAGGTTAACTGTTGCGGAATATTGAAGTCTTCAAGACTTCATGAAAGCAGTGTATCAAACAGAACTGTTTGTTTTGTGGTCTTTTAGAATAGCAAGCCACAGCATTATTTAAGAATAATTATTAACAAAAAGCCATTGGGAAGAAAAATAGGGAAATGTATAAAACTTTTTAATGCAATGAGTTTTGGATTAAAATAGAAGTACACTAAGAAATAATGAGAAGAGAAAATTGTACATGTAGAAATGCTTTAAAAATGTGAAGTATTGCATAATTACATTATTTTGATAAAATAAATTAGACTGGGAATGTAAGTAAACAGGCTAGGGATTTGTGAACTTTATAAGTCTTAAATCTTTCTAATAGCATTTAAAAATGTACGCAACATCACTGTTCATCAGAGAAATGCCAATCAAAACTACAGTGAGATATTATCTCACCCTAATTAGAATGTCTTATATTCAAAAGACAGGCAATAACAAATGCTTGAGAGGATGTGGAGAAAAGGGACCCCTCCACATTGGGACCACTGCTGTTGAGAATGTAATTAATTACAACCACTATGGAGTACAGTTTGGAGGTTCCTCAAAAAAACTAAAAATGGAGCTGCCATATGATACAGCAATTCCAGTGCTTGATATATACCCAGAAGAAAAAGAAATCAGTGTGCCGAAGCAATATCTGCACTCCTGTGTTTGTTGCAGCACTGTTCACAATAGGTAAGATTTGGAGACAGCCTAAATGTCCATCCACAGATGTATGGATATATTTTTGTTTTATTCTTAATATATTAAAATAGATCAGGAAACATTCATTTGGAAAAGTGGTTTCATTCCTGACAGATATTATTGAAGTGGTGGTAATGTTTGTTTATTTAATAATTCAAGAGACGATGAGTTTAGCATGCTAGTCTATCTTCACTGAAATTTGGTTGACTCAAAATCTGAATACTCTCTTTTGAAAATTAGAAGTTTCTGCCTGTTTAACAATACAAAACACAAATAATCAACTGAAAGAATTATTTTAGAAGATATAATGGATGATCCTCTAGTCAATATTGGATAACAAAATAAGGATGTAATGTAACCATTACATTTTGTAATGGTTAATGAATTATTCTGTGATTAATTACAAAATAATTTTGAAAGACATTTTAACACTGGTTTAAAGTCACTAAATCTGGGATCGTGATGTGAAATGACAGAATAATTCTGCATCTACTGAAGACAATTTATATATGATAAAGCTCAATAACTGCTAAGTGAGAACTGGACAAATTAAATGATAGTTTTCTTCTGATAATTAATGTTTGGAGAATTGATTAATTTTAAATAGTGCATATTTGCAAGATGAGATTATCCTATTTTATTAAATTATTTTCGTCTGTATTTACATAGTTTTTGTATCTTACAAATCTTGCCAAATTGTGACATCACAGCTCCACCTTGTGGTCAAAATAGTTAGCTAAATTTAAAGCAAATGCAAGAGCTTTATAAAATCATGCTATCAAATTTTTTCCCAAAGGCTAATACTAATAAAATGATAAATATTGGATGCTTTTATTCAGGAATTATTTATATATTTTTAAGTATGATACAATACAACATTTTAAAAGGAAGAATTGTGACACCTTATTCTGAAATAAGGAGTAGCTAGCATATTTCTAGTTAATACTGTTGAAGTGATTTGTTTTCTGTTTTTATCTAATTTGTAAACTGCTAATCTATGTTCAATAGAGAATATTTACTTGGATTAATAATAAAATAAGCATAAGAGTAGTCAGATTCGACTACAACTGATAAAGCAATTTGTTTAGAGTAGATAAAATTACTTAATTTACATAATATTAAAACAACAGCTCCATAGGGTCCTATTGTAAAAACAAAATTTTAAAAATTGTTCTTTGTTAGGAAAAGGTCAATAGTAATTTTTCTTTATTATCAGTACGGAACTGGTAAGTGCAACAATGAGGACAAGAGTCTTGTAGTAAAATTTGGGTGATTCAGATACTGTGAAAGTTACAATCCTTGTTTTGACTTTTTGAAGATTAACAAAATTTATTCCTGCTGAAGTTATGCACTAAATTAGTTCTAATTTACTCCAGCTGTTGCACATTTACTTACTGACCACACAGCCACGCTGATCACCCTTTTCTTCCTTTGGGTCACTTAGTGTCTTGGCTGCTGGATGAAATCAAGGGGATCTTCAGCTAATGCTAGAGTGGCATCATTGATTTTCATATTGTCTCAGACAGCTTTCCCATTGACCTATGAGCCAAGAGGAGAGGGAATTTTAAAAATATGTGTTTTTGAAACGATTTTGTGCCTGTGATAGCAAGTCGACAAAGATGGTCCTCAATGAACCATGCCTCCCAGTACTCATACCATTGTGAACCCAGGTGGGTCCTTTGTAACCAATAGAATGCAGTAGAAGTGACTGCCTAATTTCCACATTGAGTTATGAGAAGCTTTGTGGTTTTGAGCTCTTGGAACATTTACTGTTAGGGCATTCTCTGTAGAATCCAGGTACCATGCTGTGCCCATGCCACATGGCAAGGCCATGTGCAAGCACTGTGGCCAACAGCTGAAACCAAGCTCCTGCATCAACTTCTACCACATGAGTGAATTATTTGGACATCAGTCCCAGACAAATCCCAGTTCAGATGAATATAGCTCCTGTCAACATCTGCCTGCAACCACATGTGAGACCCCTCAGCCAAGAAACACCCAGCTGAGCTAAGCAAACCCATACAGAACTATAAAAGATGATAATTTATTGAGTCACTAAGTTTCCACATGGTTTGTTACACAAAAATGGATAACTGAAACAGGATTAATTGCCTATAATGTATCTCTAATAGGCTTTCCTTCTCAGAGCACTTTGCATACTGGATTGTTACTTACCTTTCATTCTCCTCAATAAGGCCGTGGGCTCCTTGAGGGCAAGGACTGGGTCTTATTCCACCTTTTCAGTTTTAGCATATAGTCTGGCATATAGTAGGTATTTGTGTGTTAACTGGAAGTTGGTTTTATATCTGAAATTTTATTGTATTTGAATCAAAATGATCCCTGAGGGGGAATAGGTGTTTTGAATTTAAGAGGTAGCCAAAAAATAAACCTATGTGTACTGTAGTTGTGTGAAGTAAAGATGTGTGAAATATTGTACAGTTTGTCCCTGAATAAAGGAATATGTAGGTGGCCTCAAGTTGGATACAGTGATGCACTAAGACAGTATAAAAGGAAACTGCTATCACTGTTATCCTCAGCATTCTGGGCCAAAGGACTGAGAGAGGGAGGGTTCAGTTTATGAGTAATTTGCTTAGTGTATGCTTACTGTGTGTATTTGTATTAAACATTCAATAAGTGTTTCAAATTGAATTTACTTTTATACATCTTAAAGCAGTTTTCTAAAAGGTGCTTTAAAAAGTGTTATTTTATATAGTGACTACAAATTCTATATCTTATCCTCTAAGTTTAAACTAGAAAATAGTTCTAAAATAGAAATATGTGAAGACAGTGGATTTTCAAATGCCAAGGAAAGTGTAGCTTTGATATGTACTGACTCTGGAACTAGTGTTGTTACCCCAGTTACAGATTCGATTGCCCATTGGGTGTGGCCTTTCTTGGTTTTGACCAAATGTCATTTTAACATCTATTCAGTCTGGTCTTAAAAATGTGATAAATAATGGAATGAAAACTTTATAATTTCAGAATTATGGACCTGTAGGACTCTGTTCAAAATATGAATTATTTAGGAAAGTTATAACTGTGATGATGTCAGAAAAAATAGAACTTAGAACCTCTCTTGAGGTTCTTGTGAAGTCCTATTTTTTAATCAATATAGAGGAGCTATTTTTAAAATTGGTAAGTGAATTGCCCAATCTGAGATATTTAAAAGGTACCAAAGAGCAAATTTAAGTGCATAAAGTAATAAGAATTAAGAGGGAGCAATGAGATTCAGGAGTTATGATTAATTATATTTCAAGTAGGTATGTGGAGAATGAACATAAACACATCTAACTTGCCATCTAACTTGCCATTGATTAGAGGGGTTTCATCTAATTTGGGACATTTGTTTTGACATTAAATTTTCTAATCTATTATTTTTGGACAGAATATCATCTACACTGTATTCTAGACAGTTTCATCCTCCAATAGATTTTCTTGCAAATTTTTAATCCAATGTTACATTATTTTTTTAAGTTCTAAAATGAAGACAGAACAAGAATTACAGAACATGTACTTGTCTGTATTACATAATTAATTAGTGTCCTCTCTCAGATGCTTGTAGCCCTGAATCTTAATCTTCATTGAGGGTTTACTTTTGTTGACAGTTACATGTATAGCTAGCTGAATATACGTGGGCTTCCCAGATTTCCTACCTACCAATAGTTAGGTGGGATTATGGAACTGCTTTTGGCCAGTGGCCAATGAATGGAAGTTATGTGGATTACTTGCAAAGCCACACATTTATGAGCCCGTTTTAGAGACCTTGAAGCATATGTATTGAGATGCCTGGATCTCTGAATCACTATTTGGAAGTAAGTTGTCCTTAATAGCTGCTAGGACCACAACAGATTTATACGAGAGAGAAATGAAGTTTTCTATGTTAAGCCACTGAAGTTTCAAGGCTTGCAAGACCGCTTATTTTAACCTGACTAAAACAACAATCACATGTGTGAGAAAAAGATATACACTTTATTAGGAGAAGATGAATTTAGGTTTATGTTGATTTACAAATAATAAAAATCTAGAGTTATCTTAGGATTTTGTGATTTAATTTGTGTCATCGAACAATAGAATCTGAGGACTGGAAGTAGTGTTAAAAGCTATATAGTCCAAAGTCTGTCCTACCTCTACCCTAAACAAATCATCTTTCAGGCTTTCCTGGTTGTTGATCACCCAGGTTTACTTGAAAACTTCATTTAGTGAATGTTCATGAGTATCTGTTACAAGCCCATGTACCTGAAATTACAAACATGATTTAGATATCAACCCTGCATTACAATCTGGTGACAGGCAATTTACTGCATTCTAACACAGAAACAGCAAAGCTTTTCTCATAACTGTAATGAAGACTGTCTTTTGTAACTTCTTTGTAAAGTTTATGTGGGTACACTTGGAAATTATATGAAAAACCTAATACCTTTTAATATGGGTTTATAAAATATTTAACAGCCGTAATCACAACAGTTGCCTCCCACCTACCACCCCTCTATGCCTCACCTTATTACCTTTTCCACATTTAAAAATACCAGATTCTTCACTAGTCTTTGTCTGACCACCCTCACTGCTCCTCCCAGCTGACTGGCTTGCTGATTTTACAAAGTCCTAGTATCAGTATCACTCTCCTCTACATTTGGAATGGTTTATCAACATAGCTGTGGAAGGGTGGTGGCCAGATCTGAACTTAATATGCTAGGTAGTACTAGGTATAAGTGGTATAGAAGCAAAGAGAAGACTCATTCATATTTTGTATTTTTTGCTAATAAAATTAAGTATCAAATTACTTTTGGTGAGGGATGGGCAACTGTATTGTACTGCTGATAATTTGCAGTCAGGAAAAATTTTGTTTTCCTTCTCATAACAACACTGTTAAGCCATGATTCAGTTTACTTTCACATTTTTCTTGAGCCAAGTATAGAATGCTATTAAATTAAATTTTATTGGTTTTAAATTATAATTTTAGCCTGTTTCAATCTTTGTGAAAGCTAATTCTATCACTCAACATAATTAAGTTATTCTCCTCTTGGGCTCGTGCCACCCAAAATGATGAGCTAGCTTTCGACAACTGAGTCTTGGTAATTTACAAAACTGTTCAGAAAGACGAACCAAAATTTGAATGGCTTGCTGTGTTCTGTATAAATTTATAATCGAAAGTCTGATCATGGCTACAGGTTTTTTTTTTTTTTTAACTTGTTCTGTTTTTCAACAAACAATATACTTATTTGCAATTAAATGAAAATAAAGCATTGAATTCTGAAGTTTTAGAGAATGACCTTAGAGATTTTTAGTGGTTGTCAGCCTTAGCCTCCTATTAAAATCATCTGGGAACTATTAAAAGCATTTAATGTTGTGACCCTACCTAGACCTATTAAATTCCATTCTCTGGGGTGAAGCCAGGCCATCAGTTATTTTAAAAGTTCTCCAAGTGCTTCTAATGTGCAGCACAGGTTGGGAGAATCTGATCTAGCTTAGCACTTAAAGGTTATAGTGCTACCACTACATAACACTTCTATATTGAGTTTACTGTAGTATATTAATGGAGCTATCTTAAGTGGAAAATGTCTGATCAATCATTAAATAGCAATCTAAGTGAAATCTATAACTAAAATTTCTATCTGGAAAGACAAAAAGAAAAACCAACTTCTCTTTGAGGGTATGCTATACCCAGAGACTTGGCTAGTGCTAAGGAGGGCATGGTAGACTTCCCGAGGTCACACAAAGAACAAGCAGCTCATGCTTGGTTCTACCCAATAGTCTGAGTCCCCTCAGTCACTCTGTTTTAGCCTCTAAACCACTAGGACGTGATTTGAGAAATTTCATGAAGCCTCAAGGTGTTCTTTCAGGTTATTTGTACAATGGGGAAGAAAATATCTATAGTTCAACCTCTTTCCCATACTCATGACAGATCACCTGGCCTGTGCTTCAGTATTTTACAGATTGTTCATCTGTGGCTGAAAAGCTCTTATCAAAATGCTCTTACTTTTATTGAGCTGATAAAGTTGCCATCCTAACTTCTATCCATTGGTTCTGGCTCTGCCTCCTGGAGGAACACAGACTATGTTGATTGTCTTTTCCCTGTGTTAGCAATGCAGATGGATTGTAATTTTCCTAAATCTGCTCTTCAAGAAAAGATTTCAAGTTTTGAAAACCATATCATCATCCTGTCCTCGGTGACACCTGTTTCTCTCCTTTGTCAACATCACCTTTCACAATGTGTCACCTGGATAGCAGATCGAACAACCTGGCTATAATAGTGGTTCTGATAGCCTCCTTTGATCTCGTCATTGTATTCTAGAAATGAAGCCCAAGATTTTATGTATTTTTACCGCGGTCATACCACGTTGATTTAAAAGATCAATGATTTTCAAGCCAGGCTGGACATTAAAATCACTTGGGAGAGCTTTGAAAAAATATAGCGATATCCTGTTTTACCCTTGATCAATTAAATCAGAATCTCTGGGGATAAGGCCCAGGTACAGTGATTTTTAAAAGTACTTCAATGACCCTAATATGCATCTAAGTGAGTTCTATCCTTAAATGTGGTTTCTCTCAATTTGTAGGTAAATACAATATTTTGTTGTTGTTTGAATGTAAATATCAGGCTTTTGATCTGTTCTAGTTTAATTTTCTGATAATAGTAGTCCCAGAATTTTCAAATGCAATTCTTTAAGATTGCAATGAAGTTAGAACTCTTACGTTACTGTTTATGTCCACAAAATGTTTAGAAAAGTTTGAAAAGGATTTTGAAAAAGATTAACAGTGTTAATATTTCTTATATTGTTGGGTTTATGCATAATATAATTTGGTTAATATGTATCATAAATAAAAGTATTTTAAGATCACATTGTGAACTTGTATCATCATTGATAGCAAATGACATAGCTCATAAGCATGGGATCCAAAATTGGTTTTCCAAATTTAAGGACTTTCCAAGTAAAACAAATTTTAATGCTATGCTCATTGCTTCTCTTTTTATTTAAAACATTGGGTTTTAAGACATAACCAAAATAAACTACTTTTTATTCCTTTGACTTTAGATATCTTTCAGCTGTTAAAAGGAGTGTTGTTTCATAAAGCCTGACAGAAAACTTTCAGTCTCTCTCATCTGAAATTAATCACAGTATTGAATAAGAGTTACCCGGAACAACTGCAATGATTTAAATTTGTGACCCTGGATCATTTGGCAAAGGCATTTTTCCCCCAAAGTTTTTAAGATTGCCTGAGTATTTCAGCATAGTGAATAGAATTTTATAAAAATCAGTGTTATTAGCCATTTGCATAAAAGGCAAGTAGCAACCTTCATGGTATCCCCCATTATTCTTGAAATATTGCATACATTGTTGGTGAGATGATATACAATTCTAAAGGCACTGGTTCATAGGCTAAAGTATCATACATTGATATTTATACTATCTGTCACACTCAAAATGAATTAGAGATAGTCCAAAGGAATAATGTAAATACTATTAAAACGAAGACAAGAAAGGTCAGAAAACACTGAGACAAAGCAGTTGAGAGGCTTATTGTAATTGCACACACACACAAAAAACTATCATTAAGCTCTTTTGATGCCAGCTCAAAAGAAACACAATGGGTTATGTATTTGAGGCCTCCTTATATTTTCATAAAGGCATTCCTCTTAGTTAACCCTCATCTATTCTATGTATACATTAGAACTTCACCAAGAGATTCAGTCTTGCTTTCAACTCTGAGTTCTAATCTTATCTGTGCTTAAGGGCCTCCAGTAGGTCAAGTAACAAGTTAACACCGATGCCTGCCTTGCTTTGACTTTTTCTTTCAAATCTGTTAACATCTATTTTGAGCCAATGGATAAACTGTGTATTCCACTTACTAGAACTGGATTTGTTTTGTTCCTTTTGTTGGAACACTTTCCTAGATATCTTGATTCTCATAGCTGTTACCATAAGACTGAAGTCCTATTAGGGATTTAAAAAGGTCAGTTTTTGCTTTATGAAGATTTCCATTAGCCTTTGACACGCAAAAGATTACATAACAAACCACCTCCAAACACAGTGCTTTAACATGCTGATAATTAATCTTACTGATCTGTGGGTTAGTTAGGTTTAGTTTAGCGAGATTTTCTCCATTACACATCTCTCATCTCCCTCCCAGGGCAAGTGGGCTAACCCCAGCAATGTTTTCCTCATGACAACCTCAGAGGTAAAAGGGGGCAAATAGAAACATACAAGGCCTCTTAAGGTCTAGGCTTGAAACTGGCACATGATCACTTCTACTTTATTCTTTTGCTAAAACAAGTTATATAGCTGAACCCAAATTGAGTGATGGAGAAATACTCTTGGAACTTTTACTAGGAGAAACTGTAAAGTCATATGGCAGAAAATATTGAACCTCGGAGTGTTTTTGGAGGATATAAATTGTTATTTAAATACATTAAAATTTGTGATTTCAATTTAAAAATTAATGTGTTGTCCGGGTGCGGTGGCTTATGCCTGTAATCCCAACATTTTGGGAGGCTGAGTGGGTGGATCATGAGGTCAAGAGATCAAGACCATTCTGGCCAACATGGTGAAACTCTGTCTCTACTAAAAATACGAAAATTAGCTGGGCATGGTGGTGCACGCCTGTAGTCCCAGCTACTCAGGAAGCTGAGGCAGGAGATTTGCTTGAACCCGGGAGGCAGAGGTTGCAGTTTGCCGAGATGGTACCACTGTACTCCAGCCTGGCGACAGAGCAAGACTCTGTTCCAAAAAAAATAAAAAAATAAAAAATAAAAAATAATGTGTTAATGTATTACCAAATTACCATTGTAACATCTACCAGTAAAATGATTTTTCCTTTAGCAATTCATTTCTTTCAAGAAATGCTTGAGGGCCCAGTCAGAAGACTATTTACCTTTTCTTCTGACATAAAACTCACATAATCTTGGGCAATTAAGTTTTTTTCTCAACAAAACTTTTTTTTTTTTGGTGTACAGTTTTAACATAAAGGTAGATTTGTGTAACAATCACTATAATCAGAATATAAACAGCCAAATCACACCAAACAATTTTTTTTGTTGCCCCTTTGTAGTTAAAACTTCCCCTTCCTCATAACACCAACTAAACTGATCTTCTATATAGTTTTGCCTTTTCTAGATTGGCATATAAATGGAATCATACAGTATGTAACCTTTTGAAAATGCTTCTTTCACTCAGTATAATACCTTTGGGAATCAACAGTGCTATTGCATCGATAAATTTTTCCTTTTTATTGCAGAGTAGTAATCCATTACATGGATAAATTACAGATTTAACCCATTTACCTACCAAAGGACATTTGAGTTGTTTCCAGTTTTGAGTAATTACTACAAACAAAATTTTTAGAAACATTCATGTACATGTTTATTGTGACTATAGATTTTCATTACTCTAAAATAGATAGCTAAGAATGATATACTATCCTATGGTAAGTAGCTTCTGTTTTAATTCCACTGTTTGTGCCTTTTTGGATTATTCGAATGTTTTAAGAATTCCATTTTATCTATTACATTTTTGAATATCTTCCCAGTGGCTACTCTAGAGATTACTCTCTCTCTCTTTCCCTCTCTCTCTCTCTATATATATACTTAACTTTTCACAGTTTACTTAGAATTAATATTCCCCTTCATGTTTTAATTGTAATACTTATTAACTCTGTATATTAAACAACCATCCAAAATGTTATAATTTTTGCTTTTAACAATTATACATCTTTTTAAAACTTGGGCATAAAACAGTCTATAATATTCATGTGGATGTTACCATTTGTGTTGCTCTTCTTTCAGGTTTCCCTCTAGTACCTTTTCCCTTCCACCTGAAAAAATTATGCATTTTATTTCATAGTAGATTTGCTGTTGATGAATTCTATTAGTTTTCATTCATCCAAAACCATCTTTATTTCATCTTTGTTTTTTATTGTTGCTATTGTTTTAATTTTTGTGGGTACATAATAGATGTATATATTTATGAGGTATGTGAGGTTTTTTGATACAGACATACAATGCGTAATAATCACATCAGGATAAATGGAGTATCTATCACCTTGAACATTTATCCTTTATTTGTGTTACAAACAATCCAATTATACTCTTAGTTATTTTAAAGTGCACAGATTTGTGTAAATTCTTGTTGACTATAGTCATGCTGTTGTGCTATAAAACACTGGATCTTATTTATTGTATCTATCTATATTTTTGTTCCCATTGACTAATCTCCCTGAACCCCCATAACCCTTCCCAGCTTCTGGTAACCATGATTCTACTCCCTATGTCTATGAATTCAATTGTTTTAATGTTTAGCTCCTACAAAATAAATGAGAATATGTGAACTTTGTTTTTTTGTGTCAGGCTTATTTCAGTTAACATAAGCACCTACACTTCCATCTATATTGTTGCTAATGACAGGATCTCGCTCTTTTTTTATGGCTGAATAGTATTTTATTGTGTATATGTACCACAGTTTCTTTATCCATTCATCTGCTGATGGACACTTAACGTTACTTCCAAATCTTGGCTATTGTGAATACTGCTGCAATAAATGTGGAAGTGCCGATATTGCTTCAATATACTAATTTCCTTTCTTTCGGGTATATTTCTAGTAGTGAGATAGCTGGATCATATGGGTAGCTTTATTTTCAGTTTTTTGAGGAACCTCCAAACTGTTCTCCACAGTGGTTGTACTAATTTACATTTATACCAATGGTGTACAAATGTTTCCTTTTCTCCACATCCTCACCAGCATTTTGTTATTGCCTGCCTTTTGGATAAAAGCCATTTTAACTGTGGTGAGATGATAGCTCATTGTAGATTTGATTTGCATTTTTCTGATGATCAGTGATGTTGAACACTTTTTCATATTACTCTTTGCTATTTGTATGTCTTCTTTTAAGAAATGTCTATTTAGATCCTTTGCCCATTTTAAAATCAGATTATTAGATTATTTCTATTGATTTGTTTAAGCTCTTTATATATTCTGGTTATTAATCCCTTTTCAGGTATATAGCTCGCAAATATTTTCTCCCATTCTGTGTGCTGTTTCTTCACTTTGTTGGTTGTTCTCTTCGCTGTGTAGAAGCGTTTTAACTTTATGTGATCCCATTTGTCCATTTTTGCTTTGGTTACCTGTGTTTGTGAAATACTACTCAAGAAATCTTTGTCCAGGCCAGTGTCCTGGAGAGTTTCCCCAATGTTGCCTTGTAGTAGTTTCATAGTATAAATTCTTGGGTTAAAGTATTTCATTCATTTTGATTTGATTGTCATATATAGCAAGACATAAGGGTCTATTTTCATTCTTCTGCATATGGACATCCAGTTTTCCCAGTACCATTTATAGAAGATATTGTTCTTCCTCAACTTAAGTCCTTGGCACCTTTGTTGGAACTGAGCTCACTGTAGATGTATGGATTTATTTCTGGGTTCTCTATTCTGTTCTATTGGTCTGTGTACCTGTTCACATGCCATAAACATGCTGTTTTGGTTACTATAGCTCTGTACAATAACTTGAAGACAAGTGATGTGGTTCCTCCAGTTTTATACTTTTTGCTAAGGATAGCTTTGGCTGTTCTGGATCTTTTGTGGTTCCATATAAATTTTAAGATTCTTTTTTTTTTCTGTGAAGAATGTTATTGGTATTTTGTCAGGGATTATGCTGAATCTGTAGATTGCTTTGAGTAGTACAAAAATTTTAACAATATTGATTGTTCCAATCCATGAACATGAAAATATTTTCTGTTTTTGGTGTCCTCTTTAATTTCTTTCAATATTTTATAGTTTTCATTGTAAGGATCATTTACTTCTTTAATTTCTTTATCTTATTTTTAGCTATTGTAAATTGGATTACTTTTTTTATTTCTTTTTCAGATTGTTTAATGTTGAGATATAGAAATGCTACTGATTTTTGTATGTTGATTATGTATCCTGCAACTTTACTGAATTTGTTTATCAGTTCTAATAGTTTTTGGTAGTTTTTCCAAAAGTAAGATCATATCATCAGCAAACAAGGATAATTTGACTTCTTCCTTTCTAATTTGAGTACCCTTTATTTTTTATCTTCATTTGTAAATGAAGGTTATTTTTACTGAATAATAGTTCTAGGCTGACAACTCCTTTCTTTCAGTACAGTAAAATTTTCACTCCACTGTGTTCTTTCTGATGAGAAATGTACAATAATTTGAATAGTTATTCTCCTATATGGAATGTATTATTTTGCTTTGGCTCCTTTAAACACTTTTTCTTTATTTTTGGTTTCTATCAGCTTGATTACAATGTATATGGGCATGTATTTCTTTGAGTTCATTCTCTTTTGGGTTTGATGAACTTTAATTTGTAGGTTTATGTCTTTACACAAATTTGGGAAGTTTTCCACCATTATTTCTTCAAAATTTTTTTCTGTACCACCATCTTCCTCTTATCTTTCTGGAATTCTGATGATACAAATGTTAGACTTTTTGATATTGCCCTCAAGTTCCCAAGACTGTTCTTTTTTTCAATATTTTTATTCCATTATTCAAATTTAATACTTTCTATTGATTTATCTACAAAATTACTTTCCTCTATTGTCTTCCTTCTGCTATTGAACCCATCTACTGAATTTTTTTTTAAATTAACGGATTTAAAAGAACATTAGTGGTTTTATTTTTCAGTTGTAAAATTTCCATTTGGTTCTCCTTTATAAGTTCATCTCTCTGATGAGACATTTTTTTCTTCCCATTTTTTAAAGAATGTTTGTTGTGACTTATTTGAGCATGCTAAAAAAGCTTTTTAAACTTTGATAATTCTACATCTGTTTCGTATTGGGTTGGTGTCTGTTGGTTTTAATTTCTCTTGGTAATTTGTCAGACTTTTCTAGTTCTTTTATATGTTGAGTAATTTTGGATTGGATGCTGGACATTTTGAGTATTAAATTATGAGGGTCTGGATCTACATTAAATCATATGGATAACATTTCATTGTTGTTAGGTTTGTTTTAGTAGAGAATTGATTCAGTTGGGTGCTGGCTGCAATTTCTTACACACTTTATGTGTACTGTAGTTCAAATATCAGTATATTTTCAAAGCCTTTTCAATGTTGTTCAGCTCTTCTGCATGTGTGCCACCCATGGAGCAGGTCTCAGATGTGTGTGGTAGTCTCCCTCATATTTTTTGTTCTCAAAGCCGGTTAGGCATACTGTTTAGGATCAGATCCACCATTCAACTCAGATGTGAGAGCAAGGGTTCATATAAAACTTTCGGGATTCCTTTCTTGAATCCCCTTATCCCCACAGTCTCCACCAGATTGCCTCACTCCCAGAGTCCTTCCTTCTTGGTTGCCTGGCTACGTCTCCTCACCCTGCTTTGTACATTATTTGACTCATTCTGCCTCCAGATCCAAGTGGCAGGAAGAAGAGGTGAAAAGGGAGGGTTTTCTTTTCCATAGCTTTTTTTTTTTTTTTTGGTTAGAGAGACGAACTCTCCTCTCTCAGAGTTTTCGGTACCTGCCTGGTTGCCATGACTACCACCACAAAGTTGGAGATTCAGGAGTGAGGGTTGCTGTAAGCAAAGTTGAGGAGACAAGAGAAGCTCGGGGAATTCCCCCAACTTTTTCTGCTTCATAGAGACTCTACTTCCCATGCACAAAACCAAAATAAATAGAATCATAATTTTAAAAAAGTGTATCTTGGAGCTCTTCCTGTCTGTGCCTGGTACATTATCTATTCTGGGATATTATCCTCTAAGGCAAGGAGATATGGGTGGAAAAAGAGGAAAACAAGAAAACTCCCCACTGGATTGCTTGTACTTTGGGTTCTGGATTTCTTGCTCAATCCCCCTGCTATCATTTACTTTTCAGAGTTCTCAAGTAGCTGCTTCATGCATTCTGTGAAGGGCTCTTGATTTCATTCAGTTGAGACAGAATTCAGTTACTTTATCTCCTTTGGATCTGAAACTGTCACTTAAGTTGAAGTTACTTCATCTTCAAAATGAATGTGATTAATACTTGCCCTTTCTAACTCACAACATATTTATGGAAGTAAAATAAAATGGCATATTTGGAAGTATCTCATAAATTGTGTGATAGTGGTAATATATTGACCTTTTAATATATATACACATAGTTTGAATATATTTTTTCCATTTCAACTTTATCATTCTTGGCAATTTCCCAAGTAGAAACTTCCATGTTATGTAACTGCCATTATGTTGTCCGAAAAGTTGGGAAACCCTACGATAAACAAAGCTAAACAGATTTACTTACTGCAAGACTTCTTGAAGTCTCTGATAGGTTAATGTGCATTTTGAATTCCCAAGATATAATTGAACAGATTTCAGAATTTATCTCTCAGCTGTTTTATCTTCTATTGGTCTCTTAAACAGAAATAAATGCAGAATGATTATTTTGTAAGCATTCTAGAAAATTCTTCATATTTAACATCAATAAGAATGTTGTAAGCTTTGGCAGAACCTTTACTCCCCCTTTAAGTCACCTTTCAAGCCTTGCTCATAGATAGAAATATGGCTAAAGAAAGAAAAGATATTTCGGAGGTAACACAGGGTTTTAAAGAAACACACAGATGCAAAGCAAAATATTATATATCTGCATATCTTCCTGATGTTTCATTCAAATAAATATGTTCTGTGGCTTCATTTTTCAAACCATGGCTTATTAGTGTGATAGTAGTTAAGAGATATTCTTAAAATTTGGTACTACAGTAAAAATCCAGGCTGCACATTTGTGCTACAGTATATTTCTTATACTAGAGATAAAACTTATGTCTTTAGAAAAGTTTTATCTAAATCCTGATATATTTGTACTTCCTACTTCTTTCAGTTAAAAATAATTTTTAGAATTTAGAAACATAACACAATAAGTTTCACAAATCTAACCTCACTTTCTTTGTTGGACTTCCAATTATTTCCTGTCTTTAAAAGTTAAAATGGGAAACATTTAAAATGATTTATCTCTTCTAGATATTTGTGTAAATAAGTTTATACTAAGAAAAAGTGCAAGTAGAATCTATACTTCATAGACAAGAAAATGAAGACAATATAACTTTAGACAATGAATTTAACATCTTGAAAATTAAGTATTGACATTATCTCATAAATCAGTTTAAAATTTCACATTCACCAAGTAAGACAAATAATTATGGAAAAGAGTCACTGAATTATCAACATGTTGATCTATATGTATGCTCTAAAAGGTGGTAAGCAAAGAGAGGAATTTACATTCACAAAAGTCCTGGACTTTGACCAAGAATCAACTTAAAAATAATTATTATGAATTTAATCACATTATAATCCAATTGTAATTGTGACCCTTATTTGCAACTACTTCTTCCTGGAGAAACTTATCAGCCCCTAAATGCTTGTGGTCTTATGCCACCCAGACAGTCCTAGGGTTTTCCATTCATGCATTTTTGAGAGTACAGACTACCGTTTCTTGCAAATTTACACATTTTGGTTAAATAAAGCATAAAGAGTAGTAATTCAAGCTTAACCACAGTAACATGTCACATTTGGGGTCAAGTCTGGATATATCTAGCATCTGACCAACATCTGTCCTGTGTTATTGAGAGATCAACTGTACTTTCTGAAGAACAACGTTTTATGGACAGTATGTTAAGGCATTGCGCAAACACTCCACGTTTTTTTCCCTAATTTAAACAGTTTACATAGTTCTTTTTTTTCTTTTATTGTAAACGGGTTAAAACATTTATGAAATACTGCATTAGAAAAGGCTAATATTCTCCCTATTTGTAAAGAATATTTTTATTTCTAGATAATAAGTTGTGATGTATTATTTGTCTCCTCATCAAGTCATCTAAATGTCAAAGTTTATGGGCAGATGTAGGCCTCTGGCTGCCTGTAAGCCATTTAAATTTCTCACCTACTTCCACTATTGAGGCTGAAAAGTGAAAATATTCCATTTCCAGTCTTCCCTGGGCAAGACATCGTATCAGCCCTGAATTTAAAGTCTATATTTTTGAAAAATGGAATTTTAAAAGATTGTGGAGATGTCCTAGATTATGTGCTATGGAAAAAAAAGAGAATATGATGTTTTTAATTCTCAAGATTAAAGCAATCAAGAAAAAGTTGTATTTTTTAGATAAAAAATATAACAAAAATTTTTACTATAAAGCCACTTTTATCTGTTTTTAAAATCTAATTCAGTTTTAGTTTGAAACTGTTGTTCAAAGGTAACACCTGTGATAAGAGACACAAGCTGTTTCAGAAAGTGGCTGCATCAGAAAGCAAGCTGTTAAGAGTTGCAGGTTGTTAAATTCACTCTGCAGGGCAGTAGATAAAAAGTGTTGTTGCACTTCAGCTTTAGTTTATTTCAGAAGCTTCCTAAGAAATCAGATCTGAGGCTATGGTAGCCTAGGCACTAAAAACAACAACAGCAACAACAACAACAAAAAACAAACAAACAAAAAACAAGAAATCAAACAAAAAAATACACAGCAAAACCTCAGGGAAATCTCCACCTGGGGGAAGTTTACTTTGTTGGCTTTTTATGCAGAGGGCCACTGAGTGATCCTAATCTGTTCTGTCATTTTCTACCAATTGGGAAGAAAGGGTATGGGAGTTGAGAACTGGAAATACTAATGAAGAAGAATTTCTGATGTTTAGCAGAAGTATGTGATATCTCTTGCATCTTGGGGCTTCTTTGAAGCCTGGTATTGCTGGCTTATATACCTGGACCTGTCAGAGTTTGATTTTCTCACACAGCTAAAATGTACAAAGTATAAGCTCATTAAAACAACATAATGGCTTAATGAAAATTTGCTGAGGTTTATTAAAATAAATTGCTAACCAAGGCAATGATAAAAAGTGAAAAAAAAACTGCATTATTTTCTTTAAAAGTTTGCTAACTGGGATTCGTGTTTTATTTAGCGCATGGTAAAGGTAATTAATTGCATTTAGTGATTTTAATAGCATATTTTTAGCAATAAAAAAGAAATATTTTAATAGAGGAATAACTAATATGCAGTGAAATGCATACATTTTAAATGCAAAATTTGTAGTTTGAATATTTGCATACATCCAAATAATCCATAATCTATCAAGATATAAAACATTCTTAGCATCCTAGAAATTCTTCTTAGGTTAATCCTTGTCACTGCCTTTACCTCAAGCAACCACTCATGATTCCATTGCTTAGATATCTTGCTCTAGAACTTTATACAAGTAAAATCATACAAGATATACTCCTTTGTGCCTGTTTTCTTTTGCAGCATAATATTTTTAAGATTCTTCCATGCTGTTACTGTGTATGAGCAGGTTTTTTATTTGTCTGTTTACTACTAATACTATTTCATTGTATAAAGCACAATTTATCCATCCACGGTTGATGAACATTTGATTAATTTTAGTTTTTGGCTACTATGAATAAAGTGACTGAACATTCTTGCGTACTTTTTTGTTAACATATATTTTTCATTTCTCTTTAGTAAATAACTAGGGGTGAATTTTGTGGGTTATAAAGTCAGCACAGCTTGAATTTTATAAAACATTTCAAAACCAATTTTCAAACTAACTTTACCAATTTATATTTCAGTAATGTGTGAGATTTCCAGTTGTTCCACATTCTTGCCAACATTTCGTGTTGTCAGTCTTTTTTATTTTTTAATTTTAGCCATGCTAGTGGGTATGTAATGGCATTTCATTGTGACTTTAATTGGCATTTACCAGGAAACAAATGGTATTGAATATCTTTAATGTGTTCATTAGTCATTTGTATTTCTTCCTCAGTGAAGTGCCTATGTAAGTCTTTTGCCAATTTTTAAATTGGGTGTTTTTTCTTATTATTGAGTTGTTGAAATTGCTCATATATACAGTTGTCTCTGACTATCCATGGATGAATAGATCCAGGACTTCCCACAGATACCAAAATCCACAAATGCTCAAGTCCTTCAAATAAAATGGCATAGTATGTGCATATAAACTATGTACATCTTCATGTATACTTTAAATCATCTCAGGATTACTTACAATATCTAATAGAGAGTAAATGCTGTGAAATAGTTGTTATACTGTATTTTATAGGGAATAATGATAAGAAAAAAATCTGTACATGTTTAGTAAACATACAATTAAAAAATTCTTTTGGCTTGTGGTTGGTTGATTCCATGAATGTAGAACCGATGAATAAAGAGGTCTGACTGTAGTGTAAATGTTTTCTTCTACTCTACGGCTTTCCCATTCAATTTCTCAGTAGTACCTTTTAATGAGCAGAAATGTGAACCTTGATGACATCAATTGTATCGATTATTTTAATGCTTAATAGTCAATAGTTAAAAATGTTAATTTTTAATAGTTTAGGATAATTAATTCTAGATCTTGTTTTAGAAATCTTTGCCTACCCAAAGTTTATGAAGACATTCTGTTATGCTTTCTACTAGCAACTCTATAGTTTTATTTTTTTTACATTTAAATCTATAATCTATCACAAATTAATTTTTCTGTATGGTGTGAGGGATGGGTGGAGGCAAATTGTTTTCCTCATATAATACTGATTTTTTTTTAACTACTGAAGGAATTTCTTGGTTATCTGCAATCTTTGCCTAACATAATACTAATTAGATTACTTAACAATGGTGGCAGAAGAGTGCACAGTTACCCTAAGGTCACAGTAGCCCTTCAGTGTCAGCCAATTGGGGCCTTGCCTGAAGGCTGGTGCAGGGTTGCTTAATATTATATTTTTTAAATTATTTTTTAAAGAAGCAGAAATTCAAATACAAGTAAAATTATTTCGTTATTTGCTGACAGTTACTTTTCTTTCTTCAGGCCAACACAGAAGAAACTCAGATTTATATTATGAGGGCAATTTTCAAATTTCTGCTTAGACTATTGACTGAAGGCAATTGTCACTATTTCTTTATGGTTACAAAGAAGAAATGATTAGGCCATCATAAGGTGGACTCTAGAAACAAAGCCTATTAAGTATGTCTTGGATATAAGTTTATAGACACCCACATCTTAGCTGGACACAAAATTTGTTTAACTAAACAGTTATCCAAATGGTTTTCCCAGTGGAAAATAATTGTTTTTCGTTTGTTGTTGTTTTAGAGATAACTTGGCCAGAGTCAACATTTCCTCATATTCCCTATTCGCATTGATTTGTGTTTGAAAATTTAAATTATAGTCATTGGTGGTAATTCAGAAATCATCAGAAATACCCAAGGCCCTGTTCAAACCATGAAACTAGAAATTAATTTGTACATTCATTCACCAAATATCAATTATTGAATACCTTCTCTGTGTCAGGCACATGCTAGGCATAGACATTTAACAGTTAAGCAGAACCAAAACAAAAAACAGGATCTGTGATCACACAGATTGATTTTTAAGTTGTGATTAAGAGATGATATGGTTTGGCTCTATGTCCTCACCCAAATCTCATGTCAAATTGTAATTCCCATGTGTTGGAGGAGGGGTCTGATGAGAGGTGATTGAATCTTGGTGGTAGATTTCCCTCTTGCTGTTCTTGTGATAATGAGTGAGTTCTCATGAGATCTGCTTGTTTAAAAGTATGTTGCACGCCAGACGTGATGGTTCACGCCTGTAATCCCAGCACTTTGGGAGGCCGAGGCTGGTGGATCACCTGAGGTCGAGAGCTCGAGACCAGCCTGACCAACATGGAGAAACCCCGTCTCTACTAAAAATACAAAGTTAGCAGGGCGTGGTGGGGCATACCTGTAATCCCAGCTATTTGGGAGGCTGACGCAGGAGAATCACTTGAACCCGGGAGGCAGAGGTTGTGGTGAGCTGAGATCATGCCATTGCACTCCAGCCTGGGCAACAAGTGTGAAACTCCATCTCAAATAAATAAATAAATAAATAAATAAATAAATAAATAAATAGTGTGTTGCACTTTCCCCTTTGCTCTCTCTCCTGCCCTGCCATGAGAAGACATGCTTGCTTCCCCTTCTCTTTTCTTGTAAGTTTTCTGAGGCCTCCCAGCCATGCTTCTTGCATAGCCTGCAGAATTGTGAGTCAATTAAACCTCTTTTCTTTATAAACTACCCAGTCTCAGACAGTTCTTTTAGCAAGGTGAGTAAGAACTATTACAGAAAATTTGTACCGAGAGTGGAGTATAAAGACACCTGAAAATGTAGAAGTGACGTTGGAACTGGATAATGGGGAAGTGTTGGAACAGTTCAGAGAGATAAGAAAATGACAGGAAGATGAGGAAATGTTTGGAACTTCCTGGAGACTTGTTGAATGGCTGTGACCATAATGCTAATAGTGATATGGACAGTGAAGTCTAGGCTGAGGTGGTCTTAGGTGGAGATGGGGAACTTATTGGGAACTTGAGTAAAGGTCACTCTTGCTATGCTTTAGCAAAGAGACTGGCAGCATTGTACCCCTGCTTTAGGGATCTATGGAACTTTGAACTTAAAGAGAAGATTTAGGGTATCTGGTAGAAGACATTTCTAAGCAGCAAAGCATTCAAGAGTTGACCTGGTTGATGCTGAAAGCATTCAGTTATATGTGCTCACAAACAGAGCCTGACCATGTGGTAGAAAAGAAAATCCCATTTTCTGGGGCCAGGCCCAAGGCCCCGTTGCTCTGTACAGCCTTGGGACATGGCACCCTGTGTCCCAGCCACTCCAACTCCAGCTATGGCTAATAGGGACCAAGGTACAGCTTGGGTCATGACTTCAGAGGGGGCAAGTCCCAAGCCTTGGCAGCTTCCACATGGTGTTGGGCCTGTGGTGTGCAGAAGGCAAGAGTTGGAGTTTGGGAGCCTTTGCCTAGATTTCATAGGATGTACAGAAACACCTGCATATCCAGGTAGAAATCTGCTGCAAGGGTGGAGACCTCATGAAGAACCTCTACTAGGGCAGTGCAGAGGGGAAATGTGAGGTTGGAGCCTCCATGCAGACTCCCCACTGGGGCAGTGCCTAGTAGAGCTGTGAGAAGAGAGCCACTGTCCTTCAGATTCCTGAATGATGGTTCAACCAACAGCTTGCACTATGTGTCTGGAAAAGCCATACGCACCGAACACCATCCTGTGAAAGCAGCTGTGGTGGCTGTACCCTGAAGAGCCATAGGGGAAGAGCTGCCCAAGGCCGTAGGAGCCCACCCCTTACATAAGCATGCCCTGGATGTAAGACATGGACTGAAAGGAGATTATTTTGGAGCTTTAAGATTTAATGAGTTTCCTGCTTGGTTTTGGACTTGTATGGGGCCTGTAACCCCTTTGTTTTGGCCAATTTCTCCCTTTTGGAATGGGAGAAATTTACCCAATGCCTCTACCCCCCTTGTATCTTTGAAGTAACTAACTTGTTTTTTATTTTACAGGCTCATAGGCAGAAGAGACTTGCTTTGTCTCAGATGAGACTTTGGACTTGGATTTTGAGTTAATGCTGAAATGAGTTAAGACCTGGGGGACTATTGGGAAGGCATGATTCTGTTTTGAAATGTGAGAAGGACATGAGATTTGGGAGGAGCCATGGTGGAATGATATGGTTTGGTTCTGTGTCCCCACACAATTCTCATGTCAAATTGTCATTCCCATGTTTTAGAGGAGAGGGTCTCATGGGAGGTGATTGAATCATGGGGGCAGATTTTCCTCTTGTCGTTCTCAAGATACTGAGTGAGTTTTCACAAGATCTTGTGGTTTAAAAGTGTGTAGCCTTTCCCCCTTTGTTCTCTCTCCTGCTTTGCCATTGTAAGACATACTTGCCTCTCCTTCTCCTTCTGCTGTAACTGTTAAGTTTCCTGAGGTCTCCCAGCCATGTCTCCTTTACAATCTGCAGAACTGTAAGTCAATTAAACCTCTTTTCTTTATAAACTACCCAGTCTCAGGTATTTCTTTATAGCCATTTGAGAATGGAGTAATGCAAGAGATTACACCTAGCTCAAATTTCAGTTTATATACTCAACTGTTACTCCACATCTCCACTTAGATCTACAATGGACATCTCAAACCTATCATATCCCCAATTGAATTCTTGATATTCTGCTTCTAAATCTGGCCTTTTGATAATCATCCTTGTCTCATAATACAGTAGTATCCCTTATCCATAGCCTCACTTTCAGTGGTTTCAGATACCTTCAGCAAACTGTGGTCTGAAAATATTAAATGGAAAATGCTAATAATACCACTTCATAAGTTTTAAATTGCACACAGTTCTGAATTGTGTGATAAAATCTCACACCATCCCACTCTGTCCTAACTGGAATGTGAATCATTGCTTTGTTCAGCATATTCTTGCTGTGCACACCACCTGCCTATTAGTCACTTACTGCCCAGCTTGTTGAGTATCACTGTATCACTGTGTTCTGTTCAATTAGCCCTTATTTTAATTAATAATGGCCTCAAAGCACAAGAGTAATGATGCTGACAACTTGGATACACTAAAGAGAAACTGTATTGTGCTTCCTTTAAGTAAAAAGATGAAGTCTCTTGAATTAAGGAAAGCAAAAAAGAAAAAAAAAAAGAAAAAAGTTGTATGCTGAGGTTGGTAAGATCTAAGGTAATTAACATGGTTTGGCTGTGTCCCCACCCAAATCTCATCTTGAATTGTAACTCCCACAATTCTCACATGTTGTGGGAGGAACCTGGTGGGAGGTGATTGAATTATGGGAGTGGGTCTTTCCTGAGCTGTTCTCATGAAAGTGAATGAGTCTCATGAGATCTGATGGTTTTAAATACAGGAGTTTCCCTGCACAAGCTCTCTCTTTGTCTGCTACCAACCACGTAAGATATGACTTGCTCCTCCTTGCTTTCCCCCAAGATTGTGTGGCCTCCTCAGCCATGTGGAACTCTAAGTCCATTAAAACTCTTTTTCTTCCCAGTCTTGGGAATGTCTTTATCAGCAGCATGAGAACAGACTAATACAGTAAATTGGTACCAGTAGAGTGGGGCATTGCTGTAAAGATACCAGAAAATGTGGAAGTGACTTTGGAACTGGGTAACAGGCAGAGGTTGGAAGAGTTTGGAGGGCTCAGAAGAAGACAGAAAAATATGGGAAAGTTTGGAACTTCCTAGAGACTTCTTGAATGGCTTTGCCCAAAATGCTGATAGCGATATGGACAATAAAGTCCAGGCTAAGGTGGTCTCAGATAGAAATGAGGAACTTGTTGGAACTGGAACAATGGCGATTCTCATTATGTTTTAGCAAAGAGACTGGCAGCATTTTGCCCCTACCCTAGAGATTTGTGGAACTTTGAGCTTGAGAAAGATGATTTAGGGTGTCTGGTGGAAGAAGTTTCTAAGCAGCAATGTATTCAAAATATTACTTGGGTGCTGGTAAAGGCATTCAGTTTTAAAAGGGAAACAGAGCATAAAAATTTGGAAAATCTGTAGCCTCATAATGCAATAGAAAAGAAAATTCCATTTTCTGAGGAGAAATTCAAGCCAGTTGCAGAAATTTGCAGAAGTAACGAGGAGATGAATGATAATCCCAAAGACAAAGGAGGAAATGTCTCCAGGGTATGTCAGAGGTCTTCACAGCAGCCCCTCCCATCACAAGCCCAGAGGCCTAGGAAGAAAAAGTGGTTTTGTGGGCCAGGCCCAGAGTCCCCATGCTGTGTGCAGCCTAGGGACTTTGTGTCCTGCTTCCCAGTCGCTCCGGCCGTGGCTGAAAGGAGCTGATGTAGAGCTTTTGCCATGGCTTCAGAGGCTGCTAGTCTCAAGCCTTGGCAGCTTCCACATGGTTTTGAGCCTCTGGGTGGACAGAGGTCAAGAATTGAGGTTTGGGAACCTCTGTCTAGATTTCAGAGAATATATAGAAATGCCTGAATATAAAGACATTTATATAAAGACAGAAGGTTGCTGCAGGGCCAGGGATCTCCTGGAGAACCTCTGCTAGGGCAGTGTGGAAGGAAAATATGTGGTTAGAGCCTCCACGTAGAGTTCCTAATGGGGCACTGCCTAGTGGAGCTGTGAGAGAAGGGCCACTATCCTCCAGACCCCAGAATGGTAGATCCACTGATAGCTTGCACTATGCGCCTGGAGAAGCCACACACAGCCACACACCCTGTGAAAGCAGCTGGGAGGGAGGCTGTATCCTGGAAAGCTACAGGGGCAGAGCTGCCCAAGACCATGGGCACTCACCTCTTGCATCAGCGTGACCTGGACGTGAAACACGGAGTCAAAGGAGATCATTTTGGAGCTTTAATATTTGACTGTCCCACTGGATTTTTGGCTTGCATGGGGCCTGTAGCCCCTTTGCTTTGGCCAATTTCTTCCATTTGGAATGGCCCTATTTACCCAGTGCCTGTACCCACATTGTAACTAGGAATTAACTAACTTGCTTTTGATTTTACCGGCTCATAGGTGGAAGGGACTTGCCTTGTCTCAGATGAGACGCTGGACTGTGGACTTTTGAGTTAATGCTGAAATGAGTTAAGACTTTGGGAGGCTGTTAGGAAGGCATGATTTGTTTCGAAGTGTGGGTACATGAGATTTGGGAGGGCCTGTGGTGGAATGGTATGGTTTGGCTGTGTTCCCACCCAAATCTCATCTTGAATTGTTACTCCCACAATTCCCATGTGTCATGGGAGGAATCTGGTGGGAGGTGATTGAATTATGGGAGCAGGTCTTTCTTGGACTGTTTTTGTGATAGTGAATGAGTCTCAAGAGATCTGATGGTTTTAAAAATGGGAATTTCCCTGCACAAGCTCTCTCTTTGCCTGCAGCCATCCACGTAAAATGTGACTTGCTCCTTCTTGCTTTCTGCCATGATTGTGAGGCCTCCCTAGCCCCGCAGAACTGTAAGTCCATAAAACCTCTTTTACTTCCCAGTCTTGGGTATCTCTTTATCAGCAGCCTGAGAACTGACTAATACAGTAATAATAAATTTTCTATACATGAAATCGTGAAATAGAAAAAAGAAAATTGTGCTAGTTTTGCTCTTGCTACTCAAACTGAAAAATTTATGGGCACAGTGCATGATAAGTGCTTAGTTATGATGGAAAAGGCCTTAAATTGTGGGTGGAAGTCATGAGCAAAAAATAAAACATATACTGATTGAAGGCAACCTGTTGTACTTGGGCCCATTCAGCCTATATAAAGACTTCAGCAAGGGATTCTTTGAAATGAGTGACACCAAGCCATTTACTACAAGTAAGAGATAATTATACAGATTCAGGAATAGGTTTGAACCTGAAAATATAAAAATTACTGAAGAGGCTGTATCTGCAGATGAAGAAGCTGCACATTTCCAGCAGATTTAAAGGAATTGATTAAGGAGAAAGGATACCATCCAAAGCAAATCTTCAATTGTGATGAAACCTGGCTCTGCTGGAAGAAGATGACCAATAGCACCTACATTCATAAAAGTCCAAAAAAGGCATCAGGTGATAAAACATGGAAGGACAGATTAACTCTGGTACTGTGTGGCAATACTGCAAGGCATGTGATAAAGCCGGGCATAGTGTACAAAGCAAAGATCCAAAACCAATGCCAAAACCAAAAATTATTTGCCCATGTTATGGTAACATAATCAGAATGCATGAATGATAGCCATATTGTTTATGGAATGGTTCCACCAATGCTTCATCCTGGAAGTGAAAAATACTTGGAAGATAAAGGATTGGAATTTAAAGTCTTTTTAATAATAGGGAATGCACTGAACCATCCTGAATATTTGCTACAAAAATGAAAATGTTGATGTTGCATTTTTACCTCCAAATACAACCTAATTGCTTCAGCCCCTTGACCAGGTTATCATCTAGTCTGTCAAGGCCACATAAACCTGCTCAGTATTTGATTGAATTCAATTAGCAATTGATGCAGACTCTAATCTGGACATTATGGAGTGCTGGAAATCACTCACTATTGCTGTCACAATAATATTAATCAAGTTGTAATTGGTGAATTAAAACCAAAACTGCAAATGTCTGCTGAAAGAACATATGGAGTGAAATTGTGAAAGCTTCCTGAAGGTTGATGGCAAAGTTAGGAAAATAATTCCTGCAGCAAAGGAGAAGGATTTGCCAACATACTTGCTCAGGTGGAAGAACATTTTGAAGGCCATCAAGAAGTATTAACAAATAAGAAATTGGAAGAACTTGTTGAATCATCTACAGAGGAATAGGGATACGAAGAAGAATAAAAAACAGAAGCAGAATCAGCAATGTGGACATTACGAAAATTTGCTGACATGTTTTCAGCTGCAAAGACATTAAAGGACAAAATTATGGAATATAATCCTTGGATCAAATGCAGCATTAAAGTCACTCATATGATTATGATTACCAAAGGATTACAACCTCGGCAGCAACACTTTGATGAGTTAAAAAGAAAGAGACAACAAATTTTTATTATGGTTATAATGTTATTCCAAAACATTTTGGCAAAAAACTTCAATTATGGAATCCTCTACCATCACATTGTCTGCTCCAGGCATCCAATCATGGCTGAATGATCCAAGATCACCAGAAGCAGATGATCTTCTTTCTGACTTATTAGAAGCTCAATAGCAGCCTAATGCTCCATCAAAATGCCTGCCATTCACCTCACTTCAGCTCATCACATACATAGGCATTGTATCATTTCACATCATCATCATAAGGGTTAGTACAGCAAAATAAGATATGTTGAGAGACAGGGAGATAGCACATTAATATAACTTTCATTACACTATATTATTATACTTGTTCTCTTATTATTATTGTTATTAATATCTTACTTTACCTAATTTATAAATTAAACTTTATCATACGTATATATGTACAGGAGAAAACATAGTATAGATTCTGGTAGTATTCATTTTCAGATATTCACTGGGGGGTCTTGGAACATATCACCTGTGGATAAAGGAGGATACTATAATGATCACTGTAGTTTACTACTTGCTCAGACAAAAATATATGGTATGATCCTTGACTACTTTCTTTCTCTCATATCCTATATTCAATTCATCTGCACTTTACTTTTAAAGTATGTTCCAAAAACATCTAGTTCCTACAGTATCTAATATGCACAGTAGTCCCAGGCACTATCATCTCTTGCCAGAACTATTGACTGCTACAGTCTTCTAAATGGTCTCTTTCTCCACCTTATTTCTTATAGTCTTTTATCCACACAGCAGACAGAGTGATCCTTCTAAGTTGGTTCATATCACAGCTCTATTCACATCTCTCCATGGCTTCTATTCCAGGCAGAATTAAACCCCAAGTCTACATCAGAGCGTCCATGTCCCCCATGATTGTGCCACTGTGCCACTCACTTCACCACTTTGCCCTCATTCTATCAGTCTTTCTCTTGCTTGTCTTTTCCATGTCCGGGATTATGCCAAGATCATTTCCATCTTAGTGTGTTTGTGTGTATTCTACTGCTTGGAATCCTCTTCCTCAGAAACTCACAGGACTTGTTTTCTCACTTTCGTGTCTCAGCTCCCCTGTTGGCTTATCAGAGAAGCCTTCCCTCATCACTTTGAACTAAAGATTTCTTCTTGCCCCAGTCACACTCTATCACATTATCCTCTCCATACTTCATGACACTTACTCTCCAACATGTATTTCTTTCTTAATTCAATAGTGTTTGTTGAAATATAAACCCATGAGAGTGACAACTTGTCTGTTTTGTTCGCTACCATACTTCCAGCATCTAAAACAACACTTGGCATATATAATAGACACTCAATAAATCTTTGTTGAATAAAGAAACATGTAATTGCATTATAGTGCTATAAGTGCCAAGATAGGGAAAATACTTTATGCCAGTGAAGCACTTAGGAAATGTCGAAGAAAGCTTTCAAGGGAAGTGATATCTAAGCTGAGTTCTGATGAATAAATTAGACAATTAAGGTTGGGAGAAGGGAACAAATGGAGTGAAATGAGGAAGTAGTCCATGGGAAGCCGAAGCTGAAGGCTCAGTAGAAACACTTAAACTGGGAAAACCATGTAGGGCTTAGACTTCACCTTAAGAGCAATGGGGAGTTATTGAAGTGCTTTACCAGATGAGTGCGGTCAGCATTACATTTTCTAAGGATCAGTCTCCCTAAGAAACAAATTCATTGTGTAGGGTTGAAAATGGCGAAGCTATCTCAGTTAAGAAGATATGACAATAATCCAGGAAACGTATGGTGTCCTCCAATTTGAGTATGAAGAAAATCTGGTAAATTTTAGGCAAATGAGATTGCTGAATAAAACTGAAATGCATGATTGATTGAATATAGAGAGAAGATGGAGAGGGAGAGAGATGAGCCAACACTTACTAGGTTTCTGTCTTGGGAAACTGGGTGCATAGTAGTTCTACTACTGTGATAAAAGCATGTTTGTGTTCAGGGGAAGATGATAAGCTTATCTGGGTATGGTGAATTTGAGGTGCCTTAGAGGCAGTTAGATGTGTGAGGCTTAAGGTCAGCAGAGAGGTTATACCTAAAAAGAGATAGATGTAGGAATTGTTAGTGTAAATGTGGTATTTACTGCCACGGGCTTAGATGAGACCCCCTAGCTCAGGAAGACTTTTAGAGCCTGAAATGAAATGAAGCTGTCTCCATCTCCATGGGATCAGGGTTAATAACAGAAGCTGAGAAAATGTAGGATGGAGAAACAAGTTTCTCAATGATGGAACAGCTGAGGGGAGGGCCTCATGTATATGAGTCATCTTAAAAAGTTCTGTGCTCCTACACAGGCTGAGGCTTAGGCTCTCTTACAGGAATGCAAGCAAAAGGAAAGGACTAGCCGGGCACGATGGCTCACACCTGTAATCCCAACAATTTGGGAGGCCGAGGCAGGCAGATCACTTGAGGTCAGGAGTTCGACACCAGCCTAACCAACATGGTGAAACCCCATCTCTACTAAAAATACAAAAATTAGCCAGGCATGGTGGTGCGAACCTGTAATCCCAGCTACTTGGGAGGCTGAGGCAGAAGAATGGCTTGAACCTGGAAGGCAGAAGTTGTGGTGAGCTGAGATTGTGCCACTGCACTACAGCCTGGGCAACAGAGCAGGACTGTTGTCTCAAAAAAAAAAAAAAAAAAAAGAAAAAAAAAGGACTTCTCTAGAGAGGTATAAGATATTCTGCATTTTGAAATACAGTAATGTATTATTTCTTCTATGGTAATAATACTTCTAGAAGTGAATTTGATTATTGAAAAGCAGAATCTTCAAGAAATAACACTAGTAGAGAAAAATAATTCAACCCCATTTTCTTGTTACTTTGACCTTTCTTTTTATTTCTCAATTTCAATTATAATTACTACACTTCCTGTTCCCAAAACTTTTGTGTCTTGTCTGCTGATGCTGTCAGTAACATTATACAACTATGAAGATTTGGCTTAAAAATACAAAACATATGAACCATATTTAATTAAATTCTGTTGGTTGAAAGCACATGAAAGAATTTTCCATGTATGCATAGCTCATTATTGCCTTTACCAAAACCTCTTAGCCTTTGGAGGAGACTGCTGATGACAATAATCACATCAGCCCCCGAGAGGAAACTAGGCCTCTGGGCTTCCAGGGATCACCAATTCTTTTCCAGTATTAACAAATATTTTCCAACTCCCTCTTGTATGTAAATAGTAAACATCTTTGGTATGAAAGCAGACATAATTTCAATATTTATAGTTTATATTAGTAATGATTCACACAATAATCATGATTGTGTGAGATTTCTCTAGAAATTCATGAAGCCAATTTTAGGGTATAAAATAGACTTATATGGTGTTGGGTGATTATAAGTGAGCTTTGACACTGAAGAAGCTGCAAACTTATTTTACATAACTATTTTCAAATACTGTCTTAAAACTTTT
Organism: Homo sapiens; assembly: GCF_000001405.40. Lineage (NCBI taxonomy): Eukaryota > Metazoa > Chordata > Mammalia > Primates > Hominidae > Homo > Homo sapiens. The sequence goes on along the minus strand of NC_000003.12, from coordinate 146,036,738 downwards.
TTTTTAATATGATTACATAACTACTTTTCAAATACTTTGTTAAAACTTCCTTTTCCTCTGTATGATTGAAGGTGTTTTGAGGGATCTCTTTACTACAAAATACCTTTTAAGCCATATTTACAGTACAGTCAGGTGTCTCAATGACAGTGATACCTTCTTAGAAATGTCTTGTTGAGTGACTCATTTTTGTGTGGACATCATACATAAACCTAGATGGTATATCCTACTACACACTCAGACTATGTGGTGTGGCCTATTACGTCTAGGCTGCAAACCTGTTCAGCATATTACTGTACTGAATACTATGGGGAAATGTATTACAGTGGTAAGTATTTGCATATCTAAACATAGAAGAGATACAGTAAAAATATGGTATAAAAGATAAAAAAGGTACACTTGCATAGGGTACCTCCCATGAATGAAGTTTATAGTACTAGAAGTTGATTTGGGTGAGCCAGTGAGTGGTAAGTGAATGTGAAGGCCAAAACATTATTGTACACTGTTGTAGACTTTGTAAACACTGTGCACATAGGCTACACTAAATTTAAAAGTTTTTTCTCCAATAATAAATTAAACTTAGGTTACTCTAACGTTTTTACCTCATAAACTTTTAATTTTTAAAAATCTTTGGACACTTTTGTAATCACACATAGCTTAAAACTCAAACACATTGTACAGCTGTGCAAAAACATTTTCTTTCTTTATATCCTTAATCTATAAGCTGTTTTTTTTAATTAATTAACTTAAATTTTACTTTTTGAATTTTTATTAAAAACTAAACTAAGACACAAACACACACATTAGTTTAGGCCTACACAGGGTCATAATCATGAATATCACTGTCTTCCACTTCCACATCTTGTCCCACTGGAAGGTCTTCAGGGTCGATAACATGCATGGGTCTGTCCTCTCGTATGATAACAATGACTTCTTCTGGAATATCTTCTGAAGGACCTGCCTGAGGCTGTTTTACAGTTAATTTCTTTTACTAAGTAAAAGGAGTACACTCTAAAATAATGATAAAATATAGTATAGTAAATACACAAGCCAGTAACAGTCATTTATTATCATCATCAAGTATCATGTACTGTACCCATTTGTATGTGTTATACTTTAAATGACTGGCAGTGTAGTAGGTTTGTTTAGACCAGCATCATCACAAATATGTGAGTAATGTGTTGCAATATGTTGTTACCATGGCTACTAAGTCACTAGGCAATAGAAGTTTTTCTGCTACATTGTAATCTTTTTTTTTCTTTTTTCAGATGGAGTCTCACTGTGTCGCCCAGGCTGGAGTGCAGTGGCATGATCTCGGCTCACTGCAACCGCCACCTCCTGAGTTCAAGCGATTCTTCTGCCTCAGCCTCCCGAGCAGCTGGGACTACAGGCGCGCCACCACACCAGGCTAATTTTTGTAGTTTTCGTAGAGAGGGGTGTCACCATATTGGCCAGGCTGGTCTCGAACTCCTGATGTCGTGATCTGCCCGCCTCGGCCTCCCAAAGTGCTGGGATTACAGGTGCAGCCACCGTGTCTGGCTGCTCCATTGTAATCTTACGGGACCACCATGTATATGCAATCCTTGGTTGACTGAAATGTCCTTAAGGGGTGCATGATTGTGTAATAAAATAATGTGACTCCTTAATAGTGTGAATATCCTTCTTTATTCCTGGCATATGACTTTCTTCTCTCATGTTTAATAAACTTTCTGTCCCTTTTATCTTTTATAATCATTTTATGCAGCATCTTTATGCTACTGCTTATTTAGAAGTTTGCTACTTTCATGGCATCTTTGATTCTAAATTTTACCTACACAAGTTAAGTCAGAGTACTTTTAAAAAAAAAAAGGTATTTAATACATCTGTATTTTTAGAGCTGCTTTTATATTCAGCGCAGCACCAACACTTTGGAAATGTTTAAATGGAAAGAAAAGACAGATTTCAAAACATTAGGCCCAGGGCGCAGTGAAGATTTTAGTTGTGCTGACTCCAACTCTTAGAAACTCCATGAAACACCAATGTGTTTAACCTTCTTTTCCAACTTGCTTCCCAGATCGAGAAGATTTACTTAATGGACCAGAGCAACATTGGATTTGGATTTTTTTTTTTTGAGTTTATTGGAAACTTTTCAACCAAGCTGCTAAGGAGAGGGAAGCACACAAGCAAGGCCACTGCCAAACTCTGGAGAAAAGGAAGAAATCAGTGTGTCTGTGAGTACATCAGAATCTTCACAAGACAGGCAGGCAACTGATCTGGGAATGAGGAAGCCTGCCTCCTAACATGTTCTTGGCTCTACCACTAACTAGCTGTGTGACCTTGGCCAAGCTCCTTTCATTTCCTGAACCAAGCTTCTCACTTCTAAAATGTATGGAATCAGAGCTCTGGTAGCCCATAGATGTGATTTATTTGATTCACATAGCACTTGCCCTTCCTTCCTTTTTTCCTTCCTTCTTGCTTTGAATCAAATAATCTTGAACATTAAACCAGCCCCTCATGAGAAATTAGATCTGCTGATTCAGTGCCTGGGTACTCAAATGGCAAAAGCAACTGAAACTCAGTGGTGCTGTCCCTTTTACATGGGACAGAAACTCTCTTGATTGCCACAGTACCCTCTGAGTCCCCTTCAGCATTCATGTCTCTGACCTTAGTAAGCACTTGGTTTTGTGACCTAAGGGATTTTAAGCTTTGTGATCATTATGATGCCTTCCTTTCATCTCAATAAGCCTGTAATTCTCAATGGGCAAACCAATAATTATATCTTATTTACATTACCATTTCAGCAGCCAGGCAAATGAGCTGGAAAACCTTAGAACAAGACCAGACTTAATTAACATAACCAGAAATTATTTCTTCCCCAGATTTTCCTTGTAGGTGGCAGAATTTCTATACCATGTATCTTTCTACATCCTTCTTTGGAAATGCTGGCTTTCCCTTTTAACTATCATATCCTCATAACCAGATGATGTACTTAAAAAAACTGGCCTCCTGGCCTCCTTTAAAACTGGTTCTTCTTTTGAACTGCCAACATATGCAACTTTGAAACTCACAATGCCATTGCTTGAAAATTTAACCAACTCCAGCTCACATAAGTCCTAAAATGATCTCCTAATCCTCAATAGGATTTTCTTTTTTCCTCACTCCACTTCCCATGTATTACTGTACATCCTCCCCCAGTTTTCATCTCAATGCACTTGCTCTCCTTCCTTTTCCTTATTTTCCTTCCTTTTACTCCTACACACCTCCCCTTCTCCATGACTGTGGCCTGTCTGCCTCTACTCGGTCCATTTTGCCTTCTCATCTCCCTTAATGACAGAGGACAGAAAGGAAACAAAAAAACATTTACATGGAACCTGCTTTCAAATAGTTTTTTTATGTTAAGTTCAGTGTCACAGGGATATTTAACTTGTTTTAAATTTGTGTGTGTGTGTGTGTGTGTGTGTGTGTTTTAACCAAACAATGCTCTCTGCAACATTATAGATTTAAGTGAAATTGAAGTTACAAAAAGTGTTGTTGAAGGTAAGAAGTTTTCTGTTAACATTTTTCAAATATACCTATGGAAGGAATCTTGGAGACTATGATGAAAAGATTTTCTTAGTGTTTAGGGCTGATAATCTTATGGGAGCTCCTAGTTTGTTTAATTGCATTTATGCTCACATTCTCTAAACGACTGACATTCCTTTGTTTTTGAAGAGTGATTCTTTGAAGTATTGTAAAAATCAACCATTTCCCCTTGTCAGGTAAATTACTATTTTCTATGTTGCTCTTTATTTTAATGCATAGGACTTATGCATTAGGGAAAGAAGTCTATTTTCTGCAAAGGAAAAGAAGCCTATTTGGGTGTTATGAATAAAAAAGCACGATGAATACTGATCTTATTGTTTCTACTTTGATGTTAGCAGAGGTTAATTTTAGGGTGGAGACATTCTTTTTGTTGGAACAAGTGTTGATTTCTGTAGGTGCTGATAGTGTGTCCCCAGTGCCATGGCTCAGTGGGAAAGGGATACGTTTTCATATATCAAAGGGATAACAAAGTAGATGTGGGTCTCCAGGCAGCATTTAATCTGGAATGATGTAAGGCTGTCTACAGCAATTCTGGTTTGCGATCAGGATCAGGGCTTCCATTTTGCTCTCATGCAGATTCTACCCATCAGACAAAACAAATAAAAAACAAAACCGTTTTCACAAGCCTCTCTCCCCGAAGCAGAAGTTGTTATTTTTCATTGGCTCATTTCTTGATAAGTTACAAATCTAATTATATTGACTTATAGCTTTACCTTATATAGAGAGATGAATTTAACAAACCTTACTAGGTCTCCCAACCAGTGCAAAGTGACAATTAATTTGTGGTGTGTCAAGAGAAAAAAAATGCTTGCATATTTTTTAAAATTTGGAAAGGCACTATCATGAAGTAGTAAGGGCCTAGGTTCTAGAGCCAGATGACTTTGATTTGAATATTGGGATCATTTTTGGTTTTAATATGGTTCAGTCTCTTATGAAATGTGTAATCTTGACTAAGGAACCTGTCCTCTGTGGGTTTCAGCTTTCTAACTTGTAAAATACGGATAATACTACATTTATATTTCATAGGTTTGCTGTAACGATTAAATGTACTGATTTCGCCCCACTGACAATATAAGATAGATTATTGAGACATAAAATTAATAAAGATATTCAGGATCTGAACTCAGGTCTGGATAAAGCAGACCACCAAAAACAACAGAATATACATTCTTCTCATCAGTACATGGCACTTACTCTAAAATTGGTCACATAATTTGTAGCAAAATACTCCTCAGCAAATGCAAAATGCAGAACAACACAAATTAGAACTCAAGATTAAGAAACTCACTCAAAACCACACAACTACATGAAAACAACCTGTGCTTGAATGAATTCTAGGTAAATAATGAAATTAAGGCAGAAATAAGGAAGTTCTTTGAAACTAAGAGACAAAGAGACAATGTGCCAGAATCTCTGGGACACAGCTAAAGCAGTGTTAAGAGAGAAATTTACAGCATTAAATGCTCACATCAAAAGCTAGAAAGATCTCAAATCAACAACATAACATCTCAACTAAAAGAACTAGAGAACCAAGAGCAAACAAACCACAAGGCTAGTAGAAGACAAGAAATAACCAAGATTAGAGTGGAACTGAAGGAGAGAGAGATATAAAAAACTGTTCAAAAGATGAATGACTCTAAGGGCTGTTTTATGGAAAAAAATTAATAAAAGAGACAACTAGCTAGACAAAGAAGAAAAGAGAGAAGAATCAAATAGACATAATCAGAAATGATAAGGGGGACATCACTACTGACACCAGAGAAATACAACCATCAGAGAATACTATAAACAACTCTATGCCCAAAAACTAGAAAATCTAGAAGAAATCGATAAATTCCTGGACACATACACCCTCCCAAGGTTGAACCAGGAAGAAATTGAATCCCTGAATAGACCAATAATGAGTTCTGAAATTGAGGCAGTAGTAAATAGGCTACCAACCAAAAAAAGCTCAAGACCATACAAATTTACAGCTCAAATCTACCAGAGGTAGGAAGAAGAGGTAGTACCATTTCCACTAAAACTATTCCAAACAAATAAAAAGGAGGGATTCCTCCTTAACTCATTCTATGAGGCCAGCATCATCCTGATACCGGCAGAGATACAACAACAAAGAAAGAAAACTTCAGGCCAATATCCCTGATGAATATTGATGCAAAAATCTTCAATAAAATACTGGCAAACCAAGTCCAGCAGCACATCAAAAAGCTTATTCACTATGGTCAAGTTGGCTTCATCCCGGGATGCAAGGTTAGCTCAGCACACACAAATCAATAAATGAAATTCATCACATTAACAGAGCTAAAGACAAAAAATACATGATCATCTCAGTATACACAGAAAAGGCATTCAATAAAACTCAACATTCCTTCGTGTTAAAAACTCTCAATAAACTAGGTATTGAAGGAACATACCTTAAAATAATAAGGGCCATATATGACAGACCCACAGCCAATATCATACTGAATGGGGAAAATCTGGAAGCATTCCCCTTGAAAACTGGCAGAAGACAAAGATGTCCTCTCTCACCACTCTTATTCAACATAATATTGGAAGTTCTGGCCAGAGCAATCAGGGAAGAGAAAGAAAGAAAGCGTATTCAAATAGGAAGAGAGGAAGTCAAATTATCTGTATTTGCAGATGGCATGATCTTATATCTAGAAAACCCCATCTTCTCAGCACCAAAGCTTCTTAAGCTGAGAAGCAACTTCAGCAAAGTCTGAGGATGCAAAAATCAGTGTGCAAAAATCACTAGCATTCATATATACCAACAATAGGCAAGCAGAGAGCCAAATCATGAATAAACTCTTACTAACAATGGCTACAAATAAAATAAAATTCCTAGGAATACAGATTATGTGGGAAGTGAAGGACATCTTCAAGGAGAACTACAAACCACTGCCCCCAAAATTAAAGAGGACTCAAACAAATGGGAAAATATTCCAAACTCATGGTTAGAATCAATATCATGAAAATGGCCATATTGTCCAAAGTAATTTATAGATTCAATGTTATTCCTAATAAACTACCATGGAGATTCTCCATAGAATTAGAAAAAACTATTTTAAAATTGATATGGAACCAAAAGAGAGCCTGTATAGTCAAGATAATCCTGAGCAAAAAGAACAAAGCTGGAGGCATCGTGCTACCTAACTTCCAACTATACTACAAAGCTACAGTAACCAAAACAGCATGGTAATGGTACCAAAGCCAACACATGGACCAATGGAACAGAATAGGGAACTCAAAAATGAGACTGCACACCTGCAACCATCTGTTCTTCCACAAACCTGACAAAAACAAGCAATGGGAAAAGAATTCCCTATTTAATAAATGGTGCTGGGAAAACTGGCTAGTCATATGCAGAAAACTGAAAATTGACCCCTTCTTACACCTTATACAAAAATGAACTCAAGATGGATCAAGACTTAAATGTAAAACCCAAAACTGTAAAAACCCTAGAAGAAAATCTAGGCAACACCATTCAAAACATAGGCACAGGCAAAGATTTCATGAAGAAAACACCAAAAATAATCGCAATATAAGCAAAAATTGACAAACAAGATCTAATAACTAAAGGGCTTCTGCACAGCAAAAGAAACTGTCATCAGGGTGAACAGACAACCTACAGAATGGGGGAAAACTTTTGCAATCTATCCATCTGACAAAGATTTAATATCCAGAGTCTACAAGGGACTTAAACAAATTTACAAGAATAAAACAATCAACCCCATTAAAAAGTGGGTAAAAGGCATGAACAGACACTTCTCAAAAGAAGACATTCATGTGGCCATAAACATATGAAAAAAAGCTCAATATCACTGATCATTAGATAAATGCAAATCAAAACCACAATGAGATACCATCAGTCATAATGGTGATTGTTAAAAAGTCAAGAAGGCCATGTTGGAAGTGTAAACTAGTTCACCCATTGTGGAAGACAGTGTGGCGATTCCTCAAAGACCTAGAGGCAGAATTATCATTTGACCCAGCAGTCTCATTACTGGGTATATACCCAAAGGAATATGAATCATTCCATTATGAAGATACATGTACATGTATGTTCACTGAAGCACTATTCACAATAGCAGAGACATGGAATCAACTCAAATGGCCATTAATGATAGATTGGATAAAGAAAATGTGGTACATTTATACCATGAATATTATGCAGCCATAAAAACAAAAAAACAAAAAACAAGATTATGTCCTTTGCAGGGACGTGGATTGAGCTGGAAGCCATTATCCTCAGTAAACAAATGCAGGAGCAGAAAACCAAACACCGCATGTTCTCAGTTATTAGTGGAAGCTGAATGATGAGAAGACATGGACACATTGACGGGAGCAACACACACTGGTGCCTGTCAGGGGCCCTGGGAAGGGAGAGCATCAGGAAGAATAGCTAATGGATGCTGGCCTTAATACTTAGGTGATGGGTTGATCTGTGCAGCAAACCACCATGGCACACATTTGCTTATGTAACAAACCTGCACATCTTACACATGTACCCTGGAACTTAACAGTTGAACAAAACAAAACAAAACAAAAATAAATGTGTTAATTCATGTGAAGGACTTAGAACGGTGCCTTATGATTCATTAAATCAACTTTCATTATATCAAACCACCTCATAGTTTGGCTTACATTCTATTTTCTTGGATAGTGTCCATTAAGAAAGTTAATCCTACCCATAACATTTTTAATTTATCTATGGTAAATGCTGCAGGTAACATGCTGCATTCACTTCTGCCCCAGAAGACTTGCTTGTCTCCTTTCTGTGATTGGAACATAATTAAATAATTGAAGTACTTTCCCCATCTTCACTTGAAGCTGGTGTTGGAATGGCCTAAACGTGCTGTATCTTGAAGAGGATAGATATGACATAAACTATATATTTGGGGTCAAGGTGATTGAAACCTGGTAAGCCCAAAGAAAGTCTGGAGTTGCATATCCAAGCATACTAAGAATCCACAGGAGAAAGATTAAGATTTCTGGAAAACATCCCTAAGAACAAACACTTTGACCTGTAATGAAGTTCTTAGAATCACTTCTCCAGCTTCTCTTATAAATGTCTATCTCAACCATTTTTAAGTGCAGATTTCTAAAATGGTGAGTAGAAGGAGCTAAAGTGGGAGACAAGTGAAATTATCTTCAGTTGTGGATGTGGATTTTTATCAGAAAATCTTGGTGAAAGCTTCTGCTCTTGGAAGTTGGTCTCGAGATGTTTAATTTGTTTCCTACAATTATTAAGTTCCTTAAGATTTTCCAAGCTAGATTGATTTCTTTCATTTTTACTTTGATGACTCCAGGGATGCCATATGAAGAAGAACCCCAATAATGGTACTATATTTTTAAAAATGAAATTAAGTAATGTATGTGAAAGGGCATGTCAGACTCTAAAATCTAAACTGAAAATTATGCCTTGTTTTTCAGTCATCCACCCTTTGTAGAGCCACCACTCTCTTTCAAGATATGCTAAGTGAGGGACTTTGCCTGTGTTAGTTCTCATCCATATGCTCAAACTTGCAAAATAGTAATAATAATACTGTTTTTCAGATGAGGAAACTGAGACTCAGAGAGGTTAAAACAACTTACCCCAGACTTAATTGCAATTTATTTTATAATGATTAAGGGATATTCTTTTTATACACATTGTATGAAAATGACTGCTATTGGATTACTTATTTTTCACCACGTTTGCCAAAACACATTTTCTTAATATGGTCATTTCAAAAAGTACAGTGAAATTCTCAAATAGCTTAAAAAATTAATTTCCCAACTCCTTTCCATTTTCTTTCTGCTTAATCTAGCTGGACAAGTAGAATCTTCAGACTCACCAGTTATTCCTACTCTGTCCAACTGCTTGGCTATCACTTAACACAAGCTCTTTCCGGGGCTCCAGCTGGATTCCTTGCAGAATTTGGGGCTTATTTCTATCTGGCAGCCTCGACCATAAAACTGAGAAACACTTTTATTCTTCTCTTAATGAATGGAAAATTTCCTTTATTTTTAAACTCAACATAACTCCCAGATATCTACCAGGCTTTGTAAATTTTTAACTTAGATAATACACAATGCCCAGTAAGTACCTTGAAATGTTAAGTATCGGCCAGACTCGATGAAATAACTACAGACACATCATGATGTTGCTCATTTTTCTGTAATGATTGTGCCTCACAAGACCAAAGGGTAGTCTGACGTTGTGAACTGTCTTCAGGGCAGAACTGATCTATAGAAGGAGAAAATCAAATATGATATGGTCATATTAGGGATACTGGGGACAGTTGTGAGTGCTATTCAGAATTCTGAGAGCTAGTTACATCTTTTAAAACCTATGCCACAGAAGTATAATTTTCCTATGTCTTTTATAAACATTGGAAATACCATATGATGGCTTTTAATCCATAGGAGGGCAATGTTGAGCTTTAGGAAAATCCTTCCAGATTTTTTTTTCAAAAGAACGTATAGAACTGATTAATTTAAAAATTAATGAATTGAAACAAATTAACTAAATATATTACAAGATGACAGTTATTTAATAATATCCCATGTCACATACTGACTGGCTTCATGTTTGTCATACTGATAGTTAATTTGTAAACTGATGTAAATTATCCTTGTCACTTGAAGCCAAACCACTGCTGTCTCATTTGAGAAGGCTGCATTCTTGTCTGTGCAGCTTTTCTTTATGTTGGATGTTGGATGAGCTTAAATTATTTACAAATAGACTAGTACTCTGATATTTTTATGCATGATTTGCTGATGATACCTCTGCTTAAAAAGATAAGAATTCCTACAGTTCAGATTTCTCATCTTCTGTGACACCTCTCTTTGGATCAGAATTTGAGGTGGCCCTTAGCCAAATGCCATCATGAAGCTCTTAAAGCCAAATGCCATCATGAAGCTCTTAAAGAGTTAACTAAATGTTATGTTTAAAGCGAGTTACTTATTTATTTATTTTTATTTTTGCCCAGGCTGGAGTGCAATGGCACAATCTAAGCTCATTGCAACCTCTGCTTCCCAGGTTCAAGAGATTCTCCTGCCTCAGCCTCTTGAGTAGCTGGGATTACAGGCGCACGCCACCATACCTGGCTAATTTTTGTATTTTTAGTAGAGACAGGGTTTCACCATGTTGGTCAGGCTGGTCTCGAACTCCTGACCTCGTGATCCACCTGCCTCGGCCTCCCAAAGTGCTGGAATTATAGGCGTGAGCCACCGTGCCCAGTCTTAAAGCGAGTTATTAACATTAAGAACAAGACAAAACTAAATTTCAGCCAAATTGTAAGATATCAAAGTGGTTCATATGTCAGAATTGTTTCTATAAAAGGAATCATGGACCAATATAGCACACTGTCATTTTAACCTGTATCTGAAGGAAGTCTATTTTGAATAATTGAAGCAAGTATTATAAATATAATTTAAATATAATTATGTGTTTTTGTGGGAAAGTAGCAAATTCTGTAGTGTTGTGAAGACATCAGAATTTCCTAGATTGAAAAAGTAATTTGTCCTTCCTCTGAACTTATATATCTCCATTTACTAGAACATAGTGATAAATGTTTGTTTGTTGCTGTGCTAAGGCACATTGCTAAGGCACATTCTGGCCATAGGAGCATGATGTATCTCATCTCAGGGTTGTTCCTGAGTCTAAAGAACCAGTTAACGACTGGGTCAGTAACAATAATAGCTAATGTTTACTAGATGCTTACTATATGCCAAACACTATAATCTAAATATTGTTATTGGTTTATTTAAAACTTCACAACAATAGCATAAATTCTATTGTTAACATAATTTTCTATATGACAAAATGTGCTTCAGAGTGAGTTTAAGTTTAAATAATGTCTGGTGGGGCATAGTGGCTCATGCCTGTAATCCCAGCACTTTGGGAGGCTGAGGCGGGTGGATCATGAGGTCAGGAGATCGAGACCATCCTGGCTAACACAATGAAACCCCGTCTCTACTAAAAATACAAAAAATTAGCCGGGTGTGGTGGTGGGCGCCTGTAGTCCCAGCTACTCGGGAGGCTGAGGCAGGAGCATGGCGTGAACCCAGGAGGCGGAGCTTGCAGTGAGCAGAGATCACCCACTGCACTCCAGCCTGGGTGACAGAGCGAGACTCCGTCTCAAAAAAAAAAAAAAAAAAAAAAAAAAAAAAATAATAATAATAATAATAATAATAATAATGTGTTTGAGCTCACAAAACTTCCTAAGAGACAGAACCAGGCACACTCCAGCAGACTTGCTTCTCATTACCACTTCTAGGTTAAAAGTGGAGTGCATCAAAGACTAGGATAGCTGATGCACAATGTTGAATATTTACTCAGTATCTTTTGTTTAATGTGATGCTTCTGGGTGGATGTAGGTGGATGGGAATTGTTAAGAGCACCAATGATAAACATCATTATAGAATTTACTATTTAAATCTACCTGCATGCCTTAACATTTGTGATGCGAAGTTTTTGTTTTTGAAATAAGATAGTAGTGTAATAAATGATTTATAATCTCATGAAGGATGGAAATTATATCTTACAATTCTCTGTATGTTCCATCATATACAATCCAATAGCATAAATATGTGACACATTTGGAAAATAATTGATGACTGAAACATTTATGTATGGCAAAGGGGCGGGTAACTGTAAAGTCAAATGCAGAAACTACTGACATACAATCTTTAGACCATAGTTTAGGTCTGAGTAATATCTATAGGGAATATATTCTGCTTATTTACAACCAAGAAGAATGGCTTGGGTCTGAACTTCTGATGAACCACTTCAACCTTATCAGAAAGAGTGGATGTTAGATAAATGGTCAGCAGTTTTGTTTTTCTTTCTAGTTACTTGCTTTAAAAAAGATCTAACTTTTCATTTGGAACTTTATAATGATAATGATAATTGAAATCCCATGTAATTTTCTAAATGGACATTGTTAACATATCTGCAGAGAGCTCTATTTGACAAGGTGATTTTAATTTAAAAACTCTTACCTAGAAGCAAGTAGCACTTATATGATTTTTGTAAATTTTAGTCCAACACTGAATGCTCACCTTAGAAAGTATATATATTTAATAATCTTATGACATCTAGAACTCTGCATCAAACAACATTTTTAAAGAAATTTTATGCAGAGGTTAGTATATAGTAAAACAAAGAAGCCTTTCACTGGAAAAAGTATTAGTTGCAACTTAAAAGTGTGTGTGTGTATTTATGCATGATATTGTAAAGGAAAATAAATGTAGAATCAAACACAAAGTAAGGGATATTGATTTTAAAGAGAGGGGAAATGTAAAGAATGAAAACATTTCTGAGACTAATCAGGAAAGGGAAAGGGAAGGAGGACAGGGTGGATTAAAAAATTTGCACAGTAATTTCCCCATTTTCTTGTCCATTCTTGGTCCATTAATAAAGGATTCTAATTGAATATGTGCAGCAATAGAGCCTACGTATCATTCCAATGACTCTGCAGCTGTGTGAGTACACAGCGGAGTTAATGCCATCAATGAACTGGCCCTGCAATACATTAGGAGGTAGGGGTAGGTTTCACATCCCATCCCATTCCACTCAGCTATTGGCACCCTATTTCCTTGAGTACCTCCCGTCTTCAGATTTCTTTCCAGGACATGGAGAAATATGAAAAAAGACCAACATTTGAGAAAAAGAGATAGTCAGAGGAAGAAGATAATTGGATGAAGAAGGAAAGATGGTGGGTCACCTTTCAAAGGTTATTAGATTGAAATTTGAATTTGGTACATGAGGATGGCTGTGGAATTGCTTCTCAGCCTTTGGGCTAACATCAAGTGGATAACGGCTGTGGATTCAAAAGTATATATAATACTAAGCCTGTAACATAATTTCCATTCATGGCCTCCACACTCTATATGTGTTTATACTAATTAATGCCTTTGAGTGGAGCCATTTTCATCATCCAATTGGTTCCCAGAGGCATAAACTGAAACTAACTTTTCTAGGTAGAAATCAGATTTGATGAGATGCAGGACTACTCAAAGCTGAAGGGATAAGTCCAACTGAAGGGCTAAGAGTAACAAACATAATTTCATATGTTTACTTTTTACTGATTTTAGTCTTATTTCTTATAACTCAGAATCTCAGTGATTTTCAAATCTAAGTATAAAAACCACCCATGTCAATATGATCACAAAAAATTTCACAAGAGTGAGGGCTCCTGTCATGTCTTTATGAAGAAAGCTTCTTTAATTGACATACCTGCACTCTGAGGTCAGGAAAAGTTCCTAGGAGGTTATTCAGAAAGTGAAAGACTTGAATCTTGGCTTAGCTATGTCTCAATTAAGGAATAAGAACATTTTTAAAGTAGCTACAATATTTTTAAAATTGAAATAAAATGTTTATTTTAGAATAGTTTTATAATTACTGAAAACTTTCAAAGAAAGTACAGAGAATTCCCATACACACCACAATCAGTTTCCCTCATTAACATCTGGCATTATTACTATAGCATACGGTCACAACTCATGAACTAGTATTGCTATATTGCTTATTAACTGAACTTTATTTAAATTGTATTAGCTTTTCTCTAATGGGCTTTTTCTGTTTCCAGATCCTGTCTAGGACAGTAGATTACATTTAGCTGTTGTGTCTCCTTAGGCTCCTCTGGGCTATGCCCCCTTTTCAGGCTTTCCTTGCTTATTCATGACCTTTACACTTTGGGGGGCTACTGGCCAGGTATTTTGTACAATGTTCCTCAATTCGGTTTTGTCTGATGTTTTCCTCAGGTAGGTGGGTGTATTAGTCCATTTTCATGCTGTTGATAAAGACATCCCTGAGACTGGGAAGAAAAAGAGTTTTAATGGACTTACAATTCCACATGGCTGGGGAGGCCTCGCAATCATGACAGAAGGCAAGGAAGAGCAAGTCACATCTTTTGTGGATTGCTGCAGGCAAAGAGAGAGCTTGTGCAGGGAAACTCCTATTTTTAAAACCATCAGATCTCATGAGACTCATTCACTATCATGGGAACAGTGCAGGAAAGACCGGCTCCCATAATTCAATCACCTCCTACTTGGTTCCTCCCATGACACATGGGAACTGTGGAAGTTACAATTCAAGATGAGATTTGGGTGGGGACACAGCCAAACCATATCAGTGGGTTATGGTTTGGGGAAGAAAACCACAGAAATTTTGTGCCACTCTCAACATTATATATTAATCTACATGACTTGTCACTGATGATTTTAAAATTGGTCACCTGGAAAACATAGTGTTTCCTGGGCTTCTCCACTGTGAAATTAACTGTTCCTACCACTTGCCTCTCCCTACTGTGCTATTTGGAAATGAATCACTAAGCCCACACTTAAGGGATGGGGAGTTAAGTTTCACCTCCTCAGGTAGAGAGTAGTGCCTAAATAAATGATTTAAATTTTTTCTGTTGAGGAAATCTGTCTTTTATCTCCAACTTATTTATTTTTTCAATAATTTATTTTTATCAGTATAGGCCCATGGATATTTGTTTTATATTTAGAAATATAATGAAGTAATATGTTATTTTATTTTATTCTATTTTTTGCTCCAATTGTTCCAAATTTGGCTATTCAGAGCTCTTTCAATTGGCTCCTGTGTCCTTTTGACATATTACCATTGTTTTGTCTTCTGCACGTTTTCTTACTTTCTGATACTACAAGATGATCTGCATCCTGCACCAGCCCTAGAATCAGTCATTTCTTCAAAGAGAAATTGGAGCATGGTGTGGGAGACCATGATCTTGGCACAAGGTATACAATTATTTTAAAATAATTACTTTTTGCTTGTATGTGGCTGATTATTTTCTTTTGGACATTTTTGGAGAGACTTTCATTCAAATTTATATCTGCCTCAAACTACATACCCATAATCCAGGTGGAAAGGCTCTAATCTTAGTCATTTGGCAGCCAGGAAGATGGAGGCCTCTTTGCAACATCTGTTCCTGTGGTAACAGCAGCTAGGACTAAATAGCACATTGGCTTTTAAAGCCCTTTTATAGGGAAGTGACACTTCTCCTCCTGGTGGCCACGTTTCACTTCAAAGTGAGTGAGGCTGTGCTATCCTACCAGGTACCAAGGAAGATGAAAAGATAGATGTATTTAACCAAAATCATGAATATCTACTGCATTAGTTCTTGTCACAATTTTTCCCAGTGGAAATATAATGAAATTTATATTTATGTTATTTCAAATTATCTAGTATCCACATTAGGGAAGCACAAAGAAGTAGGTTAAATTAGTATTCATTATATATTTTATTTAACCCAATTATACCCAAAATATTATCATTTTAACATATAATCAGTGTAAATTATTAGTATGATTTTTTCATTCTATGTCTTTGAAATTGGGTGTGTATTTTACACTTCAAGTACATCCTCGTGTGAACCAGTCATATTTCAAGTATTTCATAGATACATGTGACTAGAGGTTGCCATTCTGAACAGCGCGTGTAAAGACAGTGTCTGCCACATAGTAGGCATTTGACATTATGTGTCAAATGTTAAATAACTGTAAACCATAAATGTTTTTAAAACAGTTGAACTCCTTTATCGTACTAATACTGCTTGGATCATGTTTTGTTTCTTCTCTAATTCTTTCCTCCTGTGTATTTCTCCCACTTCTTTAGATCTAACCTAAATTTCAGAGATATTTGTGAAAATTAGATTTCAAAACTTCCTCAGAAAACCATTACAAGTGTCTTATTTTGTCATATATTTATCTGTTTGCTGAAGGTGTCTAGTTTTATATCTACATCTAAAATTTCTTGCTATATTCACTGTACAACATTTTTGCATATTTAGGGACCACAGGGCTTTTCAGCATTACGCCAAATTTAAGCTGAGTTTATGAAGCTTAAACATATGTCCTCCACCCAAATTGATGCTAAAATGTTAGGATTAAATTCAAAGGTAATATCCAGGAGAGTATAAAATGCTCAATTGTAGCTCTAAGGGCAGGAGTTAGGTCTACAACTACTCAATAAAGCTCTGTAATGTAAAATAGCTCTCTATTGCCATGACTTCCACACTTTTATCTAGCATTTCCCAAAATGTGAACAATCTGCCTGTTTGGTATACCTGTTTATTTGAGAAAGTTGGATACATCATAAAGAAACATAAACATGCTAAATAAAAAATCAATTTTCTCAAAAGCTATGGGCCACAAATAAGAGATACACTTGCTAAAAAAAAAAAATTATCTATGCTCATTTACCATGTTCAGCAGCATCTTGTAACACCAGACTGGCAGTCTAGCAATTTGATAAATAAAAATCTTCTTTATGGGAAAAGGGTTTAACTTAATATGGTGCTGTCTTTGTTTCTGAGTTGTGATAAAAAATAAAGGGCCAGTGGTTTGGCAAGTCATTTCTTATTTGTTATACTCTTAAGTGTTATTTACATAAGAAGGTTTATTTTAATGTGGTGCTGACTTTATTCTGAGTTATGATACTAAACACCTGTAATCAGGGAAAAATAATATTAGTTTTGGACAGCCACAGGAATGTAGATGACGCTCCTCCAACTACAGGGAGTGTAATTGCTAAGAGGCCTCGGCTGCTTCGTACTCTTTTGCAGTCACCCCATGCTTCCCACGAGCTGTTCATCCAATGACTGAGCATGGCAGGGATGGATACTGAAGTAGAAAGATTTGTGGGAGTCATAAGACACTTCTGGTAGCCTGTTTTGGCTTGAGGACCCCTGAACTCTTTCCCAAACTTTCCTTCCACACAACCTCTCTCATCTTCTTTTTTCCACTTGGAGTTAGACTTGTTTGTACTTGGACAGTTCTCCCAGGCTTGTCTGGTCCCTTCCCTATTTTGTCTCACATGGATGTTTCCTTGAATAAAATCCTTATATATATATTTTATCCACTCTCAACACCTGCTTCTTGGAGGACCTGAGCTAATATAAGTGATTTGCAATCCCTTGGCTTTTTTTTATTTTTGAATGAGAGAGTTATAATTATCAGAGCAGGGTGTGGAGCAGTGTGAGGAGGGTGCACTGTGGGTGCTGGTGGCCTCAGCCTGGTGCAGGGAGCTGGAGACAGAGCAGGGTGAGAAGAGCACTAAGAGAGGAGGGCAGTGGTGTTTGCAATGGTTCGGCATGTCAGAAGAGGGACATTGGGGAAGAGGGACAGTGGTGACAATGGTAGATTCATAGCATTTGGGAGGATTGAAACAAAAAATTAATTTAGGATAATGTCAGCTGTAATTCTCACTCTCAGTGGTGGAACTTACAACTATGGAAAGGGAAAGTATTATATGAAACTTGAGGCCAAGCGTGGTGGCTCACGCCTGTAATCCCAGCACTTTGGGGGGCCAAGGCCGGCAGATCACCTGACGTCAGGACTTTCATCATGGCCAACATGATGAAACCCTGTCTCTACTAAAATTACAAAAATTAGCCGGGCATAGTGGTGGGCGCCTGTAATTCCAGCTACTCGGGAGACTGAGGCAGAAGAATTGCTTGAATCCAGGAGGCGGAGTTTGCAGTGAGCAGAGATTGCACCACTGCACTCCAGCCTGGGCAGAAGAGCAAGACTCCATCTCAAAAAAAAAAAAAAAAAAAAAAAACGAAAACAAAAAAACCTGTGGTATTGGATTTGAGTTGTATCTAAACTGGCAGTTTTCAATGTGGAAATGTGGTTAAAAATGTGTGTACATTTACAATACATATTCCCCAACACTGTCTGAGAATAACAATTCTTAAATAATAATGAGCATGCCTAACATGCAGATGCTGGTTTCTCTCCAACATTCTTCGTTAAAGGAACTAGGGCTCCTTGAGGAAATAAATGGCTGCTTCCAGAACTGGAGAAGGGAAAGCAGCTTGGACCATTATTTTGCATCAGAAAGTATGGAGATATCAAAGAATGATAGGGTCATGTTGTAATGCCAAAGGTTCTCGCCTTAGCCACGCCAAAGATTTGGTGTGGCGGCAGCCCGCGGTGAGAGAGAGACACAGATCGGACCGAGAGAAAAACAGCTGTAGGCTTTATTGAGCGGAGTGACAGTACAAAGCTTCCACAGAGTGGAAGGGGTCCTGAGCAGGTAACCAGTGTTAGATTTTTCTATCACCTTTTATTTAAGGCGGGAAATACGTGCGGTAGGAAGATGCTACCAGAGCGAGAAACAAAGACAATTAACACGTCTCAGATCTTGAGGAAAACCGGAATTGTAACTCAAGTTTTATCTACTTTATGACCTTGCAGCGGCATGGCAAAGGAGACAGGATCTCACAGGATTTTACAAATTGTGTTTACAAAGAATTGGAATTGGGAGCGTAGATACGGTCTGCTGGTCACAGAAAAATGGGCTTTTAGCAGTCCTTTTAGTTTCAGAGGAGGGGGAAGGGAGAGAGGGAGAGAGGACACAGGGAAGCTTGCAGCAAAATTTTCCCTGTTTATAGCTTTCTTGCGGAAGAAAACACATGCACAAATTCTGATGTTAGGAATATTTTAAGCACTTATCTTCAATATTACTCATTCAGGACCAAAGTTAAGTCCTGATGCAGGAAATGAGTGAGTTTCACAGCTTTCTGAGCCCCTACTAGACCCAGGAAGCCCACTGGCACCTCCTCTCAATGTCAAAAGGACACAAAAGCCAGCTTGAAGAGATTCCCACTGACCAAATTTGGGACAATTTCATGAACGATTCATAATAATAAATTTTAATCAATGAAATAAAATAATCCATCTGTCTATACTAGCATAAAGAAAGAAACAAAGAAGAGATAGTGTTCCTTCATATAATGTCAACAAATGTGGAAGAATAATAGAAGCAGGAAAATCACAATTGGATAGCAATTGTAACAATAATAAATTCAGCCAAGAAATATCAGGGGATGCTAAAAGTGGGTGCAGATTTAAAGAGGAACAAAATATTTACACGTCTCTAAGTATTTCCTCACAAAATACTTATTGATAATGGACAAAAGAACAACCACTGAGTAAAACTTCCTGGCAGGTACCCTCTTGAATCAAATGATCAAAGTTAAGAACTCCAATAATGGGAAAATTCAAAGTCATGGGTGTCTTAATAGAATTATGAGAACATAGCATCATTACCGGGGGTCCTTTCTCACACAGCTTCCAAGATGGCGGTGGACTGCTTCCAAGATGGTGACAAGCCTCGTGTTCTCTGACCTGGGGTTCTTGGCCTCACGGATTCCAAGGAATGGAATCTTGGGCCATGGGGTGAGTGTTATAGCTCTATTAGAAGCCGTGGGTCACGGAAGAGAACCGTGGAACCCAGTGACTAGTGTTCAGCTCGATTAGGACGAACCCAGGCACTTAGCCATGCAGGAACAATGGCGAGCCTAATTTAGCCCGATCCGGAATGGCAGTGGGTGCCTTGCTAGATCAGGAGCACAGGGGACACCCTGCCGGATGCGGAAGAATGGAAGTCAGTGGCGAGTCTGCCACGGCCGCAAAACAGCAGTGGTGGAGGGCGAGCGAAAGCTCAGCTCCAGCCGTAACAAACATGGACCAGAAGAGTGCAGTTGCAAGATTTAATAGAGTGAAAACAGAGCTCCCATACAAGGGGAGGGGACCCAAAGGGGGTTGCCATTGCCGGCTCGAATGCCTGGGTTTATATCCCAATCCTTGTCCCTCCTGCTGTGCTCTCAGGCAATAGATGATTGGCTATTTCTTTACCTCCTGTTTTTGCCTAATTAACATTTTAGTGAGCTCTCTGATTGGTTGGGTGTGAGCTAAGTTGCAAGCCCCGTGTTTAAAGGTGGATGCGGTCACCTTCCCAGCTAGGCTTAGGGATTCTTAGTCGGCCTAGGAAATCCAGCTAGTCCTGTCTCTCAGTATCTTTTTGTGAAATTGCTCCCCTAGATGTCTAACCTTGCTCTCCTCATGAGCCAACATCAGAAAAATCCCAAACGGAGGTGCATGAAAAAATACATAGAATGGCTTAGATCCCAGTTGTAATTTTCTTCAGATGAAACAGCCTGAAAGAATACTGAAAATAGAAGATAGTTGTAATGGAAATTTACTCAAGAACCTGACTTTCTCATTTGCTATGAAAAAAAGAGCAAGTGCGTATGTCAGATTAGATTCAATATGTCGGAGCTGATAGATTTTCCCCATGGTAGTGTTTGCAGCTGTCCAGAGATTCTTGTTTCTTCCTCAGTCAAGAAGTTAATATCTGAGATTCTTGCATATTTATAGAAAATATTCAAACTCTATCTGAATAAGCCTTCTGGGTTTAAATTTAAATGATTAAAATTTATTTAGAATTGATTTATGTAACAGAAATATATTTTTCATTATTTTTACTTTTTTTTGCTATTTTTAATACTAAACACCATAGGTAACAGATTTAAAGACAATCAGAAAAGACAGTCTGCAAAGTCTTATGAATAAGGCTCCCTACTACTTGTCATGGGTATGTATTTAAAAAGGGCCAGAAAAATAAGAAAAGAGGGACCAGGAGCAGAAACAAGAGAAGAGCAAAGGGAAACAAGATAAGAGGGAGAAGAACAGGAGGGGAAGAGGCAGAGGAGGAGGAGGAAGAGGAAAAGGAGAAGATGGAGAGAGAGAGGAAGAAGCAAAGAGAGAGGAGGTGAGGGAGGAAAGAGGAAGTGAAGGAGGAGCGAGAAGGAGGGGGTGAAGAAGGAGAGAGAGAAGAGAAAGGAGGAGAGGGAGGAAAGAGAAGGAGAGAGATGGAGAAAATAGATGAGGAGAGGGAGGAGGAGAGGGAAAAGAAATATAAGGAGGCGGGGAGAGAAAGGAAGAGGTGAAGGAACAGAGGTAGAAGAGAGGAGGGGAGAGAGGAGAGAGAGGAGGAGGGAAAGGAGGAGACAGAGGAGACAGGAAGAGGAGTAGAGTGAGGATAGGGAAGGGAGGGAGATAGAGGAGATAAGGAATAGAGGGAGGAAGAAGAAAGGGAGGAGAGGAAGGAGGAGGAATAAAACACATTTATTCACCGTTCTCCATGTGCAAGAATGAAACTGACATTTATTAGCTTCATATCATGTGCCAGGCACTATTCTAGATGCTGTTATTATTGTTTAGCAAGTGAGAAAACGGCTGAAGGTAATTTTATATTTTGTTCAACAGTTAGTTAGATGGTGTATCCAGATAAGAACCGAGACCTGTCCTCTCAAGCTCAAGCTTTGTCTTAAGTGATACTGGTAAATAGTTAAATAGCTATGTAACTGGTGAAATTCAGGATGGAAATGCCCACCAGATGTCAGGATCTAGGTGATTCACTGCTCTTTTTTCAATATAATTTTCTTATTTTTAAAATTTCACCAAACTTATCCAAAGTCTTAAAACTCATTGACTTTAAGACATGGCATATAAAAATGTGACTGTCTTGGAATGGCATCAAAGTAACATTGATATTTTTGATAATATTCAGTTTGTTACAGTATACTTGTGTTCCAATGCTTCTTGAGTAAAGTAAAACATTACCTTAAAAATATGAATGTCATGCGATGTTTAACTTCCTGTGCCTGGCTCATTTCACTTAACATAATGATCTCCAGTTCCATCCATATTGTTGCAAATGACTAGATCTCATTCCTTTTTAGCACATTTTGCAGATTCTATAAATATATACACCATGTACACACAAAAATTTTTTAAAAAATTAAAATTCCTCTTAAAAATTGAAAAGAGCCCTGAATGTACTGAAATGGTTAATGAATAGTGTTAGTCAAATACAGTGCTATAAAAATTATATGACTGAAATGTCCTCCAAGTTATTTTTCATTTAAAAGATCAAGATACTGCTATAGAGTAAAATGCTCAAATATTGACTGAATGGTTCAGTAAGTTTTGACAAATATATACATATATATACATTCACTCAAGACACAGAGGAATTTTATCAATCAAGCTCCTTCCTGGCCAATTTATACCACCCTTGATGCTAGAACTATTTGTATTAGTGTAAGTGTTAGTTTTGCCCATTCTAAACCTGCATATAAATGGATTATACAGAATGTTTGTTTCATGATTTCTTTCATCCAGCAAAATATTTTGATAGTCCTCCACATTGTTGGATATAAAAGTAGTTTGTTCCTTTTTATTGTGAGTAGTTTTCATCTTATAAATATATGGTAGCATGTTTATCTATTTTCCTGTTGATGGATATGTAGGCTGATTTTGGCCATTATGAATAAATCTAGTTGAACATTCTTTAACAGCACTTTTGTGGATATATATTTTCAATTCTCTTGGAACGTAACGACAGTGTCAAAGGGTAGATGTGTATTCAACTTTTTATGCAATTGTCAAACAGCTTTCCAAAGTGATTATGACATTTTATACTCCTATAATCTCCTTCTCCTTTGGACACATTATAGAAGTGCACTTCTCTGTCTCTACCCTTTGATATTAGATGTGGCCATGTGACTTACTTTAGCAATAAAATGTAGGCGCAAGTGATGTGTGTCATTTCCGAGAAGAAATTTAAAACCCCCGTATGATTCACCACATTTCTTTTCTATGGCCAGTATAAATTTAGAAGCATATATCCATCAGCTTAGATTTGAGCAAATACATTAAGCAAAATCCCCCTTGCCAATCTGTGCTGACCATGTAGTGAGAGAGAAAAATAACCTTTATTATCTCAAGCCTTTGAGATTTTGGTGTCATTTGTTATTGCAGCAGGACCTAACCTAATCTGGAATGTGCAAATTAGTTCTAAATATTGCTTGCCCCATTTGGGTACACTTTAGCTACAAATAAACTCAGTTTAACATATAAACATATCAGAATGGATAGAAAGAAAATAATTTAGGTTTTGTAAGTACTACTCAAGTGAAAGACAATCTATTTCATACTTTACTTAAGGTATTCCTTTGAAGACTTGATGTCTTTGCAATGTAAATTTTTGTCATCCAAATGAGGAATCTGAAGGTTAGAGTGTTGGTTAACTTGTTCAGAGACATAAAAACCAGTGAGTGTGGATGACTTTGTCTTTTACTTGTACCCCTTTATTGCTCTGTGTTATTTGAAGTTGTGGTGTGTTATCAACAAGTAGAATAACTGCTGACAAGACGGACAAGTCAGAGGGCCTGAAGATGCATTCTGTGAGTGAAGAGATGGCTATAATGGAATTTAAATGGCTAAAATTCCATTTAAAAATGGAATTTTAAAATAATGGAATTTCAAAGTACAATAAGAAATCCGTATTCCAATTCACTGTCAGTGTTTAACTCTAAGAAGCTCAGAGACAGAATCTGAAGCAGTGCTACATCATGTTGGAAAAATTTCCACTTACTTTCCAAAAGTCAAATGTGCTTATCACATTGCTGAATGAGCATAACCTGCATTCATCTTTTCAATAACTTCATTTTTCCCAAGTGATATAAACATTATACCTGTTATATAATGGTAATATACATATTCATACATAGAGTTCATGAACAGTTTTCTTTAAGGTTATACTTTTAAGCAATATTTTTCATTAAAATATATATATAAAAGTAAGGGAGGAGTCCACCCCTCATATTGTCTTATGCCCAATTTCTGCCTCCAAAGAAAGAAGGAGTAAAAACTAAAAGGCAGAAATGAAATCCACAAGCAGACAGCCTGGTGCCACACCCTGGGCCTGGTAGTTAAAGATTGACCCCTGACCTAATTGGTTATGTTATCTATAGATTACAGACATTGTATAGAAAAGCACTGTGAAAATCCCTGTCCTGTTCAGTTCTGTTCTAATTACCGGTGAATGCAGCCCCCAGTCATGTACCACCTGCTTGCACAATCGATCACAACCCTCTCACGCAGACCCCCTTAGAGTTGTGAGCCCTTAAAAGGGACAAGAATTGCTCACTCGGGGAGCTCAGTTGTTGGAGATGTGAGTCTTGCCGAAGCTCCCGGCCGAATAAAGCCCTTCCTTCTTTAACTCGGTGTCTGAGGAGTTTTGTCTGAGGCTTGTCCTGCTACAAAAGCAGTGAAGAACAACAACAACAACAACAACAACAAAAATAGAAAAGTCCAACCCTTGAAATGGAAAGGTGTCACTCTTTCTAGATCTTTTGCAGACCTATTTATACTTGGAACTTTAAGTCTTAATAAGTCTCCAAATATTTAAATCATATACAGTATGTTTTCTGACTACAGTGAAAATGTACTAGAAATAAACAACAGAAAAATACTAGATAATAGCTAAACATTTAGATTAAGCAGTGAACTTCCAGATAACCCATGGGTCAAAACAAAAATCAAAATGGAAATAAAAAATATTTTTGACTGAATGCTAATACAATATATCAGTTGGGGCAGAAGATGTAGTTGAATCAGTGCTTTGGGGGAAAATTATAGCTATGATGCCTGTATTAGAATATAGGAAAATTTAAAAATAAATGGCCTAGGTTTACATTTCAAGAAGCTATAAAATCAGTAAACTGAACTAAAGGAAATAAGATAATGCAGTAAATAATGAAAGTTAAAGCAAATATGTATAATATACGTAGCTGAAAATTGAGAAAGCTAAAAGTGTGTTCTTTGAAAAGATTTAAAAGTTGATAACACTCTAGCAAGACTCATAATGGCAAAGTGGGAGAAAAACACAAGGTATCTATTTGACATATGAAAAAAGTAATATCATTACAGATCATATAAATATTGAAAATACGTTAAGGTCATATTATGATGGTCAGTGCCACTAATCATTAGGAAAATGTAAACCAAAACCATGTTATAACACTTTACACCCACTAATATCTATTAAAAAGAAAAAGGAAAATAAAAAGTGCTAGTGAGGATGTGGAGAAATTGGAATCCTCATATATTGCTAGTGGAAACATAAAATGGTGCAGCTGCTTTGAAAAACAGTTTGCCAGCTCCTCAAAATGTTAAACATGGATTTACCATGTGACCCAGAAAAATCCCACTTAGGCATATATCCAAAGAATTGAAAACATAAATTCAAACAAGAACTTCTATGCAATTGTCATAGTAAATGTTTTCATAACAGCCAAAAAGTAAAAATAACTCAAAAGTCCATAAACTGATAAATGAATGAACAAAATGTGTATTCATTACAATGAAATAAAATAGTTGTGATCCAGAATAAGAAATGAAATATGGGCACATGCTAAAACATGGTTGAACCTGAAAGTATTACACTACGTGAAAAAAGCCAGACACAAAATATCACATAATGTATTATTCCATTCATATGAAATGTCCAGAATAGACAAATCTGTAGAGACAGAAATTTGATTAGTGGTTGTTACATGCTAGGGGGCAGGGTGAGGAGATAATTGAGTGACTACTGACTGGTATGAAGTTCCTTTACTGGCTGGTGGAAACATTTTAAAATTAATGGTGGTGATGGTTGCACAATATTGTAAATATACTAAAATTCACAGATTTGTACAGTTTAAAATAGTGAATTTTATGGTATATGAATTATATATCGATAAAAACAGAACTTTTGAAATTTATTTAACTTTTATTTTAAGTTCAGGGATGCACGTGCAGGTATGTTATATGGGTAAACGTGTGTCATGGGGGTTTATTGTACAGATTATTTCATCACCTAAATATTAAGCCTAGTACCCATTAGTTATTTTTCCTGATCCTCTCTCTCCTCCCAACCTCCACCATCTGATAGACCTCAGTGTCTGTTGTTCCCCTCTTTATGTCCATGTGTTCTCATCATTTACTTCCCACTTATAAGTAAGAACATACGTGATTTGGTTTTTTGTTAGTGCGATAGTTTGCTAAATGGCCTCCAGCTCCATCCATGTTGCTGCACAGGAAGTGATCTTATTCTTTTTTATGGCTGAATAGCATTCTATGATGTATATGTACCACATTTTCTTTATCCAGTCTACCATTGATGGAAATTTAGGTTGATTTCATGTCTTTGCTATTGTGAATATTGCTACAGTGAATGTGTTTTTATAATAGAATAATTCACATTCCTTTGGGTATATACCCAGTAATGAGATTGCTAGGTCAAATGGTACTTCTGCCTCTAGATCTTTGAGGAATCACCACACTGTCTTCTACAATGATTGAACTAATTTATACTCCCAACAGTGTCAAAGCATTCCTTTTTATCCTCAACCTCTCCAGTATCTGCAGTTTCTTGACTTTTTAATAATCACCATTCTGATTGGCATGAGATGGTATCTTGTGGTTTTGATTTGCGTTTCTCTAATGATCAGTGATTTTGAGCTTTTCTTTATGTGTTTGCTGGCCACATGAATGTCTTTTGGGAAGTGTCTGTTCATGTCCTTTGCCCACTTTTTAATGATTTTTTTCTTGTAAATTTGTTTAAGTTTCTTATAGACTCTGGATATTAGACCTTTGTCAGATAAATAGATTGCAAAATTGTTCTCCCATTCTGTCGGTTGTCTATTCACTCTGATGATAGTTTCTTTTGCTGTGTCGAAGCTCTTTACTGTAATTAAATCCCATTTGTCAATTTTTGCTTTTGTAGCAATTGCTTTTGATGTCTTCGTCATAAAATCTTTGTCCATTCCTATGTCCAGAATAAGGCCACACCCCTACAACTATCATGAGAACAGCATGGGGAAAACTGCCACCAGGGCCAATCACCTGCCACCAGGTCCCTGCCTTAACTGGTGGGGATTACAATTAGAGGTGAGATTTGGGTGGGGACACAGAGCCAAATCATATAAAGTTCCCTATTGATTACTAAGCTTATTACCTTGCTGATGAAATAATTTGTATACTAAACCCTCATGATATGCAATTTACCTACATAACAAACCTCCTCATGTACCCCTGAACCTAACATAAAAGTTTTAAAAAAGCCATGTAGATTGACGCTTATGCAAAAGCTCAGGAGAGAGTTACATTCCTTGCAAAGACTATTTTTTTTGGAAAAGTCTAAAGTATTATTTAAATTACAGATTAGTATATATTAATATTAATATTAAGTTCTGTAAGAAACACTCTAGCATATTATGTATCTTAACTTCTAAATTTTGAAATCTTCTATGAATTAATTGTTTTGAATGAACCCAAGGGCCTTGATCTATTCATGTAAGTCTTCACTAGAAATGTGTGTTTCAGGGCCTATGAAAAAGTATGGAGTAGGAGGAAATCTTCATAAATCTTCTGATTACCTTCTTCCCAGAGCTACTTCTCAGAGTGATGCAGAAATAGGCAAATTTAAATTTAACAAGTTTTTTTAAAAAAACATTTTTATTACTAAGCCAGCTAGAATTACTTTTGTGTTTCTCTAAGGTAGAAATCAAACATACTTTCTCTTTTAATGAAGAGCCAATTGTCCTAATCTCTTTATATAATAGTTTATCCTTTATTGATTAATTTACTTATAATTTTTTTTCTTTTTTTTTTCCGAGATGGAGTCTCGCTCTGTCTTGGCTCACTGCAAGCTCCGCCTCCCGGTTCACGCCATTCTCCTGCCTCGGCCTTCGGAGTAGCTGGGACTATAGGCTCCACCCGCCACCATGCTCTGCTAATTATTTATTTTTTAAATTTATTTTTATTTTTATTTATTTATTTTTTTTGAGACGGAGTCTTGCTTTGTCGCCCAGGCTGGAGTGCAGTGGCGCGATCTCGGCTCATTGCAAGCTCCGCCTCCCGGGTTCACGCCATTCTCCCGTCCCAGCCTCCGGAGTAGCTGGGACTACAGACGCCCGCCACCACGCCCGGCTAATTTCTTTTTGTATTTTTAGTAGAGACGGGGTTTCACCGTGTTAATCAGGATGGCTACGATCTCCTGACCTCGTAATCCGCACCGCCTCGGCCTCCCAAAGTGCTGGGATTACAGGCGTGAGCCACCGCGTCGGGCCATTTTTTTTTTTCGTATTTTTAATAGAGATGGGGTTTCACAGTGTTAGCCAGGATGGTCTCAATCTGCTGGACCTCGTGATCCGCCCGCCTCGCCTCCCAAAGTGCTGGGATTACAGGTGTGAGCCACCGCGCCCGGCCGATTTACTTATAATTTTTTATCATGAGTTGGAATAGCATAAATGCATAGGTCCATTCTTTCTATTATTTTCATTGATCACCATGTTGACCAAAACCATAGTGTTTTAACTATTTCAGTCTTGCAGTACATTTTGGTATTTGATTAGACAGCTTTCCTGATTTTCCATGTTCTTCACTCCAGGCTGCCAAAGGAGATCAATATTGATAAATTGCAGAACCAATTTTTGGAAAAGGGATTACAAAAGCTAAATTTATCTCCTGAAAATAGTGAGAGATTCATATCTGACCTCGAATAACTTGTTCAACCAAAATATTAGGGTCAGCTATGGATTCTCATTCTTATTCTTCTTTAGGCTAAGTTTTGCAATTCTTTCTAACAACTTCTTTTCTGTTTCTTATTCATGTTTTTTCCTCTCCCCACTTGAGAAATACTAGTTTCTTCATTAAAATTTTTGATCATTTTTACTGACTATATTTCAATATATACAATATGTCAGTAAAAATGGTTCTATCAAAGATGATTAATTCATGGAAGAAGGGAATAAGTTCATATATTTCATATACTATAAAATTCACCCATTTAAAGCATGCAACTCAATGATTTTTAGTATATTCACAGAATTGTGGAACCATAACAAAACTCTAATTTTAGAAAATTTTCATTTTTCCTAAAAGAAGCACTTGTATCCATTATCAGTCATTCCCCAACTCCTTACCCAACTTACCCAACGCTACTAATCTACTTTTTGTCTTTTTTCCTGATTCCTCTATTCTGGGAATTTTATATAAATGGACTAATATACTACATGGCTTTTGTGATGGGCTCCTTTCACTTAATTGAAATTTTCAACGTTCATTCACATTGTAGCATGTTTCAGTACTTCATTCTTTCTGTGGCTGAATATTATTCCATTGTACGAATATACCATAGTTTATTTATCCATATATCAGTTGATGGACATTTGGGTTGTTTCCACTTTTAGGCTCTTATGAATAATGCTACTGTGAACATTTGCATATTTTTTTGTGTGTGAACATATGTTTCCAGTTCTCGGGTAAATACCTTAAGGTGGAATTGCTGGATCATGTGATAACTGTGTTTAACTTTCAGAGGAACTGCCAAACTATTTTCCAAAGCAACTGCCTTATTTTTCCAATGTTGTAGGAACCAGCAATGTGTGAGTCCCAATTTCTCCGTGTCGCTAACAAAACTTCTTGTTTTTCTTTTTAAAAAATTACAGCCAACCCAGTGAGGGTCAATTGGAATCTCATTGTGGTGTGAATTTGCATTTCCCTAATGACTAATGATGTTGAGTGTATTTCATGTGCTTATTGTCCCTTTGTATATTTCTTTGTAGAAATGTCTGTTCAAATCATTTACTCATTTTAAAATTGGATTAATTTTTTTATTGATTTGTTATTTATATGTTCTCTATACTAAACTCTTGTCAAGTATATATACATATATATATTCAGGAAAAAAGACAGAAAGTAGATTACTAGGGTTGGGTAAATTGGATGGGCAGTTGAGGAATAACTGATAATAAATACAAGTGTTTCTTTTAGGAAAAATAAAAACTTTCTAAAATTAGAGTTTTGTTATGGTTCCACAATTCTGTGAATGTACTAAAAATATTGCATTGCATGCTTTAAATGGGTGAATTTCATAGTATATGAAATATATGAACTTCTTCCCTTCTTCTGTGAATTAATTTTTTTTTTTTTTGAGACAGTCTTACTCTGTCACCTAGGCTGGAGTGCAGGGGCACAATCTCGGCTCACTGCAACTTCCGCCTCCCAGGTTCAAGCGATTCTCCTGCCTTAGGTCCTGAGTAGCTGGGACTACAGGTGCATGCCACCATGCTCGGCTAATTTTTGTATTTTTAGTAGAGATGTGGTTTCACCATGTCGGTCAGGTCTCGATCTCCTGACCTCGTGATCCACCTGCCTCGGCCTCCCAAAGTGCTGGGATTACAGAATTAATTGTTCTTGATAGAACCATTTTTATTGACATATTATTTATATTGACATATAGTCGATAAAAAGGATCAAAAATTTTAATGAAGGAATTAATATTTCTCACTTGGGGAGAGGAAAAAACATGAATAACATGAAAAATATATATATATATATTTGCAAATGTTTTTCCCCATTCTGTGGATTGGTTTTTCAATTTCTCAATAGTGTCCTTTTATGCTTAAAGGTTTTTAGTTTTGAAGAAGTCCAATTTGTCTCTTTTTTTCTTTTGTTTCTGTGTTTTAAGTGTCATATCTAAAATACTATTAGCTAATCCAAGGTCACAAAGATTTACATATCTGTTTTCTTTTAAGATTTTTATAGTTTTAGGTTTTTTTATTCATTAATTCATTTTGGGTTAATTTTTATACAGGGATGAGATTGATATACAACTTCATTCTTTGGCATGTGAATATCCCGTTGTCTCAGTAGTAGTTATTGAAAAGACTCTTCCTTCTACATTGAATTGTCTCAGCACTATTGTTGAAGTCAGCTGCCAATAAAAATAGGGGTTCATTTCTGGACCCTTATTTCTATTTGATTGATGTGTATGGCTGTCTTTATGCCAGTATCACACTATCTTTACTACAAAAGTCTCATAGTAAGTTTTGAAATCAGGATATGTATGTTCTCTTTGTTCTTTATCAATATTGTTTTGATTTTTTGGAGTCTCTTTTTATTTCACATTTTCTTAAGGATCACCTTGTTAATTTTTGCAAAAAAAAAAAAGCCAGCTGGTATTAGTTTTTCCTATTTTTTTCTTATTGTGGGAAAAAACACATTACATAAAATTTACCATGTTAACCATTTTAAGTATATATTTCAATAGTGTTAAGGATATTCACATTGTTATAAAACAAGTCTTCAGAACTTGTCATCTTGAAAATCTGAAATTCTATACCAATTAAACAACTTCCCTTTTCCTCATGCCACCAGCCCTTGATACACTATTATATACCTTGTTTCTACGAATTTGACTACTTTCTATGAATTTCGCTACTTTAGATAGATTCATAGTAGTATGGTTTGACTACTATAGATTTGGAATTGTGCTATTTTTGTCTTTTTGTGACTGAGTTCATAGACAGATCAAATAAACCCAACATTGCAAATCAGATCTTCCAATGTACCACAGTCCTTTGAGAATGAGGCTTTGACAGATCTCCAATCCCATTCTGCCTCCTCTGAGGGCTGCGTGACTGCTGGTGTTCATTGCAATTGTGGGCTATTGATTTTTGAGGCAACCATGGATCTGGAGAGTGGGGTGAAAATAGGGCAAGTTAAAATGTCACAAAGCTTGCTCTTTTTATTGAGATTAAACCATATTTCTCACCAAATACTCTCCAGATTACTGCAAGTCTTTGGTTAATTTCCAGATTTCTGACAAAGCTATTTTTTGCCAGTTGCTCAAAGCTTTTACAAAGGAGAGAATGTTCAGAGGTCTTACTCCACCAATTTTGCTAATTTTACTTCTCTAAAATAAGTTCTATGATGTAAGTTTTCACTATCCCTAACCCAGGAGTCAATATGGAAAAGCTAAAAGAGGAACCTAGAGCTTTGTCTGTGGCTAAGTCCATTCAAAGGTAGGCCCTAGGGAATCCACAATATATTTTTGCAGTCTTTTCTTTATCAATGCCCAGACTAGAATTCTTGCAGCTTCTAGCATTTCTGGACTCAGGTATGTCTGCGACAACTAGGCATGTGGACATCTAGAATGGTTCAGTGGGGATATTGGTTCACTAGTGGAGTTCATTGAATTTTTTTTAAACTTTGCATAGACTTTTTTCCAAATTTGGGCATCAACAAATAGGGATTTTAAGGAGTAAGAGATGCACTGTTATACATTGTGGGTGTACGATGGAGCCCTCCTTTGTCTTTCTCTACTCCTGTTATATACAGCATGCTCAAGTGTAGTAATTGACTTGAAATATTATATATTTTTTAAAATTACAAAAACTAAAAACTTTACACATACATTTACAAAGTTAACAATTTATTTCATTTCTAGTACTTTAATATATGTGTTTAATAGTAGGAATCAAAAGTGTAATTCATCACTTTATGATTTATCTAAAATATGTGTATGGTATACATAAGTGTTATTAGTGTTGTTTTCATATCATAACTTCAGGTGTAGCAAAGATTTAGAGTGTGTAAAATAATATTCTGAATGATTTGCTTTGAAAAATTGTGCCATAATATTTAATAAATAACATTGCTAATTACACCTTAAGGACAAACTTTAAACATCTAAAAGCTTTCTGGTTTTTTGTTTTTGATGATTTTTATTTGTTTACGGCCTTACTAAACTCAAAGCATCTAATTGAATTTTGATCAATTTTAACATTCTAAATATTAAAAATGTGGATTATTATCTGGATACTAAAAATTTCCAGAGTCCTTGAAACGAAACTCTGATGTCTCTTATTTCCAGTGCACTTTTAACTTCAGCTGCTGCGTGGTTGAAACACTAGTGATTTTCTCTAAGATTAAAGTTGACTTTTTCCAGCAGGTTTTTGTAATGGCTGAATTCATTTTCTAGTATCGCATCTGATACATTAATGGAAAGCTTGAAATCAAGGTAACTCTCACAAATGTTACCAGAATATTTCCTAGTTCTGAACATTACGCATAACTCCAATAATAAGATTCCAAGATTTCTTTAGTCACCTTGAGGTTAATTCAGGACAAGAATCAAGAAAAATAGAGACTGCAAGATTGTGTTGGCCTAGAAAGTGAAAATCGGAGGATAAACATGAAGTTTCTATCATCACATGCAAAGAAAATACACAGTGTTCACTTAGGCAGCTTTTCCAGACTTTCTCATCTGAACCACAAATTTTCTGGCCTTCAGGTTTATAGTTTGGTACTTCCAGGCAAAGAGCAGCGCATTTATTTTGAAAGGAGAAAATGTGCTTCAGGATGTAGAAAAAAAGATAATTAAAAAGGACTGAATTTCACTATCATTTCAGGTACTTTTCTACTTCTTATTGCAAATTGTTGCCAACCTGTTAATTAGCAAATATAGCTATTTTATAGAGCACCTTCATCAATAGAAACTGTGTTATACTGGGCAAATAAGAATAAGCTTTGGTCTGTGGATATCACCTTAAATAGACCTTCTAGTGCATTTCTTCTTCAGTAAGGGGCTTGAGTTTTTCATAGCATAAGCTTCTCCAAAATTGGAACACAAATGCACAGCATGTCTCTAAAAGTTTTACTGACTGACATTCATGTCATTTTTTATTGTAAACATACATTCTAAAAACATGCTAATAAACTAGCTCTCTGGGAGAAACAAATAAACAAACCTGATTTGTTATTTTTCATGTTCTAAATTCTTCCTTTCATAGCTGAATTCAAGCTCCCAATGCAGTCAGGAAGAAGTGCACAGTGGTTATCTGGAACCAGTATAAGTGGGCTACAGAAAATTATTCTCTGTATTCTTCCTACCTTTGTTCATAGCTCAGTATTATTACAATCTCTCACTTATGTGGATCACTGAGAGAACTTTGGACTGATGTGACTCTGCCAACTTGAAGCTAGATTGAATTGCCTTTTTAACCCCTACTTCTGTGGAGGCCTGTGAACTTTTGGGTGCACTCTGATTTCTAGAATGCAGTCAGCCAGATGCAACTGACTGGCTTACACAAAGAAAGAGAACTATGTGTGTTCATGTATACATCTTTTGGATAAATATATTTTTATTTATTTTCACCTAATAAATCCACCTTAATACAAACTAGTAAAATTTTAATCAACAAAAATAAAATGTATATATTTTCACATGATCCCTCAATTCTCTGTGGCTGAGAGGACCTAGTGTGACCAGACAATGATGGTAAATTCCCAACTGTAGCTATACACCCCAGGGTTTGTTCATCAGCAGTTTCTTGAATGTTTTTAGTGTTCTTGTCTACATTTGGAGACCTGTTTCCAAATTGCTCACAGATTGTAAAAGCATTAATTGGCAATGCTCCTTTTTTGGTTCACTGACTTCCACATTCTCGGGCAATTGTTGATATCAGTTAAAGCATGAGCCTACCAAAGGTACTACTTTTAACGCATGTAATTTAAGCAGTGTTTTGTTAAATTGGGAGGTTATTTTAAGCTGTGTTCACAACATCAATGACTCCTGGTATTAAGTCAGCCTAGATTACACTTTATAGCAATTGCCCAATTTTGAAATAGTAAGCATATGACTAGACAGCTAGGTGAAAATGGAGGTTTGTTGAAATTGGAATTAAAGAAACATGTTTCAGAATTTTTAATACTTCCCCTTTGTTATGAATTTTCCATATACAACCATGATTAGGTGTGTATCTGGAATATGAAATAGAATAGTATCCAGGAGGAAGAAAGTGTACTGTATATAAAATTAGAGGTTACATTTCATGTTTAAATACTTCCAGGGATATAAATCAGTTATCTGTAAATAAATGTGTGTAGCCATCTGTGTGTGTGTGTGCATTTGTGTGTGTGTGTGTGTGTTTCTGTGTTATATTGAAAAGGAATAGAGGTAGAAGCAAAATGAATCAAAAGTCAGAAAAATCCTTATGATTTTTGTTTTGTAATTCTTCTTTAGTGTCTTTAGATGCTCCTACAATACTGGTTAGATGTTTGTCAGATAATTTTCTGAGTTCACATTAGATATGTGAAGATAGAAGAATCTGGGAAGTGAAGTTTCTAAAACTGAGAATGTTAGTGTATTAAGAAATAGTACCTTTAATATACTAATATAAATACTGAAAGGAGAATAATAAGGGAAATTTTAGTAATTTCTCAAAAATAATTTCTATAGGAAATTAACTAAAAGGTCTCAATTTTCTTTTCCTTTTTCTTTTTTTTTTTTTTTTGTTGAGACGGAGTCTTGCTCTTTCGCCCAGGCTGGAGTGCAGTGGTGTTATCTTGGCTCACTGCAACCTCTGCCTCCCGGGTTCAAGCGATTCTCCTGCCTCAGCATCCCGAGTAGCTGGGATTACAGGTGCGTGCCACCATACCCAGCTAATTTTTGTATTTTTTAGTAGAGATAGGGTTTTGCCATGTTGGCCAAGCTGGTCTTGAACTCTTGACCTCAAACCATCTTCCTGCCTTGGCCTCCCAAACTGCTGGGATTACAGGCATGAGCCACCATGCTCGGCCTAGGTCTCAATTTTCAAAGAAATAAGAATCACTAACACTGGAAGTTCTATTTGTAAAACACAGTGTAGAACAATATAAGGAGTATTTTAAGTGATCATTCATTTTGAATCTCTGGTTTTTTTTTTGTTTTAAATAAGGTAATTCTAACTTTTAATTTTTATTCCAGTATTCTTATAATGGAAAAGAAATGTGTAATTTTATGAAGTTGGCCATTTCTCATTTTACGTCTCGTA
Organism: Homo sapiens; assembly: GCF_000001405.40. Lineage (NCBI taxonomy): Eukaryota > Metazoa > Chordata > Mammalia > Primates > Hominidae > Homo > Homo sapiens. The sequence continues at coordinate 146,000,889 of NC_000003.12, read as the reverse complement.
TATTGACTTGGAAAAATATATACCTGACATATTCTTTCTTCAAATGTGTATATGACAAGCTGATTACAGAATATATGTGCTACTCATTCCCTTCTCATTTGTTTCTTCAGTTTCCACTAATTTATTTTTGTTTGATCATTCTCTGGTTTGAAAAATGTATGAGTACATTTCAGTTATTATCTTTTCTTCATCTTTCCCTTTCTTTGTCTTTTGTGTGTTGGTTTGTTTGTTTTGGAGCTAGAAACCTATACACTTAGTTTGGCAATAAATACAGGAATGTCAATGTGATAAAATCAAGCTAATAGCCTCATAAAAGGTCCTGAACCAAACAGGTAAAATGGGAAGAAAACACTGAGAAGCAAATTAACTTAGTGTCATTAATTAATCTACTAAAAGTAGGATCTCCTGTTTATATTTTGAGTAATATAACATGAACAGCAAAAGGCAAGGCACACATTTTCTGACTTGAGGAATATCGTTGCCTTCAAAGATTATTCCTAAAAGGCCATGGTTTTCAAAATTGGATGCACATTAAAATGAACTGAAATGCTTTTAAAAATCCAGACTTCTGGTTTCTGCTTTGGAATGTAGAAAGCTGGAAATGTTATCACACACACCCTCTAGAGCAAAAAGAAATGAACAAACTATGAGTTCATGGCTTTTCTTGAACCCATCAGAGAGCTGAGCTTGTAGGGTGGCTAATAAGGATAAAATATAAAAAGAGTCAGGCATCTGCAGGGATAGACGGACCCAAGCATCTACTTTCTTTGGGTAGATGTTATGAGAAGATACCAGAAAGAATAATTCAGCTAAAACAGGTAACAAATTGGCGCAGCATAAATGTGGGTTGGTAAAATATTATGAAGCCCCTGGAGGTCACAGGGAGAGGAACAATCTTATTCCCTTGCATATTCTTCTCCAGGGATCCCAGCAGGTACCGATAAAGGCTGGCAAGAGTTCTGATAAAGCATCTCTGACAGTGCAAGCCTGGAGGAAGGGAACAACAGCCACTGTGTGATCGTGCAAAATTTCACCTGGACTCCTGCCCCCTGTGTCCCTCACAGAATAAGAGTTTAATCTACTCAGAAGCATGGTGACAACCCATTGAAGATGGGGGTTGAAGAACAGAAAAAAACATGCTGCCACTGGTAAAGGAGGCAGGAATTCCGACTTGGCCCCAAACCACAGTTGGGAGTGAGGTGGGAGCATTGAGAAGACCACACCCCCAAAACCCAGGGACACGGTGCCGTTCTAAGACATTTTATTTTGTTCTTAATTAGAACAAAACAAAACACTCTCTACATGTCCTGCACAATCAGATTAAGAAGGTCATGTAACATGTAAGACTGCAATACTGCTGAGAGTGAGACAAGAATTTGAAAACACAGCCACTCTAAGGCATAATATAAAGAGAAGACTTAAAACTGATGGTGAAGAAGATCTGAGAAAACCCTCTAGGAAACCAGCTCTTACTCTTACGTTACTGCTAGAGAAATTTAAAGTATATGGTTCTGTGAGAATAGGAAAATAAAACAGTGTTTTTTTTCCATTTTCACACACCACTCATCATTCTCGATACTTCCAGAACGCTTTTGACTCCAAATGTGTGGAAATTTTTCCCCATAAACCCAGCAATTCTCTGGCAGATACCACCTTGGTATTAACTCAATTGTGACATGATCTACCTGGATAATGTCAGATCTCACAGAGCTCAGTCTTGCAAGACTGCACCCACTTTAGATGCCAGTCACAAGTCCCAGGTTGTGATCTGTTCTTCTAACTAACTGGCCATAAATCAGAGACTACTGCATCCCCCTCCTCAGGTTAATTTGCTAGAGTGGCTTATAAAACTCAAGGAAACACGTATGTTTGCTCATTTATTGTAAAGCATTTTACAAAGGATAAAGATGCACAGCCAAATGGAAGAGATGCAGAGTGTAAGGTATGAGAAGACGGGTGTGGAGCTTCCACGTCTTCTCTGGCTGCACCATCCTTCCAGAACCTCCATGTGTTCAGCAACCTAGAAGCTCTCTCAACCCTGTCCTTTTGTTTTTTTATGGAGGCTTTTTTGTGTAGACATGATTGATGGAATCACTGACTATTGATGATTTACTCAACCTTTAGTTCCTCTCCTCTCCCTGGAGATCAGGGGATGGGGTTGAAAATTACAACTTTGTAATCACAGGGTTCATTCTCACAGCAACCAGTTTCCCCCATCTTGGGGCTATCCAGGAACCCACAAGCCACCAGTCATCACTTTGAAGATTCCAAGTGCTTCAGGAGATGTGTAACAGGAAACAAGAACAAAAAGCGAATATATATTTTGTATTATAAATCACAATATCACAGGTTCACTGAGGGTTGTAACCATAGCTACAAACCTTAAACTCAGACTAACCTCTGACTAGATTAACACAATCCCCACACTAAAGGCCTAACAGAAGGAAAAGAGTGCTCATTTCCAGGTGTAAAACCTATTTACCTGAGCCTGTACAATTGACCCTTGAACATTGACTTCACCAAAACTAAATTACTAATAGCCCACTGTTGTCAGAAAGACTTAACTGATAACATAAACTAATACATATATGTTATATGTATTATATAGTGTATTCGTATAATAAAGTATGCTAGAGAAAAGACAATGTTATTAAGAAAATCATAAAGAAGAGAAAATATATTTACTATTTATTAAGTGGTAATGGATCATCATAAAGGTCTTCATCTTTGTCGTCTTCATGTTGAAGAAACTGAGGAGGAAGAGGAAGAGGAGGGATTGGTTTTGTTGTCTTGGGGTAGCAGAGGTAGAGGAAAATCTGAGTATAAGTGGACCCATGATGTTCAAACCCATGTTGTTCAGGGGTCTACTGTACTTACACTATAATACACAACTGGCCATTTTAAATAAAAAAGAGATGCATACTGACTAACTAAAATAATCAAAAGGATCAGAATCCAGTTTTAAAGAGTTTATTCAGGTAAAAAGCTGATTATGGCCATCCTGGAAACATGGACTTCAGAGAAATAGGTTAGTGCTCTGAAATTAAAAGTTAAGGTCTTGCTTCTATAGGCAGAAAAAAAGAAATTCTATCCAAGGCTGGTCAATGAGTTACAATTTAATTAATTAGAGCTTGTTTTCTTTTCTCTACAGCTTGTTTTCTTTACAGCTTATTTTCATTTCCTTTCCAATTTAAATGAGTGTATTTAACATTCCGTTGTAGGCAATGTGATAATCATGAAGCCTTTATGTAAGAAAGGTAAGGAGAAAGTTATAATGAAGATCTATAATGAAGATCAATAATGAAAAGAGGTCTTCCCTGGCACCTTTTAGGCTCAGAATATTTTAAATTTCCAAGCAGCTTAAATTTAGAATTACTTACTTTCACAATACAGAATGCAAGAAGAATAAACACACTGCCAAGAAATAAAACAGTCAACCCAGTGATTGTTAGGTATGTCACAGACACTGAAACTATCTGACACAGAATCTAAAATAACAATGTGTAATATATTAAATTTGGATGACATGCAAGATGAGATGTGAGCTTTCAGCAGAGAGATGGGAAGTATAGAAATGAAGCAAAATGGAAGCACTAGATATGAGACAGTAATAGAGATAAAGAATGCCTTTGGCTCTTCAGTGGACCTGATGCAAATGAGGAAATAATCTGTTAATTAGACAATAAATCAATATAAATTATTCTAAATCACATATAAAAAGAAAAATCAGGGGTTGCATGGGCTGATGGTGGGAGAAGGGTTAACCTAAAAAGGTTCTGTGAAGAGAAAGTTTTGTGAATGATGGAACTTCTCTTCATCATGACTCTGGAAGTGGAAACATGACTCAATGCATTTATAAAGACCCATAGAACAGTGTATAAAAAATAGTGAGTTTTTCTTTTTGTAAAATAAAAAAACATTAAGGGTAAAAATAATTTTGATACCCAGAATTATTCAGTCAGCATCTCTGGAAATGGGATCATGGCATCAGCTGGGTGATTCTGACATGGAGATAACAGAGAACAGCTGCCAGAGTTGCCATTTGCATTGGTGAATTTAAGTATTAGTTCCAAAACTTGACTGCACTTTGAAAACACCTGGGATCTTTTAAAAGTGCTGATGGCTGTCTTCTACCCTCAGGCATTTTGAGTTATTTGTAAGACATGATATGGCTATCAGAAATTTTAAAAACTGTCCTGCTGATTCTATTGTGCAACAAAGTTTGAGAGCCATTACTCTAGACCAGCAGTTCCTTGACTTAGCCTGCATCGGCATCATTTGTAGGGCTGTGACAACACAGACTACTGATTCTATTGAATCAGAACCTTCCAGGGATTCTGATTCAATAGACCTGGAGTGGGGTTTGAGAATTTACATTTCTAACAAGTTCCCAGATGATGCCAATACTGCTGGTCCTTTAAAAATTACTGATCTTAGAGCAGTGCTTCTCACTTACAGCTGTACTGATCAGTTGATCTGGAGTAAGGGCTAAGCTTCTGCATTTCTAACAAGTTCTCAGATGATGCTACTCAACTGAAGATTGCACTTTGTCAAGAGTTTCTCAAGACTTGCGTGGCTTACGGAGCAGCAGCAGCAGTAGCAGCGTATGGTGATATCTGTATACATTTAAAGCTTGAGAAGTCCTTCTCTAGAGGTTAGTGAATATTAAGCATTGTATTCTTTGCAACCTCACTTTTCATTGGTCAGTATGGTAAGACTTTATCTATATCTCAGAGGGTAGACTTGCTCACTTAGGTGCATGACAATCTATTAATTCACAATGAACAATACAAGATTACAGAGGAAAATCGATGTGTCAGGGCCAGCAAATTTCTTTGTAGTATGGAAAATTACAGATACAAGCTGGAAGGCAGCATGATAAGTCGGAAACACAACAGAAGAGGTCAAATGATTTTATAAAGTGCTTCTCAGAAAAGGAGGCTAAGTCATTCTCATCCACTGAAATATAGCCCTGTCAGAAAAATCATAATGTTACTGTTTCTTGTAAAGATATAACTTTCCAGGAAGGAGTCTGACAGACCTGCCAAGATCTTTCTCTCCCATGTGGTGGGCAGGATTTGGGCTCCCATGGTCTTTGCATCTTGGTGTTATGACTGTGAATATATATGTTACATGGAAAAGGGAAATCAGATTGCAGATGGAATTAAGGTTAATCAGCTGATCCTCTGATGGGAAAATTATCCTGGATTTTCTGGGTGGGCTTAATATAATCATATGGTATCTTAAAAGTGGAAAAGGTAGGCAGAATGTAGCTCATACAAGTATGACATGAGAAGGACTTAATCTGCTGTTCCTGGATATGAAGATGGAGGAAGGGGTCCATGAGCCAAGGAATGTAGGTGGCTTCTAGAAACTGGGAAGGATTCTTAGCTGATAGCCAGTACAAAAACGGGGACCTCTGTCCTACAACCACAGGGAACTATATTCTAAATTCTGCCAACAACCTGAATGAGAGAAAAAAAAAAAAAAAGGATTCTCTCTTAGAACCTCCAGAATAGAACAAAGGTGGCCAATATACTAGATTTGGCCTGCTGAGGACCTATACTGGACATCTAAACTGGAAGATGATAAATTTGTGTTTTACGCTACAAAGTTTTTCATTTATTTGTTATGGAAACGATAGAAAACTAATATACTCAGCTTTTCCACTCCTCTATTGCTGACCCTGCAGACCATACTTCTATAGGAAACAACCTTGCTATGAATGATGAGTAAGTTCAATTAGGCTATAGAAATATTATTCCAGTCCGAGAGTTATTCCTTCTACTTACAGTAGCTGCATATTTGTGCTCCATTTCATTATAGGTTAAATCTAAAATACAATTATTGAGTAGCAATCTTTCCTCTCTCTTTTTCAAATTCCCATTGTGTGGTGGGTTATGTACTAACAAAAACTTTGATGATTTAGAATTACACACAAACACACACGTGTATATATATATATATATATATATGCATATACACACACAAACACACACATTTCCAGTGTGTTTTTGTATGTATGTGTATATATATACATGTGTATATATGTGTGTGTATATATATATGTGTATGTGTGAATGTGTATATATATATTCGGTTGTCTCTTGGTATCCATGAGGGATTGATTCCAGGAACTCCAGTGGATGCCAAAACCCATGGATGCTCAAGTTAAGTCCCTCATATAAAATGGTGTAGTATTTTCTTATAACCTATGCACATTTTCCCGTATACTTCAAATCATCTCTAGTTACTTGTAACACCTAGTGCAATGAAAATGCTGTGTAAAATAGTTGTTATACTTTATTTTTTAGGAAAAATGACAAGACAAAAAGTCTGTACATGTTTAGTGCAGATGCAACCATCATTTCTATAAAATATTTTTAATCTGTGGTTGGTTTAATCTACAGATGTGGAACCCACAGATATGAACTGTACTCACATACTCACCTAAAAGGTAAACTTTTTCACACTAAAATAAACAAAAATGTACAATTTTTAAAAAAAGTTAATAGGAAATATAATATAAAAAGTATAAACAACTTACTCCCTTAATAAATGACCGTAACCTAGATTTTCTTTCTGGATAATATTATCTCAGAGGTATTTTATTTCCCCTAATACAGCAATTAAAAAGATTATTTCCTGTTTTATTGTTTGTTTCCTTCATTTCACTCAAATTCATATGGGTAGAGAACTTATCTTTATTGATCACTATTGCATTATCCATAAGACACATGGCATGTAGTATTTGCTTGATAGATATTAGTTGAATTAATAAATGGATAGAAAATGAGCTTAACAAACATAATTTAACCCAGTCACACAACTAGGACACATGGAGAGTAGAATGGCCCAGCAAGGGTCACAGGTACCTAGTGTAAGAATTAAAGTGGGGCCAGGCGCGGTGGCTCATGCCTGTAATCCCAGCGCTTTGGGAGGCCGAGGCAGGTGGATCACGAGGTCAGGAGATCAAGACCATCCTGGCTAACACAGTGAAACCCCATCTCTACTAAAAATACAAAAAATTAGCTGGGCATGGTGGCGGGCACCTGTAGTCCCAGCTACTCGGGAGGCTGAGGCAGGAGAATGGCGTGAACCTGGGAGGTGGAGCTTGCAGTGAGCCGAGATCACGCCACTGCATTCCAGCCTGGGTGACAGAGCAAGATTCCTCTCCAAAAAAAAAGAAAAAAGAATTAAAGAAGGAGGAAAGAAACACAAAGGGTGGCTTGCCAGTTAAGACAGGTTTATTTTAGAGAAAACAAACCTGAGAGGAGCTTTTGACCGAGTTAGATTAGAGGCACACTTTTTCACAGACTAAACGTTTTTAAGGATTTAGGGTGGGAGAGTTTATTAGAGGCTTGGACTGCTTTTGTGTTTTTTTTGTTGTGCTTATTTGGGAGGGAGAGTTTATTAGAGGCTTGGACTGCTTTTGTGTTTTTTTGTTGTGCTTATTTGGGAGGGAGAGTTACGTGTTTGTTCCCATACATTTTCCTGCAGCTTCAGGCATACCCCCCCAGTTTGCTCTTAGCTTTCCTATTTTAGTGCAGCTGAAGGAAAAGAATGTGCTTATTAAGACCCATTGTTTTACTGGGGCCCATTGTGTAAAGGTCATGTTTGACAGTTACACAAGAAACTTTTCCCCTACCTTCCTTTGTGCCCAAGCATTTTATTTGTGTTTTACTGTTTGCTTTTTCTGGCTGCTTATAGTTAAAAAAAAATTTCTTAAAATGCATAGGGCTAAAAAGAAGCTTTAATAGCAGTATCTGTCCAATATAATGGTGCTTCTGCTCTGTCACCTAGTCATAATCTTTGTTCAAAACATTAGATGTCGTGATGGTTAATTTTATATATCAACTTCACTGTGCCATGGGATGCCTAGATATTTGGCTAAACATTATTCTGGCTGTGTCTTTGAGGGTATTTCTATATGAGATTAACATTTGAATGAGTAGACTGAGTAAAATAGATTGCCCTCCCCAACATGGATGGGTCTCATTTAATCCATCAAGGCCTGAATAAAACAAAGACTAACTAAGAGATAATTCTCTCCTTCTGTCTGGGACATTGGTCTCCTCCTGCCTTTGGACTTGAACACAAACTGGACCTAGCACCACCTGGTCTCTTAGTTCTCAGGCACTTGGACTCAGAAACTAAACCATTGACTTTCTGGGGATTTTAGCTCACCAACTACAAATCTTGAGAATTCTCAGCCTGCATAACCATATGAGAAAATTTCTTATAATAAATCTTTTTACATATATGAGCAAATTCTTTATAATAAATCTCTTTATATGTATAGTGATTGGTATACACACACACGTGTCTTATTCTGTTTCTCTGGAGAATCCATACCTTATAATACACACACATACACACATGTATAGATCTCCTATTAGTTCTGTTTGTCTGGAGAAAACAGACTAATACAAATTCTCATCACTTCTTGCTTTATCATGCCTTTCTTGTGGTAATAAAGCTAAACTTCTCTCTCTGTTGATAAAGATTGACCCCTCTCTCTCTTTCTACACACACACACACACACACACACACACACACACACACGCTTCAAGCCTCTCAAGAGGTAGTTCCAATAGGGTGGTAGCTTTCTTTCTAGTATGTTGTGTCCCTCTTGGGTATACCCTGTTATAGGCCATTAACAGTCATAGCCAATTATTTGTTGCAAAGGTGACATCACCTGTTATAGAGCATATTGGGGTTTTCTTAAAAGGCTGGTTTAGGTCTGGGTAGCTAAATACATTGACTTGTCTTTAGTTAAAAAAAAAAAAACCCAAATGAAAATAATATTATTATTAAGTAGTTTGTGATAAAGTCAAGCTTCTAGCAGAATAAAGCTAAAAGTAAATGAAAGAGTGCTTATTCTTAGCATTTAAAAATTAATTTTTAATTTATCATGACATTGGTAAGGTAAGAAAAAATGACCTGCAAATCTTTCTATATTTGCAAATTCTAATGCATCTTTACTTTATAAATGAAAAAGGCAAAGAGGGCTATGTTTAATATAGAAACCAACATTCTTTGACTGGCTCAAGGCTTCTATAATTAAGCATTTATAAAGTAAATAGAGCTTTCCTTTTCTTTCTTTTGACAGAGAAATTAGTGTGGTTTTCACTGTTTTGTAGTCATAGTGACATGGTTTGAGGGAAATGTCTAAGCCACAGGGCCAAGTTCTCTAAAATAATTGTGTTAAGAATTTTAAGGACAGTAGCAGGTGTCTTAGTCCATTTTGTGCTACCTTAACAAAATATCTGAAGCAAATAGCTAAGCTAAGTGATTGGCCTAAAATCAAATGAATATCTAGTGACTCAGTACTTCCTTGAAAAGCTCCCTAAGGCAATAACATCATTTTATATGACAGATCCAGCACCAATAATCATATGTTCCAAAGGTGACATAAAAGGTAAACCTGAGGGAATTTTACCCTGTTGACCTATCAGTGGAATGAGAGAGTTTAGAAGATTTCACGTTTGTCTTTTGGGAAGTGTACCACAATTTCTTCAAACACAGGACCTAAAACCAAGTAGGAGGAAAGCTACAGCTGAGTCAACCTGAGTAAGGGATTTCATTCATTCATTCATTCATTCATTCATTCATTCATTCAGCACCTGTGTCCAACACCCTGCAAGGCACTACAGATTCGGCAGTAAATAAAAATGAAATCATTGTTCTTAGAGTGCTTGTTCTCCAGGGAACAAAGACAGACAGGCAAACAAACAAAGAATGAATAAAAAATATGAAGTAGATTAGATAGTGGTATCAGAAAGAAAAAGAAAACAAAGTATGAAGATAGAAAGAAACAAATGTCTTGGGGGAACTATTTCAGATAGAGTAAAGGGAAAGAAAGATAGGAAATAAGAAGAAATAGCACTTCTGTCTTTTTCCAACTTTATAACCAGGAATTAAGCCTCTAAACACAGCTTCCTTCTTTTTTCATCTTACAGGTCCTCATGATAATACCCCAACTAGACCTTTAACTTCCTTCTTTTCGTACAAGATCTCCTGCTCACTAAGATGGCACACAACAGAGATAATTGCTTATTTTCAAGGTTTCAGTGTTTTCTCATAAACATTATAATATGGCATATATATTATTTTATATATTACATAATATTAATATAATATATAATATTAGTATATAATGATAAATATGTATTATATGTAATAAATAATATATAAACTGTATTTGATATAATAAATATATATAATAAATATATAAAATATAAACTATTCAATGTAAATAAGATGCCATATATAATGATATTTTATATATTATTAATATATTGTGATTTTAAAAAGGGTTTTCTTTTTTTCTTCAACTTTTATTTTGAATTCAGGGATATATGAGTATGTTTCTTACAAAGGTATCTTGCTACCCAGGTAGTAAGCATAGGACTCAGCAGTTAGTTTCTGGACCCTTTTCTCTCTCCCTATTCTTGCAGTCCCCAGTGTCTATTGTTTTCATAAATACTATTGTTTTATGTCCACAAGTGCCCAATGTTTAGCTCCCACACTTAAGTGAGAACATGTACTATTTGGGTTTTCTGTTTCTGCATTAATTTGCCTAGGATAATGGCCTCCAGCTCCATCTATGTTGCTGCCAGGAACATGATTTCATTCTTTTTTATAGCTGAATAGTATTCCATGGTGTATACATAGCAATTTTTCTTTCTCCAATCCACTTTCGTTGGGCACCTAAGTTGATTCCATGTCTTTGCTATTGTAAATAGTGCTGGGATGAACATAAGAATTCATGTGTCTTTTTGGCAGAATGCTTTATTGTTCTTTGGATATATATTCAGTAATGGGATTGCTGGGTCAAGTAGTTGTTCTATTTTTAGTTTTTAAAGAAATCTCCAAACTGTGGCTCCAAAGTTAAGCCACAGTGGCTTAACTTACATTCTCACCAACAGTGTATAGCATTTCCTTTTCTCCACAACCTTACCAGCATTTGTTATATTTTGACTTTTTAATAACAGCCATTCTGATTGGTGTGAGATGATATCTCATTGTGGTTTTGATTTGCATTTCTGTGATGATTAGTGATGAGCATTTTTTCTTATGTTTGTTAGCTGCTTATATGTCTTCTTTTGAGAAATATCTCTTCCTGTTCTTTGCTCACTTTTTAATGGGGTGATTTGGTTTTTGCTTGTTGATTTGTTTATGTTCCTTAGATTCTGGAAATTAGACCTCTATTGGATGCATAGTTTGCAAATATTTTCTCTCATTCTGTAGGTTGTCTATTTACTCTATTGATAGTTTCTTTTGCTGTGTAGATTATCTTTAGTTTAATTAGGTCCCAACTGCCAAATTTCTTGTTGCACTGCTTTTGAGAACTTAATTATAAATTCTTTGCTAAGGAGGAAGTCAGGAAAGGTATTTCCTAACTTTTATTCTAGGAATTTTATAGTTTGACATCTAACATCTAAGTCTTTAATCCATCTTGAGCTAGTTTTTGCATGTGATGAAAGGTAGAGGTTCTGTTTTTCTGCATTTGTATAATCAGTTATCCCAGTATCATTCATTGAATAGGGAGTTATTTCCTGTATTAATCCATTTGCATTGCTAGAAAGGAGTACCTGAAGCTGGGTAATTTATGAAAAAATGAGGCTTATTTGGCTCATAGTTCTTTAGTCTGTACATGAAGCATAGTGCCTGATTCCGGTCAGGGCCTCAGGAAGCTTACATTCATGGAAGAAGGTGAAGGGAAGCCAGCATGTCACATAGTGGGAGAGGAAACAAGAGAGAAAGAGGTTCCAGGCTTCTTTTATACAACCAGATCTTGCATGAACTAATAGAGCAGCAACTCATGTATCACCAAGGGAATCACCAAGGGAATGATCCAACACCTCCCACTAGGCCCTACCTTCAACATAGAGGATCACATTTGAACATGTGATTTGGAGGAGACACACATCAAAACCAAATACGTTCCCCATTGCTTATTTTTGTTGACTTTGTTGAAGATCAGAAGGTTGTAGAGGTATGGAGTTACTTTGAGTTCTGTATTCTGTTCCATTGGTCTATGTGTCTGTTTTCATACCACTGCAATGCTGTTTTGGTTACTGTAGCCTTGTAATATAGTTTGAATTTGGGTAATGTGATACCTCCAGCTTTTTTTTCCCTTTTATTTGCTTAGGATTGTTTTGTTACTCAGGCTCTTCTTTGGTTCCATATGAACTTTAGAAGAGTTTTTTTCTAACTGTGAAAAAATGACATTTGTAGTTTGACAGGAATAGCATCACATCTATAGACTGGGCCATAAAACCATTTTAATAATATTGATTCTTTCAATCCATGAGCATGTAATGTTTTTCCATTTGTTTGGGCCACATATGATTTCTTGCAGCAGGGTTTTGTAACTTTCCTTGTAGAGATGTTTTACCTCCTTGGTTAGATCTATCTTAGTTATATGTGTCTAGGTATTTTATTTTCATGTGTGGCTACTGTAAATGATATCGTGTTCTTGATTTGGCTGTCAGCTTGGACATTATTGGTATATAGAAATGCTACTGAATTATGACTAGGCTCAGTGGCTCATGCCTGTAGTCCCAGCACTTTGGGAGGCCAAGGCGGGCAGATCACTTGAGGTCAGGAGTTCGAGACCAGCCTGGCCAACAGGGTGAAACCATGTTGCTACTGAAAATACAAAAATTAGCCAGGTGTGGTGGTGCGTGCCTGTAATCCTAGCCACCTGGGAGGCTGAGCCAGGAGAATCACTGGAACCCTGAAAGGCAGAGCCTGCAGTGAGCTGAGATCATGCCACTGCACTCCAGCCTGGGTGACAGAGCAAGACAAAAAAAAAAAAAAAAAAGCTACTGAATTTTGTACATTGATTTTGTACCCTAAAACTTTACTGAAGTCATTTATCAGCTCTGGGAGGCCTTTGATGGAGTCTTTAGGGTTTTCTAGATAAAGAATTATGTCATCAGTAAAGAGAGATAAGTTGTTTTCTTATCTTCCTCTTTAGTTGCCTTTTATTTCTTTCCCTTGCCTGATTGCTCTGGATAGAGCTTTTATTACTATGTTGATTGGGAGTGGTGAGAGTGGGCATCTTTGTCTTGTTCCATATTTTAAGGGGAATATTTCTAGCTTTTACCCATTCAGTATGATGTTGGCTGTAGATTTGTGGATTTGTTCCTTTGATGACTGGTTTGTTGAGGGTTTTTATCATGAAGATATGTTGAATTTTATTGAAAGCTTTTTCTGCATCTATTAGGATTATCATCAGTTTTTGCCTTTAATGCTGTTTATGAGGCGAATCATACTTACTGATTTGCATTTGTTGAACCAACCTTCATTTCAGGAATGAAGTCTACTTGATCATGATTAATTGACATTTCAATATGCTACTAAATTTGGTTTGCTAATATGTTGTTGAGGATTTTGGCATCTATGCTCATCAGAGGTATTGGCCTGAAGTTTTCTGTATAGTGTCTGCCAGGTTTTGATGTCAGAATGATGCTGGCTTCATAAAATGACTTAGGGAGGAGTCCCTCCTCTTCGATTTATTGCAATAGTTTTACTAGCATTAGTATTAGCTCTTCTTTATACATCTGACAGAATTCAGCTGTTAATCCACTTGGTCTAAGGCTTTTTTCTGGTTGGTAGGTTTTTAATTACTGATTCCATTTTGGAACTTATTGGTCTATTCAGGATTTCAATTTCTTCTTAATTCAATCTCAGATGGTTCTGTGTTTTCAGGAATTTGTACTTTTTCTTTAGATTTTCTATTTTGTGTGCATAGATGAGTTCATCACAGTCTCTGAAGATCTTTAATATTTTTGTCATATCAGTTGTAATGTCACCTTTTCCTTTTCTGATTGAGCTTATTTGAATTTTCTCTTTTTTTCTTTGCTAATCTTGCCAGTGGTCTATTTATCTTATTTATCCTTTCAAAACACCAACTTTTGTCTTTATTGATCTTTGTATGGATTTTTGGGTCTCCATTATATTCAGATTTTTTTTTTTTTTTTTTGAGATGGAGTTTCACTCCTCTGTCACCCAGGCTGGAGTGCAGTGGCACAATCTCAGCTCACTGCAACCTCCTCCTCCCAGGTTCAAGCAATTCTCCTGCCTCAACCTCCTGAGTAGCTGGGATTACAAGCATGCACCACCACACCTGGTTGATTTTATTTTTTAATTATTTGTAATTTTGTTATTATAAATCATGCTGCTATGAAGACACATGCACACGTATGTTTATTGCAGCACTATCCACAATAGCAAAGACTTGGAACCAACCCAAATGTCCAACAATGATAGACTGGATTAAGAAAATGTGGTACATATATACCATGGAATACTATGCAGCCATTAAAAATGATGAGCTCATGTCCTTTGTAGGGACATGGATGAAGCTGGAAACCATTATTCTCAGCAAACTGTTGCAAGGACAAAAAACCAAACACCGCATGTTCTTACTCATAGGTGGGAATTGAACAATGAGAACACTTGGACACAGGAAGGGGAACATCACACACCGGGCCTGTTGAGGGGTGGGGGGAGGGATAGCATTAGGAGATATACCTAATGTAAATGACGAGTTAATGGGTGCAGCACACCAACATGGCACATGTATACATATGTAACAAACCTGCACGTTGTGCATGTGTACCCTAAAACTTAAAGTATAATAAAAAATTTTTTTTTATTATTTTTAGTAGAGGCAGGGTTTCACCATGTTAGCCAGGCTCGTCTCAAACTCCTGACCTCAGGTGATCCACCAGCCTTGGCCTCCCGAAGTGCTGGGATTATAGGTATGAGCCCCCATGCCCAGCCAATTATATTAAGTTTTGCTCCAATTTTAATTATTTATTTTCTTCTCCTAGCTTTGGAGTTCACTTTTTCTTGTGTCTCTAGTTCCTCTAGGTATGATTCCTTGTAGCTACTCTGAGATCTTTTTAACTTCTTTAGGCGTTTAGTGCTATATACTTTCCTCTTAACACTGCTTTTGCTGCATCCCAGAGATTTTGGTGTGTTGCGTCTTTGTATAATTGGTTTCAAATAATTTTTGATTGTTGCCTTAATTTCATTGTTTATGCAAAAGTCCTTCAAAAGCAAGTTGCTTAATTTTCATGTAATTGTGTGGATTTGAGAGATCTTCTTGGTATTAATTTACATTTTTATTCCACTGTTGTCTGAGAGTATGCTTGGTATAATTTCAGTGTTTTAAAATTTGCTGAGACTTGCTTTGTGTCTGAGCATGTGGTTGATTGTAGAGTATGTTCCCTGGGCAGGTGAGAAGAATGTATATTCTGTGGTTATTTGTTGGGGTGTTCTGTAGATGTCTATTAGGTCTGATTGGTCAAATGTTAATTTTAAGTCCAGAATTTCTTTGTTGGTTTTCTGCCCTGATGGTCTAGCTAAAACTGTTAGTGGTGTGCTAAGGTTCCCTACTTTTATTGTGTGACTGTGTAAGTCTTTTGGTTTTATGATTCTGGGTGCTCTCATGTTGGGTATGTATGTTAGCATAGTTAAGTCTTCTTGTTGAATTGAATCCTTTATCATTACATAATGTTCTTGTTTGTCCTTTTTTACTGTTGTTGATTTAAAGTTCATCTTATCTGATATACAGATAGTGACTGCTGCTCTTTTTTGTTCTCTGTGTGTGTGATAGATATTTCTCCAATGCTTGATTTGAGCCTATGGGTGTCATTTCTTGTGAGAGGGGTCCCGTGAATACAACAGATGGTTATTGTTGTTTTATTTAACTTTCCACTCTGTGCCTATGAAGTGGGTTGTATAGACCATTATATTAAATGTTAATATTGATATGTGGGATTCTGATCATATCCTGATGTTGTTAGCTGGTTGTTTTATAGTCTAGATTGTGTAGTTGCTTTTTAGGGTACGTGGGTTACGTACTTAAGAGTGTTTTTGTAGAAATAGTTGTTATTCTTTCACTTCCATGTTTATAACTCCCTTAAGGATCTCTTGTAGGACTGGCCTAATGGTAATAGATTTCCTTAGCAATTGTTTATCTGGAAAAGATTTTATTCCTGCTTTGCTTATGAAGCTTGGTTTGATGAGACACTCAATTCTTGGTTGAAAATTTTTCTTTTTAGGAATGCTGAAAATAGTCTCCCAGTCTCTTCTGGCTTGGAAGGTTTCTCCTGAGAATTCCACTCTCAGCCTGAAGTTGTTCCCTTTTTAAGTAATCTGACCCTTTTCTCTAGCAGCCCTAAAGTTTTTTTTGTTGTTGTCATTGTTTTGTTTTTTTGATCTTGGACAGTCTGGTGACTATATGCCTTACTGATGTTCATCTTGCAAATTATCTCACATGTGTACTTTGGATTTCTTGTACCTACATATCTATATCTCTACGAGATTAGGGATTTTTTTTGAATTATTTCCTCAAATATGTTTTCCATGTTGTTTTTCCGTTCTCTTTCTCCTTCAGAAAATCCAATAATTTGTAGGTTTGGTTGATTTACATAATCTCATTTTCTTGAAGATTATTATTTTTAAAAATTATTTTCTATGTTTAATTGGGTTAGATCAAATAAGCAGTCTTCACACTCTGGAATTCTTTCTTCTGCTTGGGCTAGTCTATTTATAAAGCTTTCAACTATATTTTGAAATTCCTTAAATGAGTTTTTTAATTCCAGTAGTTTTGATTGACTTTAAAAAATGTTTATCTCTTTGTTTATTTCCTGTATTGCTTTAGTAGTTTCTTTATATTGATTTTCAACTTTGCCTTGGAGCTCTTTGAACTTCCTTGCTATCCATACTTTGAATTCTTTATCTGTCATTTCTGAGTTTCCATTTTGTTTAGGGTCCATGGCTAAAGAGCTAGTATGATTCTCTGGTGGCATCATAACATACAGATTTTTTGGTGGTGCCAGAGTTCTTATGCTGGTTCCTTCTCATCTTAAGATGCTGGCACTTTTAAGTTTTGTAATTATTTTAATGTGATAGGAGTTACTTTTTCTTTCCCTTCCCTCCCTCCTGAGGGGATGTGACTATAGTGTACATTGGGTAGGGATTTTTGGCTTTGCTTCTATAGCCCTATACACTTTCATCCAGTTCTATATTGCAATTCAATCTATAGGCCAGTATATGGTGATTATGGGTAAAAGCCATCTGTGAGACCAGCAGATATATAGGTACCTGATCTTTGTTTACTATGAAGTGCTCTTTTTGGTTTCTAGTGATTGGTGGCACAGTGGGCTAATTGGTGCCTGATCTTCCTGTTCTACAGAAGTGAGGAGACACAGCTAGGGAGAGCTGGAGCCCCTAGCTTGCTCATGAATACCCCAATGGTAAGTGCAGGCACCAGCCCTGAAAAAGGTCTGTGTGTGTGTGTGTGTGTGTGTGTATGTCGTGGGGTGGGCAGGGATGGGCAGAAGTGGAGGTAAACTGCACTGGCCCTTCATTTTAGACAGGCAGGAATGTGATATGTTTCTCTATCTCATCCCTGTTCCAGGGGCACATGATTGCTAGTTCAGGCACACACTGTAGTCTCTCTCCAGACCACAATGTGATTGAGAGCCATTGGAAATGGTTTTGCGGCTTTCTGTGGGAATGCTTTCAGGGCAGAACCTCATCACTCAGCCCACTATGGATAGCTTTGTATCTCTCTTCTTCTTGGATGTCGTAACACTGCTGCTTTATGTAAGCAGAAGGCTTACATAAGCCCGTGTGGGTGGGTATCGGTTGTGATGGCATCAGTTGGGTTGGCCAAGTCTCAGGCCCTGGGAAAAGTGGTCATATTCATATACTGACATAGTATATTAGTAACATATAATATACTACATATTATATGTTAATAACATACATCATATATTAATAATATAAATTATAATAAATACAGAGTAATATAAACAATAAAATTTGATATGAATATATAGTTATTTTATCTCTCATAAATGCATTTAAATATATAAGTGTAATATAAATAAATAAATATTTTAGATGTAAAATATTTGTGCATTACATATATGTACATCATATACTTCCAGGCATATGACTTATGTAGAGGTACAATTTTTTAATTGTAAAAGTGTTCTTCAAGTGAGAGGAGAAAACTTCATTAAAAGTTTAAAAGGCAAGTCACTATTTTATGGTGTTTTAATATGTACAGGACACCTTTGACCCCCCAGATTCAGAAATAACTCAAACTTAAGTGTGTTCTCATAGCTCTTTGAAGTTACAAAGATGTATCCCTAGCAATCCCAAGGGGCCACCATGGTAGAGCATGCATGTAGCAGCAATGAGGTTTCTAGATATTTAGACCTAAAAAAGGTGTACAAGGGAACATACAAAGGAAATTAGACAAGCTTGATCATGCTGATCTATCACATTAGTCTCTCTCTTTGTATGTCTAGAAGGTTTCTTTTGTTGCAAAGAATTAGTAAAGTCTGATAATTATGAAAATATGAGTGTATTAGAGTTCACCAGAGAAACAGAATTTATGAATATGTGTGTGTATGTGTGTGTAAGGAGATTTATTTTATGGAATTAGCTGATGTAGTTATGGAAGCTGAAAAGACCCAAGATCTTTATTCAGTTAGCTGGAGATTCAGGAGAGCTGATGATGTAGTTACATTTCAAATGCCAACAGGCTTGAGACTCAGAAAAAGCTGATGTTTCAGTTTGAGTCCAAAAGCAGGCAAGAACTGATGTTCCAGTTCAAGGCAATCAGGCAGGAGGAATTTCTTCTTACCAGAGGGAAAATCAGCCTTTTTTTCTCTTTAGGCCCTCAGCTGACTGAATGCGGACCTCTTACATTAAGGAAGGCTTTACTCAGTCTACTGATTCAAATGTTAATCTCATCCAGAAACACCATCATCAGACATGCTGATAATAATGCTTGACCAAATATCTGGGTTCGCTGTGGCTCAGTCAAGTTGACACTTAAAATTAACAGTTACAATGAATATTAATATATGGGAAAATTTCTGTTTTGTTTTTTTTTTGTTGATGGAGTCTTGCTCTGTTGCCCAGGCTGGAGTTCAGTGGCATGATCTGGGCTCACTTTAAATTCTGCCTCCCAGGTTCAAGTGATTCTCCTGCCTCAGCCTCCTGAGTAGCTGGGATTACAGGCATGCGCCACCATGCCTGACTAATTTTTGTATTTTTAGTAGAGACGGGGTTTCACATGTTGTTCAGGCTGATCTTGAACTCCTGACCTTGTGATCTGCCTGCCTCGGCCTCCCAAAGTGCTGGGATTACAGGCGTGAGCCACTGCGCCCAGCCGGGAAAATTTACTTCTAAAAATATTTCTTGATTCTCTAATTCTTTAAATTAAGCAGAACCATGGTAATAATTGGTTTATAGACCATTCTTGGTACATCGATAGTAATGTGTTTTCTAACTTGTGGCTACCTGAGTTTGGAGAAACCATGTAACGGCATTCAGTTCAACAATAATGTAATGCTCCATAAGGGCAAGACAAAGTTTCAGGGATTGATTCCATATGATAACATTGCCTATAGGCTAGCGTTAAAGAAATAGAATTTTCAGTCAAGATGATTCTCCTTCTCCTCTGTTTCCTATGTTATGACAAATTCCTTGTTTCTTATTCAGCAATAAAAACTTTCTCTGTGAGGCCTGTAGAATCTGAGAACATAACCAGCTGAACAGGAGCCGGCAGCTAACCACAAACAATCTTCTAATACCTTTCACAGTAATGGAATTGCTGATGTTTCCCTGGAGCAAATTTTGCAGATGCAAGATTGTTACAATGGTGTGATTGACAGTATCTGAGTACTAATAGCCAGAACAGAATAATAGTTCACAATGCAATAGTGGCCTTCATCTGGTTCTGAGTTTTCTAATGCCTGGTACAGGCAAGAGGAAAACAGGTGTAGCTTCAATTTAATACATAACAGCTTGTGGACTAAGACTTCTCATACTTTTCATTGCAAATGCATAGAATGTTTCATGATGGTTGTCTTTAATTTAACAGCTCAAAGATTGTAGTGTCAGTGTCAGAAGTGGTAATAGAAATATGTTGGGTAGATGGATATTTTCTACATAGTACAAAGAATTCAAAGAAAGGCAATGGAAAACACAGTGAATTATCTATGTATGTGTATGTCTGCACATGTTTGTGTAAAATGTAATTCTTGGCTTCAGGATCAACTGTCTTGTGAAAATGCCTGCAGGGACAGGTACTTATCTGAGGACTCTAAAATCATCATGAAAACAGGGTAATCAAACAGCAGCTATAGTAGGCTATTGGTGGCAGGATGCACGAAAGAACTACAATGCAGTTGACCTAAAGTACCTCTTCAATCGGTCTGCCAAATCTATAGGCTGCAGGAAAACAATGCACAAAGCACAAGGCTTGTGATTATCTCAAGGACGACGAGGCTCCATCTGAGGTACCAGGATAAGAATTTTCTTGAAATGATAGCTGTGGCTTCAAACCAAAAAATGAAAATCTTCCCATATTCTCTATGTGGAAGGGATCACTGCCATGGAAGTTTCTCCTATCCCACTTGTGTAGAGATATGCCAGTGATGTCAATATTATCTAAGAATAAAACCATGTTTTCTGGGACATGCACCTTACATAATTTTGTATGTTTTATTTTTTTTTAAAAAGAGAACATAAAATATACAACTCTTGAAAATTGAAAAAAGGTACTCAGTGAACATATTTTTAAACTCTCCCGCATTTCAGAGGAGCCTGTAAAATTGAAGGGTTCAGAAATTTAAGCTTCATCAGCTTCGTGGTGATTATATTTTCTGGTACTACTACCTTGATAAGTGACTTACTGCTTTCCAGAATCTTAAGGCAGATGAACTACCTAGGTAAAACTAATCTTCATTTTTATAAGGAATGAATATGATAAGACTTATTTTTAAATTATTTAGAATAGAAAGGGCATTGGTTGCTAGTTTCCTATGGTTCTTCAAGAAAGGGAGGAGGTATTTTGAATTTTAGTACAAGATATACAGTGGTGACATTGAAGTAATAACAAATTTTAGTAATGTTCATGTAGCTGTATGTGTTTGCAGTGATAGCAAGGAAAACATATATTGCTACTACATGCAGAGTGTGGTTCAAAGTCTTTATATGTATTAATTCATTATTCATATCAATTTATTTTAACTTCCACAAGCTATTGGTTCCACACTTCTAATATCCTCTGTATGAAGAAGAAATGGGGGCACAGAGAACTTGGTAAGTTGCCCCTGGTCAGATGGCTCTGAAGTGATAGAACCTAGACTTGCACCCAGGTAGTCAGCTTCAGGCTCTGTGCTTTTAACTGCTTCCCTCTATTGGCCTTTCTTCCTTTGTGCTGTATTGGTCTGGTGCCCAGTGGAAGGCCAGCATTACCTATGATTGTTTGATGGACACCAGAAAGCCAGCACTTTCCTATGTGCAGTGATGGTCTGGTATGTATCAGAAGGCCAGTGTTCTCTCTGTGTGCAATAAAATTTGCCAGCACTATTCAAAGATCAGACATTGAGGACTGGTATAGAAGCTTATGAACTAGCTCAGTTAAACAAGGCGAGCTAACTAATAAATATGTGCCCTTATTTCTTTGTCAAACAAGGCCTTGGAAGTTCTATTTCTCATGTCCCTTGCAGGTCTTGTGTTCTGACAAAAAGTATATACTCTATTGATGCTGTAGTTTTGAAAGAGCAACTTGGCATAAGTGGCCATATTCTAAAGGTATATAAGGCAATGATGTTTCCTAATAGAGTAAGCTGTGCCACTTGAATAGATGTATTACTACTATGATTTATTAAGAGCATACTATTCTCATGTAATATTCTAAGTAAACTTGGTAGTAGTAAAAACTACTAATTCATTTAACCCTACAGTGATCTTATGAGGTAAATACTATTCTCAGCCCTATTTGATAAATAAAGCTATGGCATAGAGAAATTAAACAACCTTTTTTCATTAAAAAGTTAAAAATGGAGAAGCCAGAACTCAGACCCAACCTGTCTGGCTGTAGAAGCTGCTTTCTTATCATCTATGCTATAGTGTTGAAGTGTTTATTCAAATGAGTGGTATGTTGAGAGTAGAAAGGAAGTTGAACATGGTTAGGGATGCTAGAAAAGAGCGTTGAATACTGCTGAAAGCTAAGGGTGTTTAGTGCTGCTCTAAAGAGGAAAGCCACACAGGAGAGCGTTGGAGGTTCTGCAAGGGAAACAATGCACTAAGTGTTCAGTGAACGACTCCAGAAGAAGGGGCTGAAAAGGAATAGCAAGGAAATAATAATAATTCTCACAATAATGATAATATTTAATAACTTTATAACTTATTATGTACCAAGTATGTTTATAAATGCTTTATGTCTGTTAACTGAGTTTATTTTTCCCAAAGACACTATAAGACAGATATTATTAAATATCCTTATTTTACCAGTAAGGAAACTGATTCAAAGGGAGGTGAAACAATTTGCTCAAGTCAGACTACTTGGGTAGAATTTTTTAGCATTAAAATAACATATTTACTACATAATAATTGCTGTGGGTAAGGGCCAAAAACAAAGATATGAGAGCAAAGACATAAAATTATAGTAAGACAAGATAGACAAATGCATAATTAGAGGATATTTATTACAAGCCTGCTTTTTAATGAAGGAGTCAGAATTAGTCTAGCCAAGAAGAAGATGCGGGAAGGGTCTTTCATGAAGAGAAGGTAGCATGAGCAAAGGAAGACAGGCAAGAGAGAATCGCCTTGTAGAGGATCAGCAAGTGACTTGATGTGCATTAGGTGAAGTGAGCTGCTTCAGGAAAGTAGGATAGAAGTACATGTAGGGTGCATCTTGAGGAAAACTTGTGAGCCAGTTGTAGTAACATAAATGGTTTTAAAAGGCTTTGGGGAGCTGTTTATTGATTTTAATCATGGAAAGACAGTATTCAAGGTGACAATAATGATGCCTAAATGAAGGAGGTCTTGAGGATGAAAATGGGGTAGGAGAGGAGATCGAAAGATCTTAGGAGGATAGAGTTAGATGGACTTTGTTATGAATTGAATGTGAGGATAAAATAAGGAAAGGGATAAAATATGAGCTGAGTTCCTGATTGGGTGATGATGCTGGTGGCAAATGGGAGTGGGGTGAGGAAAGCAGATGAGGACTTCTTTGTGGATGTGTGGAGATCAGACGTGTTTGGGGGCACCTAAATGGTAACATCTACAAGGCAGCTGGCTCTTGAGATGTGGAGATCAGAAGACTGGTGTAAAGGTCATCGTTCTACAGCGGCAACATGAGAGCTGTCACAGAATCTACACAGACTGAGAAGAGAACAGAGAATGGAGCAAAGAGGGTTCCAGTGATGAGATAACTAGGGGAAGAACTCAAAAAACCAAAGAAAGGAGTAATAATCTCAGGAAACAGAAAGTGGTGTGAAAGTCAAAACATCCACTGATTCAATAAGTAATTTTGTATGAAGGCTGGTATGTTATTTATGTGAATTTTTAGATAGCTATATAAATTTTACACAGGCATTTTGAGAGAAATGAATGAAAAGTAGTGCATTTAACTAAACAATATGATTTGGGGTGACAGTTCAGTACAACAATTGTTAATGTTCCATATCCTGTTTCTTCAAGGTAACATAAAATAACTTTTGATATATTTAATTTGCAAAGATAAGTAAATACATAACAAAGTACAAATTAAACAAAACAGTTACTTTGGTCTTAAGTTTCCATTTATATATTAGACAAGCAAACTTTGCCAAATATTAAGTGTATATATGTGTGTTTAATAGGAACAGTGTTTATGAACGAGCCCACTAAAACAGTTCATTTTCAATGTAAAACAAATATGAAATAATGCTCTGTTATGCTGAGTGTGAATACTTACATGTCTGTGGTTTGCAGAGACAGTTAAAATCATATCATGCATCTATTGGATGTTTTCTGTTGGGTCTGTTTATACTGATTTGCTAGTTTCTTGGGCAAGTATAAGGAGACACATTAGTCTGAATATTCTATCTTTCATAAAGCCATTTAGGCTATTTATAAGACCTATTTCTTAGTGGGAAAAAGCAGATTATTCTATTCAGTATTATTCCAGTAAAACTGACCTATTTAAAATTTTCCCAGTAAGTCCTTTTCCCTCCTGCTGTAAGGTTTCTTTACTAAATTTGACTGGATTTGTTTGTGGAAGCAATAATGTTAGCATTCAGCTTAATAGTCATAAATGATTTTATTGAGTTTGAATAGGAACTCTATTACATTTAAAATATGCTTGAAAACATTCCTGTTGTATTTGAATGGATCTGCACATTCTCCACATACTTACATTTCTATCCTCTTCAGTGTAATTTTTAAATGCTTCTGGAAGTAGGAAGTTAGATCTTGCTCTTAGCGAAAGGTTGACTGAAAAGGTATTGTGTTCGTTTCAAATCCTGGTGAATGGCATGGGATTATAAGTCAGTGTGCATTTTAGTGTCTGAACTGTATCATGAGGAAACAGCTTACCTCAACACATAGTATAGGTAGGCTAGAGGTATTGAGGTATTAAGAAATGTATTTATTTTACCCATAATGACAGTTCTGGAGAGTCCAAGGCAAAGGTAGCAAAATTATTTGAAAAGAAGTAGTAACAACTATGTTAGAATGGTAATTCTTTTACGTAATTTTAGTTTGATAGCTATACAAGAAGAAATCTAAAATCAAATCAGACAGAGGTAGACATTACCTGGTTTTTGGCTGCCTCACATTCATTTGGTCTTTTAAACAGCACTCTCACTTTCCCCCATGAGTTGACCACTTCATCATCACTGATTATTGGGACGAAACTAGGATTTCATTTTCCCTGGCCACAGCATGTACAAATGGCACTGGCTATATCATTTTTTTATTCTGTTCTAAGATTTGAATCAAGATCCAAGAAACAAAGAACCTGAAGTAGTTTGATATCCTTTTTTGATATTCTAAAGCTTATCATGATATCCTTTTTTGATATTGTAAAGTTTTTCAGTTCCCATTTAGTTCAGGGGTTTCTTTGAGCTTGGGAAGGTGAAGATTATACCCCTTCTTCCCATTTTTGGGGGCCACAGAACTCTCTCCAGCCTTTGGAGCTTCTATTGATAACTGGAATTGGCCGGAATCAGCCAGTGAAATACTGTGGGGAATATTATTCGTATCTAGATCAATTATTTTACTAGATTTCACCAAATATGGATTTTTAAGGATATTGGCTAGCCCTACAGAGCCAGCACAGCCTGATGGTAGGGGGGGGTCATACTGACAGAGTAGCCCTGAAAGCCTGCTATTGACAAGAACATAGAATAAATCCTTAGTCAAATATTTGTGCACCTATTATATGGTGCTGAAAGATATATAATAAACAAAAAGGATTCCCATCTTTTAGTAACTTTATCTAAATTTTAACTATGATATTCACAAACGAGCATATTTGAAAACCACAAGGTAGCTTATGAATGAGCATCTAAAGAACAATTGTTACTATTGTATAGATGAAATCCCACCATACATTTGCACATATTTATCACCTGGTTAACTTTAGATGTCTTACAAAAGTTTCATACCCTTTATTTTAAACTTGAAACAATATTTTAGTTTATAAATGACAAAACTAATGAGGACAGAATCTATTGAGGTTATTTTTTTCATATCTTCAATTTCCGGAATTCTGACAATGAGGAAAGAAAACAATTTTGGATCATAGTAGCAGCAGGCCTGCTGAGAAAATGGAAATCATAAAAAATAATCTTATTGAAAATAGTAGCTAACAATCATAGGACATTGATACTTATAGCATTGTTCTTATACAGTACTTGACGTACATCATAGCACAATAATAAAAGCAAAGATTCTGGATTCAGAAAAGCCTGGGTATGAATTCTAGTGCATTTATTAACTTAGTAACTGAATCATCTTTTAAAACATCTAAATTTGCTGGACCTCAGTGTGCAGAATTATAGTATCTACCTCAGGAGATTGTTCTCAGGATTGAACAACATTAATAGAACCTCAGAGACCACATTTATTCAATGTGTGCTTTCTTTCAAGTACTGTATAAGTACTAGCTTATGCTACTCCTCTGCAACAACCGTACAACAATATGGTAAGAAGTCCCATGGCTAGGCGTGGTGGCTCACACCTGTAATCCCAGCACTTTGGGAGGCTGAGGCGGGCAGATCATGAGGTCAAGAGTTTGAGACCAGCCTGGCCAACATGGTGAAACCTCATCTCTACTAAAAGTTCAAAAAATTAGCTGGGCGGGTGGTGGACACCTGTAATCTCAGCTGCTCAGGAGGCTGAGGCAGGAGAATTGCTTGAGCCTGGGAGGCGGAGGTTGCAGTAAGCCAAGATCGCACCACTGCACTCCAGCTCTGGTGACAGTGTGAGACTCTGTCTCAAAAAAAAAAAAAAAAAAAAAAAAAAGAAGTCCCATTAGGTCCAAAAGCCAATGCTATAAGGATAGTGGAGCAGAATGGAAAACCTGGTGAAAACATTGAATTGATGGAGCACAGGACCAAAGGATTAACTGTATATCTTGAAGCTTTTGATGTATGACATGATTAATGATTATATTGCTTCAGCCAGTTAGTGAAATTTTAATTACTTGTATGAAAATTTGTTCTGTCTCACAGAACTAGACTCTGAGCTTCTAGTCTCAGAGGAGGACTGAAACTACTCTTGTTCTATCATTGATGCTCAGTATGGTGCCTGACACATGGTTGATGCTCATTAAACATTTGTTGCATGAAAGATTCACAAATGAGTGATTGCTTCATATTTTTAAATGTAATTCATATAAATTTGTTAATATTAGTGCATATGTGAACAATTTATATGCCCAAGTCCCCCTGTTATTTCCCTTCCTACTTAAGAAAACATTTTAAGCATTGTTTCAGAAATAAACAAAACAAAGTAACCTCTTCAAAGTCAATCTATTATCTTTTCTTCCTTAAATTCTTCATACTTATTTTTTGAAAAAACCTAACAAATTATTAATATTTCTAGTTGATGACAATGATAATTATTTGGGTAGGGCAATAGATAAGAGGATTTGAGCACATGAAATTTCTGACTAAAAAGCAATTTTCAAAAACAGTAAGTAGAAATCCTGCTCTATCTGGTTCCACCTCAGTTAAGGGTATAATTTATAAGAATATATTTGATATTATTTAATTAATTACCAAGACCAGTGAATGTAAGGCCACTGACATATACTCAGGGAATATATTAGATGGAAAAGTGTCATTCTGGGATCTGGGATATCATTTGATTAACCCAGTCGACCCACAGGGCTCTACTCACCATATTCTTAGTCTGTTGGGTTCTATGCAGAATTATGGTCCTGAATTCTCTTTGTTCACCAAATTTAATTTCACTCTTTTTTTCTTAGAGCTTCATTATCTTCATGAATGTTCCTGACTTATCCCGCCTACTTATTTCTCTCCTCTAACTTCTACCAACCCTGAAGTGATAAAGGACTCCTTGTTTTAGTTACTTGACATTCAGAACAAGTTCTGTATTTATGGATTCTTTACTTTAGAACACACTTGGAAAAGCTAGAAGAGAGGTACTGTAAGTGACTTAGGAAAGCATTAGCTTTCACACTGTTTAATCATGTTCTGATTCTTGCTCATCTCAGTCCCCAGTTATCTAAAAATTAAAATGTTGGCCTGGTAGTTCTTTCCTAGATTGGCTTGTTGTATAAACTAAAACTCTTAAACAAAATTATCTCAGATTAATAGCCTATTCTAAAAATTTAATATTGATAAAAATATAGACAGAATATAGTAAAACATAAAAATTTGAAAAATGTTGTGTGCAAAATGAGATTCTTCATTCTTTAACCTAATTAAAGTGGAATTGTGGTAGACTAGCAAATTGTGGGTTTTTGAGTCAGTGCTTCTAGATTAAATTGCAAGCGATGCAATTACTTGATGAGGAATTTCTTAAGTAAGTCTACTTTAAATATTTGCCTCAACTGTCCTACTATTAATTTGCAGTTTGCCAGTGTGTTAGTCAGGGTTCTCTAGAGGGACAGAACTAATGGGGTATATGTATATATGAAAGGGAGTTTATTAAGGAGAATTGACTACAGGATCACAAGGTAAAGTCCCATGACAGGCTGTCTGCAAGCTGAGGAGCAAGGAAGCCAGGAGTGGCTCAGTCTGAGTCCCAAAACATCAGAAGTAGGGAAGCCCAGAGTGCAGCCTTCAGTCTGTGGCCCAAGGCCTGAGAGCCCCTGGAAAACCACTGGCATAAATCTAGGAGTCCAAAAGCCAAAGAACCTGGAGTCTGATGTCCAAGGGCAGGAAGCATCCAGCACAGGGAAAAGATGAAAGCCAGAAGACTCAGCAAATCAGCTCATTCCATCTTCTTCTGCCTGCAGCCGATTGAATAGTGCCCACCCAAATTGAGGGTGGGTCTGCCTCCTCCAGTCCTCTGACTCAAACGTTAATCTCCTCTGGCAACACCCTCACAGACACACCCAGAAACAATACTTTGCATCCTTCAATCCAATCAAGTTGACACAATATTAACCATCACAGCTAGTCAAGTATTTTCAAGACTCCAATGTTAGTTGAACACTTCATGGGATAAAATGTAGGATTTTAAGGTGAATGCCTTTATGTGTTTGCTATTTTCTTTCTCATAAGACATGGTGCAGAATAATCAAATGTATCTAATGGTTTTAGAAAAAAAATTTAAATTTGTATTAATAGCAATTTTGAACTATATGTAGTTAGTACCATTTAACATTTGTTTATAGCGAAAATAACATGTATAATTTATTGCCTTAAATCTTAATACGAGAGAAGGTCTAAAAATTAGCCTTTTGAGCAGTTAGCCTCATTTATCAGTGACAATGCATAAGATACTTTAATAATTAGGATGTCTTGGAAGATTGTTGCTGGGAAAATAGGTTTGTTTCCTTTCAACTGTGACTTTAAACACAATCCCTGGAAAACCTGTAAAATGTTTTCCTCTCTCACCAGCATGGTTTTCTGGAGTGAGGCAAGGAGGAAATATTTCTAAGTATAATTTTATTTTATCTGTATGAGTTAAGGAAAAGTTATATTGAGAGCTTTAAATGTTATGAAAAGATAAACTTTATGAGGTATACCTCATAAAAATGATAAAATTTGTGATATCAAAAATGAAATGTACATAAATCTTGGGTTTTGTTTTCTTGACATTTTCTTGGATATAAATGTGTAAGAAGTTAGAGCCTGGAATTCATAAGCAAACATTCTG
Source organism: Homo sapiens (assembly GCF_000001405.40). NCBI lineage: Eukaryota > Metazoa > Chordata > Mammalia > Primates > Hominidae > Homo > Homo sapiens. The sequence goes on along the minus strand of NC_000003.12, from coordinate 145,971,711 downwards.
CTCTCCAGACTTACACTGTTCTTCTAAACTGGTAAAAGTCATATCTCCAACATCTCCAAACATTTTCAGGCTTTTTTTTTTTGCCAAATTAATTACATTTTATTTATATCCTCAGTACTTTTCAATCAATTGTTGCTACTGGAAACCTTTAATGTATTAAAACATGTCTCAGCTGTGGAAAATAATATTAATTGCTTTGACATCTTGGAATGAAAAATGGGAAAATGTCCCCATTCCAAGGAATGTCTTACACAATTTTCACAGAATTTTTCCTTCATTACAATTTAACAAATGACCAAAAGGCCATTTTGTTTATTTTTGGCTAAAGGTTTAGCAGCTTGAGCAATGGTAATGAGAGTACACAATTCCATTATCTACTGACATCTATCAATGTAAAGCTATTATCTTAATCTTCAAGGGACATTTTATTTTCTGGCAATGAATTATCAGTAAACAGAAAATTTTGCTGATTAAAAGGTTTTTGCTGTTCTGTTTCTTTTCCTGTGTGTCATTTGCTACTTACAGAAACACAGTGATTTAAAAACTACTATTGAATTCAAATAAACTTTTAGGTTTTTCCAAAAACTAAAATTTAAGTAATAGAGGCTTCCATACAACCAAAGAGATGTTCACCTATTCCACGCAATAAAACTTAGATACTGCCCTCGAAGGAGAGTTCACATTTTCTCACTAAATACCTTATTTACTCTGGCTTATTTATAATTCTAAAAATCATGGTTATCTGGTTGTTCTTAATTAAATCCGTAGGATTATGATCTGGCATACCATTAATAAAATAATTGTCAATGACCTGGCAACAAGAGAAATGATAAAACAAAAACAATTAAGATACATATATGTAAAGAGTAATATATAATTTAAAACATACGCATGTGTATTTATGTGTATACATATGCACTTAAATACAGTATACTCTATCCATCTATCTATCTATACATGTACACAAATTTGGTGATACTAAATATCCAGAAAATTAGATATGCAAATTTTAAAGACCTGGAGGACTTCACTGTATGATGTATAATTCATTATAAATTATTTTAATAAAAATTATTAGATGTCATTTTGGTATTTAGTTATATGGGCCTACTGAAAGACTCTAATAGCTGTAATGGACATTTATTATTTATTCCATTGGGAAATTCTGTTGACATTTGAAATTTTTTTTAATGATTTATCAAAGTGTTATGGGCAAAACAATTTTTTTCTTCATTTGCATTATTCCCATCCAATGTTGCTGCCATGATTGTTTTCATCATTATCATCACCATCTATGTATATATGTATGCAAGTGTGTTTGTGTGTGTGTATAAATGTAAATGAAGTAGAGATTCCGTAGATTACAAATCTCCAAACTTCTTTACCCCATTGTACCACATATGTTCCTTATACACACACATGCACACACACATACACACACTTTAGTGACTAGGAAACTTATGGCATAAGCAAAATATTTGTCAAAGACAATATCGGGTTAGAGGCTCACTTTATATTGGAACTTGCATAAGTCAAGGAAATACTATACCAATGAGATCATGTAGTCATGTTTTATTTTTAAAGAAAATATTACAAAAAAGTTATAACTTGTTAGAAAACAAAAGACAATGTGAAAATTATAATGAAGAAAGTATAAGATTCTAATCTATAAATTAATACTTAGATACAGTTATATTAATTTCAATCAATCATTTCCTACAGCGCAGCAGATAAGAGTAAGAAGATAGCAGGGCACAGAGGCAAAAAGCTTCCATTTTTGACAATAGAAGCTTAGCTGTTCAGAATAAAAACTCTCCTTGTATAGCACACACCAAGAAGTTTTGGGGCAATACAAAAAATAACTTCACGTATGTGTGTGTGTGTGTGTGTGTGTCTATGTATACACAAATATGTCACAATTAAAAAAAATAGTCTTAATCAATAGCTGAGCTGGTGAGTTTCAAATATCAGAGGGCATAGAGATGGGCTATTGATAGTCTCCCAGGAAGAGGAGAGTGTAAAAAGTCCTAGGAACTGAGCAGAGTGGAAACTCAGATTGGAAACACTTCCACAGTTCTCAAATATCATACCTTCAGTGGGTGAATCTGATAAAAAAGCAGAGCAAGAGACTATGAAGATACAAACCTCTGATCATGAGTCCTTGGTGGAACAGGGTTGAAGGCAGAGGAGATGTGTACTTGGAGATTTCTTAGCCATAATAAGACAGCATTTATTTGGATTTTGGCTCTTAATTTTTGTGACCTCAGCTACCTCCAATAGAAAATTTAAAGTGAATCTAGGATGATAGTAGCCCTGGGCACCTGGCAGAATCAAATACCTCAAAGTTATAGGGGAGGAAACTGAGACAAAGGAATTAAAGTCACTTAACCAAGATCACAGGTGAAAAGGCTAAACTTATGTGAACCTAATAAGATAACCACCAAGTACACAAAGCAAGTATTAACAATACTTGTTACAAGTATAAGAGAAGCTGACCAATTCACTTTATGTTTAATAACTCTTATGTATTATTCCCATTGTTAGATCATCCTATAAATAACCAACCATTAAAAATATATTTTTCTATATAATATAGGTTAAGTTTATAATATAATAAATATAAATATTATCAAAAGTACAAATCATTGAGCAAAACATTAAGGTAAAGTCAACCTAGAAAACAAACATTTATCAAAATTGTTCAGGTCCTAGGTCTTAACATAAGTTTCAACAAAGTTCAAAGAACCAATATACGATTTTTTTTATCAGCAGGTATTACTATTTTTGTTATTGGTGGGAAGATTAAATGAAACACTTAATGTAGATACAGAGTAGATACGTAGTGTTAACTTTTTCTCCTTTTATTGGTAATATTTTCTTTAAGTCTTTATCTAGAAACACAATTTGTAGGTTATTTAAACATTAAAAACTCAGTGCACTTTAAATTTGGAAACAGAATATAGGCATTTGTATATGTTTACACATTTATCAGTTGTTTCCAAGACTAGAACATGAAAGTACAAGAGCTTTTTACCTCTATTTTGTCAGTGCCTGGCATGCACAGGTACACCAAATCAATAAAGCATTTGTGCAAGAAAAAACAGTGCCTACTTCCCAGTATAGTTACGCCATTCTTAGGTTTCCCTCTAGTGAGCTCTGTTTCCCTCCATATTTTTGGGAGTTCTTGGTGAAAATTCTTCAATACATTGGTACATTATCTCAAAACTCACTTTAGAGTTGAGTCTATTTTCTTTAGCTTTAAAATTTCAGGAACGCTGAAATAGGCTTTGGGTATACAAGCATACAAAGTGGTGATTGGCATAGGAACACAAAACATAATCTGCCACAGTTTCCATCTGGAAATTATTTCTTCTCTTTGTTTAAAGTAGTGTGGCTAATAGGGCAGAGAAAAGAAGACTTCTGTAATCAAGGGAAAATGGAAAGAATCTGGAGGCATTTATAGAAAATAAATGAGACCCTAGCAAAAAGAGAAAAGGAGGAGATAAGAAAAATGCAGAACTATTGGCACAAGATCTCCTGAAAGTTAAACTCATCTTATGTTGCCCTGCCTTGACAAGAGTGCAAGTTAAAACGTGTGTATGTAGTCAGAAAACAGATTATGTATTGTCTTTATTTTTTATTTTTATTTTTTTTGTTGGAGTCTCTGTCACCAGGCTGGAATGCAGTGGCGCAATCTCGGCTCACTGCAACCTCTGCACCCCGGGTTCAATGATTTTCCTGCCTCAGCCTCCCAAGTAGCTGGGACTACAGGCATATGTATTGTTTTAAAATCTAGTTCCAGGTACCAGCAATTTCATGTGGGGTGGGAATATGGAGTCTCCCAATTGTCATTTATTTGCACAGACAGAGGAAGCTTTAGGAGTTAGGATCAACAAAAGCTGATTGCTAAGAAGATGTAAGAGTAGGAGAAAGAGGGAGATATATAATGAACACAGGTGTCTGGCAGTAAAAGAATTCAATATCTGAGATGTGAGAAAGAGCCCCAGATAATGGAGGGGATGATGTGTTAATACGGGGAAATATCTTTCCCGCTAAATACTGAGTTCTGTGTCATCAGGAACCATCCTCTGCTTTATTCACTGAACATTGCCTGAAACATTTTAGGCATTTAATAAATATTTATTGAATAGATACATGGATAGTCATTGGTTCCTGTCAGACAGCTGGATTGTAAGATGTTAGGTCTCAGATATCAAATTTATTAAGACTCTTCAAAATTAATTTTTTTGTCTTTTTAAAAAATATTCATTTCACATATATGATCCTCTTCAGGAACTCTAGAATAAATCTCTCCCAAGCCAAAGGCTTTTCTACTTCTTCTAATTGGAGAAAATGACTGGGAAGGCAGACTTTCCTGTATGGAGGAAAGTTAAGGAGATCTTGTCTGCTTTGTAGCCTGGATCCATTTTGTTGGACGTGACTACTCTATGGGGCTGCAGTTGCCTAGTCATCAAAATTAATTAATGGGAGAAAACATTGGTGAGGGGTTGGAAAACGGTTCAATCAATTGAATTTGGGCCTCCTAAGGGCCCTTAGTACCTCTCTAGGAATTTCACACTCTTTGCCATCTCACTGATATGTATTTTTATTTTTGTGCTATCGTGATATCAAACCATATTTTACTGTTTGTAGGAAGGAATACAGATTTCATAATTTGTATGCTACAAAGAAAGTTGTATCTTCAACTATTTTTGCCAGCAGAGAAAGATAAAGCCCTTCAAGAGAAAATAAATAAGTAATATACTTTCCAAATTATGGGAAAATGATCTGTATGCATTCCTTCCCTAAGGAAACAAACAAGATGAATTCATTTATATCCTACCTTGCACCAGAAGGATTAAGGCAGCTTTGTAATGACTTTAAAAGGATTTTTAAAAACCTTGCCTTTAGTATTAACTGTTGGAAACGATTTTTGTCAGTATTATCAATGTTCCTTAGTTGAAGCCAGTTGACAGAATCTGCAGTGATAGGTAAACTAAAGGAGTTTTTGATAATGGAAACCTGGAATTCTAAGCTACCAAGGTGAGAGGAAGTATAATTGAGTTGGGGTCTAAATGACAGTGTTTTGAATATGAAACTCAAATTGCCCATTTTACGTTATTTGGATACTGCTATTCATGGCTTTGTAAGGTATCTGGTAATTTACATCTGAACTAAAACAAGTAAGAGAAATAGCAAATAGATTTAACAAATTCTCTGAGTCATACAGTTGAAATGGGGACATATAAATGGAATGAAATATTCATGATATGTCTATGACCATGAAAATAATTTTGTCTGGCACATCTGTCCAAACCTATTCATTCTGATAATATTTTTAGAAGATAAATTACATATGTACCTTCTGGAAATTACTGAAAGCAAAATTTTGAAGCTAATTAATTAAGGTTTAAGTTGTGACATTTGGCTTGGAAACCTTATTTTCTCCTAGTAGCTTAATGCATAGATTGAAAGATCATCTGTTCTTTGTTTCAATAATTCGATATATTTATAGAACACAAGTGTTAATACCATGAGAATTATAATGAATTATTTGAAAGCTTATCACATAATAAGAGATATTTACACAAATATTTACAAAATATTTTTTTAAAGTCTGTAATGAGAAAACTATGGCCAATAAAAGCTGGAGAGAGTGAGATTAAATGTCCTGCAGAAGGTTAATATTTCCTAAACCCTAAAGTATAACTGGATATGCAATATGTGGAGATGATAGCAGTTGGGTGGCAAAAGAAGGGAATAAGAAAGAAGAAAGCACTGGAAAAGGACATGTATCTTTTAGAAGTGACAAACTGACATGATTTAGAGGAAGTCTTCAAATAAGAGAGTAGGAGGAAATTTACTTTTTTTTTTTTTTTCTGAGGCAGAGTCTTGCTCTGTTGCCCAGGCCGGAGTGCTGTGGTGCGATCTTGGCTCACTGCAACCTCTGCCTCTGAGGTTCAAGCGATTCTCCTGCCTCAGCCTCCCGAGTAGCTGGGATTACAGGCTTATGCCACCACACCTGGCTAATTTATTTATTTATTTATTTTTGTATTTTTAGTAGAGATGGAGTTTCACCATGTTGGCCAGGCTGGTCTCAAACTCCTGACATCAGGTGATCCACCCGCTTCGGCCTCCCAAATTGCTAGGATTACAGGCGTGAGCCACTGTGTCTAGCCAATAATTTGTACTTTTAGAAATATGTTGTGTGGTGGCAAAGTTTATTCAATTAAAACAGTATTTGGGAAAGATGAATCGAGCTGCGGTATTTAGTAAGTTGAGAATAGGCAGGATGAGTAATGAGGATGCTGTGGCAGTGATGACAATGAAATAGAAAATGTCTGACAACCTATAGGAGTGGTAGTTTAATAAGAATAGGGAGCAAAATATGAAAGGTGAATTGTGAATGATGTAAAGAGAATTGATAGCACTTGGTGACAAAATAGATATCTTTGAAGCAACAGTTTTCTCAGAGACTTGATCTTATATCTTTTGTCGCCTTGCTTATTGTCTTCAAGGGCTTCTTATTAATAACGTAGAAAATTAAGCATCGTCTCCTTGATATAATAATGATTATTTAAAGGTATAGGCTCAAAGTAATCACAAATACAACGTCAACAGTAACAACAGTAACACTTTAAATCTTTAATCAAATTTCTCTTTGTTGACAAAGCTTCATCCTCATACTTATGAAAAACAATTATGGCAAAATTATTTTTGTTCATAAAGACAAATACTTCTGGAAGTTTATATTTAGAAAGGAAAGATTCACTTAGACACATATCTATTATATCCAGAGAACATCTGCTCCACTTTAGGAAATTAAAGATGGCAAAATCAAAGAACTTGAACATTCCGTTTCCCGAGAAACCAAGCGTCTGACAAGGGATGACTTTTGATTCTCAAAATGAATAATTTCACAGAATGTTGACTTTGAATTTAAAAAATTGCTTAGAATATCAGGTAGTTAAAAACTGACATGAAACCAATGATTTTGCAATGGTCTGGGTGAATTACAACCACATCCCTATAGATTTTAGCTTTATTGAAAAAACTTCTCCATTTTTAACATACTGAAAATAATTGTATTAAGATGTGTGTCTATGCAGTTCAACTAAATCAGTTCTTTTTTGACAGGATAATTGAGAACTAAGTTAAACATCACTTACAGCTCTGTGCCAATAAATAAGTTAAATATATAAATATATTTCTGACAAAAATTGAGAGAAAAGGAGTGAAGTCAGATAATACTGAATTTGGATTAAAAGGACCATAATTACTTTGTTAAAATACATATTGGCCTTAGAAATAAAGCTAGCTATTTTATTTGACTTTATTCTATAATTTTGTTAGATTCCCATTTTTTTTTTCTATTCCAAACATGGACTACTGATGCCATGAAGAATAATAATTTTATTATGAAAGTTTGAAAGCATATCAAGCATTGTATTTATACCAGAAAAACAACATGTCTTATATATATTTTCCAAACTTTGTCACAAATAGAGATAAGAAAGGACTTCTATATAATGGCTGAATTTAGAGGCTTAAACCCTCAGGTTTGGCCTTTAGGCCTCTCTCTTGCCTTATTTGAGCTCTGCTTCTCAGTCTTCACTGGCCTAGTGTAGAAGGCTTTCTTTATATGGTTGGAAATATGGTTGCAAAGAGTTCCAGCTTACATTGTCCTTATAGCTTCTAATTCAAGTTTAAGAGAGCACTTTTCCTCACTACTGCTCCAGCTTGAAAAAAAAAAAAAAAGAAAAGAAAAAAGGAAAGGCCTAGAGAAGGGTCTGGTTTACTTTTTTAATCATGGAATATATACTGGGGTTGGTAATTAGGGATGGGAGGAATGAAGTCGCTTGGTTTTTCCAATAGAAAGTGGAAAGGTTAGCTACCCAAAGGGGAGGATGCTGCCCGAGCAATATAAGCACACTAAGCTCACAATTATTTCTGATGGGAAAAAAGGGCTCCTAATTTATGAATAATTTGGGAACCAATGTTTATAGGAAAATGTTCAAACTTCTCAATATGATATCAATATGACCCCAATTAATGTTTCCAGTCTTTTCCCCTCTTTTTTCCTTTTTCGTATGTTTCTTCTCACCTCTCGCCGGTCTAATGATTCGGCCACACTGCTTGGTTTTTGCTGCCTTCTGGATTTTTGCTTGTTAATTCTATGTTCCTGCAGTACCTTTAATTAAAACAGACATTTAATACATCTACTATGATTTGAATGTGTCCCCCATAAGCTCAACTGTTGGAAACTTAATTGCCAATGTAACATGATTAAGAGGTTGGGTCTTTAAGAGGTGACAGGTTCATGAGGGTGGAGCCCTCATAAATGGATTAACGCCTTTATTATGGGAGTTCGTTTTTTTTGCAAGAGAGGGATGTTATAACAGTGAGCTTAGCTTGCTTTTGTGGTCTCTTTAATTCCTTTGCTTTTCTGCATGTTATGATACAGGATGAAAACCCTTTCAAGAAGCCTTTGTCATACCTTTGGACTTTTCAGACTTCAGAACTGTGAGCCAAATGAACTTTTCTTTATAAATTACCTAGTCTGTGGTGTTCTGTTACAGCAGCAGAAATCAGGCTAAGACACCACCTTCACCGTATTAGTGAAATATTCTTTTACTTCCCCAAGTAAAACCTTTCTTCTGTTCTGTGAAGGACCTTGTATGTGGTTATCTCAAGGATAAGTGGGAGTAGACAAAGCAGGCACCTTGCTTTCATGCTATGAGGGAGTTCAAAGTCAATGCTGTACTTAGGAAAAAAAGCAATCTCACCTACTTCAGTGGATTATTGTGATAGACAATGGTTATTAGATCTAATCGTTTCATCATATTATTCAAGTCGTCTGTATTCTCACTGATTTTTATGCCTGCTGGCTTTATGAGCAAATGAGAGCGATCTATTAAAATCTCCTACTCTTTTAGATCTGCAAATTTTTGTTTCATGAAGGATTATCTTATTAGGTTTACACAAGTTAAAATGTTATATGTTTTGTTTTCTTTTTTGTCAGTCTGACTTTAAGATTTTTCTTTGTTATTAGTTTTTATTAGTCTTAATATAATGTTGTATTTCTCATATTTGTGGTTTGTAATGCTTATTAAATTTTTGGCTTGATAATGGTCATGTTAGGTCTATACCTTAGTTTATCTCCATAGTTTTTGTTTATGATATTTTAAAATTGAGAGAAAAAATGTAGAGATAAACATATAGTATATCCAGATAATGGTGTTCTCAACAATTTTAAAATAAAAATATTCATACGTGTCTAAAATACATGACAATCTTGAGAAGTTGGAGAGGGGACTAAAAACTGTATAAAAAATTTAGAATTTCAAAACTGAAAAATACAGTAACTGAGATTAAGGATGGGTAAATATCAGCTTAGAAACTATCATGTGAAATACTGAGACATCAAAGAAAGGCAAATACGGAAGAAGACTAAAGAAACATAAGGAATGAAGTAAACAGAACTAACATACGTATTATCCAACTCCCAGAAGTAGAGAATGAAGCTCACTTGTTTGGTTCTCAACTTCTCTCTAAGGCTGTGAGGAAATCCAGCATCCCAGATGTAGAGTCATGTAGATTTAATTTTAAGTGGTCTTCAGTTCTTCCCAGGATCAGCCGATTTCTTACTTTTTACTGCTTATTCCTAGGGGTAGACCTTTTGTGTCTCAACCCAAAGACTATGCGTGTTACTATAGCTTTCTCCCACTTTAGCCTGCCCTCAAATCCAGTTCCCATGTTCCCAGCCTTGTGACCTGTTGAAAAGTCTAAGACATCACCCTTATGTTAAACCTTGTAGACTATTCTAAGAATTGTGGCTTTTGTTCTAAATGACACGGAAATATGCTGTATATTTTTGAGTCGAGGAATTACTCTATCTGAGTAGTTTCAAGATCATTTTGGGTGCTGCGTTGCTCTGCTTTTCACACACCTCTGCTAGAAATGCCAGGTGCTGTGATGGGAGAATTGGCCCTGAAATCTGAGTTCATTGATCTAGGTTACCTTTCTTTCTTGATCTTAACTCTTTAATTATTTCTCATATTATCTCTTTGACGAACTCAAATGTATTTTTAAATATATTTTTAAACATATGTTCTGGTTATTCTCAGGCATGTTATCTCTAATTTTCACCCCATATTCTGCAAGCAGAACCATTTCTGACTGATTTTTTATTTATTTAGTTGGAACAATTTCTCCAAAACAATCTTGCAAGGGATATATGGGTACTATACACATTTCTGGAATATAGAGAAACTCTGTTAAAAACAACAGACTCTTCTTACTCTGGCCTGGCTTCCTATGGTCATTTTTGTTTTTCCTCTTTAGCTTGTTTCTCCTACCTTAAACCATGTATGTTTCCTCTTCTTTTTTATAGATCTGGTAAAAAGTAAAGATAAAATGTCAGCTATATTTTTATTACTTAAGAGTTATTTAAATGCTTTTAACTTAGATTATGTCTAATTAACAAAATTTTTCTATTAACTAGAAACAAGATATCCTGAATATCTGAAATTTGCACATAACTAGGGAAGGAAATTAGAGGCTAGTGTTCTAACACTGAAGGGGGCATAAGAATATGCCACAGTCCTTTCCCTTAATGACTCTATTTAGCTTGTTGAATGGGCAGTTTCACAGTGCATGTAGAATAGTTTTGAAGCTCAAACAGCTCCTGGCTACTTACTGATTTCTCTATCTGTATTTCTAGCTGGACTTGACACAGAGAAAAGGTCTTAAGTTGACTGTTGCCTTGGGGAGAAAGTGGGAGTCAAATGTGCAGAGGAGTTCTGTTTTAATCCTAAAAATTTATTTCCTGTTTAATCAAAATTTTTCAAGAAATGATTCACACTTAGAGCGAATTGTTTCATAAGTCCAATATTTTTGGAAGTTCGACTTTAACTGTGAAGGTTAAAATATGGAAAGAAAATTTACTCTGAAGATGAATACATTGAAATACATCAGAAAAATACTAAAAAACTCAAGGCATGTCTGAGTTGGCATTTTATTTTTGCTTACATTTATATGTATGTCTGTGGTATAACTCTCTACAGAAGATATATTGTTGGTGGTTGAGAGAGTGTCAGCAGTTTTCAATGAAGCCAAACTTTTTCTAAATGCAGAGTTGTCAGGAAAGTAAACTTTCTATCTACTGAAGACTAAATTTAAACAAGCACGGATGGATTGTACTTTTCAGTTACCTACGATAGATAAATAATATGCTTATGTTTGTTCATATATATAGTTACCAAAATAAATCTTTCCAGTACATTCTAGTTGTTTATCATTTGTTCAAATCTTTGTGTAAGATATCTGATTCCATTAATACTTCTTTTCCTATGCAAAGCGTAACTATACATTTTACTGTGATTTGTTAACTAATGGCTATTAAAAAATAGACATTTTTCTGAGATTCACTGGCTTTGGGCCATGCCACTAATATCCACATTTTACTGCTATGTAGTCCCCAACTGCATCCTTGTAGGGTCTTCACTCGAGGACTGATTAATTATTCCTGGGAGTCTCTACCATGTCTAAAGTGTGATCAAGTAGGGTCCTCCTTATTCTTTCACTCTGACCTCCTTTTCTGCTTCCCAGAAACTATTTTTGGTGGGAGATATGACTCATCCCTGCCATGGGAGCATCTTTTCCTTGTAAGAATTCTCCCCCCATTTTTTTTTTGTGGGTTTCAGCTTTTTGGAAACTCCTAAAGCACAAAAGCTTTGAACTCACATATAGAAGTGCATTTTCTTATATAATCACTTTGTTCAAACCAAGTTATGTTCCTCACAGAAACTGAAAGGAAAACACTCTTCTTAATTATGTGGCTGACTTGGTCAAGAGCAGCTCTGTTTGCTCCTTAATCTTTGTCTTTTAAAATCCCAAATGATACCACTTTTTCAGCTTCTTTTAAAAGACTGGTATCTCTCAACTGCTCAAAACTAAATGCATGGGATTGGACTAGGGAGCACTCTCTTTTCACTATCTTGTCCCTGGCATCCCCAACTTATTGCCTTAGTTGGCATGGGCAAAACAGAAACCAAAGCAAATGTTAAAAATGAAACAAAATGAATGAACAAAATACTAACTTTATTCCTCAGCAATGACATAAGATTTCATGGCACCTTTACTCAGTCATTCAAAATTCTCGTGGTACAAAGAATATCCATTTTTGGATGAACTTCCTTATTTGAGGTTTTTCATTTTCTATTTCTTGTTCTAGAACAAATCGCTATTCTTTTTTTGATCCATATATACATACATATTATGTGTATGTATGAATGTATACATACACATATGTATATGCATACATGCATGTGTGGTACATGTGTGCATATGCATATATGTATATGATTCAAAAATGTATATATTTACATATACAAAAATATGTGTATGTATACATAATATGTGTATGTACTTACATATACATATCTATGTATGCATATGATGTATATGTATGTATACATAATATGTATCTGTATAGTCACACATGTATATATATACAGATATTTTTACATACATAATATGTATCTTTACATGTATGTATCTGAATCTATACATACATGTAGATATATATATTATATATGTTAAAATTTAGATTTTTTTGACCCCTAAGGGGAGCTAAATTTACTTTAAAAAGTTTCCAGAGCCCACTTCAATTCATACCTTTGTATACTTTTATGAAGCTTCTGGCATTGGGTACTGTGGAAGGCAATGAGAAAAACTTAATTTAGTAAATACCTTTCAACTATGCCTGATGAAGGGATAGTGTCCTTAAAGACACAATTACCTTTTAATTTAGCTCACCTTTCTCACTCAGAGGTTTTGCAAGTAAATAAATCTATTTGGTTTTCCAAAGCAAGGATTGAAATTTCCTCCTTCCCTTCCCTCCCTTCCTCCCTCCCTCCCTCCCTTCCTTCCTTCCTTCCTTTTTTCCTTCCTTCCTTTCTTCCTTCCTTCCTTTATTCTCCACTCCCTCTCTTTTCTTTTCTTCCCTCCTTCTTTCCCTTTTTTCCTTCCTTTCGCCATTTTTTCCATTCTTCTCCTTCTTTCTTTTTGGTCCTAATTAAATTAAGCCAGAGAGTTAAGTGATATAAATATGTTTGGCTCAGTCTTAATATTGGACCAAATTATCTAGAGCTTCAGTGACATTTATATTCTTGTCTTACTGTTTGTTTGCTTCTCCTTTGTAATCTCGTTGCTTTTAACAATTTATGCTTTTTTTGGGGGCCAAATTGGGTTGTTCTTGCCTACTTTCTTAGGTTAGTGTTGGACAAAATAGCAATTTTTCAGCAGCATAGTGGAAGATAATTTGTTAAAATTTTTCATGTTAAATGCTCACATGAAATCTGCTTAGGTGGTCATTTTTTTTTTCAAAATTCCTTTGACAATAATTTTTCAATTTATATTTATCATTTAAAGTCTCCTTTTAAAGGCTGAGCTTAGAGTGAATTCTATGTACTTGGTTTATAGAATGGATAGGAGAAATATTTGATGTAAAATACTAGTTTTCCAATATTTACAAGAATTTTAATCAATTATTGTAAAGCCATTGCATCCGCTTTCACGCTCTGAACCACGGATTTCACACTTCAGTTTTGTGTGCAAAAAACGACATTATTTCCCGAACACATATTTATTCAAGATGTTTGTCTGTTTGGTTTCTTTTATATTCTAATCATGTTTGCTACATTTAAAAACTATATTTTTTAACAGTAAACTACATGTTTCTACCACAAATTTATGGCTGACCACTTTCCCTGGACTCATGGCTCAGGCCTCATGTTTAGCGGTAATTTTCTGAAGTCATTTATTTTGCTTTCCAATGCTGTCTGTTAAACTAATTCTCTATTCCATAGTTTTCCTACTCCACCCCTCATTCCCTCTCAGGAAAGTGCCACACTGAGGAAGTGCTTTCCTTTTTCAGTGGTAAATCACTGGAGTAATACTCACTTTGTAACTTAGGGTGTTCTCTTTCCATAGTTACAGATTTTGTTTTTTGACACAATCCTACGTGTTCATTTTATTAGTGAGTTAATAAGAACTCTTTTGGTTGCAAGAATCAGAAAACATTCTGAAAACTGCCATAAAACCCAAAAGAGAATTTATTGGTTGATATAACTCAACATCTCCGTGGCAAAATTGTATTCAGGCTCAGATGTATCAAGGTGCTCAAAAATCTGTTACCTGAAAGCTATTTTTCCCATGTCTCAGTTATGCTCTGTTCTGTGTTGTCCTCATTCTCAAGCAGGTTGTGTTGCTGACTCAGGAATCTGTTAGTTTTCCTCTTCATAGCTGAGAAAACCTAGCAGAATGAGATTCTCTATTAATTTCACTGCACTCTTTCATACCGGCCTTGTCTGCCTCCAGAGTTCATTGTAGGCCAAGGAGTTGCAATGCGTTAATTGGTACTGATGCCTATACCAGGAGCCTGGAAGATTAAATGAACCCCACATTTACTTTGGACCAGTGGTCTAAGAGTGCAGGAATAGTAGTTTTCCTAGGAAAATTTGGCTATTGATATTAGAAAAAGAGGGAATGAATATATAATCCTCAAGGAAGTGTTCATTGTGGATATTTTTCTACTAAAATTTTCAATGTATTCATTTCTTCAGGATAAAATTTGACTTCTGAAATGAGGTATTCAAGGTCCTGATTATTTTACTTTCTGAAACATTGATCCAATTACACTAGTCTAATAATTAGTCTCCTTATAAGGGGGATAATAAAATAAAATAAAATAAAAACTAGATAACTGTTTTTATTATGCCACCAGTCTCATTTCTACTATGTTCATCTCTTTTGTAAAAGTGTTATAAATACTCCAATCCATCCCTCAGTAACCTTCGAAAATCTAACCATTTTAAAACACTGTTATTGACAATTCTAGTCCATGGTGTTTTATTTTGTCTTTGAACTCCAAATGATTTTATTGTTTATAGTGTTGTCAAATATTGTTTATATTTTATTTGTTTATTTTTTTGTGTGCTTATCTGTAGGAGTCACAAACTGCAACTTGTTGGTTGTATTTTGGATATCATTCATTGGAAAATAACTCATAAGGGCAAAAAATCTACTACACATTTAGTAAAGAGTTTAAATTAGATTGAATATTATTAACTTTAAGAGTTAAGTTATACAGATTTAATCAGTTCTTATGAAGCCATTTCATACCCTTTCATCAATGCTTTGAAAAGCATTTTTACATACACATGCAATACTTATTTTTGAGAGGTTATGAATATAGATTATGCCATTTCTATACATTAGTTTATGTCAATTATTTTCATCTTCCTTGATATATCTACTACCAGAATACTAATCATATATTTTATGTTTATATCTTGTAACTTTTAATACATAAGTTTTTAAGATTTTATTAACTCCTTGAGTCGTATAACCTGATAAAGAATACTTGATTAATTAGAACTTTCATTTTCTGCTTTGACATCTTCATTCTTAACTATATTTGTAATTAACACATCTTGAATTTATGATTTTTACTGAATTATTACTTGTATAAATCAACACTGATATTCTAAAGGTTGAAAATTGGGATAAAATAAAATGAGGTTATTGATAATATATCTGCTTAGGCATTTTACTCTGATAAAAGGTGTTGTTTTGGACTGAATTGTGTCCTCCCCAAGATAGAAGCCCTGGACCCCAATGCGACTATAATTGGAGCTAGGGCTTTTCAAGTGGTAATTAAAGTTAAATGTGGTATTTCCTAATGGTGGAGCATTATTCCAATAAGACTTTTGTCCTTAAAAGAAGAGGACGAGACATCACGAGTGTGCAAGGGCAGAGTTATGCCATGTGAAATCATAGCAAGAAAGTTGTCATCTGCAAACCAAAGAGAGAGGACACAGGAGAAACCAAACCCTCTAACAACTTGATCTTGGACTTCCATCTCCCAGAATGTAAGAAAATACATTTCTATTGTTTAAGCCACCTAGTCTGTGGTAATATTTCATGGCAGCCTTAGCAGATTAGCAGGTAAAAACAACATTATTGTATAGTATGTATCAGATTTGGTTAAAAAATTCTATTAGTTTAGTCCTATTTTTATATTTCAGTAAGTTTTTCTTTAGTTGAACCTGAAGGTGTAGTGTATTTTAAGTATGGCCTTACTGTAGTCATTTATCACTTCATCTGAATTCCAAAATAAAAGTTTCATAAACTCACTCGTCATTTTATATTTCCAGGATTTGAACCTTGCAAATGGTAATGAGGTACCTTTTAAAGCTAGTTTTAGCTTTCTAAGAATAAATTTGGAAACTGAAATAGTGTTGTAGATCTTGGTGACAATATATATTATCTCATTGGGTAGAATTACGTTAGGAAAATCTACACATTGAAATAGGTATATCCTCAGTGAATTGTGATAAAACAGTAAACATTCTTCTTAAGAAGAGGGGGAGGAAGAAAGAGTTTTGGGGCTCAATAAGGTTGGTCTCTTTCTTTCTCTCTGTTTTTTTCTGTCTCTGCCATACAATATTTCTAAGTTGGCTTAAGTCCCTTACTATTCATCAGCACACTAATGTGATCATTTTTAGAACAGACAGATGCTTGGATCTTCTAGGACTTTCAGAAGCGCTTATTTTGCATTGAAGGGATTATAAATCTACTGCATGTGGTTAAAGACACAAGTGGACCTTTATATAGATTTGTGATTTGGACACTCACAGCAGTATCTAAGTTTGGCCCATAAGCTGCCAAAAGAACTATACAATTTAGTCATGTAAACTTAAAAATGACAAGTTGATGAAAAAAAAGTGTCACTTAGGTTACATGGTGACATAAAGAGCAAGAGAATAATTGGTTAGCTGATTTTGTTTCCTTTTTCCATTTTGTCTGCAATTTTTGAACTATTACATTTTTAATTGAGTGATTATGATTTGAGCTTAGATTTGAAAGAAATGTTCAAGGAGGACTGCAAAATTACGAACACATTAAAATTTTTAAGCATATTCGTAACAGTTTGGAATGAATAAAAAAGCAATATTAATAACAAAACAAACACTTTTTTATAAAAATAAGAGCTGTGTCTTCTGTGCCATGTACTGCATTAAATTATTGTGTTAGTCCATTCACACATTGCTATAAATAACTTTTGGAGACTAGGGAATTTATAAAGAAAAGAGGTTTAATTGACTGACAGTTCTGCAGGCTGTACAGGAGGCATGGCTGGGGAGGCCTCAGGAAACATAAAATCATGATGGACAGTGAAGGGGAAGCAAGCATATCTTCACATGGTGACAAAAGAGAGACAGCTAATGGGGAAGTGCCACACACTTTTAAACAACCAGATCTTGTGAGGAGTCACTTACTGTCAAGAGAACAGCAAGGGGAAAGTCTGCCCCCATGATCAAATCTCCTCCCACCAAGTTCTTCCCCCATGATTGGGGATTAAAATTCAACATGAGATTTGGGTAGGGGCACAGAGCCAAACCATATCAATGATCAATATATGCTTGTCACATTTAATCCTTCAAACAACCCTATGAGGTAGGCATTATTTTATAGATGAGTAAACTAAGTTACATATGGTTACTCAATGGAGGACACACAATTAACAAGGGATTTGAACCAAGACTATCCAGTTGTAGGATGTAAACTCTTTTATCTGTGAAAACTACACAAACTTTCTGTGTGCTGAGGTGAACACATATTAGGTAATTTATTCAGTAATAGGGTTAAAACATTTGCAGATGGCACTACAATTTTTATAAAAATATAACATTTTAATAATATTTACTTTTCTAGATAAGTTTATTAAGTTGCACTGTCATTTCTCAATGATTGATAAAATCATGGACAGCTGGGGTAAAGAATCGGGTATTTATTTTAAGCCCTCATTTGTTGTTAATGAAAATAAATAAAATACCAATTGCATAACCTTTTGAATTTTACGTAAGGATTTAATTCTTTTCAATTTACTAAAGCTTTGCTATAATTCTTCTTTGGTAAGGCATTTGTTAATACTTTTTTTTTTGCAGATGAGACAAAGGATACAGGTTTTTAAATGAACTAAAAAGTCTAGATGTTAATCTAGTTTAGTTCTAGATGAACTAAAAAGTC
Source organism: Homo sapiens (assembly GCF_000001405.40). Lineage (NCBI taxonomy): Eukaryota > Metazoa > Chordata > Mammalia > Primates > Hominidae > Homo > Homo sapiens. Next base: position 145,953,615 of record NC_000003.12, on the reverse strand, counting down.
TGTTCATCTTCAAACCAACAAGAGTGCTAGAGGACTTTTGACTCAGTACCTTCATATAAAACCACAAAATAACTTTAGCCACAGTCAATGTTCATAGCGTGGTCGGTGGAACAAAGGAAATACTTTTCTGGCAATTAGACGTCATCTGCAGAGAGGGTTGGGGTATTTATCCAAGGCTGGGTAAAAAATGCCATCTTTTTCCTGAAGGACTACCTATATCCACATCTATATCTATCTATATCTATGTGACTATATGTATATATCATCTATATAATCCATATATATATCTTCTACATCATCCATATCTATATCTATACAAATATATATCTATATATTTATATGTATGGATCTTTCAATGAGATCATATTTGTACAGGCATTTGAGCTTCCAAATATTTTACTGGTGAGCCCATTGGAAGTAAATTATTTTTTAGTTTCATTTAGTTAATTTCAGTAGTATTTTGTGGAAGAGGATCTAAGATGGATTCTTCCCTTTCCCATCCTTCTTGGCTCTAACAAATTGAAAAAGTGACCCAAAAAGTCAAATGGGGAAAACTATAATATAGGTTTATCACTGGTAACATTAGATTGTAGAGAGTGGGATGGACCTGAAGTCAAAACAGGGCCTTCTCTTTTAGGACCACAGGCCCATAGTGTGGGGTGGACCCACCTCTTCACTGAGTATCAGACGGGAAGGTGAGACAGAGAAGAGGCCTTGATGGGCCGCAGAAGGGAGGTGCATTTTTTCTGCCTCTGGTGCGGTGACTACAAGAGCAAATTCCACTATGCTTGGGTTCTGGGAAGCCACAAGTAAGAGAGAGGCTATGTGCAATTAGCATTGCTTCCACAGAACTCATTGGTAACATGAGCCAATTATTACTCACTTTCTTGGGAAGGAGCAATTAATAGGATAAAGAAAAATGTGGACACTTCCTCAGCATCTGGAATTATTGGCAGCAGTTTCCTTTTTGGAGACCACAATGGGAATGTAGTAAGATGATCCGAGTCCTCCTCTATCTCTAATGTTATGTGCTATGTTCTTTTAACCTATTTTCACATAGAATCTGAATAAAAAATCCTCTGTTCTTCTATTTTTCTCATCAAATTATGCTCAGCCACACTCTCCAAAGCAGCTCACTAGAGACTGTATAGATGACCCACAACAGCATAAATATCACAGACAATACAATAGTAGCAACATAAAAATCAGTTTGAAACCATTGCCTTTATTAAATACATGTGTATAAATGTAAAAGACAGTTTTGTATTATAGTCAAAATATTAAAATCCTTTACAGCACTCCTGCTTCAATATTCTTATACAATAAGATTATTCTCAACAATATAAGACTGAGATACTGAGGCTATTTTTCTCTATGTCTGTTCATGACAGACAAGAGAACACAGCCCCAACAGAGGCATCTATTCTACAAGGCTGAATGACACTTTCAGGAAACAGTTAATTGTAATAGGTTTGCCAACCAGTAAGTCCTGAGTCCTGCCAATCCTTTTATAGCCTGTTACTCCCTGAACAGGAAAGGTTTACATTTTGAATCAAGCACTTCTGATACATTTGTACTTACCAAGGAAGTTGCTTCCTTCACCACCATTAGGAAGTTTTATAATTCTTTTTTCTATTTAGGTGAGAAACCAATCTATATCGAATCACATAAGAACTGTAAAAATGTATGTGTCCATGTCAGGGGTGGGATACAGGCATCAGCTACCATGAAGTAGCCCAAGATAAAATCCACTAAGAAAATAGAAGACAACCATTAAATAATACAGTTTCTGATCCTAAGCTGAGAAAATGACCTATGTTTCGATTCCATATCACTTTTTATATTTCTGCCTCTATATTCTGGGAATCTTGATGATATCACCCCTAGAGTCTGGTAGGAAGATGAATGGATTCCACAAACTACTGTTGGCATGATGATGCTGTTGCATTGCTACTGAGGTCCCGAAAAGGAAACTTTTGCCAATAATTCTACATTCTGAGGAAGGAGTGACCAGTTTTATCTTCATCCTAATACTTGTTCCTCCCCAAGGGAGTGAATAATGATTGGCTTATGTTACCAGTGAGTTCTACAGAAACAATGCTGATAGTACATAGCCTTTTATCTTACTTATGGCTTCCCAGAACTCAAGCATAGTGGAACTTGCTCTTGTAGTCACCATGCCAGGAACAGACAAAATGCACCTCCCTTCTGCAGCCCATCAAGGCCTCTTCTCTGTCTTGTCTTCCCTTCTGATACTCAGTGAAGGGGTGTGTCCACCCTACTCTATGGGCTTGTGGTCCTAAAAGAGAAGGCCCTGTTTTGACTTCAGGTCCACCCAATCTCTACAATCCAATGTTACCAGCGATAAATCCAATATTATAATTTGCTCCATTTGACTTTTTGAGTCAATTTTTCAGTTTTACAACCAAGAAGAATTGGAAAGTAAGGACTCTATCTTAGGCCCTCTCAAAATGCTACTAAAATAATCAAAGAAAACTCGAAACTAATATAATTCCAGTGGGCTCACCTCTAAAACATCTGGAAGATCGAGTGCCTACACCATTGTGATCTGCGTTGAAATATCCATCTATCTATGGAGAGAGAGAAAGAGAGTGCGAGCCTTCAAAGCAGCTCAAAGCAGGCAGATATATATATATTATTATATATATATTATATATAATATAGAGAGATGGATATATATGGAGAGATATGCATGGATATATATACATCTGGAGATATATTTGGATTGCATATGTGAATATCTATGGGTATACACACACGCACACCATACAAACATATACATATATCATATACATGTAAACAATGTGGATTTACATATATATATATGTTGTCTGTATATTAAGCCAGCATATAAATTAAGCTTATTAGTTATTTTAATATAAGATTTTTTTTGTCAGTAACTACTGATGGGTGAATATCAATAGCCATTTAAAGTTGTTTTCCTATGTCCTTTTGTTTTTTTTATATTTTCTTTATTTCATTTCTTCCTTCTGCATATTGCATGTGTGTACTTTAAAATACGCATCTTTCCTATTGCATAATTGTATTTTATAAAAATGATTGTTTTGATAATTAATGACCATATTAAATTGCATAGCATCTATTCATAAAAACTGCATTATAATAATTGTAGTTTACACATGTTATAATCTGATTTGAAATTGCTGGGAATAATGAATAAAAACATTAAGTTGACAATCCAATCATGCTGTGCTAGGTTATCTCCATGTTCTTCATATTCAAAACAGGATCTGCATATGTGATATAGTAACTAGAATGTTTCCTGTGGATCATGAGAGAAGTTTGCATCTACAACTCATTTACAAGTATTAAAATGTCCTTTTATGTAATATTCTTTGTGCTCCTGAAAGCTATATCTACTTTCACACAGAGTCTCATTATTGAAAAACCCAGGGAAGAAAAATCTATGTTGAAAATACCAGAATGAAAGGAGTTCATTTTGGGAAAATTTTTAAGGATTACTGAAAATGTAGGACAATTAATCAAATAGCCTAATATGGGCACTGAAGATGAAATATACGATATTACAGTAACTCTCTTGTGGATTTATGCTAGTCATATTAAAGTAAGCTAATCAGATATTTGGAAAGTAATGTACTATCCATTGATTTTCTTTGCTAGGGGAATGGCATTTTACCATTCATATTCCCCAAACCTTGAAAGTGAATTGCTATCAATTTTGTTCAATTTATATATATTTTTTGTTCCTTTTAAGGATGCAAATTAAAGCTAAATATTGATTACTTGGGGCAACCCTTAAGCCTTAATTGGAGACATCTTTGTTGCTCCCCAGAACAGCTTAAAGCCAATGATCTAACAGGTAAATGCAAATCATAGATAAAAGATTATATGAGCCCTGACCGAGTGTTCTCAAAAGTCAAACTCCAAGTGCATGTGTGAAGCTGTATATAGCTGAAAAATATATATATTTTTCAAACTGTTTTATATTTCATACTCCATATTGCTGAAGCCAAGGTCAGCAATATGGAGTATGGAATATCAAACAAATTTGAAAATGGAAAATAAAGAGGGTTAAGAATTATTCAGTGAATAAAGTCAATAAAGTTTCAGTCCTTTTAAATGTTAGATTCATATGTTTGTTGGCTGCATGAATATAATCTTTTGAGAAGTGTCTGTTCATGTCCTTTGCTCACTTTTTAATGGGGTTGTTGGTTTTATTCTTGTAAATTTGTTTAAGTTCCTTGTTGACTGTGGATATTAGACCTTTGTCATATGGATAGATTGAAAAATTTCCTCCCATTTTGTAGGTTGTCTGTTCACATTGATGATAGTTTTTTTTTTTTTTTTTTTTTGCCATGCAGGAGCTCTTAGTTTAATTACGTACCATTTGCTAATTTTTGCTTAGCTGCAATTACTTTTGGTGTTTTCATCATGAAATCTTTGCTCATGCCTATATCCTGAATGATATTTCATAGATTTTCTTCGAGGGTTTTTATAGTTTTGGGTTTTACATTTAAGGCTTTAATCCATCCTGAGTTCATTTTTTTATAAGGTGTAAGGAAGCGGTCCAGTTTCAGTTTTCTGCATATGGCTACCCTGTTCTCCCAGCATCATTTATTAAATAGGAAATCCTTTCCCCATTGCTTGTTTTTGTCAAATTTATCGAAGATCAAATGGTTGTAGTTGTGTGGTCTTATTTATGAGTTCTCTATTCTGATCCATTGGTCCATGTGTCTGTTTTTGTGCCAGTGCCATGCTGTTTTGGTTATGCTAGGCTTGGAATATAGTTTGAAATAGGTAGTGTGATGCCTCCAGCTATTTTATTTTGGCTTGGGATTATCTTGACTATACAGGCTCTTTTTTGGTTCCCCATGAATTTAAAAATATATTTTTCTAATGCTGTGATGAATGTCAATAGTAGTTTAATGGAAATAGCCTTTAATCTTTAAATTACTTTAGGCAATATGGACATTTTCATGACATTGATTCTTCCTACCCATGAGCATGGAATGATTTTCCATTTGTTTGTGTTCTTTCTGATTTCCCTGAGCAGAGGTTTGCAGTTCTCCTTGAAGAGGTCCTTCACTTCTCTTGTTAGCTGTATTCCTAGGTATTTTATTCTCTTTGTAGCAATTGTGAATGGGAGTTCATTCATGATTTAGCTCTCTGCCTGCCTGTTGTTGGCATATAAGAATGTCAGCATTTTTTGCACTTTGATTTTGTATCCTGAGACTTTGCTGAAGTTGCTTCTTAGCTTAAGAAACTTTTGGGCTGAGACGATGGGGTTTTCTAGATATAGGATTATATCATCTGCAAACAAACATAATTTGATTTCCTCTCTTCCTATTTGAATATCTTTATTTCTTTCATTAGAGAAGTGCAAATCACAACCACATTGAGATACCATCTCAAACCAGTCAGAATGATGATGATTATAAAGTCAATAAGCAATAGATGCTGGTGAGGTTGAGGAGATAAAGGAACACTTCTACACTGTTGGTGGGAGTGTAAATTAGTTCAACTATTGTGGAAGACAGTGTGGCGATTCCTCAAAGATCTAGAAGCAGAAATACCATTTGATCCAGCAATCCCATCACTGGGTATATGCCCAAAGGAATATAAATTATTCTATTATAAAAATATATGCATGCACATTTTTGTTGCAGCACTGTTCACAACAGCAAAGACATGGAATCAACCCAAGTGCCTATCAACAGTAGACTGGATAAAGAAAATGTGGTATGCACACACACATGGAATACTATGCAGCCATAAAAGGAACAAGATCTTGTCCTTTTGCAGGGACATGGATGGAACTGGAAGCTGTTATCCTCAGCGAAGTAACGCGGGAACAGAAAACCAAATATCACATGTTCTCACCTATAAGTGGGAACTGAACGATGAGACTATATGGTCACATGGGGGAACAACACACACTGGGGCCTGTCAGGCAGGGAAGTGAGAGCATCAGGAACAACAGCTAATGGGTCCTGGGCTTAATACCCGAGTGGTAAGTTGATCTCTGCAGCAAACCACCATGGCACATGTTTACCTATGTAACAAACCTGCACATCATGCACATGTACCCAGGAACTTAAAATAAAAGTTAATGAAAACAAAAAGTTAGCTTCTTGGCCTGACTTGCTCGGGTAGGCTAAGAGAGCAAGGCCAGGCAAGACTCACATAGTTGCATAGGTAGAGAGGAGTAGCTTCACTGTAATTAATCCTGGGAGATGATATTTTTCCCTATCTCCATTTCAGTAGAATTGGCCCTAATAAATGATACTTCCCTTCCTTTTTCTTCCTCTGGTAAAAAGAAATAGTTTCTCTATCTTAGCACTCGTCAACTGCTGCTCAATTCCTAGTTTCCAATGGGAAGGAGAACAGATACAGTGTAACTGTCGTGTTTTAATCATAGGTGAGCTCTCCCGAAATCACCACGTTCATCAAGATGATAGGCAACAAAATGTGGAATGTGCCTATGATATAATTGTAATTCTGTGCAGTGGTTATAGGACATGAAATAGATCTACATGTTACAGAATAAATAGATTTCCAAAGCATAGATTGAGGAAAACAAGCAGAATAATTATTTTATATAAATTATAAACTGAAAGCTACATAAGTATCAGAGACATACATACGGGTAAACTAATTTATGCCAGATAGCTTTGAGGACATATATTAAATACATCAAGGTGGGTTTCATGAGGGAAGAGGAATAGTACTTGAGATGGGGGATGAAGGGAAAATGGTGAAACATAAAAAGCTATGCAGAGACAGGTAATAATAAAATGCCATGGTACGAGAAGTAAAAATAAAATCACTGTGTTGCAGCTGCTGTCCATGTAAATGAAGGAAGGAAGGAATGAACAAAATTAAAATCAGTTAGTGAAAGTCTGAAATCCCTGTGTTTTTCCTTCTATAGTTTAACTAATCAGAGAATTTATTGAAGTGAAACCACTTTTCATTGGCAAACTTTCATATTTACCTGGTATGACTATCAGGGAGAATTAAGAAAACACCTTGTATTTGCAATAACTTTAGAATCCTTTTGAGGGCTTCTTCCTTAAGTTATCCATGGGAGGGCAATGAGACAGTGACCTGGTTTTCATGTGGTGAAGTCAGTGACACAGAAGATAACTTGCCTCATGCCGCTTACACTGTTAGGGACCAAAGCGTGTCACGGCATCCTTCACTCCACACTTCCTGGTTTGCATATGGAGAGAAACACAATGTCAAGAAGTAAGAAAACACGGATTATGCGTCTCTGGAGAGAGCCTTCTGAAGATTTTAGACCGCTGACAATAAGGTGACATTGTTTTATTAGCCTCTGTTAATTAAAGACTACTTATCTATTTATCCTACAACAAACAAAGGATTTTGGTTGGCAGAACTGATAACCTTAAATAATGTAATTGCAAGTTCTAAAAACCAAAGGAGAAATGAGCCATGGATGTGAGAAATCCTGTGGAGCTGTGGAGAGCAGCTGAACCAGAAACAGGGAATTTGATGCTTTTGTCTTTCAGTTCCTTCATTGGTACGTTGAATGTAATAATACCTTCAAATAAAGAGTTTGAAATAACAAAGTCCTATTTGCTAAGATCAAGCTTCCATGGAGAAACATGTCCTCTTAGTAGGAAACTGTTAGAATCTCAGCTCATACTGGGATTGGAGAAACCATACATCTTTAATTTCTGAATATATCGTGTGAGAAAGCAATTGACAAATTGATATCTACCAGGTAAAGAACTACATTAAAAAGAATAGTTTCACAAAATCATACAATAGTTATATTTATATAATTATGACTTAAAAGAGTTTCTGATGAAGCTGTGAAAACCTCATTTATCATACTATAAAATAGCTGTTTGTATGACCAATACCAGAAATAATAATATCACAGTTGTACATCTTTATACAACTTGTACCATATCATTTTAACCTCACTATAATTATTTGAAGAATAGAGGCTTGCTATTATTCTATTGAGATTTTGAGAAACTGAGGTTCTAAGTGGTTCCTTTAAATAGATCACACTACTTGAAATGTTTGAAGACCACTGAGTTACTGAAATTTTCTTCCAAGTTCTCACATGGACCTAAATAATAATAGGCTTGGTAGTAATAGCTCAGCTCTGTCCTGGTGTAATACTTCATTATATCCATCATTATCATGAAATGTAAAAGTATTGAGTCTTATTTAAGCAGTACAAATCATAGATAGGATATGTTTTAGTACAAGGTGGCCAGTGTCTGATATCTAACAACAGAAATTTTGGCTGCGAGTATTGGAGTAATAATATTTTAATACTTTTATCATAATACCAAATGTGTACTTCCAAAGAATGGGCACAAATGTAGGTTTTATAAAATTCGAAGCATTGATCTTGCATATATAACAGTGGAGGTACATTTCATATATATAATAAATGAAATGGTAGTATCTTATCTAAATGTGTAAGATAGTCAAGCTACTCAGTGTGTGGGGGAATTCGGAAATAATTATATGACGTGTTTAAGGTTACCAGGACATGTTACTGCACTGAGGCCCCATTTAATGCTTGATGTATTTCACAAGTATGCACAATTTACTCCTGGGTACTCTATTTATAATGTGTGACAAATTTTTTCAATGCCAATTGGTTGATTTCCCAGGGAGCTTTATTACCACCTTACTTTGAAAAACTTCTGGCTGGGCCCACACTGAGAAGATATCAGTCTGCCTCTGCCATAGGTCTGAGCAGGCTACCTTGGTTTTGACCTTCTGTACAAAGATTGCCCCATCAGATATCCCTCATCAATTAGGTCCATCTGAACTAACACATTTTGTTGTTAAATGGCCTTATTGATATCATGCTTCACTGACTCTGGACTTGCCTGGTTCATCCATTCACTTCTGTTTAGGAATATGCAGACAGCCTCTAGAGTTTGACCAGCCTTCTGAATATCCCTATCTATTTCTTTGTTGAAATTTTTATGTTTTCTCTCAATTTCCAAAATGAAACCAACCAATCATTTTTGTATGTGAGACTCAATTTACATTCTCTTTTAAATTTTTTCTGCACCTCAGAGAAAAAATGGAATAGCATGTGTTGAAAGGAATAGTGAAAGGAAGCAAATAAATGGCGTAAGCAAAATATACTGTAGCCCAGAGATAAGAAGACAAAGTATAGAAAACTCTTTGTCACTCAAAAAAAGTCTATAGCTGAGATCTATAGGGAGAAAGAAAGGCAGAAGAAAAAACGGAGTATAGTTGTCAAATATGTGTTAGTGTCATATATTGAAAAAACATATAATGCTGAATTGAAAAACGTGCTAGATTATGGTATAAATGCTATGTGTCAGCTGAGAGCTGTGGCCATGTTGAATGTGCACTGCAGAAAGCTGAAGCCTCACCACTGTATCCCCAGCGAGGTCTCTCTTACATGCAAGCTGGAAGGAGGCTTGCTAATGTCAGTCTCTGAATTCTGATGCAAGTGAGAGGCAGCCCATAGTGATATAGGTGGAAACAGACTTTAGCTCCATATGCTACAGCAGACTTTGAACTTATCTTAATTACTACTGTGTCTACTGAGGAGTAGAGCAGAATTTCTCTAGTGCTGCACTGAGACAGAAAAATGGATAGATAGTAGTGATCACAAGTCAGAAGAATTGATTCAGGCCAAGTATTAAGTGCATATTCAATGGCAAAAGTAAAAAGCCTGCACCAAGTTTTCCAGCAATGAAAAGAGGGTAATGAAATGACTCATTCTGATGAGAAAAAATGACCTTTCAAATCTGGGGCAGGTATATGAGACATAATTAGATTCTTATTTCATCAGTGGATGTCTGTGTGACAGAGGAAAATGCATTCTCTTGTTTTCCCCTGTTACACACAAAATAACAATAGAAATACCTAAAATTCATTGGGTTTTTACTATGTAACAGGCATTATTCTAAGTCTTCTTTATATGTAACTTAATTCTGACATAATTCTAAGGTCTACAAGTTAGGTACTAATGTTGACCTTATTCTACACATGATAAAACTGAAGCACAAAGAATTTAAGTTGCTCTAATGTAATTATAGAGCCAGGATTCAAACCTAGACATGCCAGCATCAAATCCCCAATGCTTAACCATCACACTACAGAGAATTGTACATTTACATGCTATTGAAATATTCTAATTCATGAAGTAAAAATTAATGAACTTAGAAAAAAATGCTAGTGGCAAACAAACATTTAGATTAAGTCTTTCTAGGAGTATTTCAGTTTTGAGAATGGTTAGAAGGGTATTTGGAATATATTTTTAATACAAGTATTTTTTCATTTATCAAAATAGTAGAACATGAGAACCACAGATACTTTGTGGCAATTTTATGTAAAGGACAAAATTCAAAGTTGTGAAATTTTTTTTGAGTGGAATATATGACAGATGTTCTCAATCTTGGCTGCACATTGGAATCACCTGGGGAATTTTTTAAACTTACGAGTGCCTGGATTCTATCCCCAAGATCTTACTAAATTGGTTCTGGGTATGGCCTGGTCTCAGGATTTAGAAAAGTTGTCCAGATGCTTTTAATTTGCACATAGGGTTGGCAACACTGGAAAAATTCAGGGCTTAACTTGAGGGTAGCTTTATGGTGAAGCCTACACACCCAGGATGAAGTCACGTTGACCTGGGTTTGATTTCACAGGCCCACACATATGAACTGTGTGATTTTTAGAAATTCATGTTTCTTTCCTCAGCTTCAAGTTTCCTTGTCTGTACACCGAGGTTAATAATACTTCCTCTGGTTTTATAGATATGCACAATAATCTCTTAGCAATGCATACATGTTCCTTAGCATAGTGGTTGGCGTATTGTGACCATCTCAATAAACTTTAGTTTTTTTTTTTTTTAGAATAAAGGCAGATCATGGGTTAATTTATTTTCATCAAATTATGAGACATGTAGAAAATCGGTAAACTATATAGCTGTTTTTCACTGAATGTAATGTCTTAATTTATAACCTCTAAGAATGCTAAATGATATATATCATCTATGTATTGCAATCTAATTAACTGGATGGCTCTTTTAGAGAGGAATTTACTCTGATTTGCTTGGCACTAGCACACATTCCTAGGCATAATAGAGAGTAAAAAGACTTGCAAATGTGAAGAAGAAAGATTTACAGAATCTTTCTTCTATTCCTACCCTCCTATCCCCTCAAACCTTTATAATCCCTGATGGCCCAGTATTCCTGAATCTCTCTACCTTGCCTCAGACCTGCTTACTAAAATGTCCATTAGAAAATCCAAGCCTGTCTTACTGACCATCCTGGAGCAAACATTTAATTTGGTGGCAGGTTAGTCATATTGAACATTGTTCTAGGAGGCACAGAACCATGAGTCATCCTATCATTCTATGAGGTCTTGTACTGATTCCTAACTTAGATCCAACAACCGTTTTTCTGATTTTATTTAATTCCCTATTTCCTGGTTCATAACCATGGCCATGTAAAAGCTTCAGGTTCTTGCTTGCCACAAGCTACTGTTCCCAAGTAATGGCAGATGAGCAAGTATGTGACATCATCCAACTATAGATGCTTATGAGCAAATACCTTGGCTACAAAAACCTCTTTGCTGGGACAGAAATATTTAGAAATGTCCCTTTCACTGTATATGAGTGTTTTCACTGTATATGAGTTTAAAAATATCTGATAAAAATGCCTCGTTTTTTCCTTCTTTCCTTTTAGGTACTATAAACATGATTGTAGTACAGATGATGTTTTAGAATTGAAAATAGAGAAACCATTTTACATTCTAAAGTATATTCATTTACTTTAAAAATCATAATTGTTAATTTCTTCATAAGTATATATATTTTAATTTAGTTACTGTATGCAGGCTACATTCCATGCATTTTACATATATTAGTTAATTTAACCATCATAAAATCTTGTGAGATTGACGCTATTGCTATCTCTAGTTTGCAGGTAGAGAAACTGAGAGTGCCCAACTAAAAACTGATTAAGACAAGATCTAAATGTGGGCTATCTAGCTCCAGAAAATGAGCTCTTTAATATTATACCTTACTAACAGCAGCAATGATTTACAAACATAATAATGCCCTTTCTAACAGCATGTAACAAATTCACTTTTATTTTTTTCTGGCATTTAAACACTGTCAAACACTAATACTATTGCTATTGGATTCACTTTTTTTAAAAATTTAATTTTGTTGAGAGGTACCCCACCAGAAGGACCCTGATCATTATCATGCTATCAATAATTAAGGTTTTTTTTTAAGTTTTCAAAACAGTCAATCTGAAGTCATGTTCCTCTAATACAGTGTATTTCTTTGGATCTCAATTTTTCTTCTGAGATACTTTTTCCTTGAAAAGACCCTTCCACTTAGAGGATTTTCTGTATAGTAAATCTCCATCTTTATTTCCTGCTTCTTAAGCAGCTACTCAACATTTAAAATTTTTCTTTTCTTTTCTTTCTTTCTTTCTTTCTTTCTTTCTTTTTTTTTTTTTTTTTGAGATGGAGTTTCACTCTTGTTGACCAGGTTGGAGTGCAATGGTACGATCTTGGCTCACCACAACTTCCGCCTCCCAATTCATGTGATTCTCCTACCTCAGCCTCCCGAGTAGGTGGGATTACAGGCATGCACCACCATGCCTGGCTAATTTTTTGTATTTTTAGTAGAGACGGGATTTCTCCATGTTGGTCAGGCTGGTCTTGAACTCCCAACCTCAGGTGATCTGCCCGCCTTGGCCGCCCAAAGTGCTGGGATTACAGGTGTGAGCCACCGCACCCAGACATGATAAATTTTTCTAATTGCCCTTTTAAAAAACAGAAGTCCTAAAGTTTTATTAATTTGTTTTGCAACAAAATACGTAAGTTGGAACTGGTGAGAAATACATTTATGGAAAGTGTTTATGCTCCTACTAAATTTCACATAGAAACATCCTAATTAGAATAACTAATCCCATCTCTGAACCTTTGTTAAGTGTAGATAATCAGTTTCTAGTTGGGCACTCTCAGTTTCTCTACCTGTAAACTAGAGATAGCAATAGCATCAATCTCACAAGATTTTATGATGATTAAATTAACTAATATATGTAAAATGCATGGAATTAGCCTGCATACAGTAACTAAATTAAAATATATATACTTATGAAGAAACTAACAATTATGATTTTTAAAGTAATGAATATACTTTAGAATGTAAAATGATTTCTCTGTTTTCAATACTAAAACATCATCTGTACTACAGTCATGCTTATAGTACCTAAAAGGAAAGAAGGAAAAAACAAGGCATTATGCTATTCAGGCATCACACTTAAACTACATATAAACATGAAAGAAATCATATTAATCTCAATAACCCAGAATTTCTCCTTACTTCCAACGGCATATGCAAATTCCACATAGCTTTCTCAGGTGTTTCTGTGGGCTGACAGCAGTGCATTGTGGAGATTCACATACCTGTCATCATCTGCAATACCAGATGGCATCCATCAACTTCTTCCCTTTAGTTCTACCTCTCTGTGATGCCGCTAGATGTGAACACCAGCGTGGGTGGTGGGAAATCTCATAGCGAGGACATTATAATTGCATCAATGTGCATACCCAGGGAACTGCCCAGGGGTGCAGCCAAAGCTGCCCGTCTTTGAAGGGCTGAAGGTGTGCTGCGTTCTGTGCAGACAAGGAGAAATTATCCTCTCTTCAACTCTGCATTGTCCTATGTCACCTCAGTTCATTAGCAGCAATATTTCTTTCCAGGGTCTCTTAGAAATCATAATAGCTCTTCTGGCCTTAAGCTATTTTTGCATAAAGGGCTGAAACCTAGTCCAAATGACTGGGCAGGAAACAGATACCTTGCCATAACCTGTTTCTGTCCATTAGTTCTTTCTACCCCTCCCCTTTATATAAACAAATGTGAAAGCTCCTGTCTCAACCTTCCGCTAAATCCTTCCCATGTCCCTGCCCATGTGTGCCAGTTATGTAACTCCACTCAGCAGAAACATTTATTCCAGGATTTACTTCTATTTACTTTTCCATGGCTGAGAGCATGTCAATTCCCCCAAATCATGACTCATTTCTATTGGGGAATAATTGGAAAAAGAGAGAACTGGAAATATAATAGAGAAATAAAACGGATGACAGAGTAGGAATAAAGGATTTTGCAATAAAGCTTGGAATCTATGAAAGTCAAACAGTGAGTTAGATCTGCACCCCTCAGATTATCAGAAAAGATGCACTCAGTACATTCTGTGGAAAGACAGACTCAGAACAAACCCTTTGTCTAAAGTCATCCTTGACTGAACTAAGATTCTATAACCCCCAACAACTCTTGGGAAGAGCTGTTGAAAAGTTTCTATTTACCATAGCTGAGTATATTAGATAAAGTTACTCCCAAATTTTCTATATGAAGCAAATTATTACTTATTTCTGTGACTATGAGAAAATTAAAGAGGGAATCAATAACTCTAAACTGTATATCAAATAGCCATTAACATTTGGATAGAAGCTTCAGATCCTGGAAAATAAAAACATTTCTAAACATGCATATTTTCTGCAGCCAACACACACACACACACACACACACACACACACACACACACACATTTTGCTGAAGGCTTTGGTGAAAGAAAATCTACAGCTATCACCTAGTGAATATAGGGATAATGAATAGAAATTAATTTTAATATCTTGAAATACATAAAATAACTTTTATATTTTATATACTTTAGTAATCATAAAATCACTTTTACATATGACTTTGATCTCCCAAATTCTATTTCTCTCAGAGGATCTGATCCTTCTTGATGAATGAGACAGGGTCTGCTTTTTTGCCTTTGCTACTGATCTTTCTAAGGTGAAGGACCAACTATGAGGTTTCATAGGATTTTAGATAATTCACCCCTTTAATAATCATATTAAACTCATTATTTTTATAAGTTTAGTAAAAATTCTATTATCATGAGGGAGTACTTTATTCTCTTAACAGGGCCTATGCTTGCTTTTGAAAAATCTGGAATATTGATCTTCACTACATTTGTACATATCATTGGAGAACAGTGAATAACAGAGACACTGTGTGAAGATCATAGATCACAGGATCAACTGAAAACTTCCACATTCGCTGGTTAAACGGTGTGACATTTGGGAATCAAAAAGAATCCAGTTGGATTTTTCTCTACTCATTCCTGATGACAGAAGGAGAGGGGCAGAGGGAGCAGCATTTCAGCTTGGGTAGTGGCTCAAATGTTATTTAGCACAGCAGTGCTAAAGAGAATCAGGCATGTTAACAGGTACAGCACAAATTTACCAAGTGGTTGGAAGGATCAAAGGTTAAAGGATGGTTAAGTAATTATATATTTTATAAGGTTAAAGGTGAGCATAAACCCCCTTGGAGATCACAAGAGAATTCAGGTACCAGTCTAGAGACAGCTGGAAGGCATTTTTTCAGAGTTTCATTAGGTAATGGGTGAAGAGAGATTGGACTCATCATTATTAATAGACAGAAGGAACGGAACTAGTCTGAGGAAGGTCTTCACAATGAAACTAAAGCTGTAGATCCTGCATGTTCTCTGACCATGTTTGCATGGCAGGTGGCCATCCACAGCTGTTTGAATGAAGTATGTTACTACTAAAGGAGTGAATGTATTTATTTGGAGCCACTAAGCATTTAAAACTGTATTTAAATGTCAATCAAATTCTCCCTTCTCTGTACCCAGGCAATTCCCTTCCATGAAACTAAGAATCCCATAGGCCTTCCCCTAAGATGGTAAATATTTGTATATATGCAAATCAAAATCTGGAAGGGATCTTAAAAAATTTATATTCCAACTCGCTCAGAGAAAATACTATCCTAGAAAAGTTGTTTCTTATACATTGCTACAGTTAAAGAGAGCACGGATGAAAATTATAGTTTCTTACTTCATTTGCAGGATAATGTACTCTACCCCTTGTCTGAGAAGTGATGAAGAGGTGGAATGGAAAAAAAACCCGAACAAAAACATTTCTGTATCCTCTATGTTATTTAAATTTTTTTCTTCTTGTTAAAATCCCTATGAGACATGTGTTTTCTCACTTTGTCATTAAACCCACATTGAAAATTGAGAAACAAATCTTGTTCCATAAAAAAAAAGTAGTAAATGAACATAATAGAAGTAAGTTTGTTGATTTTCCAAGTAACTGACCAGGGCTTCCACAGGCTCACATATTAGAAGGTTCGGTTTTTAAAATGGTTTTCTATGTCTAACTGTTTTGTAGATGCTTTTACCTAGTATTATTTCCAGAGACACATATTGTAGATACGTAGGCAGTTTTCAAAAAAAGTTACTATTTGGGAAACTGGAAGTCACGGGTGGTCCTCTGACCGCTTACATGAACTGATGCATGTGATTGTATGGTACTGAAAGACAGAGGGTATTGTGTAATTCCGTACTACTGCATATGCTATTTTTAGACCCGCCTATTACTCTGAGGTTCTCTATAATAATGACACATCTACGCTTCATCAAGATGTCATTAAAAAGATGAAAGAAGACTTTAGAAAGTAAAACAAATGTGGTAAACATAGAAAAATACATAAAAATGGAGTAAGAAGGATGTCTCAGAATTCTATGATTAAACCCATCTGGAAACATTGACTTTTTCTTTTACTCTTTTATTTAACCTTTTATTTTACAAATAGCTAGCTTTAAGTAGCTTATGATTACGTGCACATGCATTTAAAGTATTGAAAATTCAGTGCTGATTAATGTTGAATGTTATTGAAAGATCACTCTATCAGTGTCCCAGTGTGAGATAGAATTCCATTCAGATGGTTCCACTGAAGACTTTAATGTAAGGACTGCTTGCCGAGGTAAGGGCAGGGACAAGGGAGTCAACGAGTAAGATGGAGGCAAGCAAAGATCATTGTGAATCAATGGAAAACTGTTATTACTCCTAGGCCTGAAGGGACAAAAGGAGAAAATAATGCACTGAAGACCTGGTAAGAAGTAGAACCATGGATAAAGGACCGCCTCTTAGGGGCTGCAACCATAGCGGCACGGAGGCAATGCCAGGAAACACTGACCTTGTGTGCTGGGGGTGGGGAGGTCAAAAAATATATTTATGGGAAAAAAAAATTACCCTAATACCCCAACCTTTCTCCTCCCCTCCATAATCTCCTGCCCATG
Source organism: Homo sapiens (assembly GCF_000001405.40). Taxonomy (NCBI): domain Eukaryota; kingdom Metazoa; phylum Chordata; class Mammalia; order Primates; family Hominidae; genus Homo; species Homo sapiens. Next base: position 145,936,450 of record NC_000003.12, on the reverse strand, counting down.
CCTTCCTTTGGCCAAATCCACTGAAAACTAAACAACAAGAAATCTGGGTGATACATTTTATAAGGGCCCACCACCTGTGGACCAGCAAGACAGAAAAAAGATGGAAGATGAAACTGAAAAGATAAAGAATTTCCGCTGCAATATCAGAGGTTAAGAATCACATAGCTCTTTCCACTGATCCAAGCCAGTAGAGCAATGATGAGTGAAAGCTTACTTCATGCAAAAGAAGGGGAGTGCATGATGACGCTACAGATACAGCCATTCCAGTGGGAAAAATTTAATCTTAACACAGTATGCCAATCTGGGTATGCACTACTTGCTTCTGGTGTTCTCTTTACTACTTGAGAGTAGATGGGAAAGGTTGATATGTAGGAAACCCTGTTAATAGCAGAAAACTCGAAGGTATGTTCATGGGGAGAAATCAAGATTTAGGTATAATATCATTTTCTTGGGAGTCAAGGTGTCCTGTTGTGCCACTGGCTGGATTGTGTGACTTGGCTACTTCTCTGAAAATCAGTTAACATGCTATAAAACAAAAAGGCTTGACTCTAAAAAGTCTCTGGTTTTAAAATGTTATGAGTTTATTTCTGAATGGAAAGGAAAGCAAAATGGTTTCCGACTTTCACACACCATTCAAACGATACTGTAGACACCAAATGTCAGGGATTTTCCCCCACACATCCAGCAATTATCCAGCAGATTCCAGGTGAGTACCCTCTAATTCACTTCCATTCTGGATACCATCAGATCCCACAGGCTAAAAGCTCAGTCTCATAAGACTACCCCTTACTTCACATGCCAGTCGCAAATTCTAGGTTGTGACTTGTGGTTCTTACGGACCAGCGATAAATTGGGGGTTCACATAATCACTTTCTCAGGCTTGATTAATTTGCTAGAGCAGCTCATAGAATTCAGGGAAGCACTTATTTATGTTTACCCCTTTATTAGAAAGGATATTACAAGGGATACAGATGGACAGCCAGATGGAAGAGATGCAATAAAGGAGATACTGGGGAGGGGCATGGAGTTTCCATGACCTTTCCGTGCATGCTGCCCTCTCTATGTGTTATCCAACCTGGAAGCCGTCTGAATTCTGTCCTTTTGGTGGAAGCTTTGTTACCTAGGCATGATTGATTATATCATTGGCCATTGGTGATCAGCTCAACCTGTATCCCCTCTCTTCTTCCCGGAGGTTGGAGGGTGGGGCTGAAAGTGCTAATCCTCTTCTCAGACTTTGGTCTTTCTGGTGACCAGCCTCAGCCTGAAGATGTCCAGGGACCCCCCAGCTGCCAGTCATTTCATAAGCATACAAAACTCTTACCACTTGGGAGACTCCAAGGGTTTAGGAGCTAAGTGCCAGGAACCAGGGGCAGAGTCCAGATATGTGTTTTTCTCATTATATTAGAGTTATCACAGAGTTTTTCTATCACAGGGTTTTTTCTATCACTGGTAAATTGATACCACCTTATCCTTGTTTTATTTATCCCAGACTTTGGTGTCACACTAGATTCTTCCTTCACCTTTCCTAATGCGTATAACCAAATTCTGAATTTTTTTCCTCTGACATTATACTCAAGTTTGCTCTTTCTCCTCCACGCTGTTTTGACTCAGGCCTGATGACTTCACAGCTGGAGCACTGGTGGCAACCTCCTTAGGGCCTGAACAATTCATCCTTTTTATGCTGAATTGTTACAAAGAAAGAATTATTACTAGTGAAATCTTCTGAGAGTAGAATGGATTGTTAACAAAGTAAACACATAAAAGTAAACTAAAATACCCCTATTTTGGTTTAAGTCCAACAGATGTTTACCAAGTGTGTACTATTTTACTAGACATTACATGTTGGGGATGAAACAGTGAAAGATATTGACCCTGTCCTTGGAAGGTCCACAGTTTAGATTTTAGCTGTTGAAAATATATAAGGGTTTGGGGGGGGAGGGGTTAATGCTTCTTTAACAGAATGTTAATTTTGTTGAAATATATATATTATACACACACACACACACACACACACACACACACACACACAAGGTATAACCATGATTCAAACAAAACATAAAATGAACATGTTACAAGTTTCACTTAATTTGTTAATTAATTAGGTGTTGTGGGCTGAATCGTGCCCTCAAAAAGATATGTTGAAGTCCTAATCTGTATACCTGTGAAAATAACTTTATTTGGAAATAGGGTCTTTGTAGATTTATCAAATTAAGATAAGGTCATACTGGATTAGGCTGGGGCCTAAATCAAATGACTAGTGTCCTTATAAGAAGACCATGTGAAGGCAGGGACACAGACACAGGAGAGACGGCCATGTGACAACAGAGGCTTAGTTTGGATTGATGTAGCTGCAAGCTCTGGAAGGCCAAATATTGCCAGCAACCACCAGAAGCTAGGAAAAGGCAAGGAAGAATTCTCACCTAGAACTTTCATGGAGAGCGTGGCCCTGCTGACACCTAATTTCAAAATTCTAGCTTCCAGAATTTTAAGATAATAAATTTATTTTGTCTTAACTCACGAAGCTTGTGACACTTTGCTTTAGCAGCCCTGGGAAATTAATACATGAGGGCACTCGTAAAACACCTAAAACCAGTTTTAAGGAAAACACAAAGAGCAGATAATCATATTCAGGCAATCAGGAATGCCAAAATTAATTTTGTTTTTTATTATACTTTAAGTTTTAGGGTACATGTGCACATTGTGCAGGTTAGTTACATATGTATACATGTGCCATGCTGGTGTGCTGCACCCACTAACTCGTCATTTAGCATTAGGTGTATCTCCCAATGCTATCCCTCCCCCCTCCCCCCACCCCACCACAGTCCCCAGAGTGTGATATTCCCCTTCCTGTGTCCATGTGATCTCATTGTTCAATTCCCACCTATGAGTGAGAATATGCGGTGTTTGGTTTTTTGTTCTTGCGATAGTTTACTGAGAATGATGACTTCCAATTTCATCCATGTCCCTACAAAAGATATAAACTCATCATTTTTTATGGCTGCATAGTATTCCATGGTGTATATGTGCCACATTTTCTTAATCCAATCTATCATTGTTGGACATTTGGGTTGGTTCCAAGTCTTTGCTATTGTGAATAATGCTGCAATAAACATACGTGTGCATGTGTCTTTATAGCAGCATGATTTATAGTCATTTGGGTATATACCCAGTAATGGGATGGCTGAGTCAAATGGTATTTCTAGTTCTAGATCCCTGAGGAATCGCCACACTGACTTCCACAATGGTTGAACTAGTTTACAGTCCCACCAACAGTGTAAAAGTGTTCCTATTTCTCCACATCCTCTCCAGCACCTGTAGTTTCCTGCCTTTTTAATGATTGCCATTCTAACTGGTGTGAGATGGTATCTCATTGTGGTTTTGATTTGCATTTCTCTGATGGCCAGTGAAGTTGAGCATTTTTTCATGTGTGTTTTGGCTGCATAAATGTCTTCTTTTGAGAAGTGTCTGTTCATGTCCTTTGCCCACTTTTTGATGGGGTTGTTTGTTTTTTTCTTGTAAATTTGTTTGAGTTCATTGTAGATTCTGGATATTAGCCCTTTGTCAGATGAGTAGGTTGCGAAAATTTTCTCCCATGTTGTAGGTTGCCTGTTCACTCTGATGGTAGTTTCTTTTGCTGTGCAGAAGCTCTTTAGTTTAATTAGATCCCATTTGTCAATTTTGTCTTTCGTTGCCATTGCTTTTGGTGTTTTGGACATGAAGTCCTTGCCCATGCCTATGTCCTGAATGGTAATGCCTAGGTTTTCTTCTAGGGTTTTTATGGTTTTAGGTCTAACGTTTAAATCTTTAATCCATCTTGAATTGATTTTTGTATAAGGTGTAAGGAAGGGATCCAGTTTCAGCTTTCTACATATGGCTAGCCAGTTTTCCCAGCACCATTTATTAAATAAGGAATCCTTTCCCCATTGCTTGTTTTTCTCAGGTTTGTCAAAGATCAGATAGTTGTAGATATGCGGCGTTATTTCTGAGGGCTCTGTTCTGTTCCATTGATCTATATCTCTGTTTTGGTACCAGTACTATGCTGTTTTGGTTACTATAGCCTTGTAGTATAGTTTGAAGTCAGGTAGCATGATGCCTCCAGCTTTGTTCTTTTTGCTTAGGATTGACTTGGCGATGCGGGCTCTTTTTTGGTTCCATATGAACTTTAAAGTAGTTTTTTCCAATTCTCTGAAGAAAGTCATTGGTAGCTTGATGGGGATGGCATTGAATCTACAAATTACCTTGGGCGGTATGGCCATTTTCACGATATTGATTCTTCCTACCCATGAGCATGGAATGTTCTTCCATTTGTTTGTATCCTCTTTTATTTCCTTGAGCAGTGGTTTGTAGTTCTCCTTGAAGAGGTCCTTCACATCCCTTGTAAGTTGGATTCCTTGGTATTTTATTCTCTTTGAAGCAATTGTGAATGGGAGTTCACTCATGATTTGGCTCTCTGTTTGTCTGTTGTTGGTGTGTAAGAATGCTTGTGATTTTTGTACATTGATTTTGTATCCTGAGACTTTGCTGAAGTTGCTTATCAGCTTAAGGAGATTTTGGGCTGAGACGATGGGGTTTTCTAGATATACAATCATGTCATCTGCAAACAGGGACAATTTGACTTCCTCTTTTCCTAATTGAATACCCTTTATTTCCTTCTCCTGCCTAATTGCCCTGGCCAGAACTTCCAACACTATGTTGAATAGGAGTGGTGAGAGAGGGCATCCCTGTCTTGTGCCAGTTTTCAAAGGGAATGCTTCCAGTTTTTGCCCATTCAGTATGATATTGGCTGTGGGTTTGTCATAGATACCTCTTATTATTTTGAAATACGTCCCATCAATACCTAATTTATTGAAAGTTTTTAGCATGAAGGGTTGTTGAATTTTGTCAAAGGCTTTTTCTGCATTTATTGAGATAATCATGTGGTTTTTGTCTTTGGCTCTGTTTATACGCTGGATTACATTTATTAATTTGCATATATTGAACGAGCCTTGCGTCCCAGGGATGAAGCCCACTTGATCATGGTGGATAAGCTTTTTGATGTGCTGCTGCATTCGTTTTGCCAGTATTTTATTGAGGATTTTTGCATCAATGTTCATCAAGGTTATTGGTCTAAAATTCTGTTTTTTGGTTGTATCTCTGCCCGGCTTTGGTATCAGAATGATGCTGGCCTCATAAAATGAGTTAGGGAGGATTCCCTCTTTTTCTATTGATTGGAATAGTTTCAGAAGGAATGGTACCAGTTCCTCCTTGTACCTCTGGTAGAATTCGGCTGTGAATCCATCTGGTCCTGGACTCTTTTTGGTTGGTAAACTATTGATTATTGCCACAATTTCAGCTCCTGTTATTGGTCTATTCAGAGATTCAACTTCTTCCTGGTTTAGTCTTGGGAGAGTGTATGTGTCGAGGAATTTATCCATTTCTTCTAGATTTTCTAGTTTATTTGCGTAGAGGTGTTTGTAGTATTCTCTGATGGTAGTTTGTATTTCTGTGGGATCGGTGGTGATATCCCCTTTATCATTTTTATTGTGTCTATTTGATTCTTCTCTCTTTTTTTCTTTATTAGTCTTGCTAGCAGTCTATCAATTTTGTTGATCCTTTCAAAAAACCAGCTCCTGGATTCATTAATTTTTTGAAGGGTTTTTTTGTGTCTCTATTTCCTTCAGTTCTGCTCTGATTTTAGTTATTTCTTGCCTTCTGCTAGCTTTTGAATGTTTGCTCTTGCTTTTCTAGTTCTTTTAATTGTGATGTTAGGGTGTCAATTTTGGATCTTTCCTGCTTTCTCTTGTGGGCATTTAGTGCTATAAATTTCCCTCTACACACTGCTTTGAATGCGTCCCAGAGATTCTGGTATGTTGTGTCTTTGTTCTTGTTGGTTTCAAAGAACATCTTTATTTCTGCCTTCATTTCGTTATGTACCCGGTAGTCATTCAGGAGCAGGTTGTTCAGTTTCCATGTAGTTGAGTGGCTTTGAGTGAGATTCTTAATGCTGAGTTCTAGTTTGATTGCACTGTGGTCTGAGAGATAGTTTTTTATAATTTCTGTTCTTTTACATTTGCTGAGGAGAGCTTTACTTCCAACTATGTGGTTAATTTTGGAATAGGTGTGGTGTGGTGCTGAAAAAAATGTATATTCTGTTGATTTGGGGTGGAGAGTTGTGTAGATGTCTATTAGGTCCACTTGGTGCAGAGCTGAGTTCAATTCCTGGGTATCCTTGTTGACTTTCTGTCTCGTTGATCTGTCTAATGTTGACAGTGGGGTGTTAAAGTCTCCCATTATTAATGTTTGGGAGTCTAAGTCTCTTTTTAGGTCACTCAGGACTTGCTGTATGAATCTGGGTGCTCCTGTATTGGGTGCATATATATTTAGGATAGTTAGCTCTTCTTGTTGAATTGATCCCTTTACCATTATGTAGTGGCCTTCTTTGTCTCTTTTGATCTTTGTTGGTTTAAAGTCTATTTTATCAGAGATGAGGATTGCAACCTCTGCCTTTTTTTGTTTTCCATTTGCTTTGCAGATCTTCCTCCATCGTTTTATTTTGAGCCTATGTGTGTCTCTGCACGTGAGATGGGTTTCCTGAATACAGCACACTGATGGTTCTTGACTCTTTATCCAATTTGCCAGTCTGTGTCTTTTAATTGGAGAATTTAGTCCATTTACATTTAAAGTTAATATTGTTATGTGTGAATTTGATCCTGTCATTATGATGTTAGCTCGTTATTTTGCTCGTTAGTTGATGCAGTTTCTTCCTAGTCTCGATGGTCTTTACATTTTGGCATGATTTTGCAGTAGCTGGTACCGTTTGTTCCGTTCCATGTCTAGCGCTTCCTTCAGGAGCTCTTTTAGGGCAGGCCTGGTGGTGACAAAATCTCTCAGCATTTGCTTGTCTGTGAAGCATTTTATTTCTCCTTCACTTATGAAGCTTAGTTTGGCTGGATATGAAATTCTGGGTTGAAAATTCTTTTCTTTAAGAATGTTGAATATTGGCCCCCACTCTCTTCTGGCTTGTAGGGTTTCTGCCGAGAGATCCGCTGTTAGTCTGATGGGCTTCCCTTTGAGGGTAACCCGACCTTTCTCTCTGGCTGCCCTTAACATTTTTTCCTTCATTTCAACTTTGGTGAATCTGACAATTATGTGTCTTGGAGTTGCTCTTCTCGAGGAGTATCTTTGTGGCGTTCTCTGTATTTCCTGAATCTGAACGTTGGCCTGCCTTGCTAGATTGGGGAAATTCTCCTGGATAATATCCTGCAGAGTGTTTTCCAACTTGGTTCCATTCTCCCCATCACTTTCAGGTACACCAATCAGACGTAGATTTGGTCTTTTCACATAGTCCCATATTTCTTGGAGGCTTTGCTCATTTCTTTTTATTCTTTTTTCTCTAAACTTCCCTTCTCGCTTCATTTCATTCATCTTCCATTGCTGATACCCTTTCTTCCAGTTGATCGCATCGGCTCCTGAGGCTTCTGCATTCTTCACGTAGTTCTCGAGCCTTAGTTTTCAGCTCCATCAGCTCCTTTAAGCACTTCTCTGTATTGGTTATTCTAGTTATACATTCTTCTAAATTTTTTTCAAAGTTTTCAACTTCTTTGCCTTTGGTTTGAATGTCCTCCCGTAGCTCAGAGTAATTTGATCGTCTGAAGCCTTCTTCTCTCAGCTCGTCAAAGTCATTCTCCATCCAGCTTTGTTCTGTTGCTGGTGAGGAACTGCGTTCCTTTGGAGGAGGAGAGGCGCTCTGCGTTTTAGAGTTTCCCGTTTTTCTGTTCTGTTTTTTCCCCATCTTTGTGGTTTTATCTACTTTTGGTCTTTGATGATGGTGATGTACAGATGGGTTTTCGGTGTGGATGTCCTTTCTGTTTGTTAGTTTTCCTTCTAACAGACAGGACCCTCAGCTGCAGGTCTGTTGGAATACCCTGCTGTGTGAGATGTCAGTGTGCCCCTGCTGGGGGGTGCCTCCCAGTTAGGCTGCTCGGGGGTCAGGGGTCAGGAACCCACTTGAGGAGGCAGTCTGCTGGTTCTCAGATCTCCAGCTGCGTGCTGGGAGAACCACTGCTCTCTTCAAAGCTGTCAGACAGGGACATTTAAGTCTGCAGAGGTTACTGCTGTCTTTTTGTTTGTCTGTGCCCTGCCCCCAGAGGTGGAGCCTACAGAGGCTGGCAGGCCTCCTTGAGCTGTGGTGGGCTCCACCCAGTTCGAGCTTCCAGGCTGCTTTGTTTACCTAAGCAAGCCTGGGCAATGGCGGGCGCCCCTCCCCCAGCCTCACTGCTGCCTTGCAGTTTGATCTCAGACTGCTGTGCTAGCAATCAGCGAGATTCCGTGGGCGTAGGACCCTCCGAGCCAGGTGTGGGATATAATCTCGTGGTGCGCCGTTTTTTAAGCCGGTCTGAAAAGCGCAATATTCGGGTGGGAGTGACCCGATTTTCCAGGTGCGTCCGTCACCCCTTTCTTTGACTCAGAAAGGGAACTCCCTGACCCCTTGCGCTTCCCAAGTGAGGCAGTGCCTCGCCCTGCTTCGGCTGGCGCACGGTGCATGCACCTACTGGCCTGCGCCCACTGTCTGGCACTCCCTAGTGAGATGAACCCGGTACCTCAGATGGAAATGCAGAAATCACACGTCTTCTGGGTCGCTCACGCTGGGAGCTGTAGACTGGAGCTGTTCCTATTCGGCCATCTTGGCTGCTATCACATCCCAAAATTAATTTTTTAAAGTGATGTAAATGTACCTTCTTGAAGGAGAATTGTTTTATTTCCTCCAGACAAAATTCATTTACATCTCCAAGGACAAGAACTGTTTATGATGCAATTAGGATTCTACAATATACAGAGTCAAAAAATAATCCAAAAATGAAAAGGTGCAGATATCTATAGATTGGGACAACCTGTGGTGGACACCATAGGATGCCCAGTAATCTCTCTCCACTCTTCTCTCTTTCTCTCTCTCTCTCTTTCTTTTTTGCCTTTTCAATGTCTTTTTATAATTTAATCAAAATCAGAAAATTGATCAATGATAAATTACCCATAAGTTACTCATTTGAAATAAATTCCTGTGTTGAAATACGTTTCACTTTTTATTTTCAGTCCATTGTTATTGCAACAATTTTCTTACCAAAACCTCTCTTTCCCCAGATGTGCACTGGCACCCTATACCCTACCACATCCTATTTATGTTCCTTGTTTATCAATCTTCTTTACATTTATTTGTGTTCTATCTTCTAACATTGTCTTTTGCTTATCCTCAATAGTTTTTCAGTATTGTAAGATAGGATAGCTCTCAAAGAAAACTCATTCATTTTATGCTTGGTGCATGAGTTCTCAGAAGTTGCTTCTTCTCCTCTGGCCTCTCCCCTCCCTCATCCATCTCTGTAGACATTAGTCAATCTTCAAAGTCACTTTCTAGTGCCCTCTTTTTGATCTGACTTCTGAATGCTCCATCTACTCTCAGGTCTCCCTTTACTAAACTTCCATTGAATGTCATTCATCTACAGCATTGTGATCTTGATTGTTTTCTTATTTTATATGTATTTAACTCTTTCACCATATGAGAGCCACACACTGGCAGGGGGCAGATGTGTGTGTTTGCCAGCACATTAACTGTAAAATTAAACTTGATTTTCTTTATGAAGAACACATTTTTCTTTTCATTTTTTTTCACTGTATCCTGTCACTATACATTGGGCATTCATACCCTTATGCTCTTCTCCTGGATCCAAAAGGCATTTGATTTTGGTCCCTCATTACAGAGACTGAAAAATATGAGTGACTTGCTATCAGGAGCCTTATTTAATAATATACATATATCTTTTGGGTAGACCCTGGCTCAGCTGTGTGTGTACGTTTGCTACATGTGGATTTATTCTTTTTATAATTGAATCAGAACAGAAATAAACCCTTCGGCTATGTGAAAAGCCAAAGATAATAACATGAATTCACATTTGTATATTTTAGAACTTGCAAATATTTGTATAAACACTTTCTCATAATTATCTGATAAGGTAGATATTATAATGTCTAGTTTATAAATGGGGGACCTGAGTCCCAGAATAATTAAATGCCTTACTGAAGCTCACACAGCTAATAAGCAACAGGTCTCTTTTTTTCTTTTTACATCATCTGAAAAAATTCAAGTAAATGAAAATGCATGCCCATGCTTTTGTTTCTACTGGAAAGGAAAATTACATTAAAAATGCTGCAGGAATTTTAATGGAGCATTTTACTGCCTTACACTGAGAAAGCGAAAGTAGGAAAATCTTTAGTTAGCTTCGCAAATCACCTGAAAGCGTTCTATCCGTAAAAGTAGTGTTTGGTCTGTAAAATTAGCTTCGCCTCTATTCACATTCATGAATTCTACCCTATTCCCTATTGTTTTCTTCTGTCTCCTCCTATTGTTCTTATTATCACATGGTTAAAAAAAATACACGCATCTGTCTGTACAGAGCAGCCTCATGCACAAATATATATTTCATTTTAGAAAGTCTAACAAATGGCAAATAAAAGGACCAATTAAATATATTATATTTTCATTAGGTTTCATTACCAGATCTTCATTAGATCCACTGTCAGATTACTTTTAAGACTGTCCTTATTTCTGTAAGACATCAAAATAGGCAGAATACTTATTTTTCATAAATAATTGAATGTAAATTTGAAGGAAATCATAATGATATCAAAATCCATTACATTACGATTTTGTGCACCCTTTAAAAAGATTAGAAACAGATAACAAGTTAACTCTTGACTTTATCAGAAATTTAAATGGATTAAGGAAACCAATTTTTTGTAATTCAGAGAAATAAACTGACCTTTCTATGGCTTTGAATTGATTAATGTCTAAAATGTTTCTCATTTGGAAATAAACTTAATTTAGTCACCATTACTAGAAAGAAACTCATCAAAATGGAAGTTTTTTAATAACTGAAAAAATTCTATTTAGGGTGCCCAAACTTTAATTTTTATTATGAATGGCAATATTTCCAAATATATCATATTTTTATGACTTCCACAACAGAGCACTTTACCATCATTATGAAATGGCTCATGATTGTGAAATTGATTAGTGTACTCTGCTCTTAACACAGATTCAGAAACTATTAAAATGTAAAGGGTTGCCCAGGTGTGGTGGCTCATGCCTGTAATCCCAGAACTTTAGGAGGCTGAGGTGGGTGGATCACCTGAGGTCAGGAGTTCAAGACCAGCCTGGCCAACATGGCAAACCCTGTCTCTACTAAAAATACAAAAATTAGCCAGGCATGGTGGCATGAGCCTGTAATTCTAGCTACTTGGAAGGCTGAGGCAGGAAAATCTCTTGAACCCGGGAGCAGGATGTTGCAGTGAGCTGAGATCACACCACTGCACTCCAGCCTGGGTGACAGAGTGAGACTCCTTCTCAAAAAATAAAAAATAAAATAACTCAAAATGTAAAGAGTTTTTTTGCCCTAATCTAAATGTACTAGAATGCTATGCTGCTTGAATTCCTTTACATAGTGTGTTTGACCCTCCCCTCCCCTGTCTTCCTGCCTTTAAACATTTTTATGGAAACGTAATAATTGTACATATATATGGAGAACATGGTGATACATTAATACATGTATACAATGTGTAATAATCAACTTAGTGTAATTAACACATTAATCACTGCAAATATATATCATTCCTTTGTATTGGGGACATTCAAAATCTTCTCTTCTACCTATTTGAAAATATACATCATGATTATTAACAATAGTCATTCTACAGTGCTATAGAGTGCTAGAAATTATTCCTATTATTTAGCTGCAGCTCTTCATTAACCATTCTCTCCCTATTATCTCCTCCCTTTATCCTTTCCAGCCGCTAGTAACCACAATTCTCCTCTCTTCTTCTACTATGAGCTCAGCTATTTTAGCTCTCACGAGTGAGAACATGAGGTATTCATCATTTTGTGTCTGACTTATTTCACTTAACATAATGTCTTCCAGACATATCCATGTTGCCATTAATGATAGGCTTTCATTCTTTATAAATAGATAAATAGTATTTCATTGAATATTGATAGACACTTAGGTTGATTCCAGACCTTAGCTATTGTGAATAGTGCTACAATAAACATGGGAGTACAGATAATCTCTTTGATATACTGATTTATTTTCCTTTGGATAAGTATCCAGTAGTGAGATTGCTGGATCATATGGTATTTCTATTTTTCGGTATAGAGGAACTTCTATATTGTTTTTTATAATGGCTCCACTAGTTTACATTCCCACCAACCATGTATGACTTCCCTTTTCTCTACATCCTCACCAGCATTTATTTTTTTGTCTTTCTGATAATTGCCATTCCAAGTGGGATGAGATGATCTCTCCATATGCTTTTTAATTTGCATTTCCCTGATAATTAGTGATGTTGAGCATTTCTTTTTTTTTCTTATTTTATTTTATTATTATTATACTTTAAGTTTTATAGTACATGTGCACAATGTGCAGGTCAGTTACATATGTATACATGTGCCCTGCTGGTGTGCTGCACCCATTAACTCGTCATTTAGCATTAGGTATATCTCCTAAAGCTATCCCTCCCCCCTCCCCCCACTCCACAACAGTCCCCAGAGTGTGATGTTCCCCTTCCTGTGTCCATGTGTTCTCATTGTTCAATTCCCACCTATGAGTGAGAACATGTGCTGTTTGGTTTTTTGTCCTTGCAATAGTTTACTGAGAATGATGATTTCCAGTTTCATCCATGTCCCTACAAAGGACATGAACTCATCATTTTTTTATGGCTGCATAGTATTCCATGGTGTATATGTGCCACATTTTCTTAATCCAGTCTATCATTGTTGGACATTTGGGTTGGTTCCAAGTCTTTGCTATTGTGAATAGTGCCGCAATAAACATATGTGTGCATGTGTCTTTACAGCAGCATGATTTATAGTCCTTTGGGTATATACCCAGTAATGGGATGGCTGGGTCAAATGGTATTTCTAGTTCTAGATCCCTAAGAAATCGCCACACTGACTTCCACAATGGTTGAACTAGTTTACAGTCCCACCAACAGTGTAAAAATGTTCCTATTTCTCCACATCCTCTCCAACACCTGTTGTTTCCTGACTTTTTAATGATTGCCATTCTAACTGGTGTGAGATGGTATCTCATTGTGGTTTTGATTTGCATTTCTCTGATGGCCAGTGAAGTTGAGCATTTTTTCATGTGTGTTTTGGCTGCATAAATGTCTTCTTTTGAGAAGTGTCTGTGCATGTCCTTCACCCAGTTTTTGATGGGGTTGTTTGTTTTTTTCTTGTAAATTTGTTTGAGTTCATTGTAGATTCTGGATATTAGCCCTTTGTCAGATGAGTAGATTGTGAAAATTTTCTCCCATTTTGTAGGTTGCCTGTTCACTCTGATGGTAGTTTCTTTTGCTGTGCAGAAGCTCTTTAGTTTAATGAGATCCCATTTGTCAATTTTGTCTTTTGTTGCCATTGCTTTTGGTGTTTTAGACATGAAGTCCTTGCCCATGCCTATGTCCTGAATGGTAATGCCTAGGTTTTCTTCTAGGGTTTTTATGGTTTTAGGTCTAACATTTAAGTCTTTAATCCATCTTGAATTAATTTTTGTATAAGGTGTAAGGAAGGGATCCATTTTCAGCTTTCTACATATGGCTAGCCAGTTTTCCCAGCACCATTTATTAAATAAGGAATCCTTTCCCCATTGCTTGTTTTTCTCAGGTTTGTCAAAGATCAGATAATTGTAGATATGCGGCGTTATTTCTGAGGGCTCTGTTCTGTTCCATTGATCTATATCTCTGTTTTGGTACCAGTACTATGCTGTTTTGGTTACTGTAGCCTTGTAGTATAGTTTGAAGTCAGGTAGCATGATGCCTCCAGCTTTGTTTTTTTTGCTTAGGATTGACTTGGCGATGCGGGCTCTTTTTTGGTTCCATATGAACTTTAAAGTAGTTTTTTCCAATTCTGTGAAGAAAGTCATTGGTAACTTGATGGGGATGGCATTGAATCTATAAATTACCTTGGACAGTATGACCATTTTCACGATATTGATTCTTCCTACCCATGGGCATGGAATGTTCTTCCATTTGTTTGTATCCTCTTTTATTTCCTTGAGCAGTGGTTTGTAGTTCTCCTTGAAGAGGTCCTTCACATCCCTTGTAAGTTGGATTCCTAGGTATTTTATTCTCTTTGAAGCAATTGTGAATGGGAGTTCACTCATGATTTGGCTCTCTGTTTGTCTGTTGTTTGTGTGTAAGAATGCTTGTGATTTTTGTACATTGATTTTGTATCCTGAGACTTTGCTGAAGTTGCTTATCAGCTTAAGGAGATTTTGGGCTGAGACGATGGGGTTTTCTAGATATACAATCATGTCATCTGCAAACAGGGACAATTTGACTTCCTCTTTTCCTAATTGAATACCCTTTATTTCCTTCTCCTGCCTAATTGCCCTGGCCAGAACTTCCAACACTATGTTGAATAGGAGTGGTGAGAGAGGGCATCCCTGTCTTGTGCCAGTTTTCAAAGGGAATGCTTCCAGTTTTTGCCCATTCAGTATGATATTGGCTGTGGGTTTGTCATAGATACCTCTTATTATTTTGAGATATGTCCCATCAGTACCTAATTTATTGAGAGTTTTTAGCATGAAGGGTTGTTGAATTTTGTCAAAGGCCTTTTCTGAATCTATTGAGATAATCATGTGTTTTTTGTCTTTGGTTCTGTTTATATGCTGGATTACATTTATTGATTTGCGTATATTGAACCAGCTTTGCATCCCAGGGATGAAGCCCACTTGATCATGGTGGATAAGCTTTTTGATGTGCTGCTGGATTTGGTTTGCCAGTATTTTATTGAGGATTTTTGCATCAATGTTCATCAAGGATATTGGTCTAAAATTCTGTTTTTTGGTTGTGTCTCTGCCCGGCTTTGGTATCAGGATGATGCTGGCCTCATAAAATGAGTTAGGGAGGATTCCCTCTTTTTCTATTGATTGGAATAGTTTCAGAAGGAATGGTACCAGTTCCTCCTTGTACCTCTGGTAGAATTCGGCTGTGAATCCATCTGGTCCTGGACTCTTTTTGGTGGATAAGCTACTGATTATTGACACTATTTCAGATCCTGTTATTAGTCTAATCAGAGATTCAACTTCTTCCTGGTTTAGTCTTGGGAGGGTGTATGTGTCCAGGAATTTATCCATTTCTTCTAGATTTTCTAGTTTATTTGCGTAGAGGTGTTTGTAGTATTCTCTGATGGTAGTTTGTATTTCTGTGGGATCGGTGGTGATATCCCCTTTATCATTTTTTATTGCGTCTATTTAATTCCTCTCTCTTTTCTTCTTTATTAGTCTTGCTAGTGGTCTATCAATTTTGTTGATCCTTTCAAAAAACCAGCTCCTGGATTCATTAATTTTTTGAAGGGTTTTTTGTGTCTCTATTTCCTTCAGTTCTGCTCTGATTTTAGTTATTTCTTGCCTTCTACTAGCTTTTGAATGTGTTTGCTCTTGCTTTTCTAATTCTTTTAATTGTGATGTTAGGGTGTCAATTTTGGATGTTTTCTGCTTTCTCTTGTGGGCATTTAGTGCTATAAATTTCCCTCTACACACTGCTTTGAATGCGTCCCAGAGATTCTGGTATGTTGTGTCTTTGTTCTCGTTGGTTTCAAAGAACATCTTTATTTCTGCCTTCATTTCATTATGTACCTGGTAGTCATTCAGGAGCAGGTTGTTCAGTTTCCATGTAGTTGAGTGGTTTCGAGTGAGTTTCTTAATCCTGAGTTCTAGTTTGATTGCACTGTGGTCTGAGAGACAGTTTGTTATAATTTCTGTTCTTTTACATTTGCTGAGGAGAGCTTTACTTCCAAGTATGTGGTCAGTTTTGGAATAGGTGTGGTGTGGTGCTGAAAAAAATGTATATTCTGTTGATTTGGGGTGGAGAGTTGTGTAGATGTCTATTAGGTCCACTTGGTGCAGAGCTGAGTTCAATTCCTGGGTATCCTTGTTAACTTTCTGTCTCATTGATCTGTCTAATGTTGACAGTGGGGTATTAAAGTCTCCCATTATTATTGTGTGGGAGTCTAAGTCTCTTTTTAGGTCACTCAGGACTTGCTTTATGAATCTGGGTGCTCCTGTATTGGGTGCATATATATTTAGGATAGTTAGCTCTTCTTGTTGAATTGATCCCTTTACCATTATGTAATGGCCTTCTTTGTCTCTTTTGATCTTTGTTGGCTTAAAGTCTGTTTTATCTGAGACTGGGATTGCAACCCCTTCCTTTTTTTGTTTTCCATTTGCTTTGTAGATCTTCCTCCATCCTTTTATTTTGAGCCTGTGTGTCTCTGCATGTGAGATGGGTTTCCTGAATACAGCACACTGATGAGTCTTGACTCTTTATCCAATTTGCCAGTCTGTGTCTTTTAATTGGAGCATTTAGTCCATTTACATTTAAAGTTAATATTGTTATGTGTGAATTTGATCCTGTCATTATGATGTTAGCTCGTTATTTTGCTCGTTAGTTGATGCAATTTCTTCCTAGCCTTGATGGTCTTTACAATTTGGCATGATTTTGCAGTGGCTGGTACTGGTTGTTCCTTTCCATGTTTAGTGTTTCCTTCAGGAGCTCTTTTAGGGCAGAGCTGGTGGTGACAAAATCTCTCAGCATTTGCTTGTCTGTAAAATATTTTATTTCTCCTTCACTTATGAAGCTTAGTTTGGCTGGATATGAAATCCTGGGTTGAAAATTCTTTTCTTTAAGAATGTTGAATATTGGCCCCCACTCTCTTCTGGCTTGTAGAGTTTCTGCCGAGAGATCCGCTGGTAGTCTGATGGGCTTCCCTTTGTGAGTAACCTGACCTTTCTCTCTGGCTGCCCTTAACATTTTTTCCCTCATTTCAACTTTGGTGAATCTGACAATTATGTGTCTTGGAGTTGCTCTTCTCAAGGAGTATCTTTGTGGCATTCTCTCTATTTCCTGAATCTGAATGTTGGCCTGCCTTGCTAGATTGGGGAAATTCTCCTGGATAATATCCTGCAGAATGTTTTCCAACTTGTTTCCATTCTCCCTGTCACTTTCAGGTACACCAATCAGACGTAGATTTGGTCTTTTCACATAGTCCCATATTTCTTGGAGACTTTGTGTGTTTCTTTTTGTTCTTTGTTCTCTAAACGTCCCTTCTCACTTCATTTCATTCATTTCATCTTCCATCACTGATACCCTTTCTTCCAGTTGATCGCATCGGCTCCTGAGGCTTCTGCATTCTTCACGTAGTTCTCAAGCCTTGGCTTTCAGCTCCATCAGCTCCTTTAAGCACTTCTCTGTATTGGTTATTCTAGTTATACATTCTTCTAAATTTTTTTCAAAGTTTTTAAATTCTTTGCCTTTGGTTTGAATTTCCTCCTGTAGCTCAGAGTAGTTTGATTGTCTGAAGCCTTCTTCTCTTAACTCGTCAAAGTCATTCTCCGTCCAGCTTTGTTCTGTTGCTGGTGAGGAACTGCATTCCTTTGGAGGAGGGGAGGCGCTCTGCTTTTTAGAGTTTCCAGTTTTTCTGCTCGGTTTTTTCCCCATCTTTGTGATTTTATCTACTTTTGGTCTTTGATGGTGGTGATGTACAGATGGGTTTTTGGTGTGGATGTCCTTTCTGTTTGTTAGTTTTCCTTCTAACAGACAGGACCCTCAGCTGCAGGTCTGTTGGAGTTTGCTAGAGGTCCGCTCCAGACCCTGTTTGCCTGGGTATCAGCAGTGGTGGCTGCAGAACGGCGGATTTTCATGAACCAGGAATGCTGCTCTCTGATCATTCCTCTGGAAGTTTTGTTTCCGAGGAGTATGCGGCCGTGTGAGGTGTCAGTCTGCCCCTACTGGGGGGTGCCTCCCAGTTAGGCTGCTCATGGGTCAGGGGTCAGGGACCCACTTGAGGAGGCAGTCTGCCCGTTCTCAGATCTCCAGCTGTGTGCTATGAGAACCACTACTCTCTTCAAAGCTGTCAAACAGGGACATTTAAGTCTGCAGAGGTTACTGCTGTCTTTTTGTTTGTCTGTGCCCTGCCCCCAGAGGTGGAGCCTACAGAGGCTGGCAGGCCTCCTTGAGCTGTGGTGGGCTCCACCCAGTTCGAGCTTCCAGGCTGCTTTGTTTACCTAAGCAAGCCTGGGCAATGGTGGGCGCCCCTCCCCCAGCCTCACTGCTGCCTTGCAGTTTGATCTCAGACTGCTCTGCTAGCAATCAGTGAGACTCCGTGGGCATAGGACCCTCCGAGCCAGGTGCGGGATATAATCTCGTGGTGCGCCGTTTTTTAAGCCCATCGGAAAAGCGCAGTATTAAGGTGGGAGTGACCTGATTTTCCAGGTGCCGTCTGTCACCCCTTTCTTTGACTAGGAATCGGAACTCCCTGACCCCTTGCAGAGTGAGGCATTGCCTCACTCTGATTCGGCTCGCACATGGTGCACTGCACCCACTGTCCTGTGCCCACTGTCTGGCACTCCCTAGTGAGATGAACCTGGTACCTCAGATGGAAATTCAGAAATCACCCATCTTCTGCATCGCTCATGCTGGGAGCTGTAGACTGGAGCTGTTCCTATTCGGCCATCTTGGCTGCCCCACCAAGCATTTCTCCAATATACTTGTTGTCCAGTTGTGTTTCTTCCTTTGGGAAATAGCTATTTAGCTCATTTGCCCATTTTTAAAATCAGATTGTTTTACTGCTGTTCAGTTGTTTGAGCGCCTTGTACACTTTGGATATTAATCCCTTTTCAAATGAATAGTTTGCAAATATTTTCTTCCGTTCTACACATTGCCTCTTTATATCTGTTGATTGTCTTATTTCTTGTGCCAAAACTTTTTGGTTTGATGTAAACCCAATCTATTTTTGTTTTTGTTGCCTGTGTTTTGGGAATCTTACCCATTAAATACTTGCCCAATGTCTTCAAGTATTTCTCCTGGGTTTTCTTTTAGTAGTTTTATAGTTTTGGGCCTTACATTTAAGTCTTTAATCGATTTGAGTTGATTTGTGTGCATGGTGAGATGCAAGGGTCTCGTTTCTTTCTTCTGCATATAGATATTCAGTTTTCCCAACTCCATTTATTGAAGTGGTGATTCTTTCTCTAATGTTCTTGGGAACTCTATAGAAAATCAGTTGGCTGTAAATTGTAGATTTCTGGGTTCTCTATTCTGTTCCATTGGATTATGTGTACATTTTTATGCTAGTATCATGATGTTTTGGTTATTAAAGCTTTGTAGTATATTTTTAAGTCAGGTAGTGTGATTTCTCCAGGTTTGTTGTCTTTGCTTTAACTATTATGTGTCTTTTGTGCTTCCATACAAATTTTCGAATTGCTTTTTCTATTTCTATGAAAAATAGCATTGGAATTTTGATAGGGATTACATTGAATCTGAAGATTACTTGGAGTAAGTAGTATGCATATATGAACAATATCAATTCTTTCAATACATGAATATGCAGTCTTTTCACATCTTTTTGTGTCCTCTTCAGTTTCTTTAATTGGTGTTTTGTAGTTTTTATTGTAGAGATCTTTTACCTCCTTGGTTAAATTTATTCTTTGATATTTGTGGACTTTAGCTGCTGTAAAGAAGATTGCTTTTGTATTTTTTTCAGCTAGTTTGTGATTGGGGTCAAGAAACACTACTGGGTTTTGTATGTTAATTTTTTTAAAAAGTCAATTTTAAATTCTGCAACTTTAATGAATTCCTTTAGTATATCTAATAGGTTTTTTTCTTGGTAAGTCGTCTTTAGGTTTTTCTATATATAAGATCATGTCATCTGCAAAGAAGGACAATTTTACTTCCTCTTATCTAATATACATGACCTTTATTTCTTTCTCTTGCCTCATTGCTTTGGCTAGGACTTCCAGACCACGTTGAATAAGAGTGGTGAGAGTATTTTATATTTATTATTTTTATTATTGACTCTTTTAAACTAAGAGCAAACAGCAAAATTCTCTTTGGAAAGTATGGATGTGCAGGTTGATAAAAATCTGTAAGCTGCCACTGTGGGCATATTTTTGACTGAGGAAAGTAATTGGGGTTTGGGCATACATGACTCCTTGTCTACACTTCTTCATCCTCCATATTCAAATGTCAAGTTCCAGCTCCAGATGGTTTGTGTGAAATTCAACTCAGGCAAATGTCAATATTCACTGAGTGGAGTCAGAGGGGAACAAGATTCTAAATAACTCTTACATACGTTACCTCATTTAATTCCTTCAGAAATCAGGTATTAGATATTTAAATACTGTTTTAATAATAAAGAAAATGTGACTGTAGGGAAATTTGGTAAATTGATCAAAAGAGTAAATGATAGTAAAAAATCGAACCCAGTGACTACAGCTTCAATGCCCATTCTTTTAACCATTGGGTTTTCTTGCAAACCCTTGTGTTAACTACAAAGATAAATTAACAGGAATGAACAGAGTGCTAGGGAACAGAATTGGAAGCAGCTCGTTTGTGAGGCTAGGTAGGTCTCCATGATAGCTTTGGTACAGGGTTGGCCACCAGGTGGAGGATATCAGAAAAGTAATTTAGTCTCAGCAAATAGAGGTTGAGTTCTATATGGAATCAGATAAGCCGTTCCTCAGCTTAATGGCTATGCTACAGAGCTATGTTGTGGGTTTTGGGGAATTGAGGTAAAATCAGGCACTTAAGAATCAGGAAGAGGTCAGAAATTGTCATGATTAGCACCCAGAACTAATGTTTTATTCTTCTTTTACAGAATAGTGCAGCCTCTCTAGACCATTTTCAAAAAAAGCGCTTGTCTTGCAAACTGATAATTACTTTGCTTTTGGGGGTATATGGAGTGTGTGTGCATGTGTATGTGTGTGGAAGAGTCTAATGGACAGAATTTCCCAAATCAGATACAGTACAGGACACTTCAGGTTAGCAAGCCCAATAAGGGAAGCAAGGTTAGAAATCTGTAGACTTTGACTTCATTTTTTATTTATCTGAGGATAAGTGGCAATATGGGGGCATAAGCTAACCTGTGCAAAAGTTATTGGTTTCTATATTATCAAAATTACTGAAATTATGTCATCTTACTAAACACGTTTTAAAATGACATGTTTTGTCAAGTCATGGTACATTGTGATGTGACATTTTAGTTTCTGCTTTATAAACATGAATGTAAGACAAACTTTAGATTGAAAAAAGAAATTAAACCATTCAAAAAGCCTGGGAAGATAACAGATATAAAGTGTTTGTACAATAAAAATACTTTAAAAAATCTAATTAAAAATAAACATTTTATATATAGATAGTAAAAAATTTAATCTTCAAAAGGAAATATAAAATGTAACCCTCTCTTTCCCATTTCTATCCCTGTCAATTCTATTTCCCCAAATGTAACTCCTGCTTTCAGTAGTATTTTTTCTGGGGGCCTCACTGAAAAATATATGCATTATTAAACCATATGTATAAATTGTAGTTATATATTACATAAATAGAAATTACATATTTATGTAATTTTTGATGCATGAGTTTATAGAATATGTGCTTTCTATACTTCTAATGTCATAGTGCTATTTCCATAATTGCAAATGTTTGTACATGCAGTTTTATTAGGTGCTAGCAGATTTTAGCTACATACAGCCCAATTTATTTAAATATTAAGCTATAAATGGATATTAAGTTGTTTCCAGATTATTTTATCTAATATGTACAATCATTAAATCACTAGCAGTGCTATTATTGGGCCAAAAGTTATATTACTATCTAGGAATTAACTTTTCTCTGAAGAGTAAATATTGCCTATTAGCATAGGGTTTTCTAACCTTAAAAACTTAGAAAATATACTATAAGAAAATTGACTGAACTATAAATTTTTTCCTGACATTGGCATAAGTATAAACCAAATTAAAATATGATTTAAAATGATTGAGAAAAATATTTGCCAAAAGTAAAAATCAATATCCTTAATATATAGGGAATCCCCATCTACATACTACACAGTCCCCTTGACTGGCAGCAGACAGTACCTCAAAGGTTAAGTTGAGAGCCTGAAAGCATGGTTAAATGGACTTTGTGGAAACTAGACAGTAGGCAGTAGGTGTGTTCCTTGCTGGAAAATATAGAAGACAAAATCAAGGGAGCATAGAAGAGGTTCAAGCTTAGCAAAGGCAGGAGGGTCAAAAAGCCATAAAAAGTAGTTCCAACAGGTCACATACATGAGAGTAAAGGCAGAGGAAGATAATAAATTTATAGTGTGAAGCCATGGTATAGTGTGAAGCCATAGCTGTATGTATTCAATTTGCTTCAGCGAGACTCTTGAAGAATACCTAGGTTTAAAGAAATAGGAAGGATCTATTCAAAAGAAGATTCAGCCTCTGCAGAAATTTAATAAAACATGCTGAAATAGTGAAATGCATTTATTTTTTGCCTGTCAGTGTGTTATCTTCTCTATTGTTTACCTATTGCCTCAATCATTTACATAATAAAAAACCCAAAAACCTAGTGGTTTATGAAACAACCATTTTTTTATTTCTCCTGTACAATTGGGTAATTTCGCTTGTCAGTATTAGCCGGGGTGGGAGTTCTGGTCTTGGTTGGGATTTACTCACAAAACTGGTGGTTTTTATAGTATTGGCTCATTTAGGATGTCCTTGGCTAGCTCCAGGATCTCATCCTTCAGTAGGATGGCTTGGCCATGTTATCATGATTACAGGATTCAAGATAGGAACCACGAATGCAAATATACTTCTTTGCTTACACCAAGTTTGTTACTATCCCAATGGCCAAAGCAAGTCACATGACCAAGTTCATGGTCAGTATAACTATCAAAGGCTGTGGCTACAGCGAAGCCTGAATAATTGGGACTATGAGTGCAATCATCTACCACACATTCTCTCTTGCTTTTGGAACTTTTCCCATGACTGGAAGATTTTTCTTTACTTACCCATCCCCAGATCAATGGCTACTCAACCTTTAGACCTCAACTTTACTGCCATTTCTTAACAAAGTCTTCCCTGCCCCTCCTAGATTGGGTTGCATGCCATCACTGTGTGCTCTTACAGTCCCCTGCATATCTTCTGCCATATGACTTTCTGACTTAGAAACTCTGTGAGGATGGGGTCCATAGCTTGGCTTTAGTATTATCAGTTATTTTAAATGCATTTTCAGGAGGCTGTCAGCTTATACAAAATTCTACAGTATGTCCTAAATATATCTAAATCACATTTTAGTATAAAAATTAAATAACTACAAGTAACTTAAATGGTTTCCTTTATTTAACATGTATATAAAATTAAAATTGTCAAAATGTAAATGTAAAATACTAAATATCAAGTGGGTGGTCAAAACACATTTTATGCATCAAAAGATTTTACTAGGTCAGAAAAAAATCTGTCATATTCTGCATAGAGGTTATTTTTTCTCTCTCTTAACCTTTAACATGAATTATGTTGTATCTACATCTACATTAGATAAGTAAAAATGTGTGTGAAGATTCTACTGATGTGCCTCTGATGTGTTGAGGGTGTGTGGGTTAGAGAACAGCTTTCCTTTTCCTGCATTTAGGGTAGAATGCACACATTGACCATGCTGGCCATGACGTAATTAATGCCGAGGCCTCTAAAGTGATTTGTTTGAAAGAGTAGCTGGATTTTTGTTTTTAATTAGCATTTAGGAACTTGATCTCTGTAAAACACAAGCCTCAAACTAGCTACTCAGGAGAGCAAAAGAGAGGAGGAAGAACTGGACTTTTTTTCTCTTTTCCATCATATAACTCATGGTGAAAGCTAACTTTTTTTGGCCTTGAGGGAGGCAATAAAACTCATCACATAGACTTTAAATAGAAAACTGGGGGATTTAGGTTAACTGTAAAGACAAATTGCTTGAGAAAGAGGTCAATAAACTCAAAACATATTGAAAGGAGTTTGAACAATTTCTTTCCTAGAGGTCCTTAAGAACGAAATAGATTTTTAAAAAATGTGTTTGGGAGTTCTTAATCTTAAGCCAGACAAATATCTTTTCAGACCAATATGTACCATTTTTGAGTACTATAGTTTTACCATTTTTTATTCCAAATCTCAAAGGTTGGAGAAGTGTTCTACAATGTAGCTGGGATGTGTTTTAATTCAGTATGGTAAGACAGTAGACATGGAAATAATTGTCATAAAGGAAAAAGATTATACTCACAGATCTCTAGAAAAAGAAAACACACCATTCTATGCAGGGCTGCATGGGGAAGCAACAGCGTCGGTTAGAAGGCAGGAGAGGGAGAGGGAGAGGCCTGAGGTTTTATTGGGGTTTTTATGGGAAGAAATGGGTAAGGCAGGGTAAGTGCACTGAGTAAAGCTTAGTACAGGCTAGTCTGAAAGATTTTAACAGGCTCTGGGCTATAGGGGTGGAACCTACTATCCAGTACTTTATCCTGGGGCGATTTAGGGCAGAGAGAATATTGGCTTGGTGTGAGAGAATTTGATAAAGGAGATGGTTGGGTGTGTGGGCTCTGGATTGGTTGGTGTGCCTATCAAATGCATACTCAAAGAGGAGTAATTTTTCATCTCTATGAATAAGCTAGCCTGAGGAGAGGCAGTCTCTACAGGATTAAGGACCTAAATGCCAGAACATGAAGAATACAATATAGGAAATATAGTCAATATAGAAGAAATATAAGAAAATAAACAAGCAAACATAATCAATGTGGAAGAAAATCAAAATCAGACTCACAAATTACGTAGAAAATAATTGTCTTTTTCCTTTCCAATTTTAACCCTTTGGCTTTTAAAAATTATTGGATGTTTTCACTATGTAACTCATTTACGATGCCTATAGGAAAGAAGAATTAGTTCTCTAATTCAAAATATTAGTATAGTTTAAAACTTGTTGAATATTTATGTTAGGCAAGTCTTCATGTGCCTGACATTTTGTATGTTGATAAGAGTCCTAGCAATAATATTTCACCATGAAATAATTTTAATATTAGGGCTTTGGCTGTGTTCTCTGGCCTTCCCTTTACGTCATGAAGTCTAATGGTTATTATTTTTTCAAATTTTGGTGGCAGAAACATTTTTTTAAGATAAATCTCTTCATGAAGACTTTTCAGTGGGGCTATAGTAGGATTCAGAAGAAATGTGTTACCGTCATTATACAGCCAAAAAATCAACTAGGAAACTTTTAAGACATTCAATTTCCTTTTATCTTCAGTTTACTAATCTGTTAAATGAAATACAGTAGTTTCATCTCTGACATCATGTTACGCTACCTACCATATTGCATAGATCAGTTCTGAAATGTTATGTTTGGACATTTGGCTGAAAACCATAGGGAAACAGATTTTGACTCATATAAGAATCTTC
Organism: Homo sapiens; assembly: GCF_000001405.40. Taxonomy (NCBI): domain Eukaryota; kingdom Metazoa; phylum Chordata; class Mammalia; order Primates; family Hominidae; genus Homo; species Homo sapiens. The sequence goes on along the minus strand of NC_000003.12, from coordinate 145,911,197 downwards.
TCAGCTGGATCCCAGTGGTTTGTGAGTTCCTGACACACATTGGAATTAGTCAATCCAAGGATGAGTATGCTTTCCACAAGGTTATGGTAGGGATCAAAATTTAGGTAGGTGGATTGAGTATAAGAACTTGTCTCATTTCAATTTATTCATTAAATTAATATTTCCAGATAATAATGATGCATTCCAGTATGGACCTACTATAGCATTGCATAGTTCATCATATCAATTAATACTTGAGAATATTATATAGTCTTCTAATGTTCCTTAATTATTTAGTACTTGTAGTCTTCATCTCCCCAGCCAGATTATGAATTACAGATTTTAAGAATAATCATGCTTATGTATCTTGACAGACATCCACTAAATAAATATTGCTTGAATTGAAATAGTTACACAAATCTTTGACAAAGCTTTAAGCAAAAGCTTTAAGCAGCTACTTCATAATTTAAAAAGTAATTTTCCCAACTGATTCTGGAACTATCACTTTCACCTTCCTTTGTATTTCCTCAAGGGCACAATCTCTGTTAAAAAAAATCACCCTCCTTCACACAAGTTGCTTGCTCCAAGTAATCGACTCACTTCTGTCTTGGTCTATTGAACAATATTACAATAGTCAATTACCCCAAGGAGTAACATTTTTTAACAGTATGTTTTTCTCTTGGACCTTTCAGAGTAAAGATAAGAGTCATTTAAGTTCTATTTTGTTTTCATTAACCCTCTTTAATTGCAAAAAGCCCTGCTATAACATTAAAAATAAGTCCCAGATGTACTGTGTATACTCCAAATGGAGGTATAAATAGTAACTTCGAATATTTTTAGGTGGTCTCCATGCATGAAAGTATGGCCTTGATATAACATAATTTGTGTGGATTGCCATATAAAAATGAACTGCTTTTTTAAGTAATGAGATACAATTTTTGCCATAGTTACAAGCTCATTAAATACCTGATGGATTTAATTTTGTAAAATTTACCCTCAGTCCTGACATTGTAAAAGTTATTTTATAATTTATTTTTGATTTATAAAAATAATATTTGGAATATATTTCCATTTAAAACTATTAGACCATGAAGATAAATCAAAGTATGCCTGCCCACTTAAAAATTCCAGTCTCTCTTCAAAAGTTAACCTCAGTATTGTTATTATTTCCTATGTAACTTGGGAGACATAAATACATATAGAAAAGTGTTTTGTATATATTCGAATAAATGTTGAAATTTTTTTCATAACTTTATTTCCTACAAATCTTGAAGAATTGTTTCACATCACAATATGATATTGTTGCGTTCCTTTTTACTGCTGTATCGTATTTCAACATTTGGGTATGCCATAGGTTAGTTAGATATCCCTATGCATAGAAATTTCTCGTTTCCTTTTTTTAATCTGTTGTGTTTGCTATCTTTTACATATATGCATAATCATGTAGGATGGATAACTACTAGATTTCTGGGTTACACTTTCTAAATATTAATAGAGCTGGCCAATGTGGCTATGTATGAATTAAAGTTGCATCATCAGAGTATGAGTACACTTTTTTCTACTTCCTCGGAAACACTTGATGTGGTCTGTCATTTTTGCTCATCCAGTGAGCAAAAATAACACAATATAACTCAGTTCACGTTTTTTCCTCTGTGAATTTACTGATAATAAAATTTGTCTGCCTACCCTCTACCTTTTTGACAGAATATATTTTCTTTATCCATTTAACGTATCTTCTCCTTTCTTTTCGTTTACTTTAGAACTTTATTTAGGATTTATTTAGTCGTGTCGACATTTTAAAGTTAGGGATACATAAAATTACAAACCTTATGCTCCATAAACTTTGCACTTAATATTTTGTCATTGAAGCTTTTCTGATGCCAAGGACATAAAAAAATTGGTCTATATTTCAGTTTAATATTTCTACATTTCATTTCAAAATTTTTTGTTTAGATGTTAAATCCATGGAGAGTTAAGTTTTTGAAAATAAAATAACAGTCTAACTTTATTTTTCTTCAAATAGATAGGTTATCAAACAATTGTGACTGACTAGTCTTTATTTTACACACTGATGTAAAATGTAATTTTTATTATTAATTAAATTCAAATATATAAATATATTTCTTCACCTTTATCCCATTTCATTGATATTTGTCTGATATTCACCAAAACCAGACTATTGTGTAAATTTTATTATTTTATAGCCTGTTTTAAATTTTGGTATAGCAAATTCTTTCTCATTTTTCTCTTCAAATCTTTTCTGGCTCAGATTGAATTTTTTTTAAAGTTGGACATCAATTTGATAAGTTTTGTTTTAAAAGATGTTTGAATTATTGTTGAGTTTTCATGGAGAAAAAATTGATCTCTTTAAAATATTGTGTATTTTTCCTAGTCATGTTCTGTATCTCCATTATTTTGTGCCTTTCTAATGTCCTTCAATTGAGATTTATATCCTTATTAGATCTTTCTTTTTAGATGTACTACAATGAGTTTTTCAGAAATATATTCTGTTGCTACTTTAATTGGATTCCTTTTGAATAATACATTTTTGATTGATTCTTGTTAATACTATATAGGAAACTAATCAATTATATGTTTATTCTGAAGCAAGTGAGTTGGCTGAAGTCTTGCATTAGTCCTATTTTATTCAACACACTATTCTCCTGGATTTGCTAAACAGAATATTATACTTAAGGAGACTAATACTTTCAAATATTTATACCTGTGTGTTTTTGTCTGTTTTTGACCTTACTGCATTGGCATGTGTCATAGTGGCATGTGCCATCTCCTTGACAGTTTCTGAATTTTTAATAAATCCTAAGTTCACCTTTTCCATAACAGGAGTCTTAACAGGAATTCTGGAACTTGACATTGGTTCATATATATTCTCTGCTCTGGAATCTGTTTCTGAAGGTTTGGTAGAACTTGTCAATAATAACTTGAATTTTCATTCATGGTTTGGGGAGCGTTTAACCATAATCTTTTATTTTCCATAGTGAGTACCTTGCTTATTCTTCATAAGATAAATTTTGAATTTGGTATTTTTTAAAAAAGATTCCAGATAGAATTTCAAATTTATTGTCGTAAAGCTATGAAAGTACTTAAGTTAGAAAAAAATCTCTCTAGCTGATTTTTTTTATCTATTTCAAAGAAATGGCTTATTATCTTGTATTTCAGCATCTCTGTTAATATTTCCTTATTTTTCTATTGGAATTTAACCCACAAAATTGTTTAGCTAAAATTTAGGGCTGTCTTGCTATCACTACCCCAGTAATTATTTTGTTCTTATAAAACCCAGACATCTTGATTTGTTACAGATATTGAAATCCCAATTTGGAAAAAAGAATTCATTTTAGAGAAAATGCAATTGTCAAAATCTCACCTCTAAAGCACATGTTAAATTTAATCTGAAAACTCAAATAAACTAACAACTGAACAGAACTTTTTCTCCCCCCATTATATAAATGAGAAGTCTTCAAAATATTCTGCATATTTCTGAATTTCTACCTTTAAAATTTGCATGATGAAGAAGAGATGTATTGTTTATAAATCTTATACTGATATGCAACAGATAAAGAGTTTTAATGTTTTCATAATGGAATGTATTATTCACCTTCTAAAATTGTTAGCATTATACACATTTTAGTAAAAGGCAATTTTAATGAGTTTGTTTGTTTATGTTTATTTATTTATTTATTTTTACTTTCCAAGAGCAAAGAAGATTGTTTAACATGGTAATGAAGTTATGAAAATATGCTTAACACAGGTAATATGTGTAGAGGTTAAAATAACATATCATTTTTATCTGAAGCTTTAAGTATCTCAGAAAAGAACTAAGTATTAATTAATATCGCACAATCTCACATAGAGTAATATCACTTATAAAGAGCTTTTCTTTTATGGTAAAATTATTTCTAAAAAATATTTTGGGATATTTAACCCTAAGTTTGCCTTGTACATATAAGCATATTGGCTCCTTGCACATATAAGCATATTGACTCCTTGCACAATTTAAAAAATTCTTTCTTACCTCCTTTCTATAATATGGTTCAAATAAGTCTTTCTTAAATACCAAAATGATCTAAAGGACATCCAAGTAATAAGGCCAAATTGTGTAAGCCAACAGATTCTTTCTAGAGTCATGGTTACGTTATCTGATTTTCTATTGATATTGTCTAGCTTTGTAAAAGCTTTTTATGTTAAAGGAGATGGTTCTCTCCTCATAACTTCCCTTAGGCTATGTTGTTATTTTCAGAGAACTTGGAGCCACTCACTAGTTCTCAGAAAGTTTCCACTCTGGGCTCTCGGGGGAGGCCCCATGTTTCTTGCTAACCCATCTCACCCTGCCAACAAAAAAGAAAATAGTGACTGCATGATAATTTGCATGTTATCAGCATGTAGTCAGTAATTTTCAGAATTTTTCCTGGCCATGATCAGAATTACCATCCTCAGCATGAGGAATGGGATATTAGACCACCTTTGGGGAGGTAAATAAATAGTGGATGAAAGGTGGAAACATATGGAGAGCTGTTCAAAATTGTACCAAGGGAATCAGAACTTGTTATATTGACAAAAATAATCAGATACATAAAATCTAGGAGAGATAATATAATGCTAGAATATTTCAGAACCACACTGGCCACCTTGAAATGGCAAATATAAAGGACACAGTCTTACTGAATCAAATGCTCAAAGGAATTATTTTTTGAAACTCCTTTAAAGACTGAACAATGTTGCCTTAGCAACTGAAGAAAAAATATATTGGACACATCTGTTGTTTATCCTGCATCATTTCAAAATACAATTTGGTTGTACTGGCATGCAAAGTGATCCTTAATTTAATGAATATATACAGTTTTCACAGATTTGCTATAAAAAGATCTATTTAAATTAGTTTTCAAGATTGTAGGCTGCTAGGTGTGGAAAATAAATATCCACTGTTAATGAAATATATTAACATAATAACAGCCTGATTAAAACTGAAATGTTTATATGATAAAATCTGACCCACAAAAACAGCAAAATCACACTTACTTCCCACACTCAGTCTATGATATCAATAAAAGATGTAAAGGGATATATTAGGATATACTTATTCGTATTAATTATTTACCAAGCTTCATGCCCTGTACTTCAATGACCCAATTCATATATTATAATAGCTTTAGTCCTCTTTAGAGCTAAGTAGACCTCATCATGTGAAGTCTTGTTAAAAATAAAGATGCACCTCACTTTAAGTGAATCTGAAATAAGAAAATTTGACCTTAACTAATATGTTTATCTTACAGGATGAAGACTAGGAGCTATTAGTGGCCTTGCCTAAATGAACTCACAGCCTAACTATCCCCAGGGATGTGGATTGTATATATTTTATTCATAAGATTACAGAGAGAAAAGAGAAAATTAGAGAGGTGATATAATTTTCCCAACATTACAAATCTATCAAAAGGTATTGCTTGTCCTTTAACCACAGGGACTCTGTCCCTACCTTCATTCTTTCCAGCATCTATCCATTTCGACAAGTTTTGGTTTTGAAATTGAGTATTAATTCACTCACATTAATTGTAATTTCAGGTATAGTTTATTTTAAATACATTACACTACTGTTTGTTTTCTATTGCTCTCACTTGTTTGATATTTTCTTTTCTCTTTTTTCCAGACTGCTTTGCATTTGATTTATTATTCTATTTTTTTTTGCCTTCATTAACCTTAGAAGTGATATATTCATTCAATTTTTTTAGTTATTATTTTAGGAATTACGGCATTTATCCTTTACTTAGCAAAGTTTAATATGTTTCGGCACTTTTGCTCCATTACCAGATAATGGATCTATTTCTATTGTTTGTTATTTCTGTAGTTCTTATTTCATGGTGCTTAATCTCCTCACAGTGTTACGCGATCTTTGGGGTGTCATTTTTCTGGCCAGAAATCTCTGTGGTCAGCGATGCCTTTGCCTGAGTTTTGCTTCAGCCCACTGGGCTTATTTCACTCACTCAGCCTGGCAGGTTGTACTTGAATCACACTACCAGCCTTTGTCCTATGTTGGCTAAGGGCAAGTCAGGCATGGAATGGTGAGGGGTGTGTGAACAAGCATGGGTTATGGCCACTGGGCCCAATCAGACATGCCGACTGCTGCAGAGGGGTGTGCAGCTCCTGTTGCTGGCAGGAATGCTGGTTCTTTGTGAGGCTGTGGCCAGACTAGGCGCACCACAAGGAGCTTCAACAGTGACCTGGGGAATACAGAGGAACGCAGAAACTTGGACATGCCAGGAACCGCAGGGCCCTAAAGAGGGGCCACAGCCCTGGTTCGGAGAGTGCCCAGATGTGGTTCCCCGAAGGGCTGCAGTTCTTCTTTCTTACTCTTCACCCACAACGTGGCAAGCAATGGTCATGGTTCAGCCCTTTTTGTGTTACAGCTCTTTTAGCCTCACCATTCAGTTGGTCCAGAGTTTTTGTCCTGCCACCAGAAAGAATGAGGTATGCAGACAAGTGGCAGGTGAGCAGGATGAAGAGGAGCTTTATTGAGTGATAGAACAGCTCGGAGGAAACCCATAGGGGTCAGCTCCTTTCCACAGCCAGGGTGTCCCAATGAGTGTTCAGCTCCTAGCAGAGAGGGTAGTTCCTTTCTGCTAGGCAAGTCATTCCAACAAGTGTTCAGCTATCAGCAGAGAGGGAAGCTCCTCTCTACAGCTGGTTATCCCATCGTCTGTGCAGCTCTCAGCAGAGAGGAGGCCCCAGAGTGGGTTGTCCCTCTCTGCAGTCGGTCATTCTGACATCTGCTCAGCTCTGGCTGAGCCACCGTTATGGGCTTCAGAGGGGAGGAAGTGCGTGCAGATAGGTCCATGGGCAACCATGGGTAGACCAGGAAAGGGCATCACATGTCCCCAGTCTGCAGCCTGGCCCCAGCCTTCAGGCCGTCCATGGCCTGAAGGCGGACCCTCACTGGAGACAACAACCTTCTGCCCAGGAACCTGTCTGCCTGCTGCTGCTATTCATGGCGCCCAGGCTATGGGTGCCATGGGGGTGCCTGCAGGCCAGCTCTGAGCTGCTCTCAGCTCCCCATTGGCATCCCTCCTTTGCTCATTGGTGCCCAAAGTCTGGAGGGGGCTGATGTGGCAGGGGGCTGGTGTGTCAACAGTGCCTCCAGTGTGTGCACACCCAGCCAGGCTGTGACAGCCCTGGGCTGGGCCCAATTTTCCTTCAAGATTGGAACAGGGGCCGACATCAGGGAAAATCCAGGCAGTGGGAACAAACGATTCCAAGCCTGCGAAGGCAGAGGAGGACTTCCTGGGCCCTCTAGAGTGCAGAGATGCCTGGGTCCACAGTCACGGTTTGGGCGGATGCAGCTGCACGGGCAGGGCCGGGGTGTGGGGCTCCTGCCTGCTCTGTGGAGCAGGAGGCCCAGGTCGCAGCATGGTTTAAGCAGCTGCAGTTACACCCAGGAGCCCTGGGTTCCCACCTGCTCCCAGGCCCTGAGGCCACAGGGATACCTGGTCTGCAGCCCTGGCTTGGGTGGCTGCAGCGGCACCCAGGGGGCTCCTGCTCCAACTTGGAAGGGTTGGGGCTCACTTGTCCCCAGCTCCTGCAGGCTCCGTGGAGCATGCAGCCCCAGCCACGTCTCCCTGCTGCAGCTGGTGTGATGGCAGCTGCCACTCCAGACTGCCCGCTGCTGCCATCAATAGACTTGATTATTTTTCATTTCATGCCAAACATTGTATTTGAAAAACTATTTACAGAATTAACTTGAGGCCTAAGATGACATTAGCCTCCTCCGCAGAGGGCTTTTGTTTGCTTATGCATGATACTTATAGTAACTACACCACCTGGGGATCTCTGTAATCCAATTTTAATAAGTGAAGTAATTCCAAGTTAGGATGCAATCAATCCCTATGTGGTCTGATAGATCACTAATGTGTAACCCTTCAGCTCCTATCCTGAGCATGAGAGTTTAGAAACAAACCTCTTGGCTGCTTTGTACTCACATTTTTCTCCCTAGTCTCATGAACCTGCTCAGCCATTCAGCCTCCCTCCTGCCTCTGGAATAATTAAGCCCCAAAAGGAACATGCTCTCAAATACTTGAATTACATCCCTGAATTTCCATTGTCTCTCAAACTTTAGCCCAATAATTCTATATGATGGCCATTTTAGCTTTCTATTTTCTATAAGCTTAGACATATAATTTTTAGAATGCTTTTTCCAGTTATTCTCACTGGAAATATCTGTCTGAATTAACTAGTCCATGAGTACAGGAAGTCTTTTTTTGCAATTCTACTGTGATTCTAAGTTTAAAGAAATACTATTTCTATTTGTTTTTCAGAAGCTCATCTAGTAAATAAATGTATATGCCCATAATTCAATCTTTTCTCTCAAGTTGTATGTTGCTAACAGAGTAAAAAAGAAGGTACTGAACAATCAACTGGCCAACTTAAAAAATACTATTCGAAATAGATTCTGGTTCTACAATGTATGTGAGCATTTAAAAATATGGTTTTACAAATAAGTAAGTTTGTTGAGGAATAGAGTTTAAAGAAGATCCCTATATCAGGCCTGAGTAGTAGTAGTATAGAGGTTGAAGTGAGAAGAATTAGCAGATTACCTATGCTCTTATAAAGAGCTTAGATTTTATTCTAATGCAGTAGAAAACCTTGATGGATTTTAAGCAGAGCAGTGACAAGATCCAATATATACTAAAAAATCAAAATAAAAAATTATTTTGGCTGCTATATATTTATGGCAGTGGGGATGGAGGATGCTAGATTGAATGATGGAGACCAGTTAGCAAGAATTACAGGAATCTTGGTGAGAGACGGCAGTGGCTTACACTAGACAGTGGCTGTAGATAGGAATGGGCATACTTGAGATTTTTTAAATGAGGGAATATATTAGATCATTTCATTTTTTTCATGCCTCTCCTTGGAGTACTTTCCCCTGCTCATGGATGGCAATATCATTACTACTCTTGAAGACCTTATAAAGTAATTTCAAAAGTTCTAAGTCTGAGGTAGTTTGTCATCATTCTGAACATGCACAGCTTTTCATTTATATTTGCTTTGTGGCACTTTCTGTGTATTTTGCTTACTCTTGGTTGTGTTTGTGTTCTTTACTATGGAGAAGCTATTCAAGGATAATGTTGCTAGCTTCACATTTGCATTTTAATGGTGTTTGGCATAATGGCTGGCACAAAATAGGTGCTCAGTAAATGTCTTATAAATGATAACTTCTTTATGTATTTGTAAATATGTCACTATTTTGATCTTTGCCCCTTTGAATGTCTGAATTAATGAGGCTTGTCTCTTCTTGGAAGAACAGAGTATTTTAAATAAGCAATTCATTGCAGATTTATGTTTAGAAACATACTTGTCACATTACATTTTTAGAAGAAAATGAGTAATGAAGTTAGATATATTGTTAAATAAAAAATGATCATTAAGAATAATTTTAATGTGGCAGTGATGAAGTTAGACAGATTCAGTTTGGTTTTAGAATGCAAACTCGTTTCAGATCTAGAGCTATTCTGTGGGACAACTGAAGGGAAGAATTGTAAACAACCATGGAAAAACATGTATTTGTTTCCAAAATCCAGATGAAGGTATTAGGCCCAGTGTATTATTTTATGCTTGAATAGCTAGAAAAACTGTGGTTTGGATACAAAATTAATGTAAGATATTTTTTAGCTCAGATTTTATTTTGAATTTTTATAATATTGTTTTTAAAAAGTCTTTACCTATATAACACATATACAGAACTTTAAAATAAAATGCACTCACATTTCATTATATATATGTGTGTGTGTATATATATATAATGTGTGTGTGTATGTATATATATACACACACACATTATATGTGAAATAGAACATATATTAAATATGTATATGTGTGTGCATTTTTTCTTTTTCTCTTTGCCTCAATTAGTTCTTACTATCTATAATTTTGAAAACTACAAGCTGAAGTATGCTGTGATTAGTTTTTTTCTTATGAAAGATTATATAACTTATTTTTGTATAGACACTGACCCAAATGCTCTCCAATAAGAATTGGAATATATTTCTTTAAATTCCAAATACAGCCTTTATTCCTTATTCCAGAAACCCACTTGTTCTGAAAGCTAAACTGGCTTGAACAATACTTTATTGCAAGTTAAGATAATCTTCACTCATTGATCTAAATTGTTTACGAATTCCCCTGTTGGCTTGCTTGTTTATTTATTTATCTGTTTGTTTGTTTTATAGTTTCTGAAGGACCTGTTAAGATTCCCGTGAAGATTTACCCAATGAAACTAACCAAAATAAGTTGTTCAGTAGAGACATCTCATGGACATTTGGTTCCCAGGCTTCTTTCTTGATCTCTGAGGTGATTTTCAGATAGAAAAATCTAAAAATGGTGATAGAACTGTTGCTTTCCCTCCATCTATTTCTGGTGTATTTCTTCTTTGTACAGATCTGGATTGGTTTTGTCTTAGGTATCATGTGAGTTTACCCCACTAACATTATATTTGGCTCTGCCTTTACTCTGCGTTTTGTTTATAGAACTTCAAGAAAACCCCAGTGCCTGGCACATACTCATTTGTAACTGTATCACGGGAATGATTTTAGTCTGGTCACACTTGGGTGTTTGAGACTGTCTGTGTTTAGGGATCTATTACCTTTTTGTGCCTTTGTGCTTAGGGATCTATTACCTTTTTGTGCCTTTGTGCTGACTGTGTCATGCTTATGAAACATTTCAAAGCCAAAATCAATTCTTTTCTTCAGAAAGAGCTCACACTCCTGGCAATTATTGTTACTTCCTGCCATTTTTATTTCAAAATACTGTCACTTTGGTTACAATTATTGTCAAAACTGTAACCACTTTTCTTGTCTTTGGGTATCTCCTCTGATAACTGTTATTGATATTGGCCCTCCCAAATTCAGAGTGCAGGTTTCCAGGTGTCAGTTGACTTCACGGTCATGAACAGATGCTTTTCAAAGTATCAGGGGACTGTATCAGGGCCCCCAGGAGACCTTTGGTCAAGAAACAGATGACTCATTGAAAGCAGCCTGCTCAGCCAAGTCTTGACAGTAAAGACTTAATTATGTAGGATAGATTATAACTAATATGAGAGAAATTTAATTGTAGGTAATGTTACATTTTCTGATGGATATATTATAAAACAATTTTCTTTCTCCTTGGCTTATTTCTAGCACACAGATTAACAGGTCACATTTGTGCAAACTGAAATCAACAGCCTCTTTAAATGGTGCCTTGCCCCAACTAACCTCAGAATTTGAGAGAAAATATCCTGTAGGAAAATCAACATAATTTTTAATCTAATGATCATCATCACAACTTAAAAATGGTTCATCTATAAAATATAGTAACCGTATATTGATTATCTTTGTCTTCAAAACTAATCAGATACATGGTCAAATATTATTAAAAAAACTTTTTGTAGCAATGCAGTTATTTGCATAGATTCAATAACATTTCTATCATTTTTTCCATCAGAATTTAATTTAACAAACCAAGATGTATAAACAGGACCATTCCAGAAGTTATCATTTAACAGTAAATTTTATTACAAAAAGTAGATTAGAAGTTACCAAGGGCTGGTGGAAAGGGGGAATTGGCAGCTGTTGCTTAATGGATAGAGTTTGTGTATCGGGCTATGAAAATGTTTTGGAAATAGATCCTGGTGATGGTTGCACAATACTGCAAACGTAATTAATGCCACTGAATTGTACTCTTAAAAACGCATAGACACAGAGAGTAGAATAGTCTTTGCCAGGGGCTAGAAGAGGAGGGGGGGATGGGGAATTGTTATTCAATAGGTATAAAGTTTCAGTTATGCAAGATGAGTAAGTTCTAGAAATCTGGTGTACGGCATTGTGCCTAGAGCTAACAGTACTGTATTCTACACTTAAAAATGTGTTAAGAGGATAGATATCATGCTAAATGTTCTTACAACTTAAACAAATGGCAAATTACATTATATTTCATCATAATAAAATTATTTAAAATGCAAATCTTATTACATTAAGAATTATGAAGGAAAGGGCTTTTGGAGACAAGACCTTCAATTCTTCCAGGCAATCTGTCTGGTATAGTTCTAGTGTTTATAGATTCTCAGCCTTACAGGTGGCAAAGAATGTTTCTTCCTGGCAGACTAGGGGCATTGGTGGAACTGGGAAGTCTCAGAGAAAGAGATATACATACAGTGGCAGGCAATGCCTGGTAGAGGCGAGTGGGACAGTATGGCTGTTACTATAGAAGGAACAATAAATAACACTATAGTCTTTCAGAAAGTTCTAGACAGAGGTTGACTCTCTAACCTTAATATCTAGACAATCTTTTTTGTTAAACATATCATAAGATATATTAGTCATCACTGCTTGTTGCCTCTAAAACAATAAAAGAAGTCAAAATAAATCAGAGCATCAGATTAATTATGCTGAATTAGACAGTCAAGAAACACACTCACTTGGTCCAAGGCAAGCCCCTGTCACGGGATTCTGACCATCAGGAGATTCTGAAAAAGTGAAAGTAACATTTCACAGTTAGCTTACCCTCTAACTGGGAGCGTCTGTTGGGCCACTGAAAAGATGTAGATTTGTAAAGGTTTGCATTTCAAAAGATAATTCTTGAATTACAGGGCAATTCCAAACCTCTGACAGTACAAAATAAGTCAAGTTACTGTTATTTCCTTATCAAAGGCAAGAACTATAGTTCTTCATCAAAATAAATCCGAACTTTATTCAGTCAGAATATTTGTTCGCTGTTACTCATTTTTAGCTGTAAATACAGCCTTCACTAATTATTCAGTGATAGTTCTAAAATATAGAATCCCCTACATAATGCTTCACTGAAAATAAAAAAAAAAGAAAAACCACACTTTCTCACAGTGATCAAAATGGATTTCTTTTTATTTTATTTCATTTTTTTCACCTGAGAGCAGCATATGCTTTGAATTTGTAGAAACCTGTTTTATTTCATACCTGAGAAAGTAACTTTTGGTGATGCATACTTTATGAAGCCTACAAATCACCCACTTTGGATTTCCATAAGACCTGTAAAAATGTAACTTTGTTCCAGATATTTTTGTAGCTGGCAACATGTCCTTTTTTTCTCTCTCTCTTTCTTCAGAGTCAGACTCTGGGGATACATTAACTCAGTGGCCTGTTTTATATGAGGTGAGATTTTGGATTCAGTCTTATTTATGACTTTGATCTTGCAGATTTTGCATTCTTCCTTTTAAAATAGTCCAGTTAATTTGGAATTTGAATATTTCAGACTCAGGATTTCTAAAAATAACTTTAATTTTAATTTCAGATTGTATTTGCTTTTTGTGACATAAGGCAGGATTTTTAAACTTAAGTTTCTCCCTTAAAGAAAACATTTTAAAAAATTGTGGGTTTTTTTTTATTTTTTCTTGGTGACATTGAGTCAGTATTTTACACCCAAAGTGCTTAAAACTGATAGACTAACATTTAAAATAGAAAAAAATATGAATTGTCAGTGTTGTATCAAATAATTTATCTCCTATATATTGAATAATATTGAATTTGATATTTAAAGTTGAAATGCTGAATATAAAATGTTTTAGAGTATGAAATTTAGCAGATTAAAAATACCTGGAATTGAAAATATACCAAAATATAAGAATTAGGTATTATTTGCTTGAGTCCACTCCTGCTCTAAAGTGGTAATTTTCATAATCTCATGATCACAATATTATTTCACAATAATTTTATTTTTAGTGGGTGACATTTATTAACATGTCCTGGAAAATATTTACATTTGGAAAATTCCTACTTGCTAAGAGAATTTAAACCCATGATCAACTCTTACACTGGAAGCAATTTAAAGGTAAATTATTAGGTTGGTACAAAAGTAATTGCAGTTTCTGCTATTGAAAGTAATGGCAAAAACCTCAATAACTTTTGCACCAACATAATACTTTAACCTGATTTGGGGCTGCTCTAGGCTGAAATCTGGGCTTAACTCCACCCACTACGGGCCTTACCTGCCGGGCTCTGTCTTCAAGGGGAAAAGAAAAACCAACTACTCTTCTGTTGTACCTAGTTTACTTCTGGCTTTTGGGTTTGTATTTTGTTGTTTTGATTCTTAGAAGCTTACAGAAATGTGTCAGCCTGATTACTTTCCCCTAAAGAGTATAATTCAAGCAGATTATCCAACTAGTGAAGTTCAACAATGGTCACTTCTGACTCCTTTCTTCTCACACTTTATCTCCCCATCTCCCTGCCTGTAGGAAACACAATCACTGCCAACCCATGGATGGCTACTGTAGTATTATTTCCTAGGCTAAACATATGTTTTCTGTAAGTAATTGATTCGCAGTTATGAATTCAGTGCCTAGATCCCAGTCGTGTTCATCTTGCTGTAAATTGCTCAAAACGGTGATATATTCCTGCACAAAAATGTCAACATTTATGGTTAACTCCACAAACAACCCTCTGGACTGGTCTATTCTTCTATTCTCCTAGCAACATATTTTAAGTCCAACACAAATACCTGGTTTAGCAGTTTTGACAATTACATCAGTGAGTGTTCTACTAGAGAAACAGAACTAGTAGAAGGGAGAGAGAAAGATGGAGAGAGAGAGAGAGACTTATTGCAAGGAACTGGCTTATGCAAGGGTCACAGCTGGCTAGGCAAATCTGAAGTCTGTAGCAGTGTAAACCTGGAGGAAGGACAGGCTGCAAACTCGGGCAGGTGCTAAAACTACTGCCCTCAGGTAGAATTTCTTCTTAGGGAAACTGCAGTTCTGCTTTGCCTTTCAATGGATTGAGTCAGCTCTAGATAGATTATGAAAGATATTCTCTTGTACATAAAGTTGATGGATTGTATGTGTTAATCTCCTCTACAAAATATCTTTATAGCAATGCCAAGATTAGTATTTCATTAAACAACTGAGTACTATAACCTAGTCAGGCTGACACATACAAACGACCATTACAGCAATTTTTCTGCCATATTTGTTAACAGATAGACCACATCAGTAATATAGTCCATTGCTGGGTCCAGACTCCTCTGGGTGATTACCTCAACCAGTGAAACATAATCTAAAACACAACCTTGACCTTCTTTCAAGGTTCCTTTCTTAATTGATTTAACAAAACTTATTTAGTATGTGTTACATATGTAATGGTTAATTTTATGTGTCAACATGATCCTGTTAAGGAAGGCTCAGTGGGTAAAACATCATTTCTGGGTGTGTCTGTGAGAGCGTCCTGGAAGAGATTAGCATTTGGGACAACAGAATGAATCAAGAAGGTCACCCTTACCAGTTTAGGTGACTATCATCCAATCCTGACCCTCAGTTATTGAAGATGCAACAAAAAGGCAGAGAAAGGGTGGATTCTTTGTCTTTTCTTGAGCTGGACATCCATCACCTTTTGCCCTTGGAAATCAGATATCAAAGCTCCTGGTCTCGAACCTTCAGATCTTAGGACTTAACACCAGCACCCCTCCTCCTCCAGTTCTCATCACTTCGACCTTGGACTGAGGGTTACAACATTGGCTCAGCTGGTTCTCATGCCTTTGAACTCAGACTGAATTATACTACATAGTTTCCTGGATTTCCAGCTGCAAATGACATATTATGGGGCTTCTAGGCCTGAATAATCATGTGAGCTAATTTCCATAGTAACTCTCCTCTTGAATTTGTTTTTCTGGAGAACGTTGACTAATACAATATACTAGACATTTTTCTAAGTAATTCATAACTAACGAATTATTTAATTAATATAATTATGCTTTGCATTAGGTTTTATTATTATTCCCTTTTCACCAATGAAGAGATTGAGGTATAGAGAGGTTAAGCAACTTGCCCAAGTTAGCAGAGCCAATATAGAATCCAGACAGTCCCACACTTAAGCTCTTGTACTTACTACTATGCCTCGCAGTCCTTTGTGGGTTCAAGTACACTCTAATTTCTTAAAAAACTGCATTTCTGTGGAGTTTGAGAAAATAGTAATTTTTATTCATCCATTTTAGGAAGAAATTTTAAAATACTTTCTTAATTATTAAATTGACATAACATACAGTATAGTGTCGGTTCAGTGCTGGACAGAATATTCTCCTCATTTTACCACTGTGACTCTCATATCTTATTTACTTTATCTGTTTGGGGTTTGGTGCTATTTGATGAGCCATCAACACTTGTTACTTGTTACCATTTTTCCAGCAATCTCATAGTCAAGGGAAATTGTGCTCTAGCTTCATATAATTAAGCTAGTTCAGAGGCTCAGCTGGTTATCATACTGTATGTTAACATCCTTGATGACAACTCTCCTTCACTCCTTACATAAAATTTACATTCTATGAAACATGTTTTGTTCTGCTTGGAGAGGCATTGTGCACAACTATGAAAGTTCAATAGTGAAAAAGTAATCTTATGTACTGGCATTTTTACTGATGAGTACTAGTCTTCTAAGACATGTTTGAGTGACAAACACATGCCTTTCATAAACTTAAGCTTTCCTATTATTCATAGACATAAGCAGGATATTCTGTCCACTTAATATAAACTTCCTCCCAATAAACTCCTCATTTCTTCATGAAAACAGACTCCTGGTGGTTTTGTCTTACAGGATGTCAGGAACAGAGCTATGGCACTAAAGAATTTTTTCAGTTTGAGATGTTACTTTTTGTTTTTTTTTTCGAGAAGGAGTCTCACTCTGTCATCCACGCTGGAGTGCATTGGCATGAGCTCGACTCACTGCAACCTCCACCTCCCGGGTCCAAGCAATTCTCCTGCCTTAGCCTCCCCGGTAGCTGGGATTACAGGCAAGTGCCACTACACCCAACTAATATTTTATATTTTGGTAGAGACAGGGTTTCACCATGTTGGCCAGGCTGGTCTTGGACTCCTGACCTCAGGTGAACCACCTGCCTCGGCCTCTCAAAGTGCTGGGATTACAGGCATGAGCCACCACGCCTGGCCAAGATGTCACTTTTTGAGATCATGTGAGAAATTACCAGTCTAGAGACCTGTGAGAATAGATCAGAGAAAGGCTTCCATGAGGAGAACAAAGGGAGGATCAAGAGTAAACTTTAATGAGTTACTGCAGTCTTGGGAAACAAATAGGAAGAAAACGAACAAGCAGGCAAACAAACAAAGACCAGAATTTAAACTGAAAAAGGGGAGGAAAAATGTGGGATATTAGAAGAATTAACTAAAAAATAAAATATTGCTGATTGGAATGAAAATAGATGATACAAAAAGGTGTTCAATTATGTGACAGAATGGACAATAGGCAGACTTCTCTGAAAGAGTTTGTGTTGTTAATACTGTTTGTTAAGTTATGCAGAAAAGTAAAAGAAAGAAATCATCCGCAATTCCACTACTTCAGATAACTTTTAACATTTTTTGACTTTTATTTCAGAAGGCTTTTTTATAAATTTTTAAAACTGGTTTCTCTTGAGTATAAAATCCCATTGATTATAAGATGTAGCATTAATTTAATAGTACATTTTCAGAAAACAAAACAGAAAAACACTGAAAACTTTGAATTTACATGAATGAAAAGATATATTGGATGAGGATATGTGGTACTCGTGATCATAATTTGTGCATTCAAAGGAATCCTGTTCTGTTCAATAAACATTTACAGAACAATAATTTTTCATAGTAATAGAAACTCATAATGAGCCTTATTTTAACAGCTGTGCATAATTCTAACTTGTGGATTTCCCATATTTGTTTAACCTTCACAATTGTTGGCATGTGGTTTGATTTCACTTATAAATAACTCTGAATGGATGTATTTGTGCATGAATTGCTTTTGTATTTCAGATTATTCTCTCAAGATGGATTTTTGGAAGTGAGATAATTAGATTAAATACTAAGAAAATATTTATGATATTGGATGGCCATCGCCAAATAGCTTTCCAGAAGGATTTGTAACAGAGTTTTATGGCAATGTCTAATGGGAGATTTTTTTTTCATTTCAATTTGTGTCTCAAATTGTATAGGGATCTCATTAGCAAGATAATGTGGTGAGGACTCCGAAATTCCCTTTTGTAGTTCAAAGAGTGTGTACTCAGAAAAGCAAAATTAAATATTGCCTTTTTCTCTTCTCCGTGACCTTTGCTAACAGAAGACCATAATATTTTCAGAGGCAAAAAAGGGTTGCTTTATTTGCCTAAAGCAATCTATAGATTGGGGAAACACAGCCTTTGGGACAAAGTGAAAGTGTGCTCCAAGAAGAGGTTGGAGAGTCGGAGATTATAAAGGCAAAAAACTGCAAGGCCATGAAGGGGGATCTGGGGAGTAAGTAACAGAATGTTGATTGAACCTTGAACCTTAGGTCTAAAACCTAAGTATCTTTTATTGGCTGACTCTAGTTGGTCAGCTGGGGAATTTCTGGGTATAGTCTTTTGGCATCAATATTCATTGATGAGGGGAACTAGTTTGGCTTGGTTGCAGAAAGGGAAATTTTGTGATATTTTTGCAACATTTTTCCAGAACACAGAGGTCATGACTGCCCCTCGTCCTGCTATGACTGCCTCGTTCTGCTTTAACTTGAGCATCTGAGTTAGCCACAGGGAGTCCATTTTGTCTGCAGGTTGGGGTATAATTTAACACCAAATTTAAAATTTAACAGTTTTTCTACCTGTATCCAGAAATAATATTTACTTTTCTACCATTTACAGAGTACTGTATTAATCAAATACTTGAAGGAATTTTGGAAAATGCAAACTACTGTAATCATTATTAGTTCAATTAGAATAAAATGAAAAGGAGAATTGTAGTAATCCAACCCAGGGGAATTGAAGAGTCTGATGTTTGATTTATGTAATCAGAGAGGTTTGATTTATTTTGAACTGCATCAGGAGAACATAGCTCTATGTTGCCTGAGAACTTTAGGCTGATTCTATTCTTGTATAAGGCAGAATTTGCTCATTTTTATCTCTTAATATTGCATTATTTTGGCAATTCCATCATATGGTAGACCAGCTTAGATTTGTTCTGGGGAATCCAACTCTGTAATAGTTTTGGAAAGGGGAAGATGAGGCTATGCAATTGTCAAAAGCTTTTAAGTTTTTTGAAAAAGAACATAATATTGCCACAATGTATTAAAATCAAGCAGAAACTATATACGTGAGGTAAAAATAATAATTGAGTTGAATATATAATGAGGACAGATTTTACAGGTAAAATAAAAGGAAGGTTAGTGTCATCCATTAAATTGTGTATTCTGTTAGTGATGAAGAACGCATTTGTTTCTTAAATTACTGAAAAGCAACTGATAAAAATAAATAGCCAAGTGGATGGTTTTCCATGAAGCAGAACAAAATAGCAGACAGAATGTTGGAACTTGCACAACTGAGATCAGTGAGAATAAATCATCAGTTTGAAGAAAATAAAAAGGTGGGAGAAAGGACTCCAGGTGATGTGGTGGTGAGAATAGTGAGAAAGGACGCAAGCGAACTTCCTGAGGTGACACAGGAAGAGCGGTGAGGACACAGCAAGGAGAAGAGAGTTCTTGCTGAAGGAAAGAAATAGAAAGTTAAGCTCTAAAACACTTGTGTTGTCTGAAGTCCACAGAGGAAGAAAGAAAAGGTGTAGGAGGAATAGTAATAGAAGACAAGACCAAGCAAAATAGGAACAGGAAGAACAGTGCTGGTGGAATCTAAGGATAAAGGGCATCAAACTGAGAAGATACTGAAGCCGAATTAGAAACAAAATGAAATTACAGAATTTGGGGGTGGGGAGCATATCCTCAAATTGACAGAGATATTCAAAAGGCTGGAAATGTAATTACTACACTTTGAGAGAATAAAAGCAGATTGCTTTAATGCAAGGTAACTAAGTCAAAAATGGCTTAATGGGACATGGATGAAGCTGGAAACCATCATTCTCAGCAAACTATCGCAAGGACAAAAAACCAAACACCGCATGTTCTCACTCATAGGTGGGAATTGAACAATGAGAACACTTGGACACAGGAAGGGGAACATCATGCACTGGGGCCTCTTGCCTTTTATATAGCATTAGGAGATATACCTAATGTAAATGACTAGTTAATGGGTGCAGCACACCAACATGGCACATGTATACATATGTAGCAAAACTGCACGTTGTGCACATGTACCCTAGAACTTAAAGTATAATAAAATAAAATAAGATAAAGTAAAATAAAATAAAATAAATGAAAAAATCTAGTCACATTAAAATAAAGTAAAATTATCAAGGACAAAAATAAAATTGTACAACTCAGCAAAAGAAAAAAATAGAGCAATTGGGGGAAAAGGGGTTGAAAGTATAATTTCCTTTTTATTTTCTTAATTGGTCACTACTCAGGCTTTTTCACTGAACTAAAATGTTCTTATACTTTGGTGCCCAGTTAACCCCAGCGCATTTTTAATTAATTGGTTTAAAGATAGATACTCATATAAGCTTTCTGTTGTTTGCAAATTACAAGAGCCAAATTTTAAATAAATGTTTGACCTCTAAATTTTCTAAATTTTAATACTTAAGGACATAAAAATTATAAAAAACATTTTGTAAGACATTTAGTATGTAACTGCTGTTTTTAACATATAATAAATCCAATTATGGCAGAGAAAAAGAGAAAATTTATTTTCTATGAAGAAGTAATATCAGGATATTTTATATGTATTGCTAGGGAAAGAGCTTCTCAGAAGATAGCCAGGGTTTTCATTAACACTTTTCGGGAATATTCCAGAGATATACCATTGAGGATGCAAGATGTGTGATCATGGAGGTGGAATCAGGAGATAAACAGATTTGTGAGTAAACGTGTCACTCTGAGGAAATGTAAAGTGACATATTTCACAAAGAAGGGAAAATAATGAAGGAAATTATTTTCTGTGCTTAATTATGTTTAATTATGACCCACTGGGAAAACTTGGTCAAAAGGAAATAAAGCCCTGGAGACAGTGACCACATTGGAAATCACAGCCCCTACTGGGAATGTTCAGACGGGTTCTTGGCATTAGTAAAGCACCTTAAACAATTCATTGTGTGTGATAGGACATATGTAAGAAGAAAAAGGGGCACATTGAATCAAAGGCAAATACAAAAGCCTGGCATGAGACCTCAGGAGTGTTTGTGTCAGGTATTGATGATTGGCTCTCAGTTCCAAACCCACCCTTCTGTACTCAGCTTGTGGGGCTGGGCTGGGACTCAGCAGACAGTACTTCTGCCTTGACACCTTCTTCCTGCTACAGTCTGGCAATGGGGACACCAGAAGAACTCACAAGCTGGAGGGTGAAGATGGGGCTTTCTCCTTTCTGCAGGCTTGTATCTGCTTCCTGTTCCTGTGAGCATTGTATCAGCAATGCTTTTCACCCAGGCAGAGGCACCTGAATCCAATTTGCAGTTTCCTTCTCACTTGCAGAACTGACTTCAAGGGACTCCTTCGGGGACACCAGAACCAGCCAGCTGACACCTCCTCTTCAGAAGTCTGAGTCCCAGGCCCACTGATCGCTCTTCCAAGCTTCCAGGCCACAATAATGCCAACTGTTTCCCTTTGTTTCCTGACTCGGGGTGGTCATTGTTCCCCACAGTTTCTACTTCCATGATAACTTTGATGCTTTTGTGGTTCACAGCTTTAGATCTGGTTAACAATTCTTAAACACATAATAAATTAATTTTGCTGAAAAACTTAAGTTAATTATTAAGTGTTTCTTGTAATAAACAGAATATTAATGGTATTAGGGACTCAGCTCCACTGATTATAATAGATACTGCAAACCTAACATTATAGAAAAAAAAGAGAACCTTTCAACAAATCATTTTACTTTTTTGTTTTAAAAAAAGCTTTACATTGAAAGGACAGAACAAATAATGAATAAAATAATTCAGCCTAACTGAATGAGGAAATAAAAGAAACTCAAGATATTTTAGGTAAGAATAGGATAGGGCAAAAAGGAAAAAATGGAAAATATAGACTTTTACCACTAAGGTAGAAGACATCATATTAAACATCATGTATGAAGGCAGTAAGTGTTGGCATGAGTTTAGTAAAAAAAATGTTAAGCCAAACTACCTTGATTGCCTTTCACCCCAAATTAAAGAATATGTACAATTTGTAAACACACATACACACACACACATCAAAAACTCGAAAGTGAAAAGTCAGGACAATGTCAAATATACCACATAAATTATCAAACAAGTTAACTTGAGAAAGCCTCTGCTGATATCCTTGTGAATAAAATGGAATAATGAAGTGAATTATTGTATAGTCAGGTGGATGTGTGTTGGGTTGAATTACCACAAAGTTATTGATTAAAGGATCAATGGCAATACACAGTGAAGACTCTAGTCTTATTTCACAGGATCTGCCCTTGGTTTTGTCCTATTCCACATTACATTTTAAATCAATGATATCAATTCCCTTTTCCTAAAGACCACCAGTAACATACCTGTAGTTTAAAAAAAAATTGTTTGGATTTATTATTTATTGCACTGAGTGAGAGTGCTCATTATGGGGAATTCTTTTATAGGATTTAGGTTTTAGCTGAGTAATTTTCAGGAGGTTCTAAGGAAATGGAACTTTGCTCTGGATTGGATGCTGTTAGGAAGCAGGGGAAATTTTATGATTAGGTACCTCAATCAATCTTATCTACAAAGAAAGCACACTAGAGGAGGATAAAGCCATAATTGATGAGGAAGCAGCAGTCACTCATACTAGCCAGGAGCAGATAAAGTTTACTATGTTGAGAGTTGCAAGTGACTTTGTTTTGCTTCACTTTATTATACTCTCAGAGTAACCTTTCTGATGTTGCTGTACTGTGAGATGGTTTATGTTCAGCAAGAGAACAACACAGCTTAGCTGTAAGCAACAGACCAGGATGTCAGGGGACACTTTTCTCTTTCTCAACGATTTCTTTAAATAAGTACCTAGAGGGCAACTTAATCAAATTTGTAGATGACATCAAGCTGACAAAAGATAGACAATCACGGTTAAAAATAAAAAGTTTAAAAAAAGACAATGTATACACTAGAGATAAAACATAGGTAAGAGATTATAAAATACAAACTTACCTTTTATAAATTGGTGACAAAGGTCTAGAGTAAATTAATTATGTGTCCCAGTATAAGGTCAAATACAAATGAAAAATAAGAGGCTTTATTTTCCCTGTTGAAAATGACAGACTTCCATTCCCATTTTATTAGAGCATGTAGTTTGAAAAACTTGTAAGTTCTTCATCTCTTTGAAATATATATATAAATCCTTTTAAAAGCTAAATAAACTTCTTGCCACATTATGATTCAGGATTGTGTTTCTCAAGCACCTGGGAGCCATCTCTGTAAAATGTAATCATCAAGGACAACAGTGCTCCTGTCTCCCAGTTTCTATGGGAGGGTGGGAGGCTGTCGTCAGCTCCCACAAAGTTGCAAAACTACTTTCTGTCATAAAAACATAAGAAATTTTATTTTCCTTTGGATAAGTCAGTTAAGTAATACAGATAATCATCTTAGTTACCAGGTGAATTTAGGATGACCTGTGTGTGACAAATGGTATTGTCAAATCCTCTTACTTGAGGACTAGTTACTCTTTATCTTCACAACATGTGAATAATGAGTTGTATCTGCTTGGCTATATAAAGGAGTGAGATTTCTACGGGTCTTTGCAATCTCTTTAGTGGATTGTCTGGGTACACATCACATTCTAGTTTAATGGTTATTCAAAAATAAAATTTGTTTTCTTTCTCTTCTACTTTTGGGATGAAATTTTCTCGGTTAGGAGGGGAGAGATTTTGTTTTCATTAATATTTCCCCAACACAAGGTCACAGAGCTGTGGCAAAGATGGAGTGGTGGTGCATTCACCCAGCTCCCAATTCAGAGTTCTTTTCAGGAAATCACTGTACTACTAACTAAAGGATATTTAGATGTGTATGGTCACCATCTTACAATTATACTTGGAAGAAGAGGAATATGAATAAGGATAAGCATAAAACATTGTTCTTTGGTTCTGAGGAGATAATACTTTTCCTTACATTGAATAGGGATTTAAACGTATCATATAGTAAAAAGAAAACCAATTCAAAGTCATAAAAGAATAAGAAAAGTGTCTTGTTTCCATTTGAAGAGTTGTGAGTA
Source organism: Homo sapiens (assembly GCF_000001405.40). Classification (NCBI taxonomy): domain Eukaryota; kingdom Metazoa; phylum Chordata; class Mammalia; order Primates; family Hominidae; genus Homo; species Homo sapiens. The sequence continues at coordinate 145,887,141 of NC_000003.12, read as the reverse complement.
GAAAGATCCCAGAAGATGGGTTAAGTTTAGGGATGTGTCCATGCTATTCAGGATCACCCTACCATCTTACCTCTTGAAGTGGTCTCTAAATTTCAGGATGTTCATGAGATTCTATAGAATTGGCCACATGGATTGGTGGGTAGTGAGTTGTTTAGGAAAGGATGTGGTTGCTGGCACCATTATGTATGCCACACTGACATTTGCTCAGACACAGATCATCCAGTCTGGATCTTGGGTGCAGTAAATCATGGTTACTGGCACCTGAATGAATGTTCACATCCCCAACTGCTCTCCAGATGAAAACCAGCACATTCACTGAGAGGGCCTTTCTTGCTTTTCACAAGGGACAAAACATTTGTGATAACTGGCTGTCTCCCTTTCCACTAATTTTTGAGAATTTCTTGAAAGTACAGAAGTAGTTATATCTTGCAGCTCAGTTGGAGGAGGTCACAGAATGTAAGTAAAAATATGAGAAAGAGCAATGGGTGATACATCGCAATATGATTTCATCTCAAATTTCCTCATTTGCCTCAGAAAATTCATGCAGTGATTATGAGAAAAATATGAAGAGAAAATAATACATATAATTCAAATGAAAAATTACTGCCTGATTGTTACAAAATAAATCATTACAAAGGCTGATAATTCAGAAGGTGGTAGAGGAAGGATGAGGTAGACATTAGGATGAACAAGGTATAAATTACTATAGCCAATCAATTTTATTTTGGTAATTATTTTGAAATTTGTATAATGATGTTAGTCATTATTTCTAGGCATTGTTTCTTTTAAAGAAAAGTCACTAACCTACCTAATGGCAGATGATCTTTATGAAGTCTGCCCCTCAAAAGGTATATTCTTTGAAATCCACAACATGAAGACTTGCTTGGTCTATACATTACTACATTTTCATTGTATTCTATTTGTTTCTTCATCTAAAAATAAAAGAATATAATTTTTCAAATTAGAAGATTGCATTCAATTATTGATAGAAGTATTCTATGTGTGTGGAAATTTTGGTGCCAAAATTTCTCCTTGGTCAACTGACTTTTATAAAACACTAAAGATATCCAAGTGCCCTTTAAAAGAAATATGTTTGTATGAAGTTGTCCTGCAACACTTAAAATGCGTTGTTTAGGAAAGTACCAATGAAATTTTCTAAATATATGTCAGCGTCACATTTTTAAAAAATGTGGGTAGCCTCCAAGGGTGGAGTTTACATTTTTTCCTATGGTTAAAATAACTGTGCACTGGGAAAAAAAGAAAACAAAAAAAAATTCATGGAATAAAGTGGTAAAAGAAAATGGGAAATTTACAGCTTTGTGGATTGTGTAAAGAGAAACAAACAATAGGGGTTTCCAGTCTCTAATATTGTTCACGTGGGGTGTGGGATAGTGGGAAAGGAAGACCATGAGTTATCTTTGGAACATGTTGAAGTTGTGATGTCTCAGGGATATCTAGACAAATGTCTATACTCCTGGAGCTCATAAAAGGAGTTTAAGCTAGAGAAAAAGATTTGGAGATCATTCTTTTAGAGGTGATATGAAAATAATTGAATATTATTTGAGTTATAAATTGAATCTGAAAAACATAAATGTTTAGAGGCTTCTACATAAAACAAGACATTAGATTTTTTTTTAAAGCTGCCTCCAAGTTATGCACTGCCTTTCAAACAAAGTTTAAGTAAGAAGAAAACAAGGAATTGAAAGCATAAAATATGTGAGTAGTTTGAAATTAACCAAACACCATGGATAATCATTTTTACCAACTTCATGACTCTGAGGGCTTCACTAGGCAAAGCAGAGAATCCGATTGATAACTTTCTTGGCACTTCAACTTTGTGGTCAAAATCCTTCTAGCATCATGTCACTCCCAGATGCTTTTGCCTTCAGACTACACCCAGCATTCCCTTTTCCCCACCTGCTTACACCAATGAGCCCCCAGAATTTCAGAGCTTTGCTGGTTAGCCTCTTCACTCCAGTTGTTCTCCATGAAAACTTCATATTTTGTCAATTTCTCCTCTTATTTCTTCCCTGCACATCAGCTAAATCATCTAATGAATGATTTACTCAATCCTAATGAACACTACTTTGATTATATCTATAGTTTCTCTTTTTTTTCCAGGTAACACAGATACACTTCTATTTTTAAAGGCATGATTGCCATTTTAGACACTATAGAAGATTAGGAAATTGATTGGGTAAACGACAACTCTTGTGCTCAAGCTGTACCAAAAAAAAGTACTCTAATTATTTATTGTATGGTCAGTTAAAATATTAGTTTTGCTTGATTATTAAAGTTACATAATTTTAGAAAATTTCACAATTAATGAAATAATAAGAAAACCAAGTCCACCTAGAGATAATGATGGATAGCATTTCTATGTTTCTTTTTTATACATGTTTATTTTCAGTATCGACACCACTATCTTTACCTTCCAACCATTTCCCTCCCATCATCATTATTGCCAAAGTTGATTGAGTGCCCACTATGTGCTAGCACAAGGTTAAATGCCTTGCATGGAGTATCTCACTTAATTCCCAAAGCAGTTTCGTTATGTAGATATTATTTTCTCAGTTTTGCAAAAAAGAAATTGAGAGTTAGAAAAGTTAAGAAATTTATGTAAAGACAAACAGTTTTGGGAGAAGCAGAATATAAAACTGGGTAGACTGAATCCTAAACTTCACTTTTGAGATTATATTGTATTAAATTGGATATTGTTTGAAATCTTATAAGGGTCTCATAGTGAACAGATTTCTCTCTCAGTAATGTTTGTGTTACTTTCTTTTCCAGTAGAAATTGTTTTATCTTTTGAATGCTGGTTGTGGTAAAGTTGGCTTACTAAGATATTTTGGACCATAATTACTTCATCATTAGAGTAACCCTTTTATCCATCCTTCATTTGGTAATGTTATATTTTTGTTACTCGCACTTTTGTTCTTTTCCTGTTGCTAGGCAGCAGTATAATCAGCAGCCATATAGCTAATTACACACTGCTTCTAGAATGACTATGTGCCCTGAATTGGGTTGTAATGTCTTGAACTGAATAGTGTCTTGCAATAATATTTTCTAGGAACAAAATACACTAAAAGAGAAATGCAAAACTTCCATATGTATGTATATATATATATATATACACACACATACACACACACACATACATGAATATGCATATTCATATACAGATGATTCTATATATATGAAACTAATGAAATCATATATGATTATATATTATATATGAAATACATATAATGTATATATTTTATAATTAAATCAATATAATATCGTTCTGCTCTTAAATTTATCAAGTCCAAGTAGCCTCTTTTATGCTCTCAGGGATAATTCTTGCCAGCTTTAGCAAAGATAAATATTAAGACACTAGATTAAATTTGAATTTCAGATAAATAACAATTTTGTATTGGTATAAGTATGTCCAAACAGTTCATGAAATACAATTATGCTATAAAACCATTGTTTATCTGAAATTCAAATGTAATTGAACATCAAGTATTTTACCTGACAAATCTATTTGTTGAATCTCATTGTACTTGAACAAATACTTGTTCAATGAATTAAGTTGTTTCAGAATCTTTCTTTTGAGAAAAATAATGTCCTTCACTCAATGCAGCCAGTAACTTCTCTCAGGGATGGACTGGGCAGGCCTCCATCTTGGCCTAAATTACAAGGTAGCTTCTTAATGACTCACATTGAATGGCCGTCTGATATGTGACATATGTGATTCTCTACCAGCAACATAGATGCACTTATTAACGAGCTCAATTATGTGAATAAGATAATCTTTAAAAACACCTTTAAGGCCCATGTTCCATTCATCTTGTATATTCTGATATGTCCTCCCATAGCAAGGATAGAAACTGGAGGGGGTGCAAGTGGAGACTCTTCACTTGCACATATTTTTATGCACTCAATTTTAATAGTAGGTTATATACTCTTATTAATACTTATCTTTAATATTTCACTCATTCTTTTACTTTTTGCTATATTCACATAACTTTGTATGATGCCTAAAATCATACCTGACACAATGTACCTTTTGATATGCTTTGAAGTATACAGTATCATTCGGATATATTCTTGGCCAAAAGGTTAAATATAATTAAGCCTCTAGAGTTTACTTTTATTTAAGAATCTTGATACTAGAGGAACACATTAAAAAACACAGTGTAGTTGCTAAAGACTCATTGCTCTACAATGCATACATCCTGCATTTACTTTTCTCACAATAATCCTCTTGCCTTGCATCTAGGTGGTCTTGTGACTTGCTTTTAGGACCATAGAATGCTGCAGAAGTGACACTATTTGATATCAAAGGGTAGACGATAAGAAGTCTTGCAGCATTTGCTCTTAGAACATTTGCTTTGGCATCTACCCTCTCTAAATCCAACTTCCATGCTGTAAGAAGTTCAAGCAACATAAAGATGCCATTCTTGTTGGCAGCCCCACTGAGCTCCAGGCTGAGAGCCAGCATTGACTTCCAGGCATTTGGGAATCAAGCTGGGATATCCACCCTAATCAAGCCTTCTGATTCTTTTACATGTAGTCATCATGTAACTAAAAAACTCCGAGATACCCTGACTAATAATCCCAAGGCTGAGCCCAGTTGACTCACAGCAGTGAGATAATAATATGTTGTTGTTTTTAATTATGGGATTTTTAGTTTTTCAGCAATAGGCAAATGGAACATATCACATGAAATGAAACAGACAAATCCAGAATGTGGGACACTCTGCAGGACAAATAATCCAATTTCTTTAACAGGTCAATAGCAGAAAAGAAGAAAAAAGAAAGGTGCATGCTCTATTTTAGACTAAAAGTGACTTCTGAGACATTACATTGAAATATCATGTGTTTATCTTGTTTGAATCCTAATTCAAACAAAACAACTGTGAAAACATATTTTTGAGGCAACATGGGAAATTAGAATATATTCAAACATTATTGATAATTTGTTAAGAGTGAAGGCTATATAATATAAAGATCCATTTTTTATGCCTTCATATGAAACTATGGAAGAGTGAAATAATATGATAACTGACATTTGCCTTAAAATTATTCAGCAGTAAAGGAGAGAAAGGGACATGTAAAACAAGAAGCAAAATCTTGATAAGAGTTCACTCTGGGGAAGGGTATATGGTGGTCCATTGTAGTAGCTTATCTAATTCAATGTACATTTGAAAATTTCATAATTGCAAAATAATAAATCTTTCTGGTTCAATGCAAAATATAAAATATATACATTATATATTTGAAACATAAACATGAAAATTATATATACATCCAAATAGACAAAATTATCAGAAAATAAGAATTATACTTAATTTCATAGGTAATATTATAGGTAATTTTTATATCAAATTAACATTTATTTTCAATAAAATCTACTGACAAAATTATAAAAAATAAGATATATAACATTTATAATGAATTTTATTTCCTTTCCTATTCAGTATGTTTAGAATGACATTTAAGATGTAAGCAAAAACTTTATAAATCTTCAAAACCACTCTTTTGTGTTTCTTTATACGACTAAGTATATTTTATTTGATTGGAAATCTTTATGGAAGTTGTTAGAGATTACAGGACATGCATAAAATACGTAATATATGTGTTCCAAAAGCAACCTGTCCTCCATCACTGTTTTGCGAAGCAGGGCAATTGTAGGTTTTGTCTACATATAAAATTGCAGAAGTATTAACTACTCACTAGTTACTAAAGAGTTAGTAGTTATGCTTTGATGAATCTGGTTCTTTGAATAAATTCAGATGAATGCTGTATGTATAGGGAACTGTTTAATATCCCTCTTTCAAATATTTACTAGATATTAAGAAGAGGATCACTGCATTAAAATGTCAAAAGTGGTACCAAAGTGTAAATTTTAAAGTGACCTTTAAACTATTCTGGAGTTTTTTGTTTTAAATCAACAACAAATTGATAAATAATAGCATAATTTTTTTCCATGAAAGGTCCTTTTACAAACCTGAAAGGAGCCCGAGAACCCCAAATTAAATTCATGTTAAATTACAAAATTAAGAGGTAAGAGTTGGACTTAAAATAGTCAATGATTAATAGATTCAGTTTGATGTAGAAAGCTTTATAAGAATCTTTAAAATTCTTATAATGTTCCTGCTGTGAGCTGAAACAGTAATAAAAATTCATTCTTTTCAAGTTTCCCTAATAAGAAATGCCTCTTCTGAGTATACAAAATGTTAAATCAATTATTACATTGCATTGTTTAAAGCTTTCACAGGTCCTAATATTATCTCAGATTCTTTGGCAAAGATCTTGATTCCTGAGTCTTTTTCAATATGGTGGTAATTTTGTCAAGCCAGAGGAAGCCTGCCCTAGTGTGATGGCGAGAGAATAAATGTAACTCATTTGCTTTTTACAAATTAGTTATTAAATTTCATATTGACGTTTGACATTGACACTGACAAAATGACTGGAGAGGTTTTCTTTCTTCTTGCTACTCTCTTAAAAAAATAAAAATTCATAGCTTAAAAAATACTATTTCTCCAAACCTCCATTGAGAAACTGATTAAAATGATTGTTAGGGACAGACAGCCAAAAGGAATATGCTACAATTTGTTAAATAAATTAATTTTTAAAATACAATGTGAAACCAGCATGTTTCAGTACATATTAATAGAACAAAACTTTATATTTTGTGAATCCAGTTTGGTCCATCAAAAGAGGTGATTATAGAAGTCTCCACGGATAATTTAGAGTTTACTATATGTATACATATATACAGACACACACACATACATGCTTATATATATAGTGTATGTGTATATATATACTCAGCAAAGTATAGTGTGTGTGTGTGTGTGTGTGTGTGTGTGTGTATACATAAAATACTCTGCAAAGATAATAAACTTAAAAGTAAAAGGAAATTAATGAATCTCCTGGAAAGTACAGTGCATTGTCTAGTGAAAATAAATCTCTCATAAAAAGGACTATCTTAAAAAACAAAGCTAGGCTGGTGTGGCAAGATGGCTGAATAGGAACAGCTTCAGTCTGCAGCTCCCAGCAAGATCAGTGCAGAAGGTGGGTGATTTCTGCATTTCCAACTGAGGTACACTGTTCATCTCATTGGGACTGGTTAGGAAGTGGGTGCAGCCCACGGAGGGCAAGCAGAAGCAGAGTGGGGCATTGCCTCACCCGGGAAGTGCAAGGAGCTGGGGAGCCTCCCTTTCCCGGCCAAGGGAAGCCATGAGGGACTGTTCTATCTGGCCCAGATACTATGCTTTTCCCACAGATTTTGCAATTCACAGACCAGGAGATTCCCTTGTGTGCCTATACCACCAGGCCCTGGGTTTCAAGCACAAAAGTGGGAGGCTGTTCGGGCAGACACTGAGCTAGCTGCAGGAGTTTTTTTTTTTTTTTCCATACTCCAGTGGTTCCTGGAACCCCAGCAAGACAGAACCGTTCACTCCTTTGGTAAGGGGCCTGAAGCCACGGAGCCAAGTTGTATTGCTCAGTGGGTCCCATTCCCACAGAGCCCAGAAAGCTGAGAACTTGAACTTCTCACTGCCAGCATAGCAGTCAGAAGTCAACCTGGGACAATTGAGCTTGTCGTGGGGAGGGGCATCAGCCATTACTGAGGCTTGAGTATTTGCTTTTCCCCTTACAGTGCTAAGGACTGGGTGGAACTCAACAAAGCACGGCAAAGTGGCTGTGGCCAGACTGCCTCTCTAGATTCCTCTTCACTGGGCAGGGCATCTCTGAAAGAAAGGCAGCAGCCCCAGTCACGGGCTTATAGATAAAACTCCCATCTTACTGGGACAGAGCAACTGGGGGAAGGGGCAGCTGTGGGCATGTGGGCATAGCTAACATCAACATCAACAAAAAGAACCTCGACACAGAAACCCCATCCAAAGGCCAGATCAAATGTAGATAAATCCATGAAGATAAGGAAAAACAAGAGCAAAAAGGCTGAAAATTCCAAAAATAAGAATGCCTCTTCTCCTCCAAATGATCGCAACTCCTCTCCAGCAAAGGCACACAACTGGACAGAGAATGAGATTGACAAATTGACAGAAGTAGGCTTCAGAAGGTGGGTAATAACAAACTCCTCCAAGATAAAGGAGCATGTTCTAACCCAATGCAAGGAAGCTAAGAACCTTGACAAAAGGTTACAGGAACTGCTAACTAGAATAACCAGTTTAGAGAAGAACATAAATGCCTGATGGAGCTGCAAAACACAGCATGAGAACTTCGTGAAGCATAAGTATCAATAATTCATGAACTATCAATAGCTGAATTGATCAAGCGGAAGAAAGGATATCAGAGATTGAAGATCAACTTACTAAAATGAGATGTGAAGACAAGATTAAAGAAAAAAGATGGAAAAGGAACAAACAGAGCCTCCAAGATATATGGGACTATGTGAAAAGACCAAATCTATGATTGATTGGGGACCCTGAAAGTGATGGGGAGAATGGAACCAAGTTGGAAAACACACTTCAGGATATTATCCAGGAGAACTTCTCCAACCTAGCAAGACAGGCCAACATTCAAAATCAGGAAATACAGAGAACATCACAAAGATAACCCTCGAGAGAGCCATCCTAAGACAGATAATTGTCAAATTCTCCAAGTTTGAAATGAAGGAAAAAATGTTAAGGGAAGTCAGAGAGAAAGGTCAGGTTACCTACAAAGGGAAGCCCATAAGACTAACAGTAGATCTCTCTGTAGAAACCCTACAAGCCAGAAGAGAGAGGGGGCCAATATTCAACATTCTTAAAGAAAAGAATTTTCAACCTGAATTTCATATCCAGCCAAACTAAGTTTCATAAGTGAAGGAGAAATAAAATCCTTTCTAGACAAGCAAATGTTGAGGGATTTTGTTACCACCAGGCCTGCCTTACAAGAGCTCCTGAAGGAAGCACTAAATATGGAAAGGAAAAACAGGTACTGGCCACTGCAAAAACATACAGAAATATAAAGACCAATGACAATATGAAGAAACTGTATCAACTAACCAGTTAAAATAACCAGCTAGCATCATGATGACAGGATTAAATTCACACATATCAATATTAACCTTAAATGTAAATGGGCTAAATGCCCCAATTAAAATACACAGACTAGCAAATTGGATAAAGAGTAAAGACCCATCAGTGTGCTGTAGTCAGGAGACACATCTCACATGCAAAGACACACATAGGCTCAAAATAAAGGGATGGAGGAATATTTACCAAGTAAATGAAAAGCAAAAAAAAAAAAAAAAAAAAAAAAGAAAGAAAAAAGAGTGGGGGTTGCAATCCTAGTCTCTGATAAAACAGAATTTAAACCAACACAGATTTTTTAAAAAAATAAAAAGACAAAGAAAGGCATTACATAATAGTAAAGTGATCAATACAACAAGAAGAGCTAACTATCCTAAATGTATATGCACCCAACACAGGAGCACCCAGATTAATAAAACAAGTTCTTAGAGACCTACAAAGAGACTTAGACTCCTACACAATAATAGTGTGAGACTTTAACACCCCACTGTCAATATTAGATCAACAAGACAGAATATTGACAAGGATATTCTGGACTTGAACTCAGCTCTGGACCAGGTGGACCTAATAGCTATCTACAGAATTCTCCACCCCAAATCAACTGAATATACATTCTTCTCAGCACCACATAGCACTTTTTTTTCTAAAATCAACCACATAATTGGAAGTAAAACACTCCTCAGCAAATGCAAATGAGCAGAAATCATAACAAACGGCCTCTCAGACCACAGTGCAATCAAATTGGAACTAAGGATTAAGAAACTCACTCAAAACCAGGCAGCTACATGGAAACTGAACAACCTGCTCCTGAATGACTGCTGGGTAAGTAATGAAATTAAGGCAGCAATAATGAAGTTCTTTGAAACCAATGAGAACAAAGACACAGCATACCAGAATCTCTGGGACACAGCTAAAGGAGTGTTTAGAGAGATATTTATAGCAGTAAACGCCCACATCAGAAAGCAGGAAAGATCTAAAATTGATACCCTAAAGTCACAATTAAAAGAACTAGAGAAGCAAAAGCAAACAAATTCAAAAGCTGGCAGAAGACTAGAAATAACTAAGATCTGAGCAGAACTGGAAGGCATAGAGACAAGAAAAACCCTTCAAAATATCAATGAACCCAGGAGATGATTTTTTGAAAAGACTAACAAAATAAACTGCTAGCCAGACTAATAAACAAGAAAAGAGAGAAGAATCAAATACACACAATAAAAAATGATAAAGGGGATATCACCACAGATCCCACAGAAATACAAACTACTATCAGAGAATACTATAAACACCTCTATGCAAATAAACTAGAAAATCTAGAAGAAATGGATAAATTCCTGGACACATACACCCTCCCAAGACTAAACCAGGAAGAACTCGAATCCCTGAATAGACCAATAACAAGTGCTGAAATTGAGGCAGTAATTAATAGCCTACCAACCAAAAAAACTCCAGGACCAGATGGATTCACAGCCAAATTCTACCAGAGGGACAAAGAGGAGCTGGTACTATTCCTTCTGAAACTATTCCAAACAATAGAAAAAGAGGGACTCCTCCCTAACTCATTTGATGAGGCCAGCATCGTCCTGATTCCAAAACCTGGCAGAGACACAACAAAAAAAGAAAATTTGAGGCCAATATTGCTGATGAACATCGATGTTAAATCCTTAATAAAATACTGGCAAACCGAATCCAGCAACACATCAAAAAGTGTATCCACCATGATCAAGTCGGCTTCATCCCTGGGATGCAAGGCTGGTTCAGCATATGCAAATCAATAAATGTAATCCATCATATAAACAGAATCAATGAAAAAAATCCCATGATTATTTCAATAGATGGAGAAAAGGTCTTCGATAAAATTCAACACCTCTTCATGCTAAAAACTCTCAATAAACTAGGTATTGATGGAACATATCTCAAAATGATAAGAGCTGTTTATGACAGACTCATAGCCAATATCATACTGAATGGGCAAAAGCTGCAGGAATTCCCTTTGTAAACCGGCACAAGACAAGAATGCCCTCTGTCACCACTCCTATTCAACATAGTATTGGAAGTTCTGGCCAGAGCAATCAGGCAAGAGAAAGAAAGAAAGCATATTCAGATAGGAAGAGAGGAAGTCAAATTATCTCTGTTTATAGATGACATGATTGTACATTTAGAAAACCCATTGTCTCAACCCAGAAATTCCTTAATCTGATAAACAATTTTAGCAAAGTCTCGGCATACAAAATCAGTGTGAAAAAATCACAATAATTCCTATACACCAATAATAGAAAAGCAGAGAATCAAATCGTGAGTGAACTCCCATTCATAATTGCTACAAAGAAAATAAAATGCCTAGTAATACAACCTACAAGGGATGTAAAAGACCTCTTCAAGGAGAACTACAAACCACTGCTCAAGGATGTAAGAGAGGACACAAACAAATGGAAAAAAATTCCATGCTCATGGATAGGAAGAATCAATATTTTGAAAATGGCCATACTATCCAAAGTAATTTATAGATTAAATGCTATTCCCATCAAGCTGCCATTGACTTTCTTCACAGAACTAGAAAATTCTAATTTAAATTTTATATGAAACCAAAAAAGAGCCCATATAGCCAAGACAATCCTAAGCAAAAAGAACAAATCTAAAGGCATCACGCTACCTGACTTCAAACTATACTACAAGGCTACAGTAACCAAAACAGCATGGTACTGGTACCAAAACAGATATATAGACCAATGGAATGGAACAGAGGCCTCAGAAATAAGACCACACATCTACAATCATCTGATCTTTGACAAAAACAAGCAATGGGGAAAGGATTCCCTATTTAATATGTGGTGCTGGGAAAACTGGCTAGCCATATGCAGAAAACAGAAACTGGACCCTTTCCTTACACCTTACACAAAAACTAACTCAAGTTGGATTAAAGACTTAAATGTAAAACTTAAAACTATAAAAACCCTAGAAGAAAACCTAGGCAATAACATTTAGGACATAGGCATGGGCAAAGACTTCATGACTAAAACACCAACAACAATTGCAACAAAAGCCAAAATTGACAAGTAGGTTCTAATTAAACTAAAGAGTTTCTGCCTGCAAAAGAAACTATCATCATAGTGAAAAGGCAACCTACAGAATGGGAGAAAATTTTTGCAATCTATCCATCTGACAAAGGTCTAATATCCAGAATCTACAAGGAACTTATACAAATTTAAAACAAACAACCCCATCAAAAAGTGAGGAAGGATATGAACAGACACTTCTCAGAAGAACACATTTATGTGGCCAAGAAATATATGAAAAAAAGCTCATCATTACTGGTCATTAGAGAAATGCAAATCAAAACCACAATGAGATACCATCTCATGCCAGTTAGAATGGTGATCATTAAAAATCTGGAAACAATGGGAATATACCCAAAGGATTATAAATCATTCTACTATAAAGACACATGCACACATCCATATGTTTATTGCAGCACTATTTACAATAGCAAAGACTTGGAACCAACCCAAATGCCCATCAATGATAGACTGGATAAAGAAAATGTGGCACATATATACCATGGAATACTATGCAGCCATAATAAAGAATGAGTTCATGTTCTTTGCAGGGACATGGATGAAGCTGGAAACCATCACCCTCAGCAAACTAACACAGGAACAGAAAACCAAACACTACATGTTTTCACTCATAAGTGGGAGCTGAACAATGAGAACACATGGACACAGGGAAGGGAACATCACACACTGGGTCCTGTTGGGGGATAGGGAGAAAGGGGAGGGAGAGCATTAGGAAAAATACCTAATGCATGCAGAGCTTAAAACCTGGAGGATGGGTTGATAGGTGCAGCAAACCACCATGGCACATGTATACCTATGTAACAAACCTGCACATTCAGCACATGTATCCCAGAACTTAAAGTAAAAAACAAACAAGCAACAAACAAAAAACAACAACAAAAAAAACATAATAATAATGAAAAAAAATAAAGCTAAAGGTTTTTTTTTTGTCATTATCTTAACATCCACAATTGGGATCTTTTACATCCTTGGTGATCTACTTGTTCACTGTTTTTATCTTTGCTAAAAGCTGGACTAGCAACAGAGCAGTGAAGTCCAGGGCTCTGGCTGTGGTGCTGCCCGCTAATGCTTCTGAAGCCATTTGGCTAACCTAGGAGAATAGTTTTGAGTGAGTAACTCTGTCTCTTGAGACCTCCAGACTCCAACTCTATGTCCCCTCTACTCTTAGTGCTCCTCATCCACAAGTGCTGGCTTCCTTCTTTTGATGGTTTCTTAGCTCATTGTAGATCAAAAAACTCAAATCATCATGAGGGTTATCATTATCCTGAGGGTGGATTGATAGTTAACAACAGGGAGATTCATTGCTCTGGCAATAATTCTACTGAAGTCTTAATTAGGATTCTCTGGTTTCAGGATACCTGAAAAATACTTGGTGAAATTGTGATAACCATTGCGGACTGTTTGAACTGCATTCTGAGAAATCTGTTTTCAGATGTGTGTAGTGGGGTCAAGTAATCTGGGAGTAAAGCTCCCAGAGTTACTTTTTAAATTTTTTCTTAATTAAGGCATTTTACAAAGTAGCTTCACTGAGATATAATTCACCCATATAAAATTTACAATTCACTGGCTTTTAGTATTTTCACAGAGTTGTGCAACCATCACCACAGTCAATTTGATAACATTTTATCACTCCTTCAAGAAAACCTGTACCCATTAGCAGTCACTACACATTTTCCTCTCCATCATCTCTTGACAACCACTAATTTTGTCTCCTTAGATTTGCCTAAACTGGACATTTCATATAAATGGAATTGTGCAATCTTTTGTGACTGGCTTCTTTCAGTTAGCATAATGTTTTCAAGGTTCAGCCATATTGTATCATGCAGCGTGTATTGATACTTCATTCCTTTTGATTTGACAAAATATTCTTTTGTATGAATATACTATATTTAATTTATCTATTCATAAGTTGATGGACGTTTGGGTTGTATCCACTTGTTGACTATTGTAAATAACGTTACCATGAGCAGTTATAAATGTTTTTATGTGGATATATGTTTTATTTTCTTTTGGGTGTAAACCTAAGAGTGGTATTCCTGGATCATGTGCTAAACCTAACTTTTTGAAGAACCCCCAGACTCTTTTTCCAAAGCAGCTGTACCATTTTACATTTCCGCCAGCAATATAAGAGTTCCAATTTTTCTGTGTCATCATAAACACTTGTTATCAATTTCTTAAAAATTTAGCCATCATAATGGCTGTGATTTTATTTGCATTTCCCTGATAACAAATGATGCTGAACATATTTTCATGTGCTTTTAAAGACTTGTATATCTTCTTTGGAAAAAAAAACGTCTATTCAAACTTTTTGCCCTGGATTTAGTTAATTTATTTGTCTTTCTATTATTGACTTGTAAGAATGTTTATGTATTATGGATATAAGTCCTTTATCAGTTATATGATTTGCATATATTTTCTTCCATCATTTAGTGGTTTGTCTTTACACTTACTTAATGGTAGTTCTTGAAGCACAAAACTCTTAATTTTTATGTAGTCCAATTTATCTAGCTTTTTCTTTTGTTGCTTGTGTTTTTTTTGTGTCACATCCAAGAAACCATTGACTAAGATCGTAAGTGTTTACTTCCATTTTCTTATAATTTTAACTTTTCCATTTATTTTTGTAGTTCATTTTGAGTTAATTTTTGCATATAATGTATAGTATGAGTCCAATTTTATCTCGCTTCATGTAGATATCCAGTTGTCCCATCAAAAGACTATTCTTTCCCCCAATGAACAGCCTTGGCACTATTGTTCAAAGTCAATAGACCATTAATGTCAGAATCTATGTTGAAACTCTCATTCTTTTCTGTCAGTCTCTATGTCTATCCTTATGCCAGCACCACACTCTCTCAATTACTGTAGTTCTGTATTAAGTGTTAAAGCTGAAAAGTGTGTGTCTTCCAATTTTGTTAAGTTTTTTCCAGATTGCTTTTTGCTATTCTGGATCCTTTGTAATTCCATAGAAATTTTAAGATTAACCTGTCAGTTTCTGCAAAGAAGCTGGGATTCGGAAAAAAATGCTTTGATTCTGTAGAGCAACATGGAAAATATTGCCATATTAAAAATATCACATCTTATGATGGGTAAAAATGTAATGCTTTTCCATTTATTTAGATCTTCCTTAATTCCTACCTTTAGTTTTTAGTGTACAAGTCTTTTACTATTTTTTGGTTAAATTTATACATATACATTCTGTTCTTTTTGATGCTATAGTAAATTGAATTGTTTTCCTAATATATTTTTTGAAGTTGTCATTGCTAGTTTATAGAAATACACTTGATTTTTATATGTTAATTTTGTATCCTATAACATTACTAAGCTTATTTATTAGTTCTAATATTTTTAATAAGTCACTTAGGGTTTTCTAATACTAGATTATATCATCGCAAACAGAAATACTTTAACTTTCTTTCCAATCTGTATAGTATTTTTTTTCTTTTCTTAATTGCCAGGATCCCTGACTAATTCTGATGCAAGTGGTTAAGGGAGCACGTTTGGAAAAAATAAGTTAAAAAGAAAAGCTTAAGCAGCATTTCAGGTCTTAACAAATGAATACAGAACTGGATCCTCAGGAGCTTATAAATCCCATAGGAATGGTAGATTCCTTATGCATGAACATAGCCCCTGAGAAAGATGGTTGAGGACTATGTAAAAATTGTAGCCAAGTTTGTCTGTTGTCCTTTACTGATTAAAAAACTATAATTTTAATGATGCTCCCTAAGAGGAACAACTTATATTTATACAATAAACATACAATTTTTAGTGCTTACCCTATCTAAGAGTCAGTATATGGGAATAAGAAAAATATTGCTTTTTTTTGAGGTCCAAGTCTATAATTTAGTAGGTCTGTGACCTGGGGAGAATCAGTTGAGTTTCATTAGTTTTAACTATACTGATTGTAAAATAAGAAAAATAATAGTAGCATGAGCTCCATAAAGTCCTCAGCAGTCTAGTACACTGTAGGCAATAACATGTTTCTAAACACATGATGAATGAATCTTTTATATAGCATAGTGTTTTTACTCATGTTTAAAGCCATATTTAAATTAAAACATGATTCACAATATTGGTATCTTTAATTCTTTGTGCTCAACATTTAAAACCTCTGAATTGAGGACATTATAAATATAGATATAGTCATTGTAGTCATATAAAATTATATAAATTGTATTTAAAATTTATAGAATTTTAAATATAATTCAAAGGAAACTAGAATTTTACTTATGATATTAATCACATTCATTCATGAAGGAATGCTATATATTTCAGAGAACTCTACAATTTCATCTCATAAAACCAATGTTACTTTACAACAAACTCTTACCACAAATTTTTCATAACCATCAGTGTTTAAAATGATAAGTTAAACACACAGATATGTGGATTCTTTAATGGTAAACATATTTTTTCACTTATTTTTCTGACATTAGTTTGACCATTACACTGAAATTTAGCTGGGTCACTGATATGTTCCCTGACCATCTGTAAACCTATTTGAGAGCAATAAAATTAAACAAAGCAACATTTTATGTTTAATTTTGTCTTCAAACGATTCTTTTTATTATCTATAAGACATTATAAATGTGCATAAGAGGATCTGAAGTTCATTAGACTCATTTTAGGAAATTTAGGACTTTTTGAGCTCAGATAGATGTGATTTTTACTTACTAAATAAGGGTCATTAATAATGACTCATCATAACTCAGGAAAGCCTTGCCTACTTGGCTTTTTTTCACAGACTAGATTCACATTGGTGACCAAGATGGTGAAATGTGAAGGTGAAAGTGAGATTTCATCCTCCTCTTCTTTTTTTCAAACCTGCATTTAGGCTCTGCAAAATAAGTAAGTAAATAAATAAATAAATAACAGTAATGAAACAGGTCAGCTTACTCTGAACCTGACTAAAAATTAAACTGTGCATTGGTTTAGAAATTTGTGAGAGAACATGAAAAATTCCAGTGGCCAGTTACTACAGTCAGTGCCAGTGAAGGCAGCAAGACAGGGGATTTCCTAAATACAGTTTGCAAATCAGAGGCTGTGCTGGCCATTTCCTTTTGCTCGTGGATAATCTACTTCTCACCGGCCTTCTCCAGCACTGCTCTATATCTCAGGGGGCTGGCTCCTTCAATCTCCTTTTCCTAGGCTGCCCTGCCAACAGACTCACAGCTAGATTCAGTCAATATGAAGCATTGTTGAGAGATTGGAAGCCAATGGAAGGCAGCAGTCCGGGATTTTTCTTCCGACAGACATGCATAAAAGATTGTTGAGACCTGAAGTTCATATAACTTTTTGAGCTTTCTTTCAGGAAAAGTTTGTACAATTTTACATTAAATTAGATAGAAAAGTGAATATTTATTTAGCATTAGGAAATAAATCACTACAAGTTAATAATTTTAAAAAGCTAGCAAATACCACAAACATAAAAATACTAAGGAAAATGACATAAAAATTTTATTAACTTACTGATATACATCCATAATTTTTTCTTTTCCTATAAATATTAACTACATACCTTAAATCACTTGTTCATATGACAATGATTTTGTAACATTTCATCTAAAGACAGTACACATTTATTCAGCCTTTCCTCTAGCATGGCTGATCAGAACTTCTTCTTTTATTATTTATAGTTGAGATGCACAGACATGTGACTCTACAAGCAGACATTTTGATTATTTGTAGTCCTGCTATGGATTTTGTACAACAAAGGAATTCTAATTTTTTCTACTTTGCATACATTTTTATTAAAAATGCATTACACAAGTATGAATATATGCAATGCATAATCAAATACATTCGTGAAAAAAAGGAAACTTCTGTTTTTTATAGGTAACCTAATTTTCTTAGAATTTTATATGATTGATGATTAGAAGAATTTTTCACGAAGAAATTTTTGGTTCCACATACTGCAAATGCAATTTTTCTTCCACAACCCATATACTTGGAGCAGGGCACCCTATGATGCTTTCATATAGCAGTACATCCTTTTCCCATCAGGACAACAGATTAATCAGCTCAGTGGGTAGTAGAGGAGTACCCAGAAGCCAATCTTACACCAGGGTAGCTGGCAATAACTTAACTATACATGAAAGTCACTACAAGCCACAGACTATAGTTTACTGAAACTCCATTAATTGTATCTCCAACTCGACTTTTCCTTAGTTGGATCTAAATCCTGGCAGCTTCTTCCATGGCATCTGACATGAGAAAAGTCTGATAACAGGAAAACGGAAATAAAAGTAGACTATGGTCTTAACCAACTGCAGTTAGTAAGTCCTACTGAATTCCTCAAACTTAACCATTTCAAATCTCAGAGTCATGTAAACACACTTCTAAGGATTCTTGTGAGGGCCCAGAAGCTTAAGTTTCAATGGCTTCCCAGCAAATCCATGTTTGTTCTTTGCCTATGTTGACATTTCTGGTTGTGTCTGTGTCTCCGCTTGGTTCTAGCTCCATGATAGGAAATATCAGTTCTGTAGCTCCTGCTCCCTCAGGGTAGCCTCTGCCATGGTTCCAGCTGCCTGTTGTTCCTAGTCTCTGGGTTCCTTCACCAACGGCAGACTGGCTTCTCAGTGACTCCAGTATCAGTGTGACTAGTTACTTATATTAAATTCCCTTTTTTTGGCTGGGCATGGTGGCTCATGCCTGTAATCCCAGCACTTCGAGAGGCTAGGTGGGAGGATCACTTGAGGTCAGGAGTTCAAGACCAACTTGGCCAACATGGTGAAACCCCTATCTCTACTAAAAATACAAAAATTAGCCAGGCATGGGGGTGCATGCCTGTAATCTCAACTACTCAGGAGGCAGAGGCAGGAGACTCGCTTGAACCCAGGGAGTGGAGGTTGCAGTGAGCCGAGATGGCAACACTGCACTCCAGCCTGGGCTACAGAGTGAGACTCCGTCTCAAAAAAAAAAAGAAGAAAAAAAGAAAAAAAAGAAAAGAAAAATTTCTCTTTTGAGCTAGCTGCTGTGGCCTTTGTTTTTCTGACTGGACTCTGACTAGTAGCAAGGACATGTTAAAATCGTCGATCCATGGAAAGAAGTAATGAACAGTAGCCTACAAGCAGAGCCAAGTACTACTAGTCAAGTTGAAGAGGCTGAACTCAGAATTTAAGAGGTAAAGGGCAGAAAAAGGCTAATATAGTTTGAGTCCATGTTTTGGGGCTTGACTGGTAACATCTTTTAAGCCTCATTCCTCCCTCTTTCCCTTCTGCCCCACATGTGGGCAGGCTGACAATGAGGTCCAGAGGCTCGAAGTCCAAATCACACATGGGAACTTTTAGCCCAGCCCCACCCCATAACCACCATAAAAAACTCCCTGCCAGTCTCCTTTCCTTGCTCTCTGAAGACATTTTCCTACCTGCCCAAGAGCTTCGTCTCTCCACATAGCTTATTAGATGAGTCGCAAACTTTTTCAAACCCTCTTGGTGAGTGTGCAGCACCATTCATCTTTTTGGGCAGGAGTCACCCCATTTCCATGTACAACAGAGAGAGAGATGTTTCAGTGTCCCAATCTCCAAATTATTGATGTCCATAGGGACATTTATTCTATTTATATATTGATTCCACGCACAGAGATAATTTTATGTTCATTAAAGTTTGTTATCAATATGTGATATTACCTAGTGGTGCTTTCCTTCCTGGTTCAACTTAGGAAACCACATATAAATCCACTGCTGAGCTGCTTCTCAGAAAGCTCTCCAGGGGCCATCTTTAAAGTTGCCAACTAGAGATGATTTGGGCATTTAAACTCTGAAATGATTTCTCAGTTAAAAATTTAAGAGTAATGTGATGCCAAAAGAATCTTCTCATTCTTGTTATTGATAGAAAAGTCCTGGGAAAAGCCACAGGACTCCCATTTCTTTCATGTCAGTTGCATAGGCCCAGATGATAAAAAATTTGAGGGTCTGATTCCATATATAAATGAAACCATTTAGAAATTTCAAATGAGGTGTGAAGACATTTCGGCTCTTAGTTTTGCTACTCCCTCGTAGTGTCAGAGGAATATATAATTATCTCCTAATCTGCAAGTTGAGGCTTTATTACTATGAATATGCAGTGGATATGTACCTTGGAAAAGAATGTTCCTATGCATTAGATAATATTGTAGCTTTGCTTGCCAAATAGGTAATAAATAAATCATTGTTGGATGAAGGCAGGAGGTAATTAAAGGTGTTTTTCTCTTTCTGATATTCTCTGTCTTAGATGTTATTTCTCTCTGATGTATCTTTTCTTGTCATTAGCAAATTATATGGCATCTGCTTTATTTTGTAAGCCATCTAGTAAAGTATGGAGAAGGCTTTGCTTTTGAAAATAAAGAAACTAACCAAAGCCCTTTCTTATTCTTCTATTATACATTTTCGCAATTAGTGATGTGAGTAATTTTTAAGGAATCAAAAACCTAGAAGTGCAGGTTTCCATTTCACAGGAAAACTAGTGTGATAAAAATATAAAATATTATTTAGAATTTAAAGATGAAACAGCTTATTCATCTGGTTTTCGGTTAGAGCTTTGTAGTGAGGGGATCATTAACTGTTGTTAAATACCCATTGCTGCTGAATCCTTCTCCCCAAAAATACTAGATTTCATTGAATCTTATGTTGTCATTACTAAGATACACTCTTATTGTACTTGCTGGGAAAGAAAAAAATGTTATCAGTTAAACTATGACAAAATGCTTTCTTACTGCCCATAATTTTTCTGTACATTTTTGTTCTATGTGTTATCAAAAGCATTTTAATACTGCATTTTATGAAAGAATGCTCAACTTTGGGCTTTCAAACTTCTCAGCTGCTGGCACTCTTAATAAAAATTTTAATGTCAGCACTTTCTTAATCATTACAGATGGCATAAAAATAAAGTTTTTAGTCATCAACCGGGAAATCATTGTAAATGGCAATTAAACTCAATGAATGAAACTAAACTGAAATAATGAAAATATAGCCAAGTTTGCACACAAACAGTAATGACAACTATGTAACAATTCTAAAACAGCAATTGTGAGAGGCCATCAAAAGACACGCTATGATCTCAGATATGTTAGGATATTTGCAAATCTGTATCTCGGGATTACTGAGGTACATAAAATTGTTTTACACAGACATCAGCCTGGGTCCTGTGCTTTTTACTCGGGGCTTGTGATCTGTCCATCAGAAAGGTGTCTGGAGCCTTCCCAGCTATACAGGACTGTCTCAGCTACTCCAAATTACCCTACATTTCATTTCTTAGACATGAGATATTGCTTTACTGTTTTTTTTTTTTCTGGAAAGCATGATTGATCTAATTCACTGTCTTTGCCAAGATCTATCTGCAGTAGTATGCAAGGAAGCTTTGGCAAATGGATGCAAACATTTTCTTACTTCTTTCATGGGTAATTTAACAGTGGATGTAATATGTTCAATCAACTTCTACAAGTAGCCTTTTCATAACTTCAGTGTTAGTGGCTGCATCAAAAATCCATTTTTCTCTCACAAGGGCATAATAAATGCTTTCATTACACACAGACTTCGTGTTTTTTTCCATTCCAAAGCATCATGGATCTCTCCACTTCCCTCCCCCTTTCTCCTCTTCTGGAGAAGGGAAAGAGGCCAAACATTTACAATCTGTTGCTTTTTTCTACTTCTCTTGGCAAGAAGAAAAATATAACCTTGAGGACAATCATGAATGTCTATTAGAATAGTTTTATCTAGAATAAAGACTTAGAAAATTTCTTTTTGCATAAATATGTTTGCACTAATGGAATAGGTATTTTTGTAAGAAAAAATAATTTAGACACATTTTCTTAATAACAAAAGTAATGAAAAATAATGGGCATCTTACCAGTTAAAATTTTAACTAGATTTTAATTTAATAAATGATACTATGTGTAAAAACATTGATTCTGTGTTGAGTATAGAATAACTTTTTTGCTCAGTGTTCAGTGTGGTCTCTCAATATTTAAAAATGGAGAATAATTAATGCCACAGATAATATAATTGATCAAACATTATATTTTAACCAAAAATGTATAATGCTTTTAAAAAGTAAATTACAACACATACAATATTGTAATAAGACTTCCAAATTAAGGAATGCTGTATCATGATAACTATAATATTTAAGGAAAAACTTTTAAAAGTTTAACTGTTAATTCCATAGAAAAAATTAAATGCTTATTAGCCTATATTCACCAATTACTTTCCTCACCACAACACCTGTTGGGGATAAAAACAATGCATTTTTTGAATCTTCCACTAAAATAATAGTGTATATTAGAAAACAAAGGGAGACGCAGACTTCAAAACGTATGCAAGGTTTTGAAGCACTACTGAACAAAGCACTACTGAAAAATAATAATAATTGTTTTTTGGGAAATAATTTGGACACTAAAGGCAAGAGACTCACAGCAGCTACGGACTGCCTTTTGGGACATTAAATCTATTAGTAGAGTGGAAATACTGGCTTGGGGACACTGAGAAAATGCAAATGAAAACAGAGTTGAACTACTGGGTCTTTTGTTCAGGTGAGCACAGGAGGAAATTCAACCTTGCTTAAGCCCAGAGTCACACTGGGGGTCCGGTGTGACTATTTTGGGAGACAACCCTGAGTACAGAGTCATTTGAAATTTTATTAAAATGTCATTTAGAGGGCCCTATCCTGTTCTGTTCAAAGTTGAATTCCACTATTTGTCATCTTATTTTCACTTACCCAGGAAAAAATCCATAGTAATCATTATAATTTTCACATTATACTACATGATTCCTCTATTTGCTAATTGTTTATGAGCTAGTTTGTACTATAGAAACATAATTAAGTAGCAGAACAGACCCAGTTTGCTCTTAGAAAACAAATGTGTGGCCTAGTCCCTTCATTCAAGAAATTTTTAATTTAGTTAAGACACGAAGTAGAGATACTTTGATAGATGTTATAAATTTTTAAAACTTTGATGAATTTTAAAAATGCCACTACAGTTAAGAGAGAAGAAATGTTATTAAATAATTGAAAATACATTTAAGGGCTGTGACTATAAGATATTAATAACTTTTATCTAAAATGCAATATTTTTGGTAAGAGTAAACAAAAAGTGATTTAATTTTACTGCACATTATCTATATTACTGGGGTACTGAAGTGACAGAAAATTTGCATAATATATTATGCTAAATACCATCTCATTAGGTTAGTATATGCCAAAATTGAATGAGCTTTAAATGATTAGTAAATTCTAGCACAGTTGCTTTTTAAGAATTGTACGTCCCAACAAAGAAAGCCCCGAGGAATCCAAATACAAATTCTCTAAGCCACAAAGCACATAGGAGGGAGGGTGGGAAAGAAAGAAAGACAGAAAGAGAGAGAGAGAGAGAGAATATGTTGTTAAATAAATGTGATTCAGGTGTTCAGCATTAAATAGAGTGCCTGATACAAAGAAGGCCCTGAATAACTGGGGATGGGTGAGCCATCAGATTTTATATGACTCCATTCTTTCAGATTAGTTTAGCTTTCACTGAGGAAGCTTCCCTTTGGTTATTATTGAGGGTAAATCTCTTAGCATTACTGAAAAAATAAAACTTATTTTTAAGAGCTAAAATCTACTTTAAGTCCTAAGTCAAATAAACAGACCTCTGACAGTACAGTAAGTGGATATTCAGCAGATACTGCTTGAATGCAAGCAGGAGACAGAAATGGTTTTCTGGCTCTCCCAACATGTCATTCAAGCATTGACTTCACTTCACTGAATAAGCCTAAGTGATGCTCTCACAGGCTATTGGATGACTTTTAGATTTGTCTAGTTTAATATCTTGTTTCACAGAGGATGATACCAATGACTAAAGAAGTGAAATGATGTAAGATATTCTGTATGACATTTAAAAATGTACATACTTTTGTAAATAGAAAACATTGAAACAGCAATAATAGTTATCTTAGGTGGACCCTGAGTGGCTCATATAACTGTTTACACTTACAATTGGCCTTCCATATGCCTGGGTTACACATCTGATTGTTCAACCAACCAAGGATCAAATATATTCAGAAAATATTAAAAATAAGAGTACAACAATAAAAAAAACACAAATAAAAAACAACACAGTATAACAACTATTTACATAGCAATTCCATTGTGTTAGTATGCCATAGGATGTGCACATATTATATGCAAATACTAGGCAATTTAATATATAAGCAACGAGCATCACTGGATTTTGGTATCCTTGTCTTACTTGTTTTTTATGAATCTTTCTTAAATCTATGGATATCTCACATTTACTTAGAAGTTTGGTGATGTTTTTGTAACCAGAAATGTACTGTAGGAACTTAAGTCTTGTCTATATCAATTAGCCTGTGGTAAAATTGGTTTTATTTTATATCGATTTGCTTAAAGTTGCTGTTTCCAAGAGCCTGCCCATGATAGGAGAGGGTCTACTATACTGTAGTTTAGTTATCACAAATTATTCCCCTTACCAACCCCTCTTTTGCTGGTCCCTAAATTAGTTGTTTTCATGGTGGCTACACATTAAAATTGCATAATTTAAAACATACCTAAGTGTCCATCAACAGATGAAGGGGTATAGTAGATGTAATACATATACACTATAGATTACTATTCAGCCATTAAAAGGAATGAGATTCCATCATTCGCAACAACATGATGGATTATG
This sequence comes from Homo sapiens, assembly GCF_000001405.40. NCBI lineage: Eukaryota > Metazoa > Chordata > Mammalia > Primates > Hominidae > Homo > Homo sapiens. The sequence continues at coordinate 145,862,404 of NC_000003.12, read as the reverse complement.
TTAAGAGAAATAAACCAGAAACAGAAAGGCAAACATCATGTGTTCTCGCTTATTTGTGGGGTCTAAAAATCAAAACAATTGAACTCATGGATATAGAGAGTAGAAGGAGGGTTACCGGAGGCTGGGAAGGATTGTGTAGGATGAGGCAGAGGTGGGGATGTTTAATGGGTAGGTACAAAAATATAGTTTGAAAGAATGAATAATACCTAGTATTTGATAGCACAACAGGGTAACTATAGTCAAAATAATTTAATTGTGCATTTAAATGGAATTAAAGGAGTATAACTGGATTGTTTGTAACACAAAGGATACATGCTTGAGAGGATAATACTCCATTTTTCATGATATGATTACTATGCATTGCATGCTTGTATCAAAATATCTCATGTGCCCCATAAATATGTCCACCAACTATGTACCCACAAAAATTAAAAAAGAAATACCTATGTCAGGGCCCCACACCAGAGACTGATTTTATTAATTTAGGAGTGGGCCCAGAAAGCTGTTATTTTTAAATTTTTCCCAGGTCATGCTCATAGGCAGCCTTGTGAAGAACCAGAGCTTTAAAGGATGATTCTCAAAGGGCACTGTGTGGAACCCTAGAAATCCCCAAAACCTTTTCAGAGAGTCCATGAAGTAAAAAGTATTTTCGTAATAGTAGTAAAACATGATTTACCCTCTTCACTGTATTGACATTTGTGACATTTGTACAATAGTGTAAAAGGCAATGGTGCATAAAACTGCTGGCATCCTGGCCTAAGTCAAGACAGTAGCAACACAATGTACTAGTTGCCGTCATATTCTTTAGTCATACACATTCTATTTTTTAAACAAGTTTCTATTAACTATGTCCTTGTCCTTGTTGAAGTAGATGCAATTTTTAATTTCATTAAACCTCAATCCTTTAGTACATGTCTTTTTGATATTCTGTGTGACAAAATGGGAATCATGCATAAAGCTTTTCTACTGCGTGAGGAAATAAGATAGAAGTTTCAAAGAAAAGCATGTGTGATTGCTTGAGTTGGTAACTCAATAAGCTAGGTGCTTAGTTGTTGCTTTTTTTCCCTGTAAAATATAACTTTTACTTGAAAGAAAGTCTGACAAACTATATTAATACTTATCAGACTTAAATATTTACCAGGCTTGTTTTTTTTTTTTTTGAGACGGAGTCTCATTCTGTCTCCCAGGCTGGAGTGCAGTGGCAGGATCTCAACTCACTGCAAGCTCCGCCTCCCGGGTTCACGCCATTCTCCTGCCTCAGCCTCCCGAGTAGCTGGGACAACAGGCGTCCGCAACCACGCCCGGCTAATTTTTTTGTATTTTTAGTAGAGACGGGGTTTCACCATGCTAGCCAGGATGGTCTCGATCTCTTGACCTCGTGATCCACCCGCTTTGGCTTCCCAAAGTGCTGGGATTGCAGGCGTGAGCCACGGTGCCCGGCCAATATTTACCAGGCTAGTTTTTATAATGAATGAGTTGAGTCTGTCACTTCAAATAAAACTGACTATATTTGTTGTGGCAAAATTTGAGTCTTCAATGAAAATTGGAATTTTGGAAAATTTGTCCCTGCCATTGTGCACTTAACAGTTTCCCCACACTGACTTTTCTAGTCATTAGTGGTAATATTAACAAATGATTTTTAAAACAATATTGTGTAATCAAATGTGTAAATATTTGAAAGGTCTGCATATTTCACTGAAGGAGTATATTCCAAATAAAGAATGGATATGCTACAAAATCACAAATGGGTAAAAAATTCATCCAAATTCAAGACAGATCAATAGATCTTAATATAACAGAATATGTCATCAATGCAGATTCTACATTGCAAGTAACTTTATGAAGTTACTGCTTATCAACTTTTCATATACTATCAAAACATAATATCCACAATTACCTGTAAAGGCTATTAAAACAGCCCTCCCTTTTTTAATTTTGTCTTTTGAAACAGAATTTCTTAATATATTTAAACCAAAACAAATGTAGCACTATATTGAATGCAGAAGCTGGTGTGATAATCTAGCTATTTTCTACTGTTGCAGTCTAAAGATATTTTCAAAGTTCCCCCTTTTTTGGAAAATATAATTATGTTTGATAAAATATGTAATTAATATTCATTAATAATGGATTTATTACTGCAATTTTAAATAAAAAATTTTGACTTTAAATATCAAATATAATCAATATTCATAAATATAACCCATTTAAACAAAATCTCTTTGTAGAAGGATCTCAAAATATTTACAATAAAAAGATTCTGAGAACACAAACTTTTGAGAACCTTGAGAGCCATTGTTCTGTCAGCCTTTCTCCACCTCCATCCCACATGTGTACACACACAGGCACACGCAAGCTTCAATTACTTTCTCAGGGGAGATTCAGGTGCAAGGTGTGCTTTCCTTTTCCTTCCTTTCTTCCCGACCTTCCTTTGTGAACTGAAGTTGACAGCAATTTCTGAAGGAAGATAAAATGTTTGGTGTCAATATACAAAGTTGTCTTTGGTAAGTAGTTTGAAGTTGCCATCTCAATTTACAATTAATAAAAAACAAACAAACAAAACTGAGGCCAGTAATCTAGTCACAAATAGATCCCTGGACTGACTCACATATCCTGGTGTTTTCATATATCTTGGATATCACTTTGAGTACAGATTTCACAGAGCAGGTCTAATATAATCAAATAAAAATCCGTATCTGTCAATCAGAAGGAGGTTTTCTGGTTGAACCCATTTCTGACCCTGTACATATTTCCTACTTATAAAATCAATGCCCAAGCATGATGAAAATTTGAGGATACATAAAAATTTTCCTTGATCTGTTCAGTTTGATGTATTATTTAAAAGTACTCTCTATCTTCTAAAAGGTTAGCTTTTAGTAAAGCAAAGTATATTAATGCCAATTTTTATGGCAGACTTAAAAATATCTATTTAAGGTCGTTTTAAAAGGAAAACAAGATATTTTTGTATTATTTGCACTAGATTATCAATATATTCTTATGAAATAAATGAACAAATGGTCATTTATATATTTGTTTTCTGACAGACTATTTTAGGGATAATTCCAATATATTTTCCCCATTGCTACCTTTATTAGAAAATTATTTATAAAAATGTGATTAAATTTATATTTACATTTTATACATACACAATTTATGTGTATTTAACATGCACCTTTCTCTAAGAAGTCCACCAACAAAGAGAAAATTAAGAGAAATGATATTCATATTGACATCTTTTCCATTTAAATGACACTGGTACCTTGTTTGGAAGAGGCTGATTTAAGTAGCTCCCTTGACAAATCCACACTTATATTTCAACCATTCCAACACTGTGGAAGGCTATTTGTATCAGGTCAAGTATTAAATTCATTAACTATTTATCAGATTCTTGGCATTAAACAATATTAAGCTCCCAGCAGATGGCTCGGGACTTGAAATTCCCAAGCACAACTGCATCTTGCATTGGGGTCAGTTTTATGTTCTATAGAAACACATTCATTATGTGTTCTATTTAGCTTCCAAATCTGTGAACTATTCTCACAATATTATCAATTATTTTTCCCTCTAATTTTGTCTTCATCCTTATTTCACCTCAAATTGCCTGCTTTGAGACTTCCAAGCTGGTTTAATTTTACAATTTTGCTTTTTCTTCCTTGCTAGTATTAATAGCTCCATTTCTTTCAAAAGAAGGAAAAGTTATAAGTAATATTACTAACTCCTTTCTTTATATCAGTTTCCATTTTTTGTCTTTAACCTTTATAAAATTTTTATTTCCATTTTTACTGAGTATCAGAGACATACTTTGATTTTCCAGAAAATAAGCTGCGAATAAATGGTATTGATTGAATTTGTTTCCAGAAATCTCTGATTCCAATATTCTCCACCTACTTTTTAAATAACATGAACCTCACTGCATTAAGTTTTGGTAATAATTAAGAGATTAGCAATTATCTCTGTGTCACATGCCAATTTCCAATTTATTGTCTGTTTTTGGTATATCAGTGTGTATACATATGCAAGCATAAGTATTGTTAAGGACTTCATCTTTACTTTCTCATTATACTTCCAAGTACTTCCTCTGCTACAAGTTTGTCTTTTAACATACTTATTAATTTTCAGTTTCTAATGGTTTAACTTTTTTCAGTTTAAATAATGATAGCTCGATAATAGTGAGAACTAGCTGTCATTGAATGGTTAGCATTGTGCAAGGGACTTTACCAAGGCATTGCTTCATCTAATCACAAAACAAACAAGTCAGCAATTGTTCACAGGGAGGAAGTGGATGCTCAGAGTGATTAAGTGACTTATCAGATATTTGTGTGAGTTCAGGATGGGTGCATAACCATCACCTCTTGCTCAGGTACTGATGTCAGATGTTTTTCCCAAACCACTGGCTTTCAGCTCATGTTTACAAACTGAAATCTATGAACCAGAGTATAAAATCACTTTCTAAGATCTAAAATTGTTAAACATCATTGCTGTTTTCTGAGATTATACAAATAAGCCAAATTTGGTAGATCTAGGCAGATGCCATTTTCTCTATTACTAAGTATCATAGATTAGTTATTTAATAGGACTTGTTATTTTACAGAAAGTATTAAGTTTTATTGAGCTATCTGTTATTCTTAAAAGATTTGAAGTACAGAAGAATGCCAAGAATAAAGTAAAACAATAACCCAGAAATAATTATTATTAACATTTAATGCTTATCTTTCTAGCCACATATTTTATTTGCCAAAAAAATGGAATTTCCTACTTGGTAAACTGATTTTTATCTTGATATAATAAAAATAGTTTCTATGTTATTAAATATTTTTCAGCAGCATTATTTTAATGCATGTGTAGTATTCTATCATTTGTCTTTGCCAGACTTTATTTAACCAATACTACATTGCTATTCATTTAGGCAAATTTTACTGTTAAGAAAATTAACAATGATTTATTTATTTAAAATTTATTTAGTCATTGAACTATATACTGAATGTTTACTATGTATCTATCCTTGAGCCTCATATAGGATACTAAAAATGTATTAAATGACAACATCCTTCCTTTCATGAATGATGATATGAGAGTTAGAGACAATGAAAGCTTAAGGAAACATTTTATCATAAGTACCATAACAGAAAGTATAGGGTGTTTTAAGAAGGCATAGCAGCTACTCATATCCCAATTTAAGATGTACCAGAAAAAAGAAAAAAACCTTTCTGTAGTCATTTATTCTAAGAACCTGTGACAAAGATAGGGAGTAGTTCTTGCCAATCATTTCATATTCTGCATCTCCCCTTCCTATTTCTGAGCAGTTTGGTGGATACACATTACTAACTCAGGCCAAAGAAATGAGATTGGATATGATCTGGATTATTTTTGTGCTGAGGGCATAAAAAGCCAATGCACAATGCTCTCATTTCTCTTTGCCTGCAGTGGTGACTGTGGAGGTAACATGTTCCAGAAGATGTTACTGCAAGACGGTGAAACCTCTGTTAATCTGAATCTCTGAGGACTGCAATCCCCATGCATGATGCTATGAAAGAGGACAACACAATTTTATTTATATAAAACCACTGAGGATTAAGAATTGCTTGTTTCCACAGCATAACCTTGCTTACACTGACTAGTACAGATAAGAGAACTTAATGATAACCAAGAAAAGAGAGGAGTTATGCTTTAAACACAGAGAAGACAGTATGCAAACATCCAGCTGAATGAGAAGCTGGGTGCTCTAGGAAGCAAGCATTCTCCGTCTTGTAGGTTAACTTTTGTATATATTTGTGGACATTTCTTCAGATAACTTCTGAGAAAGTGAATTATTGAGTCACGTATATGTTCACTTTTAGGATTTTTAAATATAAAGGATAAAATTTCTCTGTGGAAAATGTCATACCAATTTAGAGCCCCCCAGCATATGAGAGTGTTTGGTCACTTAATTGCATTCATTGCCTATAGGCTGTAAAGCTTTCGTGTTTGTTTCTACATGGTTATTTTTCAATGATGCTATTTAACTAATCTAGAGAATGACTTTGGGTGAAAAGGATAAATTAACATTCCCCAGACCACAAGTAATTGGGCTATGTTGTTTTATTTATGAATATTGTATAGAAGCATTAATCCTGAGACAAGGTAATGCTTATTAAGAAAATGTATATTTTTTGTTTGTAAAAACTGAGACCTAATGAGTCACCTGATGTAGGTGGAAATGAAAAAATAAGACTGGCAAGAGGTCACAATTCTATAAAGCAATATTTCTCAAAGATTTTGCTAAAATCTCCCTTATCCGATGGTAATAATGTAATCACTGGCGGGTTAAGGATAGCCCATATCAGGAAGAACTCATTGCAAACTATATAATGAAAAAGCTTACTCTATCCTTGTTCTATGTTTGTTTTAATATAAAAATATGATATCCTCTCCCAAAGACATGATGTCTTTGGTTTGAGAAAGAGTGGAAAGTCTTAGAGTAGGACTTAGGCCACCAGAATTCTAGCTGTAGTGTTGCCAACAAATACCTGCCTGACTTTTGACAAGCCAACCTCTGTGGGATTCAATTTCTTCAAGGAATGGTGAGGTAGGTAGGCTATATGGCTTCCAAGGCCTACAAGTATGTTGATAGTCTAATTTTCTGTGAAAATAGCATCAATTAAATTAAAATGCTAGAAGAAATACATGATATCTTCAGTCAGAACTCCTTTCTGAAAGTATCTATTATTTATCTAATAGGCTAAATAATAGCTTATAGGTAATCTAGTGAGACAGCTGGCTCTTAGCAAAATTGTGTCTTTCTCCAGCTTCATTTTTGATGCTGTCACTGTTGTACAATATTTATTCAATGTGCTAAACCCATAGAAATCAGCTGCTATCTAAGGTGTCCAAGGATAGGAGGATGCATTCTTTTTAATAAGTACTTAAATTTTTAAAAACTGACAAAAATAGTCTGTAAGGACAAAAGAAATAAAGCAGAAAGGCTGGAAATTTATGTATTAAAGCTGGCCACATAGCAGATATTTTAGCTTTCATTTACTCTCCAAATCAAAGGTAACAGCAGTTGCTTTCATGCAGTGCTAGAGCAACAAGATAAAATTAGCTTTTATAAAAGGACATATATGCATCTTTCTGCTTATTTCTACTTGAAACTTACTATAATTTCTGATATTTGCTTTAAGAAATGATCTGCAGTGAATCTCATTGAATTGCATTATTGTTTTGATTAGAGATTTGACATAAAATTATATTGTTTTTTATTCCATTCCAACATAATATTCCTGGCATCATTTCCAGAAATTAAACTGTACATAATGGACCACATTTTGCCACATGTGGGAGGCTGGGCATTGTGTGGTGGGGTTGTCTACTGTATAGCATAGCTTTGGCACTCCCACTAAGGTACCCAAGCCACTCCCACAGAGACAGTAACTGCCTTGCGATGCCTACTTTTCTTCACAACTAATTAAAAAGATAATGCTTTTTTATGGAAATGAAACAGATTTACTTCTATCATATGTGGGCTATTTAGCTTTTGCAGTATTCCTTTCATATATATTTACTTTAAAATGTGCCTGATGGTGATTTTACATCAGAATAGAAAATAATTAAAATTAAAAAATTAACTTGCTCTAGAGGCTACGTTATGTGACTTTAGCTTCTGGGAAATTTGATATTGGATAATTTCACAAGCAGAGCGCAAGATCTGAGTAATGTGGCATTCTATGTCTGCTTTCTTGCATTCCCTTCTATCCTAGTCACCTCCACCTGCTCTGATCAAAACAGCTACAGTGAGAAGTCATTCTAAAGTCTCTTGTGTTTTAATGAACTTCCAATATGTGTAACTTCAGACTGAAGTAGGGCTGGGATGCTTATCAGTCCTTAAAGATGCATTTTAAGCTTGTGTTGGCAGGAGGCAGGTATGACTGTGGGGGTAGGAGGGTCAGTCTATAAGATCCATCAGTAGATAATTGAGTTGAGTTCCAAAGGCTTTCAAGAGTTTTGGTCTTATAAGAAAAACCCTAAAGAACCTTGAGCTTTGAACCAAGAACAGGGCAGTCTTTTGGACAGGCAGCAGGGAAATGGTATCAGTGACATTGTCAAATGAAACTACATTTGATAATTGCTTGGTGTGTTCATAATAATGGCAAATATAGTTACATGAATCATTGTCCATCCTCAGTGGAAAATATCTCTCCTTTTGGTTCTGAGGAATGAGCTTGAATTTGCTAGGATCAGCTTCCAAATAAATCATATGGAAAATGTTAATTCATTCAGTAGCCCAGTCAGGATTTGGTAAACATTCAGCCTACCATCTAAGATTCTAGTAATAAAATTATTTGATCACCATTCGAGAATCTAACTTCCTATTTTGCTGTAACAGTTTACTAGCCTCTATTGAGAATTTTGTGCAAGGTGCCTCGGTACTTTATGGGTGTGGGCAATTTGATCAATTTTGATACTAAGGGACCATCCCGCTGTCTGCAGTGCATATGGCAGATACCATAAAAATTTCACTAAACTGAGTTGTTTTCACAATCCTATATTTGCATACTTGACATAGTTGTCTTTTGTGTCAATCCAAAATTTGTATTTACATAACATGAAAACACTTACCTGAGATGTAGTCAGTCATACCTGCATTACTTATTTTTGTCATACCATTCTCAATCTTGAACATTTACAATCACTCTATATTATTTTGTATTCCTCCAAAAGCTGACCTTAAGACAAAGGAATTGAGTGCAAGGGAGTTGTATCGGGGCGGGGAATGGGCAAGGAAGAGACTCTTAGGAAGCATGTTGAAGGAGTGGGGAAGTGAAGTGTAAATACTCCATATTATCTTAAACTTATATTTAAGACTACCCACAATGGATATCTCTTTACTATCCAGCCTAGTTTTTTTTTTTTAATAAATTCCACTTCTGCATTTATTTTAGTCATGCAAAGTTCTGACAATTTAACATGCAAGTTATTGACTCCATTCAACCAGAGCTGCTTCCCAAGGCCTCCACCAAAAACAGGGGATTTTCAGGGTACAAAGAATTTCTATTGTAACAATAGTAGCAGCTCTGAGTTTATGAATAGTTAGAAACGAACTATTCACTTGGCAATAGTAGCAAATATGTTTATGGGTGCTGGGTGATATGGTTACTCCTTTTCCTTCTATTCTGCTCTTGCTACAGAAGTACGGCTTAAATACCTCTTATTCTATGAAATCATCTCTCAATAGTAGTGTTTTCCTCTCTACCAAATACTTCTGACTTTTTATTGTTTTGTACTATTTTCATATACTGAATGTTTTTGAGTGAATGTAAAAAAAACAGATTATTTAAGATTGGGTTTCTAATAGTGAAGTTCCAAATTCAACCACTTTTTCATTTTAATAACTGGTAAATGGGTAACTAGTAACTTCTACTTTACAGAAAGGTAGATTATTTACTGAGGATCAACCAAATAAATAACTATTTATTTTGTGAATACATTATTTTTCATCTGCCAATTAATTTTACTCCACCTTTAGTTTAAATGTTAGATATGGACACAGATTTTTTGAAGTAAATATATGTAGAAATGATTTACTACTTGGAATTATGCAATTATTTTTTCTAAACAACTAATAAAATAACAGATTCTTTTTTTCTGTATGTAATATATTGTTTAGGAATGTTCCAAGTTGGATAAAACAAATGAACTAGATTACTATATAGATCTGTGATAAAAGAATCCCCAACTTAATTGAGGTGTCAAACAAATCAGAATTTATAACGGCAATGTAATAGAGCATAGGTATTTTTTCTTACCATTTATGTATAAAAGTTTATTTGTATATACTGTTGTTTATCTTATTCTTATAAATCAATATGCACTGTTTTGATAAATGTTTAAAAACTAGCTCTCTAAGAAAAAACTTTGTTGATTTCCATTGTGTAAATAATTCTATCATTTTCTAATCCAACCTACCAACATATTACTGAATGTGGAGTTGGAAAGAGGCGAACAGTAGCACACCTTTACATGATATTCCCACCATACAATACAATAGATGTAAAGTATGTCAAGATCATAGATAACAGTAAAATGCAGCAAAATCATTTGGAAGTAATAACTTTTGAGTACTTATTACATTTCTTATTAATAATATTTATTTAATCATATATATAGTATCTCTCTGTTGTTCAGGCTAGAGTGATGTGGCGCTATCTTGGCTCACTGCAACCTCCACTTCCTGGGTTCAGGCAATACTCCTGCCTCAGCCTCCCAAGTAGCTGCGATTACAGGCATGTGCCACAAAGTCCAGCTAATTTTTGTAATTTTAGTAAACACCAGATTTTTCCATGTTGGCCAGGCGGGTCTTAAACTCCTGGCCTCAAGCAATCTGACCGCCTTGGCCTCCCAAAGTGTTGGCATTACAGGCATGAGCCACCTAGCCCGGCCTATAATTTAATTTTTAATAATGAATACAACTAACAATTGGCTCACAAAATTCCTTAAAATTTAAAAATTTTCCTTGGTGACCTATTATGAGGTAGTTTCAGCACACCACTGGAAGACAGCTCTTTTCTTTCTTTTTTTTTTTTTTTTTGAGACGGGGTCTCACTCTGTCTCCCAGGCTGGAGTGCAGTGGCACAATCTTGGCTCACTGCAAGCTCCGCCTCCCGGGTTCAACCCATTCTCCTGCCTCAGCCTCCCGAGTAGCTGGGACTACAGGCGCCAACCACCACGCCCGGCTAATTTTTTTGTATTTTTAGTACAGACGGGGTTTCACTGTGTTAACCAGGATGGTCTCCATCTCCTGACCTCGTCGTGATCCATCCTCCTGGGCCTCCCAAAGTGCTGGGATTACAGGCGTGAGCCACCGCGCCCGGCCAAGAGCTCATTTTTAACTGGCTCCTTTGAAAGCTTTATTTCCCTTTATATTGTCACCTTTCCATAGAGGAATTTTACCGAGCAATGTAACATTCAACACCACATTTCTTATGTATCTAGTCCATCCAAGATTGAGTTTATTGACTTAAGATCCATTTTCTGGGTGTGATTTTGTGTATCAATTATTACATTTATTCTTGGTTTATATTGTATAACTTTTAAAATAACTTTCTTGAGATGATCTTCTTTTATAACTTTCACCACTATAGAAAAGAAATTGGTATCTTAGCTTAATATCTTAACTTACTTTTGCAACAAAGTCTTACTTTAATAGGCTTATATGTTTAATTAAATATTTAAGTAAACTATTGCATTTTCTCAAAGATTAACTGAAGGCAGAACTATAAACTCAAAATTGAAAGCATACAGATACAAAAATGCCTGGAGATTTTCATTCATACTCATTGTTGCTATATGTTCCCTGCTTTCTTCTTAGCTCTGCTGTGTCCAGTTAATTGGCTTTCATAGGAGACTCATGAAACTCCTTAGCCTTGATAAGGAGGATATATAAACAACTGCCAGCCCAAATATCACTTAGAAGACATTTTGATTATTATTTAATTTTGTCTTGCAGTTCAGGTTATTAATGTTCAAGATTTTAACATGTGTGGTTGGCACAATTATTTTGGGAGAATGATTGCAGTGGGTTTGGATAAAGCTTTCCATTGGGTTACTTTGCATTCTATTTACATGCATGGTGAGAGGGAAGTATGATGATGGAGGTTATTGAATGTCAATTTCACTTCTTTGGCCAATTTTAAAATTAATAATTTATTATTATTATTATTTTTTGTACAGGGTCTCGCTCTGTTGCACAGGCTGGAGTGATGTGGTGCAATCTCGGCTCACTGCAACCTCAGCCTCCTGGGGTCAAGCGATGCTTGTGTCTCAGCCAATTTCTTTGGCCAATTTTGAACAGTTTCTATTTCTTTTATTGTGTCAACATTAAAAGTTATCATTTCTAAGTGGACTTAAAACACCATGATTTTTTACAAAGCCTGAGTAAAAATGGTTATAAAAGAACAATTTTAGCATCAGTAGAGGACATTTCCGGGAGAATATAATGTTGAGTCTGCTTAATGAAATTAGTAATATTTGGTTTAGTTTTTCACTTTTTGTTCTTTTTTTAAAAAACTTGTTTTTAACTAAAAAAAAAGCAATAGGAAGTTGCAATTTTTTTCTTAGATACAGTCCAATCCTGGATTTAAAATACATTGGTATGCTGGATATTCTGTGACATTAAGTTAGGAAAAATGAGAAACAGCCTAGGAACTAAAGGATATTTTACTTTAATACAATAGTGACAGTTCTTTTAGTCCTCTGGCCTTTCAGTGTCATTTCTCTTATGATCTTGCTCAGCAGCATGAAAATTAAATGACATTCAAAAGCAAATCCTTGGATGCTTGGATGAATGAGGTTTGTTGTTCTTAGATTTACTTTATTTTCTTTCCTCTTCATTTCTCTTGCTTGATATTTTTCATTATAATATGAAAGTTTTGAAAGTAAGGTCATTGTAAACAGTGAGCAAGATAAAAATTCCTGATAGAAATGATCATACATCATGAGTACAGGAACTTTGCTTTTTTAACAATTCAAAACCTTAAGAAAATACAACAAATCGTATTGCCTCTGATTATAATAAACAGAATTTCATTCATGGTGGCACTTGGAAATAACTTTTGTATTATGAAAAATTTCAAACATATACAGAAGTAGAGAGTGTGGTATACTGAATCTCCACATACTCATGACCTAGGTTCAACAGTTATAGTTATCATATTCCTCTAGTTTCATTCCGCCTATCTCCTTTACCACATTTTTCCTGAAATATTTTAAAGCAAATCTCAGTCCTCACATTATTTAACTTGTAAGTAGTAACTCAGGATCATGAAAGCATTTTTCATTACATTATTTATTTTGCTCAACCATTTGTAGATATTATAAACATTTTGTCATAAAAGATACTAGCTCTGCATTTTATCAAGTCACTTGCCCTCTTTGGGACTTAGCCTTTTCTCTCTCCCTTAACAAATTCAACCCAGGCTACAAACAAACAAATAAACAACAACAACAAGAACAAAATATAGTATAACAGTAAGTGAATGATAAAGGCATACTTCTGTAAATCAACAGCAAATGGCTGCTTAGTAGAACAAACTGAGGGATAATGTTATTACGTAAGAGGCTAGTACTCAGATGAAGAGACACCCTTGTGTAGTGCAAAGATGTAGAACTGAAACACAACTTCATCAGTAAAGGACTGGGTGAATTTGAAAAGAACCAAAGTCCTAGTTTTCTTACTTGTTAACACCAATAAAAATATACAGTTGTACCTCATAGAGTTTTTATGTGACTTAAATGAAATACTGTAGGTGAAAGTGTTCAGTACTTGATAGATTTTTTTTTTTTTACACAAAGTGCATCAGTGTCTTGGATGTAAAAGAAATTCAGTGATATTTTGTGGTCTCGCTTGAGATATTACCTCTCTCTTTCTTTTAAATATTGTTTCTTTAAAATAATTTTATTTAGCAAAGTCCCAAATTTTCCATCATAAATTAGAGAACAAATTATTTTCAACTTAATTTATCACATGCAACAAACAATCCTTTTCATACTCCTGCTTTGATAAAATCATTACTTTCCTATTTCTGCAGTTTACTGAAATTATTTCCCTGAGCTGTAATAAATCTTCCTGATCTAAAGTTTGTAAGTTATCAAGTCTAGTCATTTTCATTTTCATCAAAAGCCTGCTTCATATGAAGGGCCAATGGATTGAATATCTGTAGCTATAATTAAAAACAAATTAGCCTCAAAGTAATACAGTTCTTTATTAATCTCTTCCAAATACACTTTCTCTACAATTCATTTGAAGCTGATTTAAGATTTGAATTCGACTTTTTAAGATGAGGCTAAAACTTTTAAAGTGCATAAATGACATAGAGGCCAATGGAAAGATTAGGATAGTCATCATTCAATTCACTTCTTAAATGTTCTATAAATCAGAAACTCAATATTTATTAGGTTGGCTCAAAAGTAATCATAGTTTTCACCATTACTTTTAATGGGAAAACTGCAATTATGTCTGTACCAACTGAATAACTGATGTTTATAACTATTTAAAATTATAGTAACTTTTGCTTGACAGAGGTATATTCTTAATATGTTACAAAGATTGAGCATATTACATATGCTATTTACTTCTAATTACCTCAAACAATTTGTTCTTTTCTACTAAACTGCATCGATTTTAGTGCCATAAAGCACAATATTAACTATACTCATTACTCATATAAGAAAAGACACATTAAGAAGGCACTTTGATACAGTGGCACTTTGGGAAAAGAGAAAAAGATACACATAAACAGAAGGCAAGAAAAGACGACCAAGAATGTCAGCAAGAAAAATAAATTAACAACTGCATAGGGACCTACTTCTTGTGTTTTATCAGAAAATAATCAATGGAAAAATATAAAGGGAATTTCATTAATAATTGCATTTTATATCTCCTGTTTACTATGATAGGTTTAAATTTACAACTCAACACAAATATCCAGTTTACCTCTATGGACCACATAATAATCATCATCATTAATAATAATAAAAATAATGATGTGTACCTTTTGAGTGCTAACAAACTCTGAAACGTTGTGGTTAGATCGTCACATCAACACTCAGAAGAAGCTATAATTATTTTCGTCATTTTACAAACAAAAGAAAAAAAAAGTACTAGCTAAACATGTTACAGAAATAGCCCAAAGTGGTAGAGCAAAAATTGTATTTCAGGTCCAACTGTTTCCATGGAATACATTCTTAAACCCTCTTATGCAAAATTCCAATGAATAAAATTATCCTGAAGTGCTAGTTCATCTGCAAGAAACAAATGTGAATCTGATGTTGTATATAACATCAGATTATTTTACAGTTTTTTAATATAGAATACCTGGCAGTCAATAAAAAAAAACCTGTTCCATGAGGAGACAAGAAGAGAGTAACATACCCTGAAATAAACAATTAAAAATAGGGCATATTAATAGGTTATAAATGAAGATAGCGGGATTATTATCATCATTCTAGATAGCAGAGCTATAACAAAGTTTAAAAAATAACGATGCTGATGTACAGATTCAATGCAATCCTTGACAAAATACAAATGACCTTCTTCACAAAAGTAGAAAAAACAACCCTAAAATTTATATGGAACCACAAAAACCCAGAATAGCCAAAGCTTTCTTAAGCAAAAAGAACAAAACTGGAGGAATCACATTACCGAACTTCAAATTATACTGCAGAGCTATACTAGCAACCCAAACAGCATAGTTCTGGCATAAAAACACACAAACCAGTGGAGCAAAACAGAGAACTTAGAAACAAATAGATAACGTCTACAGTGAACTTATTTTCAACAAAGGTGCCAAGAATGTACATTGGAGAAAGGATAGTCCCTTCAATAAATGCTGCTGGGGAAACTGGATATCCATATGCACAAGAATAAAACTAGACCCTCATCTCTCAGCCATATATGAAAATCAAATTAAAATGCATTACAGACTTAAATCTAAGACCTCAAACTATGGAACTACTAAAAGAAAACACTGGGGAAGCTCTCCAGTATATTGGTCTGGGCAAAAATGTGTTGAGCAATATCCCACAGGCATAGGCAACCAAAACAAACATGAACAAATGGGACCACATCATGTAAAAAAGTTTATGCACAGCAAAGGACACAATCAGCAAAGTGAAGAGACAACCCACACAATGGGAGAAAATACTTGCAAATTATCCATCTAACAAGGGATTAATAACCAAAATATATAAGAAGTTCAAACAACTCAATAGGAAAAAAATCTAATAATCCATTTTAAAAATGGGCAAAAGATCTGAATAGACATTTCTTAAAAGAAAATATACAAATGGTAAGCAGACATTAGGTGCTCAATATCATTGATCATCAGAGAAATGCAAATCAAAACTGCAATGGGATATCATTTCACCCCAATCAAAATGGATTTTATCCTAAGGACAGGCAATAAAAAATACTTAGGAGAGTGTGGAGAAACAGGAACCCTCAAACACTATTGGTAGGAATATAAATTGGTACACTATGGAGAACAATTTGGAGATTCCTCAAAAAACTAAAAATAGAGCTACTATATGATCCAACCATCCCACTGCTGGGTTATACCCAAAATAAGAGAAATCAGTGTATTGCAGAGATATCCGCACACATTTGTTGCAGCAACCTAAGTGTCCATCAACAGATGAATGGATAAAATATGTGCTTATACACAATGGAGTACTATTTAGCTATTACAAAAAAGATCTTGTCATTCGCAACAACATGGATGGAACTAGGGATGATTCTGTTAAGTGAAATAAGTCAGGCACAGAAAGACAAACATCACACGTTCTCACTTATTTGTGGGATCTAAAAATCAAAACAATTAAACACATGGAGATAGAGAGTAGAAGGCAGGTTATCAGAGGTTGGGAAAATACAGTATGGGGTGTCGCGGGTGTGGGTAGGTGGGATTGGTTCATGGGTACAAAAAATATAGTTGAAAAGAATGACTAACACCTAGTATTTCATAGCACAACAGGGCAGCTATAGTCAAAATAATTTAACTGTATATTTATAACTAAGAGTATAATTGGATTGTTTGTTACACAAAAGATAAATGATTGAGGGGATGGATACCCCATTTTTCATTATTTGATTATTATGCATTGCATGCCTATATCAAAATATCGCATGTGGCCCATAAATATATATACCTACTATGTACCCACAAAAATTAAAAATAAAAAAAATTAAATTAAGTAACCATGCTTAATATGTTCAAGAACATTTTGTAATAAAGAATTTCTAGAGATACAGGAAATTATTAAAAGATTCAAAATAGCCACATGAAAATATATTAAAAAAGTAAGAAGTAGATAAAATACAGTTGAAAAGGGAAATAATAAACTGGGCGATAGAGCAGAAAAAATAATGAAAATGCATCATAGAAACAAAAATTATGTAAAATACATTAAAAATATCCAGATAGATAGATAGATGATAGATAGATAGATATAAGAATATAACGAGAAAGTATAATGTCATTTGAATCTCAGTGGAAAGAAGAGAGAATAGGGTACAAGCAATATTTCACCATTTTTCTTGTTGTTGCCAAAGTGAACAAAGATTATTAAGTCACAAATTCACAGAGACCTCTGAACCCAAAACAGGCTAAACAGAAAATAAATTAACCACTAGTAATATTATAATAAAACTTGAGAATTATCTAAAAATCAGCAGATTAAAAAATGTGTATCATAAAAATAACAATTAGGTTGACAGTGACTTTTTAATAGAAGCAATGAAAGCCAAAACACAAGAGAATTGTTTATATAAATTGATGAAAGAAAGCATGCTATTCTATAATTCAGTATAGAAAACAATCATTCAAGAATAAATGTAAAATAACAATTTATTATTTACATACATGCTCTAAGGAAATTAATAAAAGATGACTTTCAGGCATTGGGAAAATATTGCAGATGGAAGTTCAGAAAGGGTAGGAAGAAATGAAAAGTAAAAAAATAGTAATTATGCGGCTAAATCTAAATGAATACTGCCTTTATAAAGAAAAACACTAATAACAATAATAATGTCTCCTTGGGATTAAGATCTCTAATATTAAAATTTATGCAACAGTATTATATATATGAGATAAGGAGTAACCATAGCATATATGGAAATAATTTAAATATATAGATTAATGTTAACTTTTGGTAAATCAAAAGGTGTTTGTTTTAATCTATAGAATAATCATGATAACATTAGTAAAGTAACTTACATAACAAGCAAATATGGGAGAAAATGGAATAAATAAAATTTTATAACTAATTTTTAAAAGGACAAGAAAAGTGTCATAGAGAAGATGGGATATATAGAACTCTTAAAATTGTAGACATAGATGCGAGCATAGGAATAATTACATGAAATATCCCTGCCTCCACTAAATGACAACAATTCACAAATTAGATAACAAAACACAACTACATGTTAGCTTCAAAAGATACATATTAAATAGAGGGGTACATAATAGTAGAAAGTAAAAGGATTAAAATAATTATATATGATGCAAACACTAATGAAAAGTAAGCTGAAGTAGCTGTGTAAATAACAATGCAAATTTCTTAAAATGCATTATTAGATGTATAGAAGTAGCGATACAATTTACAGTAATTAAATGTTAAATTCACCAGGAAAATATAGCAGTTCTAAATTTTAATGAACTTCATACAACCTCAAAATATAAATATATATAAAACAAAAACTAAAAACTAAGAAATAAACAAATTTACAATTATATGGAGAGATTGTAACATGTTTCTCCGTAAGTGATAGAACAAGCAAATAAATAATTAGTATGGATTTATGAAAGATAATTTATGTTTCACTTATCCTCATTAAGAGTACCTCTGTTCAGGAATCTGTTTTGAATATTTATAACACCGATTTTAATTATTTTTAAAGTGTATGTTCAGCCAGGTGATCAAGGTCAATATCAATAGTGATAAAAGCCATGCTGAAATAATATAATGAAAATGGCAAATTTCCTCTGTGGTCTTCCTCTCAAAAACCCATAACCCCAGTCTAATTATGAGAGAAACATCAGACAAATCCCATCTGAGCGACATTTTACAAAATACTTGATCTCTACTCCTCAAAATTGTCAGGTTATCAAAGACAAGCAGTGTCTGGGAACCTGTCACAACCAAGAGGTGCTTAAGGAGACATGATGATTAAATATAATGTCCTGGATAGAATCCTGTAACAGAAAGAAGACATTGGATAAAAACTATGGAAATGTCAATGAAGTATGGAATGTAGTTATGATAATATATCAATATTGGTTCATTAATTATAACAAATTTACCATATTAGCATACAATGTGAATAATAGAGGAAACTGGTGTAGGGTAGAGAGAACACTCTCCTATCTTTGCATTTTTTTCTGTAAATTTAAAGCTATCTTACAGAGCAAAATGCATTAATAAAAAGTTTATGATTCTTGTTACATTGTATACTTGAGTAAGTATTGTGCCTCATATGTTTCAGAATCCTTAATGTTTAACATATGTTTGGTGCTGAATAAATATTTTTAATAAACATAACAGATGGTAGTGTTACTGTAGTAAACAGAGTACCATACCTGTAATAAAAACTAGTCCCAGTTTATTACTTACCTACAACACTTACTCATTGGTCAACTTTGAATATTTTAACTAGCTTTGCCAGCCTCAGTTTCCTCTTTGTAAAATTGTCATGATACTGGCTACTCCTAAGTAGTGATTTGAAGATTAACAGGTAACAAGAATAATTACCTATTCAAGCAACTAGCCAATATCATCCTGACGTAACAATAATAATAGTAGAACTTCAGTAAATAATTTGAGTAGATTAATGGTGATTGAAGCCGACTAAGCTTATCAAACTAAAAGGATAAAATTATTCCCCAAAATATGTTTACAACATAATAGTTGCTTTTACTCAAATATTTATTATCTATTTTAGGTGTTCACATAAATTCATGTGTCACACACAGTACAGATTAAAAATAATATTTTTTTTTGGTGAAACACAAAGAGTTGTCTTCCACTGACATAAACATCCTCTCTAGAATTCCTTAGAGATTACATAAAAGGGCTCTTCGCTCTGTCAATTTCCTGATAGTAATGAGTGAGGCTTGTAGCTAATGATGCTATGAAACTGAAAAGATAGCCCATTCTTTTGTAATCATCTGCCAATTGGTTTAGAAAGTGACAAGGTAGATGACTGCTGAGAGCTGCTGGAGTAAAATAGCAGCATCAGAATCCATTTTGCTTTACCTCCTCTGAACAAAGTAATGACCAAAATTGTGTGCCACATATAATCGACCATTAAAGAAAGTGTCAAGAAGTGTAATAACATTTGATAGGCCTATAACTTGATGTTTTAGATAATTATTGATGACATTGCTAAATCTGATATATTGGACTCCTGCTCTGAAGTACTTTTGAGTAAAAACAATATTACACAGTAGTATAATTTTACAATATTGCTTTCTTTTGGTATTTGTAAATATTTAAAATGAACAAAAGTGTGATTATTTCATAAAAGCAACCTAATCCAATTTAACATGTCTTTTAATAATTTTCTTTATTCAGGTATCAAAATAAAATATTACTTAATAAATATGGTGCTCAATTCCAAGTGCATATTTAACTAATGTTTGTTCACTGCACATATGTAGCGTATGTCCCTCAAATAATTTTATGAATAGATATTCATTTAATCCCTAAAAAACTATTAAGGATTATTCCTTTTTCATCAATTATCCAAGGGCCCTCAATTAATGAGTGGAATTACCGGGATTCTAAACCATGTACTCCTCTTCTGAGTCCATGGTCATCTTAAAAAATAAGCACTAACTTTATAAGCTTAACTGTAAAAGCATGCCTTAGTTTAGAAAACCAGCACATATGGAAGTAGACAATGACACATAGTGATTGATAAATCCCATGGTGCTGAACTTCATCTGGCAACCAAATCATTATATTAGATTGAACAAAAGGATCAGTTTCATCATATTCCTATTGATTGTTTCACAGCTGAGTTTACATCAGATTTTATTTTGCCAGTCAAGAAAAATTTTACTGGGTAATTTCTCTTGCTTTACCCTACAATTCTATACCATTATTATTATTTTATTATAATTATTAGTTATTGGTCTTTGACTTTTTGAATTATTGATATTTTGAACTGTTACTATGGTTTAATACTCTTTATTTATAATTACTCACCTATTATTTTTATTTTATTGGTCTTTAGTTCACGATTTCTACTAGTATGTTTACTATTTTGGAAGCGAATATGCAGTTTTTGAGAGACAATTTTCCAAGGAGAGAAGGATGGTTAAAAAATATTTGTCTAATTTTTTCGTATTTAAACTCATGCTCCTACAAGAATTTAATATATACTTTAGCTTCATACTTTACATTATGTTGGACGCATTAAATATTTCAGTAAATGACATCCGAAAATAATGATTTTTAACTATAAACATTGTTATACAGGGTATAACTAATATACGTAACTAATTAAATATAAAAAACTTGTTTTTTTGTCAAGCAAAAGTGAAAAAACCTTAATAAAAATGAAAATGATATTTCAGTTTTTGTTTCCAGTTCCACTGTAATTTAGAGGGGTCATTAATATGATTATATTTTTATGTCCTCATCTAAAAATAATTTCTTACTATCTTTGTCTCCTATTCCATTTTTTATGAAAAAACAAACAAAGTAATACTTCCCAAAAAAGAAATACTAATACCTATGATGGTCACTATTATGATACATCAGTATTAATCATAACTCTTCTAATGAGTCTCAGTTGTTTCTGGACTTCTTTTATGTGTTAGAACCCAAAGAACTAAAATAAACTCAACAAACATGTATCAATATTTTGAGGAATGAAGGCAAAAACACAAAATGTGCCTCGGAAGCTGAGAGATCATTGCCTTCAAAGAACTCCCAAAATATACACAACTAACTCAGACACAGAGAAGAATAGGCTGGTGATATGGTTTGGCTCTGTGTCCCCACCCAAATCTCATCTTCAATTGTAATCGCCACGTGTCAGGGGAGGGACCTGGTGGGAGGTGATTGGATCATAGGGGCAGTTTCCCCCATGCTGTTCTCATGATAGTGAGTAACTTCTCACAAGATCTGATGGTTTAAAGGTGGCACTTCCCCCTTGGCTTTCTCTCTCCTGCTACCTTATGAAGAAAGTACTTGCTTCTCTTTCACCTTCTGCCATGATTGTACATTTCCTGAGGTCTCCTCAGTTATGCAGAACTGTGAGTCAATTAAACCTCTTTTCTTCATAAATTACCTGGTATCAGGTAGTTCTGTAAAACAGTGTGAAAATCGACTATTACAGCTAGGTTCTAGAATGGAGGGAATTTAGTAAACTTCAGGACAATAGAGATTAAAGCTCATGGGGACCATCTGAGAAAGGTTTATGCAAAATCATAAACTCATAGGTTAGCAGGAGCTTAGAAATTGTCTAGTCCAACATTTTCATTTGAAAGGTAATGAAATAAACTGAACTGTTAAACAACTTGCTAAATATGCACTGCTAGTTTACTGACAAAGCTGGAAAAACATTCCAAGATTTTGACTGCCTGATAACTTAAGCAAGGCCTTTAATGATGGGTAGAATTTTCCAGATGAATTGAGAAGGTGATGTTAAGTTTTGAAAAGTTCAAGATAAAGCTATGGAGGTGAAAACACAGAAGAAATCAGAGAAAAGTGGGTGGAAAAAGTTTCAGTCATGACATATTGTCTTCTCTGGTTAAAACTCACTGTCAGATGCCAGATACTGTGGACTGAATTGTGTTCCCCCAAAGTTCATATGTTAAACCTACTTCCAAAAACCCCTGATGTTTCTGGAAGTAGGTGCTTTAGTGAGGACCTCATCACTGTCACGTGAAGTTACAAGAAGATATCCATCTGCAAACCAGGAAGAGAACTCTCACCAGAGACCAAATAATCTGGCACCTTAATCTTGGACTTCACTGTGGGAGATAAATTTTTGTTGTTTAAGCCATATAGTCTATGGTGTTTGTTAAGGGAACCCAAGCTGACTAAGTAACCAGGTGATCATCGGAAAGGAGGGATACATTTATTTTTATTTATTTATTTAGAGACGGAGTCTTGTTCTGTCATGCAGGCTAGGGTGCAGTAGCAAGATCTTGGCTCAGTGCAACCTAGGCCTCCCAGGCTCAAGCGATTCTCATGCCTCAGCCACCCAGGTAGCTGGGATTACAGGAATGTGCCACTGCCCAGATAATTTTTGTATTTTTTAGTAGAGGTGGAGTTTCATCATGTTGCCCAGGCTGGCCTTGGACTCCCAGCCTCAAGTGATCTGCCTGCCTCAGTCTCCTAAAGTGCTGGGATTACAGGTGAGAGCCACCAGCCACCATCCCTAACTAGGAAGGATACATTTAAACATATCATGGATATGCATGTATGAGGACTTTGTGTAACATACAAAGTGGTTTAGATGCAATTTCTTTAAATATTAATAGTAATAAATAATTTTTTAGTAGATGAATAATCCAAAAAGTCAGAAGGTAGAAGATGTTCCATCATCAGAGTCAGATTCAGCAAAGAGAACAATTGTGACATTATTTGTTTTCCAAATGGGAGTTAACATGGGCTTGAACTAGGACTGAGACAGTGAGGGTAAAGAAAATGTGTATATGAAACTTTGGTTGACAGAAGTCCTCAGAGCTTAGTTACCTTTAGACATAAGACTCCAAAAAAATACAATAAACATGATTAAAATTATGGTGCTGACATCAATCAGGTAGGGAATACAAAGGTTGGAGCTGGTTTTGCTTTGTTGCATTTCATTAATCTAAAGTCATCGAAATAAATTAAAACTAAAAAGATAGATTTAAAAATTTGGTTTATAAGTTTTAATTTTTAAAAATCAAAACACTGTAATAAAATTAAACACTGTAATCAATTAAAACATTTTAACATTTAACACTGTTAGAGAAAAAGATAGCATAAATATGTAGGAGAACACTAAAGATTATGGGATTGAAATCATACTGTTCAAAATGTCGACATAAAGCCTAATATTATATCATAATGTGTTTAGAATGTAATAAATAAGGCAAAATAAATATTTTCATTAATAAATAATTTCAATTTTGCATTAGAATGTGTAGTAGGGAGTCCAAAATTGTCATATATGTCATGAGCGAACCTGGAAAATGAAGGTGGAGAAAAATAAGTTCAATACATCCCTTTATAACAATGTAAAATAATGTATGTGAATACATAGACATAATGGACTGATATCTATTTCAACTCTCAAATTGTTTAATTCCATTAAAATCCCATCACATGTATTTAGTACAATAAGTAGGACTAATATTTTGATCGTAAGTAAAATACATTGATAGGGAGCTCAGGGTACAATGTTATTGGATATGATTATGAAGTTATCTTTATGTTTTTCAGTAATCCCAAACATGGGAGTTTATTGGAGGGAGAATTTACATGAATAAAATGCTAGAATTGTTGATTACTGCAGAAAGTAAATCTATTTCAAGATATCACAGAAACTGAGATCTGAGCAAATAAGAAACGAATTATATCAAACTGTGCTTTTCATACTGCTAACCACAAAAAACAATTTCTTTTTAACTTTAAATTTCAATTTTATATTCCTATACATGAAATCTAAAAAAAACAGAAAAAACACTATACAAATGTCCAACTGCATTTAATATTTATCTATTTATTAATTTATTTATTGAGACAGGGCCTCACTCTGTAGCTTAGGCTAGAGCACAGTAGCAAGATCCAGGCTCACTGTGGCCTCAGCTTCCAAAGCTCAAGTGATTCTTCCATCTCAGCCCCTGGAGTAGCTGGGACCACAGGTGTGCACCACCACGCCCAGGAAATTTTTGTATTCATTTATTTATTTATTTATTTATTTATTTATTTATTTATTTATTTTTGTAGAGACAGGGTTTTGCCACGCTGCCCAGGCTGGTTTCAAACTCCTGGCCTCAAGTGATCTTCTCACATTGACTACCAAAGTGCTGGGATTACAGGCATGAGACACCGCACCCAGCCATTGAGTAAAATGCTAGAATTGTTGATAACTACAGAAAGTAAATCTATTTCAAGGTGTCACAGAAAGTGAGACATGAACAAATGAAATAAGAAACAAATTCTATCAAACTGCACTTCTCATACTACTAGCCACAACACATTTTTTAATTTTAAATTTCAGTTTTATATTCCTATACATAAAATCTAAACAAATAGAAAAATCACAACACAAATATCCAACTGTGTTTGAGATTTATTTGTACATCTTAAATAAAATCAAATGTTCTTTATTTAACATAGATTTCCTGGCACACTAATATTTTTGTTGTTTATCCTTTTTTCTACTGATTATCTTGTGGAAACATCAAAGTTAAAAATTGAACCTCTTTTGTTGTTGTCCTTTGATTTCAGCTTTTGTCTACATTTAATAAAAAGTCTGTATATGGTATTTTTTCTCTCTTGCTTTCTATCTATGAGTGTTTTTAAAATCCATTTTCCTTAAATACCAGTTCTTTAAAATTAACATTTTCAATTGCCATGTTATTTGAACTTAATTTTTATTTCTTTGTCCAAAATCATCAGGGACATTGAGTATGAATATGAGGTAGAGGAGCAAGCTCCCAAAGATATGATCAAATTGATTTTTAGTTTTATAAAAAGTTGAATCTCAATGCTACAAATATTCACTTTCCAGGAAGAAAAACACTTATGTTTGTTATTGGTAAGATAAGACAGCATTCGCACTTGTTCCTAATTTCAATTTTAACTTTTATTTGGAACTACATTTGTAGAAATTTTTTGATGAATCAGATATCTTTCATTTGTCATTTTATTTTAAAGTCAAATTTATTGGAGCATAATTTTAAGGAAAGATTTATGCCTTTTGATTATGTAGCTCAATGAGTTTTGACAAATATCTAGAATGGAATAATACTGGCTATTACATTCAAAGTATAGAATAGTTATATCCCATCAAAATCCTCTCTTTGGCTGGGGACGGTGGCTCAGGCCTGTAATCCCAGAACTTTGGAGGCTGAGGCGGATTGTTTGAGACCAGGAATTCAAGACCAGCCTGGGCAATGTGGTGAAACCCTGTCTATATCAAAAATACAAAAAATTAGCCAGGCGTGGTGGTGCATACCTGTAGTCCCAGTTACTCGGGAGGCTGAGGTGGGAGGATCACATGAGCCTGGGAGGCAGAGGTTGCAGTGAACTGAGATCATGCCATTGCATTCCAGTATGAGTGACAGAGTCTCCCAGACTGTGTCTCAAAAAAAAAAAAATTATCTCCTTCTCTGATCTCTGTATCAGTGATTTTTGCCTTTTCCAGAATATCTTATATATGAAATCATTCTGAATGTAGGCTTTTCTTTCCTGTTAATTTCATTCAGTATAATGCCTTTAAAATTGTTGTTTTTCCATGTATCAGTGGTTGGTTGATTTTTACTTCTCAATAGTATTTTATTCTATGGACATACTACAACATATTTATCCATTTACTAGGTGAAGGATATTAAGGATTGTTCCAGTTTATATATATATGTGTATATATATATATATGCTAAAGTATTTATTTGCAGGTCATTGTGTTGACATATGTTTTTAATTTCCTTGGTAACAGTAGGATTTCTGGGTCATACAATAAGTTCATGTTCAATATTATAAGACATTGCAAATTGTTTTCCAAAATGGTCATGCCATTTACATTTTCAAAAACTATGTATAAATGCTCTAGTTGCTCCAAATTTTTATCAGCACTTGGTTTTGTCAGATTTTTAATTTTAGCCATTCATTTAGGTGTAAAAATGCACATCAATGTGATTTTAATTTTTATTTATCTAGTGACTAATCATGCTGAGCACCTTTTAATGTTCTTGTTGCAATCCATATTGGCCATCCATATGTATTCTTTTGTGAGGTGTCTGTTCAAATTTTTGCCAATTCTTGGATTGTTTCTCTTCTTAAAATGGAATTTTAAAATTGCTCACATATATTTAGGTATTTTATCAGATATGCTTTTAGAAGAATTTTCTCCTAGTCTGTGATTTGTCTTTTCATTTTCTTGTCAATGTATTTTGTACATTATATTAGTTAGCATTCTCCAGTGCCAACAGAATGTCTATGTATCAATATCTATATCTCTATATCTATCTGTGTATACATAGAAAGAGATTTGTTTTATAGAATTGGCACTATTTATTTTATAGAATTGTGGCTGTGGGGGCTGGGAAGTCTAACATGCATAGGGCAAGCTGGAAGCTGCATATTCAAGAGATATTTGCACTCCCACATTTACTGCTGCACTATTCACAATGACACAATAGCCCACAGGTGACAATAACCTAAATTTCCACCAATGGATGAATAGATTAAAAAAATGTGGTACATACATATAATGGACTATTATTCAGCCATTAAAATGTAGTTTCTGTCATTTGCTATAACATAAGTGATCCGGGGAGACATTATGTTGAGTAAAATTAGCCAGTCACAGAAGGAAATATACTACTTGATTTATCTTATATGAGATATCTAAAATAGTCAAACTCATCCTCATTGAAGCAGAAAATGGACTAGAGGTTACCAGTGGCTAAGGTAGGGGGAAATGAGGGGTTGCTATTCAATGGGTATAGATTGTGTCAGGCAAGATGGAAAAGTTCTAGAGATCTGCTGTGCTACGTTGTGCTTACAGTTAAAAATACTGTGCTGTTCACTTAAAAATTTAATAGAGTAGATCTTACATGTTTTTTGCCACAATAAAAAAAAAGTTGATGTTGTGGTCTTGAGTTCAAAGGCTGGAAACTCCGGCATAATTTCTTTTTTTTTTTAAATTATACTTTAAGTTTTAGGGTACATGTGCACAACGTGCAGGTTTGTTACATATGTATACATGTGCCATGTTGGTGTGCTGCACCAATTAACTCGTCATTTAACATTAGGTATATCTCCTAATGCTATCCCTCCCCACTCCCCCCACCTCACAACATGCCCCAGTGTGTGATGTTCCCCTTCCTGTGTCCATGTGTTGTCACTGTGCAATTCCCACCTATGAGTGAGAACATGTGGTGTTTGGTTTTTTGTCCTTGTGATAGTTTGCTGAGAATGATGGTTTCCAGCTTCATCCATGTCCCTACAAAGAACATGAACTCATCATTTTTATGGCTGCATAGTATTCCATGGTGTATATGTGCCATGTTTTCTTAATCCAGTCTATCACTGTTGGACATTTGGTTTGCTTCCAAGTCTTTGCTATTGTGAATAATGCCGCAGTAAACATACGTGTGCATGTGTCTTTATAGCAGCATGATTTATAATCCTTTGGGTATATACCCAGTAATGGGATGGCTGGGTCAAGTGGTATTTCTAGTTCTGGATCCCTGAGGAATTGCCTCACTGACTTCCACAATGGTTAAACTAGTTTACAGTCCCACCAACAGTGTAAACACTTCTCAAAAGAAGACATTTATGCAGCCAAAAGACACATGAAAAAATGCTCATCATCACTGGCCACCACAGAAATGCAAATCAAAACCACAATGAGATACCATCTCACACCAGTTAGAATGGTGAACATTAAAAAGTCAGGAAACAACAAGTGCTGGAGAGGATATGGAGAAATAGGAACACTTTTACACTGTTGGTGAAACTCAGGCATAATTTCTATGTTGCAGTCTGGAGACAGAACTCCAGCTTTGGGAAACTACAGCCTTTGTTCTTAAGGCTTTCAACTGACTCTTTGAGGCTGACCCTCATGATGAAGGTGATACAGTTTGGCTCTGTGTCCCTACCCAAATCTCATCTCAAATTTTAGTCCCCACCTGTCGAAGGAGGGACCTGTAATCCCCACGTGTTGAGGGAGGGAGGTGATTGAATCATGGAGGCAATTTCCCCCATGATGTTCTCATGAGAGTGAGAGAGTTTTCATGAGATCTGATGGCTTTGTAAGTGTTTGGAAGTTCTTCCTTCATTCTTGTTCTCTGTCCTGCCACCCTATCAACAAGGTTCCTGCTTCACCCTCTGACATGATTGTAAGTTTCCTGAGGCCTCCCCAGCCATGCAGAACTGTGAGTCAGTTAAACTTTTTTCCTTTAAAAATTACCCAGTCCTGGGTATTTCTTTATAACAGTGTGAAAATGGACTGCTACAGAAGAGTAATCTTCTTTACTTAAAGCCCACGGATTGTAAATGTTAATCACGTCTAAAACGCATCTTTATAGAAACATTGAGACTCGTGTTTGACCAAACAACTAACCGTATTCACCATATACTAAGCAAATTAACACAGAAAAATTAAAGATCACATGTACTAAGTAATCTTTGTCTAACTCAAGGTTTACAGAGACTTTTCTCCTATATATTTTATTTAAAATTGCATAGTTTTGGTTTTTATGTTTAGGCTTATGATTTATTTTGAGTTAATTTTTACATGTGGCGTGAGGAAAAGGTGGGGCTTCATTTTGTAGGGGATCATGGGAAAACAATATGCATGTCCAAATGTTCCTGACACATTTGTTGAAAAGACTGTAATTTTTCCATTAAATTACCTTGCACCATTATCACATATCAATTGACAATTTATGTGTGGTTTTATTTCTGACTGTCAATTCTGTTCCACTGATATTTATTACACCCATTCTTATGCTAATTCCACATCTTGATTACTGTAACTTGGAAATAAAGTATAACTTCAATCGTTTTTTCTTATTTTTAAAATTGTTTTGGCTCTTCTAGGTCTATCAGTTTTGAGAAAACATAGAGGAATACTCTCTGTTCTACCTTT
This sequence comes from Homo sapiens, assembly GCF_000001405.40. NCBI lineage: Eukaryota > Metazoa > Chordata > Mammalia > Primates > Hominidae > Homo > Homo sapiens. The sequence continues at coordinate 145,833,054 of NC_000003.12, read as the reverse complement.
TTGCTCTTCCCACTCCTCATCTATTACCACCTATTTTTTCTTCTGGTCTCATATGTATTTGAGTACTGAAGGTGTTTCTCACAGTATTATAAGATAGAAATTGATACTCAAGCTGCAACTTTGGAAGGAGGGGTGCTTGAAGTTTGATCCAGTAAATTAGATATAATCTTGATAAATAAAATAGAAACCAGAAGTCTAGTTTAGTTTTTAAGATGTAAATTCATAATAATATAAATAATGTCCATAATAAGATTCAGATGCAACAATCCACATATCTACACAAATTCTTAACTGAAATGGTGTCATTGTTAAATTTTGTGTTATCAAACTATGGCCTCTGGAAAGTTTAATTTATTTCCATAAGTCACCTTTATCCTACCAAGAACAGTTTACTGTTTACTTGCAGAAATGTATTTGTATTTATAGAAAGAATTTAATACCCCTGTTATGTATAAACCAACTTAACTGTTACTTCTAAATTCTATTTTACTAATAAAAATTGAGAAGAGCTTTCTTTTTAGAAACAAAGTTGAACATATATGTTGCTATGGTTTGGATATTTGGTCTATTTGGTCTCCACAAACCTCATTTTGAAAACTGATCCCCAATGTTGGAGGTGGGGCCTAATGGAAGGTATTTGTATCATGGGGGTGGAACCCTCTTGAAAAACATAACACCCTTCCTGAATGGGGTGGGGAGTGAGTGAGTTCTTGCCCTATCAATTCCTGAAGGAGCTGGTTTTTAAACAGCCTGGCACCTTTCTACCCCTCTCTCTTGCTTTCTCTCCTTCCATGTCATCTCTGCACACACAGGCTCCCCTTCACCTCTTCTATGAATGAAAGCAGCTCTACAATTTCACTAGATGCCCAGTCTTCCAGCCAGATTGTGAGCCAAATAAATATTTTTTTCTTTTTATTTTATTTATTTCTTTATTTATTTTGAGACAGAGTTTCGCTCTTGTTGCCCAGGCTGGAGTGCACTGGCACGATCTCTGCTCACTGCAACCTTTTCCTCCTGGGTTCAAGTGATTCTCCTGCCTCAGCCTCCTGAGTACCTGGGATTACAGGTGCCCATCACCATGCCCGGCTGATTTTTTATATTTTTAGTTGAGGCAGGGTTTCATCATGTTGGTCAGGCTGGTCTTGAACTCCTGACCTCAAGTGATCCGCCTGCCTTGGCCTCCCAAAGTGCTGGGATTACAGGCATAAGCCACCATGCCTGGCCATATGTTTTTCTTTATAAATTACCCAGTCTCAGGTATTCCTTTACAACAACAAACAAATTAAGACATATGTATATAAATACATATATATTTATAAATATTCCCCAATATACCTACTTTTACTCTGATTTATGCTTTCCTTCAGAGTAATTCAATTCGTCATCAAGTGGGAGGGACCATGGGAAACAGAGAAGATCTTTTTGTTTATAGTCTAAGTGATAGCAATTATTTTTGCTAAAAAAAGATCTTTTGTTCTTGAGTTTCCTTAATAATCTGTCTACTTTTATCATATATTTTATTCCTTTTTATTGCTGGCAAATAAAGCTTTCAAAAGGAACCTTGGGAGGCAAAAAGGACTAATAAATGAAAATAACAAATATTCCATTATCAAGGGGAACTAATGTGAGTGCCATGATTCATGCCATCCAGAGTTATTAAGGCAGGAATCATATTGGTCTCAACTTTATTTCAAATTTGTTATCAGTAAGACATGTAAACATTTCATTTAACTGCTGTAAGTAACAGTGTTTTTTATTTAGGTAACTACAGCTTATTTTCAAAACAACTCTTTGGATAAAAGGTCCACAAGGTTTTTTTAATTTTTTTTGAGATGGAGTCTCGCTCCCTTGCCCAGGCTGGAGTGCAGTGGCCCAATTTCAGCTCACTGCAAGCTCTGCCTCCCGGGTTCACACCATTCTCCTGCCTCAGCCTCCTGAGTTGCTGGGACTACAGGCGTCTGCCACCACGCCCAGCTAATTTTTTGTATTTTAGTAGAGATGGTGTTTCACCGTGTTAGCCAGGATGGTCTCGATCTCCTGACCTCGTGATCCACTTGCCTTGGCCTCCCAAAGTGCTGGGATTACAGGCATGAGCCACTGCGCCCAGCCGGTCCACACAATTTTTAGTCCCTCTTTAAGCAGTTTCACTTCTGTTCCCAAAGTAAGTCTTTCACAACATGATAAGACCTTACCATATTTCCCCCATTATTTCCTTTTATTCCAAAGATGCTACCAGTGGGGTAAGCTAGGCTTTTTGATGCCTACATTAGTATAGGTACTCCAGAAAGACAGAACCAATGGGATGGAGGGATAGATGGATAGATGATAGATAGATAGATAGATAGATAGATAGATAGATAGATAGATAGATAAGAAAGGATTTATTAGGGAAATTGACTCGTGATTATTTGACTGAGAAGTCCCATAACAGGCTTTCTGCAAGTTGGAGACCGTGGGATGCTAAGCATGGCTCAGTCCAAGTGTGAAAACCTCAGAACTAGGAAAGCTGATGGTGTAATTATTAGTAAAAGGAGAAAGGACTGAAAAACAGGGAGGCTGCTGCTCTAGCTTCTGGAGTCCAAAGCCCAGAAAGCCTGGAGTTCTGACGTCCAAGGGCAAGAGAACAGAGTACCAGCTCCCCAGCTTTATGAGAGAGAGAGAGAGAGAGAGAGAGAGAGAGAGAGAGAGAGAGAGATTGAGAGAGAGGAGATTCACCATTTCTCTGCCTTTTTGTTCCAACCTGGCCCCCAGCTGATTGGATGGTACCTGCCCACATTGAAGACAGATCTTCCCCATCACAGACACACATAGAAGTAATACTTTACCACTTCTCCAGGTATGCCTTAATCCAGTCGAGTTGACACCTAAAATTAACTATCACAGCACTTATTATTCAGATTTCACCTTTTTATTTTACCATAATTCTCTCACATTGAGGATAACTGTCTTACACTAGAATAAGATAATTTTCAGTAATCAAGAGTTCTGATCCAGAGGAGAAACAAGTTATTATGAAAAATGGCCAATGATTATCATTTTATTCCTACAACTCAAAATGTATGATGTTTAAAGTAGCCAGTGGCTGATGGGGCCATACACTGGCCTTGTGACCTTGTGTTATAGATCACATAATAGTCATAGAAGCAGAGAAACAGACTAAAATTGAGAGGGCAGTGTGTACTTTATATATATTTATAAAATATTTATATATTTTTTGAAGTTAAACATAGGCCATAACTCATTAAATAAAACAATTTATTTGATTACAAACTGTCTTTTGAGTTGATTATATTAACACATAGTTCTGCTATGAAAGTACAATTATTATTTCATTAAATTTATTGAATCACTTTATTTTATCTATACTTAAATTATTAATTTACTCCTCATTAGCCACAGAATTCCTTTTAGCAATAAGAGTATTCTGCCACAACATGAAATATGCAAAAGAGCTTGCTTTCTGCCAATTCACACACTAGAAATAATAGGGCTTATGGAAAAGTCATTTTGGGCAGTCTACTAAAACCTATATAACATTCTCTACAGACCCATAAAGGAACAGTAATTTGGGCCTTTGGTAATAATTTGGATGGCATAGGCAGTAGATGCCTCAAGGGATATAAAAATGGCGAACCTTGTCTCTACTAAAAATACAAAATTAGCCAGGCATTGTGGTGTGCTCTGGTAATCCCAGCTATTCAGGAGGCTGAGACAGGAGAATTGCTTGAACCCGGGAGACAGAGGTTACAGTGAGCCGAGATCATGCCACTGCACTCCAGCCTGGGTGACAAGAGGCAAACTTTGTCTCAAACAACAACAACAACAAATTTGCAAACAGAATGAAAATGCTGGCTTGTGGGCACTAAGAAAATTCAGATGCAAGTGGAACTGTGAGCAAAGGAAAGCCCTGAAAGATTGGGGAAAGGCCCTTTGGGTGGGACCTCTTAAATTAGAGATGAAAGTCCTCCTTGCCTGTGCAGTCATCAAGCTGAGGGATATCTCATTTCCTGATAAAGGTTGTAATTCTGTTCCCTCTCTTCTGGCTCCTCTTGCTTAAAAAAAAAAAAAAAAAAAATCTCACATGAACCACCACAACAATCAATGTATACTGATACTGTTCTACTATTCACCAATTGCTATGAGCTAATTGGTGTCAACAGAAACACATGCCATAGCCCAAAAAACAAACCAAAAAAAATGGCTAAATTTATTTGGAATTATAATCATGTCTCTCCCCGCTGTGCAGAAGGATTCTTAGCCTGGCTCTTCTATGACTACATTTAAATAGTCTTTAATTAGAGACAAGGTATTCTCCCATAAAGGGATGGTCAAACTGTTGGCAAGTGGATATTTTCCTTTTTTGTGGCTTGATTGACTTTTACTGATGGTATGACGCTTATGAAACCTAAGAATTGTTAAATATTATTTGCTGTGAGGAATAAAATGTGGAAGAGAGTATTCTCAATTGAGAGAATAATTATTTCAGTTCTTAAGAAAGGAGTGTGCTGGCAACAGGTCAATACTTTCCTGGGATGAAGCTTTCAGAGGAAGGGGCAGACTGCCATCTTTACTGTTTCACAGCCTTCAGTGGTGATACCTCCAGAGATGGGAAAATCTGAGGCAACTAGAGTCTGGAGTGGAACCCCAGAAAACTGCAGCAGCCCTGTGGATAGTGGGCAGACTGTTGAAAGCAAAATAAACAAACAGAAAACAGCAACAAAAATCCCACAAAAACTCCATCTAAAGGTCAGCAACCTCAAAGATTGAAGGTAGATAAGTCCACAAAGATGAAAAAATAATCAATGCAAAAAAGCTGAAAACTCAAAAAGCCAGAGTGCCCCTTTTTCTCCAAATGACTGGAACACCTCTCCAGCAAGGGCTCAAAACTGGACTGAGGCTGAGGTGGCTGAAATGACAGAAGTAGACTTCAGAATGTGTATCAAAACAAATCTCGCTGAGCTAAAGAAGCATGTGGTAGCCCAATGCAAAAAAGCTAAAAATCATGATAAAACAATGCAAGAGCTGACAGCCAAAATAGTCAGTGTAGAAAAAAACATAACCGACCTGATAGAGCTGAAAAAACACAATACAAGAACTTCAAAATGGAATTACAAGTATTAATAGCAGGCTAGACCAAACAGAGGAAGGAATCTCAGAACTTGAAGACTATCTTTCTGAAATAAGACAAGCGGACCAGAATAGAGAGAAAATAATAAAAACGAATGAATAAAACCTCCAAGAAATATAAGACTATTTAAAGAGACCAACTCTATGACTGATTGGGGTACCTGAAGGAGACGAGGAGAATGGAATGAATTTGGAAAACATACTTCAGGATATCATCCAGGAGAACTTCTCCAACCTAGCAAGACAGGCCAACATTAAAATTCAGGAAATACAGAGAACTGCAGTAAGATACTTCACAAGAGATCAACCCAAGACAAGCAATCGTCAGATTCTCCAAGGTCAAAATCAAGGAAAAAATGTAAAAAGCAGTCAGAGAGAAAGTCCAGGTCACCTGCAAATGGAAACTCATCAGACTAACAGTGGACCACTCAGCAGGAACCCTATAAGCCAGAAGAGATTGGAGTACAATATTCAACATTTTTAAAGAGAATAATTTCCAACCCAGAATTTCATATCTGGCCAAACTAAGCTTCATTAGCAAAGGAGAAATAAAGCTCTTTCCAGACAAGCAAATGCTGAGGGAATTCATCACCATCTGGCCTGCCTTGCGAGAACTCCTGAAGGAAGCACTAAATATGAAATGAAAAACTGTTACCAGCCACTACAAAACATACTGAAGTACACAGACCAGTGAAGCTATGAAGCAACAACACAAACAAGTCTGCAAAATAACCATTTAGCATCATGATGACAGGATCAAATTCACACATTACAGTACTAACCTTAAGTATAAATGGGCTAAATGTCCTGATTAAAAGACACAGAATGGAAAGCTGGATAAACAGCCAAAACCCATTGCTATGCTGTCTTCCAGAGAGCCATCTCATGTGCAAAGACACACATTGGCTCAAAATAAGGATATTGAGACAATTTACCAAGCAAGGGGAAAATAGAAAAGAGCAAGGGTTGCAATTTCAGTTTCTGACAAAACAAACTTTAAACCAACAAAGATAAAAACAAAAAACAAAGAGGGGCATTACATAATAGTAAAGGCTTCAATTCAACAGAAGACCTAACTATTCTAAGTATATATGAACCCAACACAGGAGCACCCAAATTCATAAAGCAAATTCTTAGGGACCTTCAAAGAGACTTAGACTCCCTCCCACACAATAGTACTGGGAGACTTTAACACCTCTCTGACAGTATTAGACAGATCATTGAGACAGATAATTAACAGATATGCAGGACCTGAAGTCAGCTCTAGATCAAGAGAACCTTATGGATATCTACAGATCTCTTCACCCAAAAAACCAACAGAATATACATTCTTCTCATTGCCATACAACACTTACTCTAAAATTGATCACATAAATGAAAATAAAACACTCCTCCACAAATGCAAAAGAACTGAAATCATAGCAAACAGTCTCTCAGATCACAGCACAATCAAATTAGAACTCAAGATTAAGAAATCAACTGAAAAACACACAACTACATAGAAATTGAACAACCTGCTCCTGAATGAATCTTGGGTAAATAATGAAATTAAGGCAGAAATCAAGAAGTTATTTGAAATTTATGAGAACAAGGAAACAATGTACCAGAATCTCTGGGATGCAGCTAAAGCGGTATTAACAGAGCAAAATTTATAGCCCTAAATGCTCACTTTAAAATGTTAGAAAGATTTCAAATTAACAACCTAACATCTCAACTAAAAAAAAATAGAGAACCAAGAGCAAGCAAATCTTAAAGTTAGCAGAAGACAAGAAATAACCAAGATCAGACCCAAACTGAAGGGGACAGAGACACAAAAAAACCCTTCAAAAAATCAATGAATCCAGGAGATGGCTTTTCAAAAAATTAATAAAATAGACCACTAGCTAGACTAATAAAGAAAAAAAGAGAGAAGAATCAAATAAACACAATCAGAAATGATAAGGTGCATATCAGCACTGACCACACAGAAATGCAAATAACCACCAGAGAATACTATGAACACCTCTATGCACATAAACTAGAAAATCTAGAAGAAATAGAAAATTTCCTGGACACATACACCCTCTCAAGACTGAAACAGGAGGAAATTGAATCCATGAATAGGTCAATAACATGTTCTGAAATTAAGGCAGTAATACATAACCTACCAACCGAAAAAAAGCACAGGACCAGATAGATTCACAGCTGAATTCTACCAGAGGTACAAAGAAGAGCAGATACCAATTCATGCTGAAACTTCCCCAAAAAATTAAAAAGGAGGGACTCCTTTGTAACTCATTTTATGAGGTTAGCATCATTCTGATAGCAAAACCTGGAAGAGATACAACAAAGAAAAAAAAATGTTAGGCCAATATCCCTGATGAACATCGATGCGAAAATCCTGAATAAAATACTGGAAAACCGAATCTAGCAGCACATCAAAAAGGTGATCCATCACAATCAAGTGGTTTTCTTCCCCAGGATGCAAGGTTGGTTCAACATAATCTAGGAATACTGCAAACCAGGCAGGCTAAAGATCTCTACAATGAGAATTACAAAACACTGCTCAAATAAATTATAGGTAATATAAATAAATGGAAAAACATTCTATGCTCATGGATAGGAAGAATAAATGTCATTAAAATGGCCATACTGAAAGAATGATGATTAAAATATCATTAAAATGGCAATACTGTCCAAAGCAATTTACAGACTCAATGCTATTTCTATCAAAATACCCATGACATTCTTCACAGAACTAGATAAACCTATTGTAAATGTTATATGGTGTATTAGTCTGTTTTCACACTGCTGATAAAGACATACCCAAGACTGGGCAATTTACAAGAGAAAGAGGTTTAATGGAGTTACAGTTCCAAGCATCTGGGGAAGCCTCACAATCATGGCAGAAGGCAAGAAGGAGTAAATCACATCTTACATGGATGGCAGCAAGCAAATAGAGCTTGTGCAGGACAACTCCCATTTTTGAAGCCATGAGATCTCATGAGACCCATTAACTATCACAAGAACAGCATGGAAAAGACCCACTCCCATAATTCAGTTGTCTCCCACCGGGTCCCTCCCACAACACATGGGAATTATGGGAGCTATAATATGAGATTTGGGTGGTGACACAGAGCCAAATTACATCATACAGAACCAAAAAGGAGCTTTTGGACGGAACCGCCATCTTCCAGTAATTCGCCAAAATGACAAACACAAAGGGAAAGAGGAGAGCCACCCGATATATGTTCTCTAGGCCTTTTAGAAAACATGGAGCTGTTCCTTTGGCGACGTATATGCGAATCTATAAGAAAGGTGATATTGTAGACATCAAGGGAATGGGTACTGTTCAAAAAGGAATGCCCCACAAGTGTTACCATGGCAAAACTGGAAGAGTCTACAATGTTACCCAGCATGCTGTTGGCATTGTTGTAAACAAACAAGTTAAGGGCAAGATTCTTGCCAAGAGAATTAATGTGCGTATTGAGCACATTTAGCACTCTAAGAGCCGAGATAGCTTCCTGAAATGCATGAAGGAAAATGATCAGAAAAAGAAAGAAGCCAAAGAGAAAGGTACCTGGGTTCAACTAAAGTTCCAGCCTGCTCCACCCAGAGAAGCACACTTTGTGAGAACCAATGGGAAGGAGCCTGAGCTGCTGGAACTTATTCCCTATGAATTCATGGCATAATAGGTGTTAAAAAACCTAATTTATTGAGAGTTTTTAGGATGAAGGGTTGTTGAATTTTGTCAAAGGACTTTTCTGCATCTATTGAGATAATCATGTGGTTTTTGTCTTTGATTCTGTTTATATGCTGGATTACATTTACTGATTTGCATATATTGAACCAGCCTTGCATCCCAGGGATGAAGCCCACTTGATCATGGTGGATAAGCTTTTTGATGTGCTGCTGGATTTGGTTTGCCAGTATTTTATTGAGGATTTTTGCATCAATGTTCATCAAGGACATTGGTCTAAAATTCTCTTTGTTGGTTGTGTCTCTGCCCGGCTTTGGTATCAGGATGATGCTGGTCTCATCAAATGAGTTAGGGAGGATACCCTCTTTTTCTATTGATTGGAATAGTTTCAGAAGGAATGGTACCAGTTCCTCCTTGTACCTCTGGTAGAATTCGGCTGTGAATCCATCTGGTCCTGGACTCTTTTTGGTTGGTAAGCTATTGATTATTGCCACAACTTCAGCTCCTGTTATTGGTCTATTCAGAGATTCATCTTCTTCCTGGTTTAGTCTTGGGAGAGTGTATGTGTTGAGGAATTTATCCATTTCTTCTAGATGTTCTAGTTTATTTGTGTAGAGGTGTTTGTAGTATTCTCTGATGGTAGTTTGTATTTCTGTGGGATTGGTGGTGATATCCCCTTTATCATTTTTTATTGCATCTATTTGATTCTTCTCTCTTTTTTTCTTTATTAGTCTTGCTAGTGCTCTATCAATTTTGTTGATCCTTTCAAAAAACCAGCTCCTGGATTCATTAATTTTTTGAAGGGTTTTTTGTGTCTCTATTTCCTTCAGTTCTGCTCTGATTTTAGTTATTTGATATCATACTGAATGGGCAAAAACTGGAAGCATTCCCTTTGAAAACTGGCACAAGACAGGGATGCCCTCTCTCATCACTCCTATTCAACATAGTGTTGGAAGTTCTGGCCAGGGCAATTAGGCAGGAGAAGGAAATAAAGGGTATTCAATTAGGAAAAGAGGAAGAGGAAGTCAAATTGTCCCTGTTTGCAGACGACATGATTGTATATCTAGAAAACCCCATTGTCTCAGCCCAAAATCTCCTTAAGCTGATAAGCAACTTCAGCAAAGTCTCAGGATACAAAATCAATGTACAAAAATCATAAGCATTCTTATACACCAATAACAGACAAACAGAGAGCCAAATCATGAGTGAACTCCCATTCACAATTGCTTCAAAGAGAATAAAATACCTAGGAATCCAACTTACAAGGGATGTGAAGGACCTCTTCAAGGAGAACTACAAACCACTGCTCAAGGAAATAAAAGAGGATACAAACAAATGGAAGAACATTCCATGCCCATGGGTAGGAAGAATCAATATCGTGAAAATGGCCATACTGCCCAAGGTAATATATAGATTCAATGCCATCTCCATCAAGCTACCAATGACTTTCTTCACAGAATTGGAAAAAACTACTTTAAAGTTCATATGGAACCAAAAAAGAGCCCACATCACCAAGTCAATCCTAAGCCAAAAGAACAAAGCTGGAGGCATCATGCTACCTGACTTCAAACTATACTACAAGGCTGCAGTAACCAAAACAGCATGGTACTGGTACCAAAACAGAGATATAGATCAATGGCACAGAACAGAGCCCTCAGAAATAACGCTGCATATCTACAATTATCTGATCTTTGACAAACCTGAGAAAAACAAGCAATGGGGAAAGGATTCCCTATTTAATAAATGGTGCTGGGAAAACTGGCTAGCCATATGTAGAAAGCTGAAACTGGATCCCTTCCTTACACCTTATACAAAAATCAATTCAAGATGGATTAAAGACTTAAACGTTAGACCTAAAACCATAAAAACCCTAGAAGAAAACCTAGGCATTACCATTCAGGACATAGGCATGGGCAAGGACTTCATGTCTAAAACACCAAAAGCAATGGCAACCAAAGCCAAAATTGACAAATGGGATCTAATTAAACTAAAGAGCTTCTGCACAGCAAAAGAAACTACCATCAGAATGAACAGGCAACCTACAAAATGGGAGAACATTTTCACAACCTACTCATCTGACAAAGGGCTAATATCCAGAATCTACAATGAACTCAAACAAATTTACAAGAAAAAAACAAACAACTCCATCAAAAATTGGGCGAAGGACATGAACAGACACTTCTCAAAAGAAGACATTTATGCAGCCAAAAAACACATGAAAAAATGCTCATCATCACTGGCCATCAGAGAAATGCAAATCAAAACCACAATGAGATACCATCTCACACCAGTTAGAATGGCAATCATTAAAAAGTCAGGAAACAACAGGTGCTGGAGAGGATGTGGTGAAATAGGAACACTTTTACACTGTTGGTGGGACTGTAAACTAGTTTAACCATTGTGGAAGTCAGTGTGGCGATTCCTCAGGGATCTAGAACTAGAAATACCATTTGACCCAGCCATCCCATTACTGGGTATATACCCAAAGGACTATAAATCATGCTGCTATAAAGACACATGCACATGTATGTTTATTGTGGCACTATTCACAATAGCAAAGACTTGGAACCAACCCAAATGTCCAACAATGATAGACTGGATTAAGAAAATGTGGCACATATACACCATGGAATACTATGCAGCCATAAAAAATGATGAGTTCATGTCCTTTGTAGGGACATGGATGAAGTTGGAAATCATCATTCTCAGTAAACTATTGCAAGAACAAAAAACCAAACACCGCATATTCTCACTCATAGGTGGGAACTGAGCAATGGGAACACATGGACACAGGAAGGGGAACATCACACTCTGGGGTCTGTTGTGGGGTGGGGAGAGCGGGGAGGGATAGCACTGGGAGATATACCTAATGCTAGATGACGAGTTGGTGGGTGCAGCGCACCAGCATGGCACATGTATACATATGTAACTAACCTGCACATTGTGCACATGTACCCTAAAACTTAAAGTATAATAATAATAAATAAAAAACTAGAAAAAAATAGGTGTTAAAAAAATAAATAAAGGACCTCTGGGCTATAAAAAAAAAGAAAAAAAAAGAACCAAAAAAGAAAAAAAAAGAACCAAAAAAGAGCCCAAGTAGCCAAGGCAATGCTAATTAAAAAGAACAAAGTTGGAGGCATCATGCTATCTGTCTTCAAACTATACTATAGGGCTACAGTAACCAAAACATCATGGTACTGGTACAAAAACAGACACATAGGCCAATGGAACAGAATAGGGTACCCAGAAATAAGGCCACACACTTTTGACCACCTGATCTTTGACAAAGCTGAGAAAAACAAGCAATGGGGAAATGAATCCCTATTAAATAAATAAAGCTGTTGTAACTGGCTAGCCATATGCAGAAGATTGAAACTGGACTCCTTCCTCACATCGTATACAAAAATCAACTCAAGATGGATTAAAGGCTCCAAGGTAAAACCGAAAACTATCAAAACTTTGATTGACAACGTAGGCAATACTATTCAGGACATGGACACATGCAAAGATTTCATTAAGAAAACACCAAAAGCAATTGCAACAAAACAAAAACTTACAAATAGAATCAAATTAAACTTAAGAGTTCTGCACATTAAAATGAACTATTAACAGACAACTTACAGAATGAGAGAAAATATTTGAAAACTATGCCTCTGACAAATATATCATATCCAGTGTTTATGAGGAAGTTGAACAAATTTACAAGAAAAAAACACCATTAACAAGTGGGCAAAGGATATGAACAGACATTTTCTAAAGAAGACATGCATGTGGCCAATAAAGCATATGAAGAAAACCTCAACATTACTGATCATTAGAAAAATGCAAATCAAAACCACAATAGGATACCATCTCACACGAGTCAGAATGGCTATTATTAGAAAGTCAAAAAATAGCACAGGTGGGCAAGGTGACAGAGAAAAAGAAATGCTTATACACTGTTGGTGGGAGTTCAAATTAGGTCAACATTGTGGAAATCAGTGTGGTGATTCATCAAAGACCTAAAAACAGAACTACCATTCAACCCAGCAATCCGATTACTGGGTATATACCCAAAGTAATATAAATCATTCTACCAAAAAGACATATGTACATTTAGGTTCATTATTCACAATAGCAAAGACACAGAATCAACCTAAATGCCCATTAATGGTAGAATTAAATGTACTACAAATACAGAATGGAATACTATGCAGTCAAAAAAAGGAAAAACCAAGATCATATTCTTTGCAGGAACATGGATGGAGCTGGAGGCATAAAAATTTCATAATCTGTTTGCTTATTTCTATACTCAAACATATGTGTACACACACCCACACACACAAACACACAGACGTGATACAAAACTTTCTATGATTTTCATTGCATTCAATTTATGGACCCATTTGAGAATGATTAACATCTTCAAGATATTGAGTCTTCTAATCCATAAAAATAGTATGTTTGTCTACTGAAGGTATTCTTTAATTTCTGTGAATAACATTTTATATTTTTCAGTTGATCATTTTGTAAAATTTAATGTTTAATTTAATTTAATGCATTTAATGTTTTTTATAATATTCATAAATAATACTTTTCTCAAGTTTTATTTTTAAGTTTATGTTGATGTTATATAGAAATATAACTGATTTTGCTCAGTTACTTTACACCTATTAACATTGCTAAGTTTACTTTTTGCTTCAAATAGTTTGTTGTTTTTTGATAACTTTGATAGCTTTATGGAGGTAATCATAATTATATAGCCTGCAAATAATCATAGTCTTATGTCTTTTTTTTCTTGTTACTTTTACCTCTTTGGTTTGGCTAATAACCTCTAATACAGTATGAAACAGAAATAGCTATCTTCCTTTTCTAAATCTAATTCCAGAGAGAAAATTTCTTTTTAAGGAAAGTTTTTTTAAAATATATATTTATCAAATTATTTTCTATATCTGTTGAAACAAGCACATAATATTTCTTCTTTATTCTGGCTTTAAGTAAAGCGTATGTGAACTGAGACCAAAAATCACTAGTGTGTATATGGGAAAAGACAGACATCATAAGATAAACTGTAGAACTCATGGGAGAGAGCTTGAGTTTAAGGAGGTTGATGCAATTTGACCTAGGCAGTGATATCTAGAAACACAGTCCAGGTCAAAGGAGGAACCAAAAAGAAAAAAAGTGAAATTGAATAGTACTGTTAGTTAAGCGTTATAAAAATGTATAATAGAAATCCCAGTTAGATGTCCTGTAAATGCCTAAGAAAAAACATTTAATGCAAACATATGAATCCTGTGAGTCTATTGACTCATAGTCAGACTCAATTAAAAAAAACACAACTTTTACTTGGGTACTTAAACTTACTAGTCAACTTGGATTGGGATTCATGTAAGCTGGAATGAAGAAATTAACTGCTAAGCCAGAAGCTGTACTCTTTAACATAAGTTGATTATCCATAACTTGATTACCTCTGTATATTTTGCACACACTGACTTCTTAAAATATGCTAGAAGAGATGATATATTCTAAATGTCTGGGTAAATGGCTATGTTAATTACCTTCTAGAGAGGAGAAATTATTAAAAACAAAAAAAGCAAGGCTATATTCCACATGCTTATAAATAATGGATATATTAAAATCAATTCTGCTTTCTTTCCAATTATTACAACAAATAGATTAATGTGCTTGTAAGTAATTAGTAAATATACAATATTATACCAATGTAAGGAGTAATTATTATTACTGCTAAAATAACTATCCATGTTTGTCCTCAAGATGATGACAGTAAACAAAACCATTGAAGTATTAGTTGTTGTTTGAGCAGAGAAGATAAGTGATACGGAGTAAAGGGTTTATTATAGGAATTTGACATAATACAGTGTGGGATTGATTAGGCACTTTACTATAATTGCTTCCAAGTTTGTTGTCGGGCCTGTATGTTGCTGGGCTTGTGTAGGCAGCTGTGCAGGTAGCAGGACAGTCAATACTAAAGAAAAGATGGCCTTGAAATTGTGGAGAACATAGGTAAATAATTGTATTGATTTACTTGGAACTGAGGAGTTTCCTGAGATGAGGGACTTTCAGTACTAAAACGGTACAGTCTCAACTGAACCAGAAAGGTTGGTCACTCTTTCAGAAAATCTCAGATAATGTACTTGACCTACAACAGAGCCTTACACTACACTGACCTTTGAAGTATAAACGTGGAGGCTGCTTCACTTTCCCTTTCTAAATGTCATGTAGTTTCTTTCATGGTCAGTTCTACCACAAAGGGAATGGAATTCTCAGAAATGTAGTTTCTGTTTAGCTTAGTTATTACAGCAATACAATCTTTATAGGTAGCCATTGGGAATCCTTTTGATTTAATTTTATGTTTCAGAATAAAGTGTAACCTCCTTTACATAGCAGTTTTGTTAGAGAAAATTCACAAAAATCCAGCTCTTCAGAACTATGAAAATGTCTAATTGATTTAAAGAGAGACACACTCTTTTAGCAAAATACTGATAGTAGTTACCCTTCTAGAGCCACAGTTACATTCTTTCCTCCTGTGCGCTCTAATCCCTGGCAAACACTAATCTCTCTATAATCTTTGTATTTTTTCATTTCAAGAATGTAATATAAATGCATTAATTTTGTATGTAAAATTTTGAGATTGTTTTTATTTTCATTTAGTTCCCTGAGATCCATCCAGGTAGTTCTGTGTATCAATAGTTCTTTCCTCATTATGGCTGAGTATTTTTCTATGATATGTTTGTACAACAGATTGTTTAACTATTCATTACAAAACAAATGGTTTTTTTTTGTTTTGGCCTATTATGAATAAAGATGCTATCAGCATTTGTTTTAACATGAGTTTTTATATCTCTGAAATAAATGACCAAAAGTTCAACTGCTAAGAGCATATTTAGTTTGTAAGAAGCTATAACATTATTTTCTAGAATGGTGCCATTTTACATTCCCACCAGCAATATGTGAGTGATCCCATTAGTTCACATCTTAATCCAAACACAGTGCTATCATTATTGCTTTTAATTTTGTATTTTGATATATGTGTAGTAATTGCACATTGTGGTTTTAATATTCATATTTCTAATGGCTAAAGATGTTGAACATTTTTTCAAAGGTGCTCATTTTTTGTCTGTACATTCTCTTTGGCAGTCTCTTCAAGTCTTCTATTCTTTAGGGTAGTTTATTTTCTTACTTTTAAATTTGGAAAGCTCTTTATATGTCCTGTTTATAAGGCCTTTGTTAAATAGTGATCCACAAGTATTTTCTACTAGTCTGTAGCTTGTTTTTCATTCAACTAATAGTGATTTTATAGAGCAAAACTATTTTAATTTTGATTAAGTTAGACTTATCAGTTGTTTCTTTTGTGGATCTTGCTTTAGTGTTATGTCTAAACACTTTGTCTAAGCTTAGTTCGTGAAGATTTTCTCCTACCTTTTCTTTAAAAGTTTCATGATTTTATAGTTTTCCATTTAGATCTCACATCAGATGCATTTTTGCATCTGATGTGAGATTCAAATCAAAGATGATTTCCTTTGCATATAGATATCAATATTCCCTGTTGAAAAGACTACTCTTTTCAATTAAATTTACTTTATATCTTAGTTTTAAAGGAAGCATTTGTGTCCAAACCAGATGGAGCAAATGCATTTGACCCTAATTCTCCCAATATCTACAACACAAAAAAACCCTACATAAAATTTATAAGGCAACAAACAAAGAATCTGAAAGAAGGAAGAAGCCAAGTGGATTAGGGACACTGAAACTTGAAGAATATCACTCTGGTGAGTACCCCTGAAGTTGTCTTCCTTTCTATATATCCAAGTCTAGGTGCTAGAGAAGCCTAAAAATCCAGAAAAGCTAATGTGTGTGGATAAATAAAACCCCATGAAAAGCATTCTCTCTAGACAACGTACCAGAGAAAGGTGCCCCAGAAGGACAGAAGCATGTTCACCATCCCTTTTTCTATTTCATACAATCACCATGAAAAAATGCTCTTCCCTCCCCTTCTACTGTAGGAATGAAGGCAGTGGGCAGAGCCTTGTCTACCATCCCTGCTCTGTAACAATAAGGTGGTGTCTTTGCTCCTATTTTCAGGCTACTTACTTATCAAATGACCTTGGTATTTTACATATATTCTTGAAATTTTAGGAGTTTCTTTCTTGTGTAAATTGGAAATATTTAAATAAAATAAAATTTGTAAACTTTAGTGAATGTTTCTGATAAGCCTTCAAGTAATTGACAATTATATGATCTCCTGTTTCTCTCTTCTACTGCTCTTCTCCTCACTCACACGGCTCCAGCCACACTGGGTCACTTGTTAAAAAATTCCTGGCATGCCTCAGGGCTTTTGCATCTGTTGCTCCCTACACTACCATTCCTTTAGATAACCACATGGCTTGTTCCATTATTTCCTTAAGATCTTGCTTCACATGTTAATGACTGAACTTGAAATTCATGAGAGAAGGTTTTTTTCTGTTTTGTTCACAGTTATACCCCCAACACCCAGAAGAAGACTTGGGACATAATAGGTTCTCAAATAAATATTCGCTCAGCAAATAAATCTTTATGTTTGTGAGTAAATAAATAGCAAATGTTAATATCAGCACTAACTGTAAAGATTTTTTAAATCAGAATTTTAAGGTGGCAATATGAAAAAAGGATTAAGAACTGAAAACAGAATTGATACTAAACTTCTCTGTTTTATTCACCCTCTATGGTGACTATACACATACACACACATATGTAAGTTTTTAAAGTTTTTTTCTTAATTCAATTAATCGTTTAACTTTTAGATGTAAAGTTTTGGCTTTAGTAAATATCTGAGTTCATGTTTTGTTAATATGGTTTTTAAAAATATTTTTGTCTTTTTAAATGTTAAAGTAATATGTGTTAACAATAAGAAATTTTGGAGAAGTTCAGTAATAAGGGAATTGTTAATAAATTTGAAATAGGTGGATATTGGAATATTGTACAATTCTTAAAATAATACTTAATAAACCAATAAAATATAATATGGTAACTAAAAAAAGATATAAAGCTGTATATATCGTATGGTTTATGTTCAGTGATGTGCATCTATTATATAGACATTTGTGCATATATATATATATATGCATAAAGTATATGAATAATACATGAATGTTAAATTTTCAGCCAAAATCTGGTATTAGGTATCATCTTTGAGTTTTGGAAAGTCCAAGGCTCATTTAAATTTCAATTCTGAAATTCTTGAACTTTGCACAATCAATAATCACATGACTACATTGGTTATTATCATATATAAGCATCATGACAATGTCAGCAGTTTATACAAAGTATGTCACTGGGATTTATTATTAATATTTGCATTTATGAGTATCTACTTTCAAATATAGTTCAGCATTCTTGTTGTACCTTGTATTAAACCTTAATGTGCATTATATGGTAAAATTCTATTACTCAGGGTAAGTATGTATGCATAGTTTTTATTGTAATCATCAAATATAGCACTAATTAATAATTCTGAAAATGCTCTGTATATTGGCATAAACTGAGAACACTCAAATGTTTAAATGTACAGGAAATAGATTGACAATAGGAGAGCATCAGCTGGATAACATTAAGAAGAAGATAGCTCTTATTTGAACAACTAATGATTATAAAACTAAATAATAATTTAATACAGAATGAAATATTTACATTAATACATTAAAATAATATTTAATACATTAAAATATCAATGCCAATCTTTGTAGTTTTTTTGTACAATTAAATTTATACATTAAACCAAATAAGAACTCTATGTGATGCTTATATATTTAATTCCATCTATCCCAAATCTTTCTAGTAAAGAACTTCTTTTGTAATGTCTTGCTTATTGTGAAGATAAAATAATAGTGGAATGACAACTCTGCAAACTCAAAATTTCATAAGAAAAAATATAAAAATAATATCAATGGCAAATCATTTTGATACAGATTTTTAAAATGATTATACAGGGAACAAAGAAACTAATGTAGTGTTAGTGAATAAATGAGTTACTTCCAAATATCTTGCTTCTTCATTGATTTCATTGAAAGTGAACATCTATTTTCTGTTGTCAATGTGCAATACACTAACTGCAGCAGCAATCCAGATGCTGACATCTGGATGTGAAGCTCCAGGAGTGAAGCTCCTCCACCATAATTGTGAACATTTAAAAATTTACCATTAAATCTTTTGATAACCCAGTGGTAATTATGATTTTGCTACATTGGTAATGTTTTAGATTTATTCTTTATCTCAGAAGGTCATTTAAGGATGTCGATATTCTTTATTAAACAGAATATTATGATAACTTCTGGCTTTTGGCACTTGGAGAAAATGCATGTTCAAAGCATAAAGTATTTAAATACTTATATTTAAAGTATCCATAGCACAATAGGGGGAAATTCAGGAAGGCACTAAAGCAGCCATTAGCTCTCTTATCTCTAGATTTTGATACTTATTTTAGTTCTCTTTCTGGCTTTCTGAGTTTGTTCGGGACATTCGACTATGTCAGAGAGCCAATATCAATAAAAATGATTAGCGTTTTGGGACCCGGAAATATTAGGATGCAATTTGTGGTATTGAGATTTGGTAGTGCAGTGAACCATATCACCAATATCAATCATAATTCTGTTGAGTAAAAATTTGGTATATCACAAAGAATTTAAAACATGTCCATTACTATTGACCTCATCATTATAGTTAGTAAAGCGGTTATTTAAACAACAGGTATGTATGGATCACAAATCATGTGGCAAGTACTGTGGTAGATATGGAAGAGGAAGGGAACTGTATTAACTTTAATAAATATTGCAATTTCCATTTTTTGAGAGCTCACTACATGCTAGACCCTATATAAATGCATTGTGTACTTTTTAGTACTCACAATAACAATTTGACATTTTAAAGATAAGGAAAATAAAACTAAGTGAATAACCTGTCCGAGGCCATATAATAGTAAGTACCAATTCTGACTAATGTCTGTGTAACTCCACCACCAGTGCACCCAACGCTGTGTGCAATATAAATCATTGCTCCTCAGTAAACATAGAAGGGGGAGACAAATCTAACCCACATCAAATAATTTGAGGGCAACAGAAGGGATTTAAATGGTGTAGTAAGACAATATATGCACCTAGAATTGAAAGAGATAGATAGATGACTGAGGGCCGGGGGGCTTCAAAGATGAGCAGGGCTTTATTTGGAGCAAGAGAAGAGGAAATGCATTCTGGGTAAATCAATATTATGAAGAAGGATACATAAAAAGGCTGATTTTTCTAGAAAAGTGGGGAAATGTTATTCGGCAAAAGGAGCAGTGAGTACACCATTTATATTATTTATTTAAATATATTTTTAAATTTTAAACCTTGATAACTGGGATGTCCTGTCATTCAATGACTTATATTAAATATATGGATTCTGATATGGGCAGATTAAGGTGTTTCATAATAAATAGAGCATATGGTTAAGATTGATGATTAATATGTAATTTTAAAGTTAATAAAGTGCGAAATGGAAGGAGAAAAATACCTTCTAAATATTTTGGCATACATATTTCCTTTTTTTTTTTTTTCCTCCATTGCAATGAGATAGGTCACTGAGGAGGTAATCTTACTTACAGATAAGGATGCTATAATGGAAACCGTAATTCGCCCAAGGCTACACAGCTACTTATCAGAAGATAAGGGATTTAAAGCGAGTGATTTTTGGAAGCCAACATAAGCCAGATTTTTGTAGAGCTTTATAGCTGCTTCTCACGTATTTTTTAGCCTTCAGCCCTTCCATAAGAAAACTTACTATATTCAACTGTTATTTATGGTTTACTACTTTGGTATTGTGTCAAAGTTTGATTTTTTTTGTTTGTTTTTTGAGATGGAGTCTCGCTCTGTCGCCCAGGCTGGACCGCAGTGGCACGATCTCGACACACTGCAAGCTCCACCTCCCAGGTTCACGCCATTCTCCTGCCTCAGCCTCCCGAGTAGCTGGGACTACAGGCGCCCACCACCACGCCTGACTAATTTCTTTTTGTATTTTTAGTAGAGACGGGTTTCACCGTGCTAGCCAGGATGGCTACGATCTCCTGACCTCGTGATTCGCCCACCTTGGCCTCCTCCCAAAGTGCTGGGATTACAGGCGTGAGCCACCGCGCCCGGCCCAAAGTTTGATTTTGAAACTAAAATAACTTATGTAAGCACATTGTTTGTGATTTGATCAGTTACTACATGAGAAATAGTTAGTCTGGCATTAAAATCTGTTCTTACCTGGAGCGGTGGCTCATGCCTGTAATCCCAGCACTTTGGGAGGCCGAGGCAGGCAAATTGCCTGAGCTCAAGAGTTCAAGACCAGCCTGGGCAACATAGTGAAACCCCGTCTCTACAAAGACACAAAAAATTAGCCAGGCGTGGTGGCATGCACCTGTAGTCCCAGCTACTCTGGAGGTTGAGGCAGGAGAATCGTTTGAACCTGGGAGGCTGAGGCTGCAGTGAGTCAAGATCACACCACTGCACTCCAGCCTGGGCAAGACTCTGTCAAATAAAAGAAAAAAGAAAAAAAGAAAAGAAACAAGAAAAATAAAATATATTATTTGATTGTTAGAATGAAAATTTTTCAGAGAAAGTCGCTGATGTGCTATATCACTGTATTACTGTATACTAGGTATTTTATTCCCTGCTGTCTTTTAATCAAAAGAAGTACAATTAAAAAAAAATTTTAGAGTCAGTCAGCTCAATATTGGATTTCAACTGCACATTTGATGGGATTCAATCTTACAGTTTTTGTCTCAGTCAACTTGGGATATTATTACATTATTTTTCTGAAATGAACTTCTAGATGCCAGATACTGGAAAGATTGCAGAGAGGTGGGTTTTTAAATTCACTTTTAAGTAGCTGCGAGAAGCCATATATATCGGAGACTCCAGGACTGTCTTTCCAAATCACATAATAAAGATTGGAACTAAAGTCCATAGTGCTTAAGTAGATACACAAAAAAGTATGTTTGCATGTGCTGGGAGGGGAAAAAAAGTACTAAATAAAAATCATGGACCAGAAACATACAGGTGGAGGGGAACATCCTGTGTTCACACCATGAACTCTTGGAGTGTAGAATTTGTGGAGAAAAGAAAGCGAGAAGATACTAACTTCTAGCTTGGTGCTGCTAATTCCCCAATCTATTCCTGGGGTTAAATCATGTGAAGATAGGAGACTACTTTTTCCACTTACAAAGTATATCATTGACAGTTAGTACATTATTGGGATTTTGTATTAATGAACTGGAAAGGTTTCTACAGGACCACTGTAAGTTCTAGAGAGCTGCAAAAATGTGTTTTATTATTGCCATTATTGCTAAATGAAATAGTTCATGGAATTCACCAGCATATGAGTTTTGGTGTCTCTCACTGTAAAGTTTTCCTTAATTGTCTAGCTTCCACAATATCAGAGATATTCTGTCTCCTCCAAGACACCACAGGAGAACCAAAGAAAGTATTTCTCTGTCACTATGTTTAACTTAGGATTTCTCATCAGAAGGCTGAATATGCAATGAAGTCAAAATTCTATAAGGCCATGCAGAGGTTAAAATGTTGTACAAATATAAGTAATGCATGAGAAACAAATACATTAAAATGAAAACAGTGATTGTATTAAGGTGAATAATATTTTTTACTTTTTAATTAAATTGTATATATATGACTTGCATACTAAAATTTTTAGAATAATATAAATTATATAAATCAGATAAGAAAAAACAGGTCTTTAAAATTTATCAATGTTGCTTTGTGAGGAAGTTTTGGAGTAGAAACTATTATAGCTAGATAATCAATTATGGTAATTACAGTTTTCCCTTTTTAAAATATTTTTAAACCACAACAACACTGCAGCATTTGGAAACAGTAAACAAGCCAGAGTAGCCTTAAAGGAAGGCCGCGTCAATAAATGACTTCATTAGCTTCTCACGGATACATTTTAGTGCATTGCAGTAGGAAATAATATTGCTGCAAATTAGTAACTGTAATTAGATATTTTTCCAGCTTTAATTTTCATTATGAAAATATGGTTACCTCTGTATCTAAATTTTCTTTAATTTCCCTAATTCAAGGGCAGACCCCCAGAGAGGTCAGTTGTGTTCACTGAAAATTCCTATAACTTCATGAAAGAATAGTTCACATTTATAGTCTGCAAAGCAACTGAACTGAAAAATCTAATGTTATGTTTCTGTTGATTTACTGTCACTTTAATGGTATGTTATCACAATCCTCATACTTTTACAGTCTAGGGTAGTTTTAGGTTAATGCACATTTAATGAAAAGTAGAGTGGATAGTACTGGGTGTATGCAGATTTAAATGCTATCACCTGAGTAAATTGTCTCTTAATATTACATACAGAGATTCCTAAAGTACAACCCTGTACTGTTACAATTAAGAAATCAAAATGTTAAATTTATAATAGGTTTGAGATGAGATAGGAAATCAGGTTTGTTTGATGTTCCAGGTCTTGTTTAAAGACAGTCTTGCCCTTGTTCATAGGTAGGTAGGGCTGAGGGTGCAGGGTTGGACAAATATTGTTTCTTCTTTTGGAGCAAAAACATTTTCCTCTGCTATTGGGAGAGAAAAGAACACTTTATAGAGGAGAATTAGATGAGTGTCACAATGTCATACAACAATGTTCAACTATACAAAGAGAAATGTGGGTGCATTTTTAAGGAAGTATTTATTAACTGTTGATATTCTCCTTTCAAAAGCTTTTTTAAATTACTTAAATCTATGAGACTCAGTGTTTGGGGAAGGTCATTAAAAATAAAGACTTACTTTGTAGGCTATCATTTATGTAATAAAAATTAATAAATAGAGCATCTTAACTGCCTTGGTAGGTAGGTAGAAGAATATGAAATGCTGGCATCTCTGGTGGCCCATAACAGAGACCAGGGTTCCAAAATAGTTTCTGTCACTTGTCTTTAGAGAAGACCTTACTTTCCTTATTTACACAGCATAGGGTTGTCTGAGATTGTGTAAAAGGTCACCTAGAAGTCTTTCCTTTGATTATTTAGAATAAGGCCTTGAGTTCAAGGATGACCTTAAAAATTCCTATATTTGCAAGGCTCATGTTATTTTGCTTAACCCTGTTTAGTGTCTTTGATGAAATAAAGGTTTTTAATTTTTTTCCAATTTCTCTAAACATTTTTATTTCTCTAAACATTTTTATCTGAGACACAGATCCAGTGACAGAAGAAGAAGTAGATCTAGGAAGAGATCAGTTTACATGAATGTTTTTAATTTATAAGAATAAAAAAGTCATTTTAGTTCAAAGGCTACAGGGGCAAGAAAATGGGCAAATAGAAGCAGAATGACACTATGATTACATCTTCCCTCACATAGAAATAATCAGACTAGTACAGAAATTTCATTGACAAATTATACCTTATCAGCACAAGATTCAGGAAAACTCACTCTCAGATTCTAATTCTTGCTTTCTTTCTATAAGCCTTGCTTAAAGGTTGATTGTAATTAGGGAAAGCTGGGACCTTGGCTCTGGATCTGGGAAAGTTAGTAATATTATCTGATGCCACAGTGTCTCTGTGCCCAAATGAGGCTACCTATGTTTTTTTGGAAAAATATCTGTTCGCAGCAACATCAGGTAGGGTAGAGGTGGAGGTTTGAGGGTAAATCCTGTCGCAAAAATAGATCTGTAATTTTTCATGCCTGAAACAAGAAGAAGGAGGGAAAGGAGAGGAAAAATAAGAAGAGGAGGAAGAAGAAGGAGGTGAAAAATAAAAGCTTCTGTTAGTGTTTCTGCTGGTAGAATTGACAGATTAAATTTGCTTTTGGATTTCGGAGCTTTCTTATTTTCAAAAACATCAGGAGTTTACTTGGTTGGTTGTAGTAAAGTGTAATAGTATGTATTCAAGAAAAGCAACATTTTTGACAGTTACAAGTTAAAGACTGCACAATTATGTGAAATTCCTTGAATGAAGGGCTGATAATGAATTTGCTTTTGGCTTCAACTTGGGGTCAGAAACTGCAGTCTGCAATCTGAAATTTGAGAGACAGAGGGCAGCGGATAAGGGATGCTGACTGGGAGAGATGGGGAAATGTTAACAACCAGGCACCAGGCCAAAGATAACATCCCCACGCAGATAATGCGGTAGAGAAGGGAATGCTAGTTAGGGTAATATTCTAAAAAAAAAAAAAAAAAAAAAAAATTCAAGTTTAAGTTTCCCTCACTACACTTTACTCTTCTTGTACTATATGAAAGCCTTAATCACATCTGTTAAACACTGTAGCCTGTGTTAGGTGTGCATTGAGGAATGAAAGGTAAGGGCATGATTTAGCTCTCTGGGTCACAGTCAGCTTGGGAGAAGTGCAGCACCCTGAAGTGATACATGAAGAGAAGAGGTGACATACAGAGAAGAGTGAAGTGAGAGGGACAGTGATGATATTTAACATTTGTCAAACATTTATTATATGCATTAATAATTGTTGTAGGCATTATCGTACTTTCCACTTAGACTCCTGAGGGGTCTTTAGTAATATCTGGGGAGGGGCCTACACTTACTGTAGAAATACAGTGTGTGGCTTGGAGTGTTACTAAAGCTGGATTAAAGGGGGTGTGAGACAAAAGCCTGGAGGAGCCTTAGCGGGGCTTTTCCCCATTCACACTAAAGGAGAGCACTCACATACACAGTCTTTACAATTTCATTTCCAGAATAGGGCTTCAGGGAATGAAGAGGCAGTCAATGACATGAAATACAATCCTATTACCTGTTTTAAGAGCTAAAGTTATCCTGTCACAAAATTCAGAATCTAAAGGTCAGAATTCCACTCACAACTTCATCATTTATGAGCTATAAGTTCTTGGGCAAATCTCATGACTTTCCTGAGTTCCATTTTTTTAAAATATCTACTGCTAGGTTTGTTAACCAGATCAAATGAGATTATATATGAAAATGTTAAGAGTACTATAAAATGTTAGTCATTTTTATATTCTTACTTTTCTAATTATACCATAAAAGATTAGTGGAATAACAAGTTTGGGGGAATGGATGAGTAAGACATAAATTAATGAAAATGCTAAATTGAGAGCAGTTTTTATCCAGACTAATCTGCAGGCTCCCCACCTGAATCGTTTAAGCACTGGGACAAGATGTTTAGGGAGTCTTACAAAACCACATACCTTAGTTCGTTCCTTAAAAAAACAAGTCCGATGTTGATTGTTCACAGGCAGCAGTTTTTAATATCACAAAGCTACAAAATGAATAAACAGCCAGATAAAACTCTGATTAACTATTGAAAATCTACCTAGAAGCATTGCTTAAAACCTAAAAACAAAAAGCAAAACTTGAGACCACTCTATAAATTATCTATTGCTAATTTCTTAACACAAAAGATTATAGAGTAGAATATAAGAAATAATAAAAATGAAGATGAGAATGGGATCTAGAAGTAAAAATATTTAAATGACACCCTTTCCCTGCTGATTATAAAAAATCTACAAAATCTAGGGAATTCTATACCAGGGTATAATATACTCCAGATAAGTATATTATATATATATAGGTATGGGTATATAAGGTATGCTATACCTACAATATCTAAGGTATACCAAAATAGTCTTAAAAGATTATGAGTGAGTTAATGATTTAAAAAAACAAAAATAATACTTGAATTTATTTTTTAAATGGGGATTCTTGGCCCCAAATCAGAAAGACTCAAATCAGAAAGACTCTTCTCCTTGCCAGACATAAATTAATTGGTTATTTAATACTCAGAACTCCAAGAGATAGCCAACAATTGAATGACAATTCCATGGTCATTCTATTTTTATATGAAATATAGATATTTACTTCTAAATCAAGTTTTAGATAAAAATTAGGAGATCCAAAAATGTTAGTGGCTTGCCTGAAGTCAATCAAATAAACAAGGAAAATTTAAGGCTCTAATCTATATCTTCTGACTTGTCTCTCCTCCAAAGCTTTGCCCATTATATTTCCTAGATTCTCCCATATTCATATGTTTCGTGTATGGTGGGCACTCCGTATCTGCAGGCTGTGCATATGCAGCTTCAACCAACCATGGATCAAAAATATTTGAGGAAAAAAAAAACGATAAAACAAGTAAAATACAAATACAAATAATGCAGTATCACAACTATTTATATAATATTTATATTGTATTGGATATTATAAGTAATCTAGAGGTGATTCAAAGTATGCAGGGAGAGTATATACCTCCCTGCATAGGTTAAATACAAATAAATAGGGTCCTTCATATCTGTGGGTTCCACATCCACAGATTTAACCAACCAAGGATAAAAAAAAATATTTTTCAGAAAGGATGGTTGCATCTGTACAGAATATGTACAGAACTTATTTTCTTGTCATTATTCCCTAAAAAAACTGCAATAACTATTTACATAGCATTAGGTATTTTAAATAAGCTAGAGATGATTTAAAGTACACAAGAGGGTGTGCGTAGGTTACATGCAAATACTACAGCATTTTACGTAAAGGACTTGAGCATCTATGGATTTTGGTATCGGCAGGGGTCATGGAACCAATCCGTCACACATACCAGGAGAAAACTGTATGGTTCTATAATAGGGTTTATAGTCCACCTTATATTATTACATTTCTTTGTTTTTCCTTCTCCATTGATACATTTTTGTCATGTGGAGAATATGTTCTTTCTAGATTAATGTTTCTTAGAGAAAAATGATACTTTTTTGGTATTTGCCAGGAAATGATTTATTGAATACAATTCCCTTACAGGTTGGCACCCCAGAAAAGAAGTTAGTCTTCTAGAAAACTCCATGGAAATTAGTTATTGTCAGAATGTCCCTGTTTATGCCAGAGCTCACCGACCCACAAATGCTGAGCTGGCAGGGCAGGGCTGGAGTCAAGTTTCCACCACATCACACCACTGTTATTTATTACAGCCCCTGATCATATGATGGGGGTGCCCAAATTTCCCTAATTATAAAATTCAAAAGTTTCATAACTCAGAATCAGCGTCCCTCTTTTGGAGTCTAGCACTATCTGTCAGATTGTTGTGAGCTGCCCCAGAGTGCAGGGCCATGAAGGACTCACAAACCTACCTCCAGTTTTGTCTGTCTAAGGTGGTTCCAGTGGAACTTCCCCACAGGCCTGGCAGGTGGACCGCCCCACACTTGCCTTTGTATTATGGTGGGATCTTCAGGAGCTGTCTCCATGTATATGTAACATGAGAATCAAGCCAACTGATGTGTCTATGTATCTCAATAAACTTCCCTTGTAATGGTTTTATAAATATAGTAGTATATGTATATCATAAATTATCACTTTAAGTCAATATAATAGAACATATATTGGCTTAATTATATTAAAACAATATAAATATAGTAGGTTGAACCATATAAAATTCTAATGTCAAACCAATTTTATATACAAAAAATTATAATTTTTATATTACAGTTACTAGGTATGATTTCATCCAAGGCAATGTAAGATTCCATTACTCATAGCCTCTTCTTTCTTTTGTTTTACAGAAACATTTCAGCATATACTATTACATCTAAGAAAAATAAATATATATGCTTAATTCAGATTTAGCAAATGTTAACATTTTGCTATATCATTTAAAAAAAATTTCTCAAAGAAACAGTATTGCAGATAACATAGAAGACCCCTTTATGTCCTTCCTTAACTCCATTTGTTTTCCTCTATTATTACCAACCTGGAGAAATAAATTTTGAGGGAGTTTCTGAAACCAACAATATTTTCTTCTTTTGTTATTATACTTTCATGAACAATATATACTATTATTTCATTTGTCAATAATTCTTACTTTCTTGTGTGTTATAGTGACATTGTGCTTATGCAGAAAAATGTCCTTGTAATCCAGAAGTATATTGTATTTAGATATGAAATGATATAAAATTTACAAATTACTTTCAAATGGTTCAGAAACGTGTGCACACATGTAAAGAAACAGGAATAGCAAATGTGAAAAAATGTTAACAATTAATTATTTTAGGTGAAGAGTGTATGGGTATTCTTCATCTTACTATTCCCTCATTTTTTTTCCGTAAATTTGGAAAAAAATAGAAATTTTGGAATTTTAAAGCACCATATGACTAGCATTATCTTACATGTATCAGTGAACAAGTTGCTATATGTTTTCATAATTCAATACTGCATTTGAGATTTACCCAACTTGTGATCTCTATGTCTAATTCATTTTAATTCACACATATAACACTATTACATAATACTATTCCTCCTCTTAAAGTGTGTTTAGGTTATTTTTCCTCTTTGAATAAAGATATAGTAAGCACCCTCATGTATTGCTTCTTGGTGCAATGAATTCTCTATATGCAAGAGAACTTCTACATATAAGACTGTGTATCTTTAGCTTCTTTTTTTTGAAGACCATTGAGAAATTACGTGTTTTTTATATTGATGAAAGATCTTTGCTGCATAGCTGCATAGCGTGGAGGCCACACTTGACATCACAGGCTTTTGGTCCCACCTGGGGCATATCTAAGAGATGGATGCACTCCCACTGGGGATGGAAAGTGATTGGGCTGCAAGCAATTAGGCTGCGTATGTACAGTGCTTATTTAGCCAACCTGCAAGCTTCGCTGGTGTCTTCTCCTTCCTTTCTCTGTCTGAAGTCCTGATTCTATGCTCTCTGTTCAAGAGAGGGGACAAATTCTTTGCTCATGAGTATACAATTAGCTTGTTCTCCTGTGGAACATTAAAAAAGATATTTTCAAGGTAAAATTTGTGAAATATTTACTAAATCTAATGTAACAGAGTACCCTTAATCTTGTTCAACTTATGTGGCTTTTATTGTTGACAAATGCACCTAACAGAATTTAAGGTTTAATTTACTCCTTTGCCAAACAATAAAATTTCACAAAATGCAGTCTTAAGAGTGTTAAAAATAGCTTTTTTAAAATGTAAAATTATGTATCCACTTTGGAGAACAAGTTTGATAGTTCCTCAAAGTGTCAAACCTGTAGTTACCATATGACCCAGTAATTTTACTCCTAGGTATGCACCCAAGGTAAATTAACACATGTGCACACAAAAACTTGTATAAAAATGTTCATAGCAGCATTATTCATAACAGCCAAAAAGTGAAACAACCCAAATGTGCATCAAATGATCAATGGATAACAATAGTGTGATATATTCATGCAATAAAATATTGCATGCCATAAAAGGAAATGTTGTACTACACCCCATGGATAAACCTTGAAAGCATTATGATAAATAATAGAAACTAGTCACAAAGAGTATGTGTGGTATAATTCCATGTATACAAAAATTCTAGAAGAGGCAAATCTATGGAGATAGTACATTAGTGATTGCCTAGGACTGGTGTGAGGGGGTGAGGAGTGACTGCTAATGGAATGCAGTTTATTTTGGGAATGATAAACATTTTCTAAAATTAGATTATTGCAGTGATTAAACAACCCTGTGACGATAATAAAAACCACTGAATTATGTACTTTAAGTGGATGAGTTTTATGAAATATGAATTATATCTCAATAAAGCTGTTAAAATCCTCTTTTTATGAAGTTAGGCTTAACAAAGTATTCTAAGACTGAATGTAAATATGAAACTATAAACGCATTTGCTTATTTTTGTTCTTATAAAAAACAACCTTAATGTATTAAAATATGAGAAGCAATATTAATGGCAGGGATGAGTAATTAAAACAAATGTAGATCTATCAGAAATGTAGCATTTTACTGTTTGTTAACATTGTCCTTTTCTGGTTATTTGTCAAGCACTATAGTTTAAAGGAGAATGAAAATTTTTAAAAAGTGATTTTCTTTCTGTTAACGCGTGCTTATTTCAATTTTAAATGAAAAGAAAAGGAACATAAAAATTAAAATATATAGGTAGATTTTGAAAGAAAAACCAGTTGTATTTTTCTATTTCAGAAAAGGTATCTTATTTGCCAGTTTTATATTGACATTTTGAATTAATTAAAAGTCTCATAATACAGGAACATTCATATAAAAACCACTCACTTAGGTGCTTGGGATGCTTTAACTTTTATGCAGCAAACTGGAAACGTTAAACAAAAATCACCATGAGGCTTCCTTTCCAGTAGAGGAAACATAATATGAATAGCGAACATATAAATAATTGAATTACATAGTATGTTAGAAAATAACAAGACCATTGGATAAAGAAAAACTGAGAGCAAAGTAAGGGGATAAAGATTCAAGAGGCAAAAAGTTGGAATTGTCTCTACCAAAACAGGGGAGGCTATAGGAAGAACAGGTGTTGTTATGTAAATGAGGGAATAAATTACAGGAGAGTGATTTTGACATGTTGGTTTTGACATGTATATTAGACATACAAGAGGAGATGCTGAATTGGCAGTTGTGTAGACAAATGTGGGATTCAGGGAAGTAATTTAGGCTGGATATATTGACAGTGATTTGTAAACACACAGGAGCTGGCATTTGTAGACATGCTATTAGACAAAATGATCAAGGGAGTGTAAATAGAGGAGAAACTTTGCAGTAGTAAGAAGTCATATAGAAGAAAAGGAGACCAAGAAAACAAGTGACTGTTTAGCAAAAACAAACAAACAAACAAACAAAAAAACAAGACTATATAGCATCCTGTGAAAAGAGAGTATAACCCAAACCTGGCCCTTTGTTATAACTTTGATATTACCTTACATCAGCAGCTAAACTTGCAGATACAACAACAGGAAGCAAAATATTTCTTCTCTTGTTCAGTTTTAAATTACTCACACTTTAGCTCTTTCTGTGTCACCTGTCTTGCCTAAGGTGTGGTTTTCATTATAATTAACTTCAGTGGAGAGGTGGGGATATCTGGGGTTATTAAATAGGCAGTTAGTAACAGTTGGGAAATTGCTGTATTGGGGAGAAAACACTGGGGGGGAAGAAGATGAAAACACATTAAAAGTTACAAGTAGGGGACTAGGAGTCATATTAACATAATTATTAAAATGCATTTTGTAACCCAAGATGATAACATGGATTTATTTATGACTACTAAATTTTCACATTCTAGGGAAATACTTGATGTAAAATAATATTTTGTTAGAGCATTCAAAATACCCCTAGTGCATTCTTGTCACCTGCTGTGCTCAAATATTTGCTAAGGATAGACTAAGAATGTAAGAATAAGAAAAAACTTCAGGGACTTAAAATTAGTAAAAATATATTGCATAATCTCACCATATGAGGCAGAGTAGGTAAGCAATAAAGGCAATAATTTTCAGAACTTTGCATGAAGAAATAGTAATTGAACACATAAAAATTAGCCAACCCTAAACAGGTAGGCAGAGGGTTCTACTCATTTTAATCACTTGAAAATCCAGGCTGAAGAAAGTGCCAACAGTTATGACACCATCATCTTAATTCGAGGCTTCAGAGTTCTCCAAGGCTGGAGTCCAGCATAGAGAACAGTGATTAAATATTAACTCTTCTAGCTCAGGATGACATATGTCTCTTCCGCTTACATTTTGTTGTTCTAAACAATTCACATATCTATGCCTATTTCTCTGAATATAAACAAGTATATTTCCTCTGGGCCTGAAGACATGTTAGGAGACAACACGTTAGGAGGTGCCTGTGATGTCTGTTAGACCCAATCATTCCTTATTATCTTAGGCTAGTCAGAATAAGTCTGTATCTGCCTCTTTTACCTCTTTACTATATTATAAGCTCTGTATATAATACTTTTTCATTGACTTGAATTAAATTGGAGGTAGTAAGGAGAGAGAAATTGTTCACAGTCCTTCGAACGGTAGAGTGTCAATAATACTTAAGAGAGGCTTGGATTGAATTGGTAAGGGAGTATTTTGAATTATTAAGTTATGTGCTATTAATCCTGCTTTTTTTTCTGTTATATTTTTTCCCTCTCATTAGATGGGCCTTTCTGCCATTTAGAGCATGCTGTATTCCTCATTAATTGGAGGTGAGTGATCAATACAAAATACAATTTAAGTTGTTAAATGTAGCTTTGAACTCCCATAGGCAAGTCAGAAAGATTTGGATTAGTATGACCAGAGCAGATTTTTTTCCTACCGTCAGACTACATTAAGACTCCTTTGACTGGATGAAGGATAGCAGAGAGATCCCACAGAGATAGATGTGGCTAGAAAGAGAGAACATAGAAGACAGTCTCTCTTCAAAGAGTTTCTACATGTCATAGATGATAAATGTCTCAGGGAAGGAGACACACGTGCAGTAATTTGGAGTGTAGTGGGGGTGTGGGAGGGCCTTATACAGAATTGGGGAATATCAACAGCTTGAAATTGAACAAAGAAACTGGGGACGCATAAATAGTGTGCTTATGGGGTCCAAGATGAATTTGGAAAGGGTAAACACTTGGAAGGAGGGAAGTAGGCTCTGATAAGAAAATTCCTACATTGTTGCTTGAAGCAAAAGTGAGCAGGAGAAATGGAGTAGAAATGGGGGGAGGTGAGGAACATGGGATTAAAAGTTATGTGGGAGAAGATTAACAAAAAAATCTCAGGTGCTACTGCCTTGAAGTCACAACAATAACATGTTAAACAATGGAACTAGTATAAGCTAACACTAAAATACTGTAGTATTCCTTTAACACTTTTAAGAAGCAAAACTTTCTGAGACAAAGAAATATAATTTCCCTTAGAATGCCATTTTAGAAACTCTTAAGTTGCTTATTCATTTTATCAACTCTGGAAATGTTAAAAGCCTTTTGGGAATATGTTAATGTTGAAAGAAGTTAATACATTCCACATGCTTCTGTGATTTTCTGTTAACTTTAAGTTATTCTACTCATAAAATGTGACACAATGAATCCTTTTGATTTTGTTCACTTTAACTCTTGAGTCTGTCATTTGCCTGGATGAGATGCAGCGTGGTGTAACAGTAAATACGAACACCAAACACCGGATGGCCAGATACAATTTACTAGCTGTGTGTGCATCAGTTTTTGCAGCTGTAAAATGTGCTCACAATACATACTTTTCAGGCTTGTTGTGAAGATTAAATGACTTACGCGTGCTAAATGCTCAGCCAGCGATGTGCTTAGAACAGAAAAGGCTTTTGACAAGAGATTCTTTTTTTAATGTAGATGTTGTGTTTTGATAAAACCCCTCTTTCTTTACAAAAATAATAGAAGGTGGAGTTAGGGAGATCTCCATAGCACGGGCTTCAATTTCCCACCAGTGCCGGGTGTGTCTTTAGAATTAAAGATAAACATTTGTCAACCCACACTTAAAGAATTTCATTGTTAGCATGCTCATTGACACAGAATTTTTTTCTTGGCCTCTTTGCCAGACTTGCAGCAGGGGTGCCCTGTCTACTCGGCCTGCTGTGTTCAGCCCCTAGCAAGAGGGAGCATGTGAGTGAGTGAGAATGGGATCCAGCCAGCTGCTCTGAGCATGACACAGGAGCAAGCTCCATGGGGGTCTGAGGCCAGAATGTGGCAGTGCCCAGCCAACAGTGCCTAAAACTCTGAAGACTCAGAGTGGGAATTAATGTCCTAATCAGCTATTTTAGTTCCACTGTCCACTGCCCAATGGATGGCAGTGTGTTAGCAGCTCAGTCAGCCCCTGGTCCTGTTGTATGGGGTGGCTGCTCTCTGCCAGCAAAGGCAAAAGGCCAGTGTGACAGCCTTTCTGGGCACCCACACTCAGTGGGTCCAGAGCTCTTGCCTAGCATCCAAAAAGAATGAGGATATGCTGACAATCCAACAACAAGCAAGGCAGGAAGTTTTTAGAGTTACGAAACAGCTTTCCATGGAGAGACGATGTGGGGTTGGTCCCCCTAATTGAAGGTGAGAAAGTCCTCCAGTATGGCTGAGTCCAGGACTTTTATGGGCTTAGAATATGGGAGTGGCAGGCCATAGGTAGTATTGGAAAAGGCAACAATCAATTGGTTAAAAGGCATTATTCAAAAAAATCAATCAGGAAAAGGCAGGCAAACCGGAAGAGAAGTTCTCATGCTGGGTGGCAGGTTTCATCTGGGACTAGCAGTCCAGTCTTTCAACCTTGAGGCTGTTGTTTGGCTTGAAGGTGAGGTTTCACTGGGGACCCGCCCCTACCTGCCTAGGCATTTGGCTGACACCTGGCGTTATCATCATGACCTTAAATGGGTGCTAAGCTCAGCACAGGAGAGATTTAATTATTGAAACATTGTTCCATCTAATTCTGCTTTCTGCCTCTGATAATCTAACTCATTGGTACTGATTTTTCCTTGGCATCCAGAGAAAAGCCTCTATCTCTTCTACATGGAAATTCTTCAGATAAATTAAAATGGTTAATATGTTTCCCATCTACTTATTTCTCAGGGCCAAAATAATACTTTCATATATTTGGACTATACTGTAAAATCCTTGTCATTCAATAAATATTCAGTTGTTAATAGCACAATAAAAATAGGTTTAAAAATGGTGACCCCTCTTTTTTCTCTCTCTCGATAATTTATCTTCTGAAATAACATCACTATCAGTGACTCTGAAATTTGGTAAAAAGAAAAATATTTCCAGATCTATGGATAATGAAATAGGAATTAAAACACATCAATATTAACCAAACAATTTGCACTTTGGGTCAAGAAGAAAATTGATATATTACTTGTTGCAGAAATACAATGGAAAACAAAATCTTGCATCCCAGAAAACATCTCCTCACAAAGGTAGCAGAGAAAGAAAG
The DNA here is from genome assembly GCF_000001405.40 of Homo sapiens. NCBI lineage: Eukaryota > Metazoa > Chordata > Mammalia > Primates > Hominidae > Homo > Homo sapiens. Next base: position 145,797,583 of record NC_000003.12, on the reverse strand, counting down.
CAAGTTTATTACTGAATAAACATTAAACTAGAATGTGATGTGTATCACAGGCAGTCTGCTAAGGGATTACAAAAACAAAAAGGAGGTGTTACTTTTTTTAAAATATATTTTCTATTGATGTATTGGCATGCATTGTTATAAATCATCTGTATTTTTCAATAGAAAAAAATTTTAAGATAATAACTTAGTGTTTAGAAAAATAAAAGGATAATTTTATTTTTAAAATGTATTTAAAATGTAAATATTGATTTGCCTTTAGGACAGCCAAAGCTATCCTAACAAAAAGAACAAAGCCAGAAACATTACACTACTTGACTTCAAACTATACCAAATGGCCACAGTAACCTAAAAGCATGGTATAAATACAAAATATACATGTAGTTTCATCCACACATACATTTTCAAATTTGTATAAATTCACAAACATGTATATTCTAAGATAAATAATTTAATTAAGATTAAAATTATTCACTAATTATTTTATGTAAGTCACTCACTTTGCCATATACATATATATATATATCTTTTAAATTTTAGCCTTTATCTTAGATACAAGGGATACTTGTGTAGTATTGTTACACAAGTATGTTGGAACTAGGTAGTTAGCATAGTACCCAATAGGTAGTTTTCCAACCAATGCCCTCCTCCTTCCCTCCCTCATCTAGTAGTACACAGTGCCTATTGTTCCCATGTTTATGTCCATGTGTGCCCAATGTTTAGCTTCCACTTATACTTGAGAACACACAAGATTTGGTTTTCTGTTCCTGTATAATTTCACTTAGGATTATGGCCTCCAGCTGCATCCATGTTTCTGCAAAGAACATGATTTCATTTTTTATGGCTGTATCATATTCCATGGTATATATGTACTACATTTTTCAATCCAGTCTACCATTGATGAACACCTAGGTTGATATCATGTCTTTGCCATTACAAATAGTAGAGCAATGAACATACAAGATCATTTGTCTTTGTGGCATAATGATCTATATTCCTTTGTGTATATACACAGTAACGGGATTGCTGGGTCAAATGGTAGCTCTGTTTTAAGATCTTTGAGAGACTCCCAACTGCTTTCCACAGCAGATGAACTAATTTGCATTCTCACCAACAGTGTATTAGAATTCCCTTTTCTTTGCATACTCACCAGCATCTTTTTTTTTTTTAATAGTAGCCATTTTGACTGGTGTGAGACAGTATTGCATTGTAGTTTTGATTTGTATTTTTCTGATGATTAGTGATGATGAGCATTTTTTTACTATTTGTTGCAAAAGTCTGTATCTTTATACACCAATAATGTCTAGGATGAGAGTCAAATAAAGAATGCAATTTCCTTTACCACAGCCACAAAGAAAATACAATACCTAGGAATACAGCTAACCAAAGAGGTGAAAGATCTCTATAAGGAGAACTACAAAACACTGCTGAAAGAAATGAGACAACACAAATAAATGGAAAAACATCTCAGGTTCATGGATTGGAAGAATCAATACCATTAAATGGCCATGCTGCCTGATATGGTTTGGCTGTGTCCGCACCCAGATCTCATCTTGAATTGTAACTCCCATAATTCCCATGTGTCATGGGAGAAACCCAGTGGAAGATAATTTAATCACGGGGGTGGGTCTTTCCCTTGCTGTTCTCATGATAGTGAATAAGTCTCATAAGATCTGATGGTTTTAAAAATAGGATTATCCCTGCACAACCTCTCTCATTGCCTGCCACCATCCAGGTAAGACTTGACTTGTTCCTCCTTGCCTTCTGCCATGATAGTGAGACCTCCCCTGCCATGTAGAACTGTAAGTGCATTAAGCCTATTTCTTTTGTAAATTGCCCAGTCTCAGGTATGTCTTTATCAGTAGTGTGAAAACGGACTAATATAGTAAATTGGTACCAATAGAGTTGGGTGCTGCTAAAAACATACCCGAAAATGTGGAAGTGACTTTGGAACTGGGTAAGAGGCAGAGGTTAGAACAGTTTGGAGAGCTCAGAAGAAGACATAAAAATGTGGGAAAGTTTGGAACTCCCTAGAGACTTGTTGAATGGCTTTGACCAAAATGCTGATAATGATATGGACAATGAAATCCAGGCTGAGATGGTCTCAGATAGAGTTGGTGAACTTGTTGAAACTGGAGCAAAAGTGACTCTTGTTATGTTTTAGCAAAGAGACTGGTGGCATTTTGCCCCTGCCCTAGAGATTTGTGGAACTTTGAACTTGAGAAAGATGTCTTAGGGTATCTGGTGGAAGAAATTTCTAAGCAACAAAGCATACAAGAGGTGACTTAGGTGCTGTTAAAGGCATTCAGTTTTATAAGGAGAGCAAAGCATAAAAGTTTGAAAAATTTACAGGCTGACAATGCAATAGAAAAGAAGATCCCATTTTCTGAGGAGAAATTCAAGCCAGCTGCAGAAATTTGCATAAGTAATGGAGAGATAAATGTTAATTCCCAAGACAATAAGGAAAATGTCTCCAGGACATGTCAGAGGTCTTCACAGCAGCCCCTCCCATCACAGGCACAGAGGTTTAGGAATTAAAAATGGTTTCGTTGGTCTGGCCCAGGTTCCCCATGCTTTGCGCAGTCTAGGGACTTTGTGTCCTGCTTTCCAGCTGCTCTAGCTATGACTAGAAGAGGCCAAGGTACATCTTCGGCTGCAGCTTCAGAGGATGCAAGCCCCAAGCCTTGGAAGCTTTCATGTGGTGTTGAGCCTGAGGGTGCACTGAAGTCAAGAATTGAGGTTAGAGAACCTCTGCCTAGATTTCAGAGGATGTATAGAAATGCCAGGATGTCAAGGCAGAAGTTTGCTGCAGGGGTGGGGCTGTCATGGAGAACCTCTGCTAGGGCAGTGTAAAAAGAAAATATGGGGTCAGAGACCCCATACAGAGTCCCTACTGGAGCATCCCCTAGTGGAGCTGAGAGAAGAGGGCCACAGTCCTCCAGACCCAAGAATGGTAGATCTACTGACAGCTTGTACAATGTGCCTGAAAAAGCCACAGACACTCAACATCAGCCCCTGAAAGAAGCCAGGAGGGAGGCTATACCCTGCAAAGCTACAGAGGCGGTGCTTCCAAAGACCATGGGAACCCACCTCTTGCATCAGCATGACCTGGATGTGAGACATGGAGTCAAAGGAGATTATTTGGAGCTTTAAGATTTGACTGCCCCACTGGATTTCAGACTTGCATGGGCCCTGTAGCCTCTTTGTTTTGGACAATTTCTCCCAATTGGAATGGCTGTATTTACCCAGTGGGAGTACCTCCATTGTATCTAGGAAGTAACTAACTTTCTTTTGATTTTACAGGCTCATAGGCGGAAGGGAGTTGCCTTGTCTCAGATGAGACTTCGGAGTGTGGACTTTTGAGTTAATGCTGAAATTAGTTAAGAATGTGGGGGACTGTTGCAAAGGAATGACTAGTTTTGAAATGTAAAAAGATGTGAGATTTGAGAGGGGCCAGGAGCAGAATGATATGGTTTTGTTGTGTCCCCACCCAAATCTCATCTTGAATTAAAACTCCCCTAACGCCCATATGTCAGGGAGGAACCCAGTTGGAGGTAATTGAATCATGGGGGCAGCTCTTTCCCATGCTGTTCTTGTGAAAATGAGTAAGTCTCATGAGGTCTGATGGGTTTTTAATTTTTTTTTTATTTTTCGAGATGGAGTCTTGCTCTGTCACCAACCTCTGCCTCACTGCAACCTCCACTTCCTGAGTTTGAGTGATTCTCCTGCCTCAGCCTCTTGAGTAGCTGAGATTACAGGTGCACACCACCATGCCTGGCTAATTTTTTTTTTTTTTTTGTATTTTTTGTAGAGACGGGGTTTCACCATGTTGGCCAGGCTGGTTTTGAACTCCTGACCTCATGTTATGTCCGGCTCGGCCTCCCAAAGTGCTGGGGTTACAGGCCTGAGCCACCACACCTGGCCCAATCTGATGGTTTTAAAAATGGGAGTTTCCCTGCACAAGCTCTCTCTTTGCCCGCTGACATCCATATAAGAGGTAACTTGTTCCTCCTTGCCTTCCACCATGATTGCAAGGCCTCCCCAGCCATGTGATACTCTAAGTCCATTAAACCTCTTTCTTTTCTAAGTTGCCCAGATTTGGGTATGTCTTTATCAGCCACATGAAAGTAGACTAATACACTGCCCAAAGAAATGTACTGATCTCACGCTATTCCTATCAAACTACAACCTACCAACATCATTCTTCACAGAATTAGAAAAAAAAAAAGATTCTGAAATTTATATGGAACCAAAAAAGAGCCCAAATAGCCAGAGCATTTCTAAGCAAAAAGAACAAAGCTGGAGGCATCACACTACTTGAGTTCAAACTATACTAAAAGGCTACAGTAACCTAACCAGCATGGTACAGGTATAAGAAGGGAGACATAGACCAATGGAACAGAATAGAAAACTCAGAAAAGAAGTTGCACACCTACAACTATCTGACCTCTGACCCGGCTGACAAAAACATGCAATGGAGAAAGGGCTCCCTATTTAATAAATGGTGCTGGGATAATTGGCTAACCATATGCAGAAGAATAAAACTAGACCCTTACCTTTCACTATGTACAAAAATTAACTTAAGAAGGATTAAAGATTTAAATGTAATACTTCAATCTATAAAAATCCCACAAGAAAATCTAGGAAATACCCTTCTGGATATCAGCCCTGACAAATAATTTATTTAGGGTCCGGAAGTACCCTTCTGGACATCAAGTCCCCAAAAGCAATTATAAGACAAACAAAAGTTATGTGGATCCTAATTAAAGAGCTTCTGTGCAGCAAAAGAAACCAACAGTGTAAACAGACAACCTACTGAATGGGAAAAAGTATTCATAAACTATGCATTTGACAAGGGTCTAATATCAAGACTCTATAAAGAAATTAATCAAATCAACAAGCAAAAAATAGCCCCATTAAAAAGTAGGCAGAAGGCAGGAACAGACACTTATCAAAAGAAACAATGTCATATTTTTCTATAGCCAAATGAATACTTATCACAAACATGTTTTCAGCATAAACAATAATTATATTTCAAGTAAGGGGACTTAACAGCACCGTTTATTTTTGCACATAGTTCATCATAAATTCGCCTGGTAATTGGGGTGACCATCTGTGTTAGTTAATTGGTTTTGTATAAAAGAAAAATAAACTCACATCTTTATTGTAGGAGATAGTTTTGCAAGTAAAAGCAAGGTACTAACTAAAGTTAGACTCCCATCCTCCCATAGACACTAGGAGAAGGAAGTAGTACTATCTCCTGAAGTTTCATTTCAAAAAGATGGCTTCCAGGTCCTTGAGGAAAACATTCCTTGGTCACAAAGCTAGCAAGAGGCTTGTATAGCTTCTACAAATACCTACATGCATTTCAAAGAGACTAAAATAATTTACAAATATTTTCTAAAGTTAATTTTCTAAGAAAAAGATGTCTCTTCTCTTATTTTGAACAAGGAGAATTAAACCTTTTTTAAAAAAATATTTATTTGTCCTTATACTCTGTAATCTATGTTTGTTATTAAATTGTGGGTTGTATATTTCTCATGGAACACTATGGATTAGAGAAGATTATTCCTGAAAAATGTTGAGCTCGAGTATTCCATGTCCTATGAAGGGATACATGAAGAGAAACTTGGAGAACATAATAAAAGGAAATCAGGGTTGTTGCAAAGAGACTTTGATATCTAATTTTACTCGTTAACAAAAGGGAGTGAAAGGATCTTTGCCACAACCTCTGGAGAGTTTGAGGACTCATCCTGAGAAAAGAAAAGTGGAGAAAAATAATATGCGCTCCAGAGCATAGAGAAGCTTTCTTAAATCTAATATTTTACAAAACCTGTGTCTGCAGTTTGCACTAGGAATCCTCAAGTCTCCATCAAACCTGCAGATTCCCAAGACTACCATGACCAATACTTAGCAGGAGTCTGCCCAAGACAGGAACCCCAGCTTCGCAGCAGGACAGTGTTGGGCATCCCTTGTTTCTCTCAGCAGGAGCCCCCACATGAGCAGTTCATGTAGCGGTTCACACAGCTGTCAGGGAGCCATCTTCTCCCCATGAGAAAGCTCATGTTCAAGGAGAGGGAACCCACATGGGGCATGTATGGGAGCTGCCCTGTTTTAAAAGCTTCTGTTTAGAAGCTCCATGACCCCCAGGAGAAAGTGTCTCTTGTAAAAACCATATAGTTGTAATGTCCAGGATCCCACAAGGGATAAGAGTCACTGAATCCAGCAAAGCTAAAAATATGGTATCTTCATCAGGCATTTATAAATCATATGTGGTTTAATAGCATATTTCCTAGATATTTAACATGTAATGAAGTCACAGAGTTAAATGAAAATGAAATGGCAGCAGAGAAACCCTTGGTCCATAATGATCTTGAGAAAGTCCTTCAACCTGTTTTAATCTCAACTTTTTATTTATAAAATGATGGCCATGTCCTTATCTTAAAGTGTAAATTATGTAGATGTAACGAGACAGTGTGGAAGAGATTATGGGGAGTATGTTAATCAGTAAATAACATTTGAAGCTGTCTATAATGGCCTGATAAGGTGTAATTGTTCAGCTCTTCTCAGTATAAACATTTGTTTTACAGGAGCTATTGAGAGAGGAAACCTGGAAGAATGCAAAACACCTTCAAATCTGGAAAACGCTTTTTCAAGCTAATCTCCTGTAGCAGAGTTGTAGCAAACTCATGGTTTGCTAGGATCTAAGGTGGATTGCAAGTTTCACATGAGTGGTATGCAGGGTGTGAAGTCAGGGGAGGTGGGTTTCAACCTAAGCCCTATTGGCTAGTTGAATAAAAGCATGTAATCTACTTTAAACACACCTGAGTCACGATAAAGAGGTATTATATTTTAATGTGATTCATGCTTGTATAGGTTGCATGTGTTTGTATTAGTAAGTGGTTTGTGTTTATCTTGTTTATTCACATTGCACCTGTTCAGGCTTTAAAATGTTATCATGCTTTTTCTCTCTGATCTACAACCAAACTCCGTGCTCAGAATTCTTCTCATTCTTTAACATTTATCTTTTAATTCACCTTCTATGAAAGACCATGTCCAGGTATCCTAGCCAGTGTTTTCTCTCACCTCTAAACCTGATAACCACATATTCCACTTATGCAATCGCTAACATACCTATCAGATTTACATTTCTTAGAGAACAGGAAGGCATTTGAAGTACACTTAATGTTCTTTCAAAAAATTCAGTACTCTCTACACAGTGGCTGAAATTTGATAATTGGTTGACAAAAGATGGTTAAAAGAGATTTATAAAAGAGGAAAGTAATCTGCAAATCCGCTTAGTGAAGAATTTTCTCTACTCCAAATGAATGTCAGGTTAGATTAATTTGGTTCCTCGATTTGGAGACTTCTTCAATTCCTTAAAATGTTCCCAAATCCTGTTCTCTTTTTTTGTTGAATTGTATTATCTGTTTTAAAGTCTCATTTCATTACTTTGCTCTCCTTTTCCACAGCCTTTCCATGCAGTAATTGTTAATAAACTTCACCTGTAAATTCATCCCTGCAGCATTCTGGAGTCAGGGCAGATGGTGTATCAGAAACCTCAGCCTCCTTAGCTGTAAAATCACAGTGCTCTCTTTGGTATAGTTAGACCCTAAAATTAACATGCCAAGGCTGAACCTTGGTGTCATTTGAACCTTCATTGCTAGTAGTTTGCCTAATTCTTGTCTCAACCTCCCCTGAAGGAAGAGGGCATTTCTGAGTCCTGTGATCCTATCAAGACCTGACATTCACCTCATTCCTGTTAGCACCATCTATTTTGGACCACTCTTGCTCTTTCTAGTTACTTGACTCTACATCTCAATTCGTCATCCAGTACTGCCTTGCAATACTACTAACTTTTTCTAATAGGTTTAATTACTCACATTTAAAATAGTTATACTTTTTCTTGCTTCAAATTTCCAACATATTCTTCATTTCCTCTGCCTTCAATATGAGCTGATGACAGTTTCTTATCTTTCGGTGGGAAAAAAAGAGTTTCTTCATTTCCCAGATGAAATCTACAAAACTATAGTGATTTAGATGCATCATCTCCTTCTTCCCATCTGTAACAGTAAAGGAAGGGCCCTCGTCATGGCCTGTTAGGCTTTGCATGGTCTGACCCCTGTTTGCCTCTGCAATTTCCTCTTATAAGTACCTACCTAAATACTCACTATACTCCAGCTTCTATCTGGAATACTCTATTTTCTAATTTTTTAAAATTTATTTTTATTTTTTATTTTTGAGATGGAGTCTCACTCTGTCACCCATGGTGGAGTGCAGTGGCACAATCTCGGCTCAGTGCAGCTTCCGCCTCCTGGGTTCAAGTGATTCTCCTCAGCCTCCCAAGTAGCTGGAATTACAGGCACCCACTACCATGCCCGGCTAGTATTTTGGAATTTTTAGTAGAGACGGGGTTTCGCCATGTTGGCGAGGCTGGTCTCGAACTCCTGAACTCAGGTAATCCACCTGCTTCAGCCTCCCAAAGTACTGGGATTACAAGCATGAGCCACCATTCCTGGCCTATGTGGAATACTCTTGTCTGTCTTTTCATGACTACCTTTCTCCCTTTCATTGGGACCCATTTTAAATGTCACTACCTCAGAGATTGTTTTCCTGGTCACCCAATCTAAAGTAGATAATCCACTGTTATTCTTTTATACCTCAGTCTGTTATTTTTTCCTGCAAAGTACCTGTACTTCATCAGTTGCCTCCACTAGATTGGAATTCTTCAAGGCAGGGACATGTGTCTCACTGTTCTAGTGCTTACTGTTCTAGCATATAACTCAATATTGGATAAAGGGCTGAATGCTATTTCTCAAACTGTGATATATGGACCTGCCATCACCACCTCACCCTGTGCCTCCTACACACCCTAATTCAAATGGGCTTGGAGATGTTGAATCTCCATTAAATATTTTCTACATCATGTGTTGTTGAATCTCAATTAAATATTTGCCACATCATGTGTTGAATTCTGAGTTGCTGTATATGGAGATGACTTTTAAAAAAATGTAGGGCCATGTGAAATTTATATAGGAGGATTCATCAGACTGTCCAATGACACACATGGTCTGCTACCCAGGTACCTCATGAGCTCACAGTTCCTAGGTTTTCTTGATTTCTGGACCAGAGCTCTTGGAAGCCTGCAGAATGGGGATTTTTATCGGCATGTGAACACTTGGTACAGAACCCTGATCATACGTTCAGATGCTGCTTCTTATTTTAGACCACTTAACACCAGAATTGCACTGTTTGTCTGAGAAAACTTTATTGGACTCAGTCCCCAAGGCAAGATGTAGTTCTCTGATGCTGTCTAGGTTTGCCCCAACCTCAGCTCTGTGGCTCAGCTCCACAGTTCTTCCATTTAAATTACTCGAGTTTACAAGAAGACAAAGTAATAATAATAGATAAAAATACCACTTTTAATTATGTTTTCCAAATCATAGATATCAATAATATTAAATTATCACAAAGTGATATAAAACAACCTATTGCATTTATTATAATTTACCAGCTATTAAAAGTAATATTTATTTTATATTTCTTTCTGTTAACTTTACTAGCAAAGAGTGGCAAGAGAAAAGCCAGTCTTATATAAAGCTGCAAATATGAATTGTCTTTTATCATGGAAAATCTAAGCTGGCCTTGAAGATATAATAATTTTACTTCATTTTGTGGGATACTTAAGAACTTTAATTCCATAAAGAAAGTGATCCATTTAGAAACAAAAAATCTATAACCTTTCTTCTTTTTTTAAAGTTTCTTACTGATTATTTTATTGTCAATCTGTGTGGCCCTTGATTTTTAATTAGTTACATGGAATATAAATGTCAATTTTTTTATAAATGTAATTTCTGTGGTATATTGTATTTCCAGAGAACCATCACTTACTCTGGTTTATTATGACATGACTTCAAGAGTTTAAACATATTACACAACTTTTAAAATAATCACTATTGGCTACATACACACAGGTACATGCACACACTTTATACAGCCTCTAGTAGGATGGAAGATATTGAAGCAAATATATGCAAAAATAAACACTTCTCAGATCATTATTTTTTCTTTACTAAATATAACCATTTCCCAGATTAATGTAGACATATGCAAGAAATTTTATGAATTTAATGCGGGTACTAGATGAAATCAGCCTATTATCTCATTCAGATAGATTAGAAATGTCTAGTGATATTATTTTATGTTAACATGTTTTTAAATTATCATCAGTGTGGGGGATAGTTCCAAATAGCAACTGCCATTACACTGAGAAAAAAAAGCCTCGTTTGAAGCCATGACACATGCTTGTAAGAAAATGAATGTTCCTATTCACACCAATTTTCATTCTTCTCATAAAAAAAGATGTTTCTCTTACAGATTCTAACTAAAAAGTTTTAAAATTTCCTTTCTTATTAGGTAGGCCTAAGAGCTATAGTTCTGTACATATTCCCAGCCAAGATCATTGGCCTTTGAAATGGATTTCTTCGTTAAATTAATATTCTTTTGGGAAGTGTTTCTGAAAACAATGATGTTTGTGGACTATGTATGCCCACAGTAACCTTTACCTTTGTGAATCCAAGCTTCAGTGTAGTGGTAGCTCGTATGAACATTACTGCAAGTTTATTTTTCATTTTTTGAAATCCGACTGTAAAACTGAACCCATTACAATTTATAATAGCTTAATATGTTACTGTTTTATACATTGTGTCTTAACATAATTTTTCCTTATATACCTCAGTAAAACAATGTCCACAGCAAAAAAAAAAAGTTAGTTGTGCCTAGCCGTCATTTGTCCCTTACAATCAGAAAACTAATTTACTGGTAAGAAGGGATTTATGACAGGTATGAAGATGTTATTCACCTTCACTTTGGAATGTCCTTTACACATGAAGCTTTTTTTTTCACCTACACCTGGAACTGATACAAAGAAAGATTTTATCCAAAGAGTAACTTTCCTAGTTCCACAGATTTTGTGGAAATCCCGTTATTAATCTTCAGTGTTGATCAGTTAAGACATAGAGCAAATGCCCTTGACATCTGCTTCAAAGTCTCTGTTCTTAATTGATTGACAGTGACAAATCCTGAGAAGAAAGCTGTAAGGCTACATAGGAGAATTTGTTAAATACAAAATATGTTTTCTGGAAAGTTCTGGAAGTGTTTGGAGATATAATTTTATTTGGCATAATTTTCAATAAATTTAGTACTGACTGTAAATTCCACATGTAAAACTAAATAAATAACAGTATTTCATGTGAGTGACAATTATGACACACATTCAGTTTGAATTCTTTACAGTGCAAAAGTTATTTGGTTCATTAGAATTAAGCTCTGTGGGAAAACAAAGAACAAAAAATAATACTCAAATAATGAATCTGTTGCAAATAGTTATGTAAATAAAACCAAGAAAAAATAACTACTGAAATTCATGATAACTAATAATACTAAGTGAAAAATATATTTGAAACACAATTTGAAATTAATTTTGAAAAATATAACACATGAGAGAAATTTTAAATACTAGTCTAAAATGAATTGCAAACATAAAATATTAAGGCTTAGTTTTGTTTTAGGTAAAAATTGTAGAGCTCTAGCTTTGTAGTTTGTGTCAGATGAATTTCACTTTCTCTGTTACTATACATTCTCACTCCTCTCTACTGTCCTCTAATCTCCAAGGCACATTCCTCTGAGGAACATTTCTTAGTACAGAGGTGAATTTAAAAGTTGCACAATCCACATGTCTTTCCTCTAACCTGTCCATCATCTTGGTAGTAGAGTCTTACTAAGGTCAAGGCACAAAGATAACAGAAAGGATCTTGTATCAGTGAATTTTCTTTTTTACTTCAACTACTGAAATTTAATTTCTCCTGATGTCATTCAAGGGATGATTACATTTACTTCCTTACATTTTGCTGTGAAATGACAAATCTTTGTTTCAGTTAGAGGATTGTGAATTATCAGTAGCAGGTGGGGATATGAGCCTGTCTCTGAAATGATGTAACAAAGTGAGTCAAATATTCTTCCAAAAGAAGATAATCCCTGGTTCAAATTAATCTGAAGAATGACGCTTAAACTGTCTGTGATATTTAAAAAAAATAGTATAAAACAGTAGTAATGACAAAATGAGAAATGTGCGTATTTGGTCTCCCTGCCAACTTAGCACACAGCACATTCATCTTTATGCTTGTGAACACATTCTGTGGGTAATTTACCAAATGGGAACCATTTCCTCCCATAATTATCTTTATTTCTACTCATATCATTATATTATTTTCAAGTAATGTCATTTATTGCTGTGATTTGATTAGACTCCTTCAAAACTAATACTTAATATAACTGCTTCTGCTAGTAGAGTACATTTTTATTTTATTTGGATAAATACGGATAAATATTAAAATCTCCTTTTTTGGGGAGAACTATATATATAATATTTTGGAAAGTTAGGTAACAGAGATAAATAATCACTTCAAGGATCAACATAATAAACCTTAATACCAAACTTGGACTTAAGATACTGTAGTATTGTAAAGGCCATTGATCCATGAATGAAGTAAGTAGGGTTACATCCACTTTTATTACTATGATGACGACAAGAACGACTACTAATAAAAAGTGCCCCTTTACAGTGTCTGAAAACTGTCAGATATATTGATAAGTGATTCACGTGCTGTTGTTACCTTTACTATTTTAGAGATAATATTGCTTTCAAGATGACTGTGGTGAATTTTGCTCTGCGGATTGTGCTTCTGATTTGAAGACAATGTTTAATCTTTCTGTTCTTTGGCACCTTAAAATGATGTTTGGTGGTCAGGAGCCTGGGCTCTGTCCTCAGTTCTGTCATAATTAGTAGTATGACCTTGATATAACCAATTATATTCTCTGTGAAGGAATTTTCTCATTTTTCAAATAGGAGAAGCATGTGTTCAAACTGCCTCCCAAGTTTCTCATGAGGATTGACAGGATTAATTTATATAAATTAATTTATTAAAATAAGGATATATTATATTTACATATATAATATGTATCTACACACACAAAGGATAAAATATTACTACTCTAAATATTAAATACTTCAGAAGTTAAATCCTGTATATGGAGTAGTTTGATCTTATTGGTTACTGGATCTCAGAAGCTTTCTGATAATATAAATTTCTTTTTTACTAAAAATGTTTCTGAGAGTGTTTACAGCTTATAACTATGAAGATTCCTTGAAGAAGCAGCTGCTTTTCTCCATGGGCATATAGGAATTATGCATTAACTGGAATTCTTGTTTCTTTTTGTTTAAAAAAATCATTTAAGAGCATTAAATTTATTTGACAGTAATAACGGATTGTTGTTCCTGCTCATTGAGTATTGAGTTAATTAGATAGCTCAAGTGTTTCAAATCAGTAGAATTTTTATAATATGACACATTTGAAATAGTCTAACATTTTAATTATATATACTATATAACTGAGAATATTAGTTGTCATAAAACCATGTGATAGAATATTTAGTGTCTGAGCAACTGGTCAAACTATAAAGTTAGTGAAAATCAAATGCAGATTATACATCACCACGTAAAATGGATTCAACACCATCTGCATTATATGTATGTGTATATATAATGATTACACGGAATTATTAAGTAGAGATACATATATATCTAGATACTTATATAAATATATATACATGTATAGATACTTACATAAATATATATACACATATATATTTAGATACTTATATATTTAAGTATATACACATATGTATCTAAATACTTATACATAATATATAGACATATTTATGTTACAATTTACATAAAAATAACAGTGGAGTTTCTCTTAGTGGCAGTGGCAGGGTTATGGATGATTTTTAAATCTATTTTGTGTTGTGTTTGGGAAGTTTTTTTGTTTTTTGAATCAAAATTATACATGCTCACTGTTTAAGAATCGAAGTGTCTGTAAGGTTTGTTTTTAAAAATAACAGTCTTCCTTGTAATTTCCCTCTCTTCAGAGTTATCCCCTTTCAACTTCTTTAGCAGGTTTTGTGGCTTTTACCTTCTTTCCTCTAAAACTAATGAATTTTTTGTTGTACTACCTGTTGACTTTTCCGTTTTGATGTTATTTTTGGACTTTCTTTTCTACATCCCTCTCCAGCAGACACAGAAACCAATTTGCCTGATACTGTTATGTAGTACTTTTGGTTACATAAATATTCAGTGTGCAAATTTCATGACAATATAAATGTTTTTGTCATCTGAGTTATATAAAACACTACGATTTTTATGTCCTCCACTATTTTTGGTTTTCCTGGAATTATTGATGTTTCTGTTTTCTGTTTTCTTACTTTTCTAAGTATTTCTCATCAATGTAAATTTTTCATCATTTATCTAATTCTACTCTGTAGGCATACAGACATGTAACGCACTATGTAAATTACATCATCTTTGGAGGTATCCTTCAGTGCCTTCTGATGTCCTCCACTTTGGGCTGGTTGCCTTTGTACTACCCTACTGGCCCCTTTCAACATTACCCTGTGGGTAGCTTTGTCTTTTCTATGATTTTGGATCTCCTGTTTATTATGTCTCTACGTTTTCTTGGTTTATTCTCCTTCTTAGGTGGAACACAATCTTCAGAGGCACCCTGAGATAAGATGGGTGCTGAAAACGCACTTATTCTCCACTCACACTCAATAGATAGTTGGAGTGGACATAGAATTCTTCATTGGACATTACTATCCTTCATGATGTTGAGACATTCGTCCATTGTTTGTAGCTTTTGTGTTGCCCTTAAGAAATACGATGCATTCGGATTCCTGATCTTTTGTTTATATCCTTTATTTTTTTTCCTCTAACCCTTTAAAAGCTGCTAGGATAATGCTATTCAGAGTGTTTGGAAATTGCAAACATTCAGTTGTCTCACGTCATCCAGTATGGAGTATTTAATGAATATGTTTACCATGAAAACTCATGTCTCAGTTTATTTACCTCCCTCCAATGTTTATGATCTCTTTCTTTCTGTAACTCCTATTATTCAAATATTAGACTGAATGGCTTGTCGTCTAATTTTCTTGTCTTCTGTATTATATGGCTATTTTACTTTTACATTATTTTCAGGGAAGCCTCCTTAACATTATTTCCAAAAGTTCTATTAATTTAAAAAATCTCTAGAATCAGTTTTTAATTTTCAAGAGTGTTTCTTTTTTCCTAAATGTTCTCTTTCATAGCACAGTAAGGCTATTGATTTGGTTT
Source organism: Homo sapiens (assembly GCF_000001405.40). Taxonomy (NCBI): domain Eukaryota; kingdom Metazoa; phylum Chordata; class Mammalia; order Primates; family Hominidae; genus Homo; species Homo sapiens. The sequence continues at coordinate 145,782,360 of NC_000003.12, read as the reverse complement.
TTGATTTTGCCCATTGCTGACTTTGTTTGTAGGACATCCTTTTATTTTCTTTTCCTCCTATTCCTCTTTCTCTGTCTCATCCTCCTTTTCTTCCTTCTCTCCTCTTTTGATTCTCCTTCTCCTCCTCCCCTTCTTCCCTTTCCACTCCTTCTCCTACTTTTTCTCTTTCTTCTTCTCCTCCTCAGGTTTTGACTAGTCATTTACCATTTGTTCATTTGCTCTCTAGCTTATAAAAATCTGTGTGTTATTATCTCCTCTTTTTTTGTGGATTTATTTCTTCAAAAATTCTTTTACTTTTTTTGTATTGAGTATTGGGGAGAAAGTCAAATATTTGCTTATTTGTTATGTTTGTCTAGAACAAATACTGCTATATATTTTATGATGAAAACATGTCGACTTTGGAATAATAACTACAAAAATCTATACTATGTTATTTAAAAAATATCCCCGGCAGATTTCTTTGTTTTACCCATTTTAGTTTTATTTACAAGTATACTAAATATTTTCTGAGTCTCATAATAAAACAAGAGATGTTTCCAAAAAACCAACACATTTAATCTCTTAGAAGTGAATGTTTATTTTTAAATAATATCAACAATATCCAAATTTTGTCCCCAAATTTATGAAGACTATAAATCCTTGACTTCTTCATTTAAAGACACTTACTAGACATGTTCTCTGTTCCGGGTCCTGTACTAGGTTCTGAGAAATAGAAAGATGAGTCAGGACAGTCTCCTGTTAAGAAACTGCAGGACTGAACAGAGAATTCTGGAGATAATTTTTATGTTGAAAAAGTTACAATCCAAAGGAAGTTGATTAATATATCCAGGGTCACATATTTACTGAGCTGGGGTTGTGATTTGGGGCCCATTTGATTTATCTATTACAAATATGTTGTGGCTTCATCTATTGTATATATGTGTGTGGTCTTGTGGTGGTGCCAGTATGTTTGGTAATACAGCGGTGTTCGTTTTGGCTGTTCTAAGGCTGTGCTTTGATTCATGATCCCACATAGCCTAGGAACTAACGGTGCACATGAAGAAGTCAGTCTGCCTAGATTTGATTCCTGTGTAATTATAAGCCCTGTGGTGCCTCGATTTGTTTCTGTGTAAATGGGGATGATGATAGCAGTTAGTTGATAGGGGTATAGTGAATATTACAAGCATTAATATATTTAAGGGGTTTGGGAAAAATACTTGGCAATGGAAAACACTGCTCAAGTTTTAGCTATTATTATGGCCTGAGTTGTGCCAGCTTGCCTCCCTCAAATTCATATGTTGAAACCCTAACACTCAATGTGACTACATTTAGAAATGGGGCCTTTAGGGAGGTAATTAAGGTGAAATGGGGTCCTGAGGATGGGGCCCTAATCCAATAGGGCTTTTGTCATTAAAAGAGGAGGAAGAAGCCAGATGCAGTGCCTCACACGTGTAATCCCAGCACTTTGGGAGGCCGAGGCAGGCAGATCACCTGAGATCAGGAGTTTGAGACCAGCCTGGCAAATATGGTGAAACCCCGTCTCTACTAAAAATACAAAAATTAGCTGGGCATGGTGATGGATGCCTGTAATCCCAACTACTCGGGAGGCTGAGGCAGCAGAAACACATGAACCCTGGAGGCAGAGGTTGCAGTGAGCCGAGATCAAGCCACTGTACTCCAGCCTGGGTGACACAGTGAGACTCTGTCTCAAAAAATAAGAAAAATAAAGAGGAGGAAGAGACACCAGAGAGCTTGTTTGCTCTCTCCGTTCTCAGAAAGAAGTCGTATGAGGACACAGTGAGCAGGTGGCTATGTACAAGCCAGGAAGGGAGGCCTCTTTAGAAACCAACCCTGACCACTCCTTGACCTTGAGATTCTAGCCTCCGGAACAATAAGAAAATAAATTCCTGTTGTTTAAGCAATGCAGTCAGTGGTATTTTGTTATGGCAGCCCAAGCAGACTAATACAGCTGTCATTATTTGCCTACTGACTTGCACTGGATGTTCTTACTTGCTGCTCATCATCTCTTCCATCTGTGATAGTGGTCCTTTTGTGACTCCGGTGTCATCCTATCCTCATCAATGATACAGATTTACTTAAAGCATTTAGCTAGATTTTTAGAATCCAAAGAGTTATTAGACATTGTCTGAGTTCTTAAATTTAATATTTATTAAATTGGTCAACTGACAATTTTAGGGATTGTTTTCCTAGGTCCAAAAAATATTCAGGGAGGAAATGGGTCTTGAAGTATAACTCTAAGGAGTTATTGAAATAAAGGAGTAAAAATACTCAATATGGTCAGGTGCGGTAGTTCACGCCTGTATTCCTAGCACTTTGGGAGGCCAAAGCAGGCGGATTGCTAGAGCCTAAGAGTTTGAGACTAGCGTGGGCCACATAGCTAGACCTCATCTGTACAAAAAAATACAAAACTTAGCCGGATGTGGTGTCACACAACTGTAGTCTCAGATACTTGGGAGGTTGAGGTGGGAGGATCACCTGAGCCCAGGAAGTCGAGACTGTAGTGAGCTGTGATTCTGTCACTACACTCCAGCCTGGAAAACGGAGTAACACTCTGTCTTGGAAAAATAATAAATAATAAAGCAGAAATTGAGTGAGAAAATCTTAAAAGTTGGGAAAGTAGTGTCACTTTCTACCTGTGTCCTTGGACAAGCCACTTAACCTTGCTCAGTTTCAGTTTTTTTATCTGTGAAAGGCAAGGATATTAATAGTGCTTGATGAGTTGTCCATTTAAAAATTTCAAAATAATTGTCAAATAATATTTATGAATATTATTTGAAGATGTTTATCATGTATTTGAGGTAAAACCAATAAAGCAAAAATAGAGGGAGATCAGAAAAATGTTGGGGAGGAAGAGTCGGGTTAAATTTCGGAGAACCCTATGGGTCAGAAGTTTCAGGGTTCATTCTATTGGCACTGAGGAAATCTTGAGTTTGTAAGCATGGACATGGTATGGTTTTAGGAAAATTCATCTGCAATCTTACAGCAGAATATTTTTAGGCAGTGAGAAAGTAGATACATACAAATTAGCAATGTTTTACAATATTCTAAGAGAAAGAGGAGATAGATTAGTTTTATGGTAATTATACTAGGAATATAAGAAAGAAATACTATAAACATAGTAGCTTCAGGTTTGACCGCTAAATAGATGTGAGAAAGTGGTCAGAATCAAGTATGATTATGAGATTTTTGAGCCTACCCTAGTATCAAAGAAAATAATGAATAATTTGTATTGCAGAGACAAATATGTTATTTTCATTTGAAGTAATTGTGTGTGTGTGTGTGTGTGTGTGTGTGTGTGTGTGTGTAATATGCAAATGGAGATACTTCAGCTATAGCTGACCATGAAGCTCAATGAAAACACCTAAGAGTGAATTGTACAGCTGCTTGACAACAGAAAAAAAGACTTTTAGAACATTACTGGTTAAGATGACAAGAATATAATTTTTTGGTTGCTTAATCACTTAAGCAATGAAAATTTGAGTCTAGTCAGATGTGGTCAGTAAAGCTTAAAATTAATCAGGTATGGTGGTGCTCATCTGTACAGCCCCAGCTACTCTAGAGGCTGAGGTGGGAGGAGCGAGCCTTGAGCACAGGATGTAGAGGCTGCAGTGAGCTGTAATTGCATCACTGCAGTCCAGCCTGGGCAACAGAGTGAGACCCTGTCTTCCAAAGGTGTCTACCTTTTTAAAAGGTAGTCACCTAAGACACTTCCAATTATAAAGACTTTATTGTTATGACAGCTTCAAACACAGGTGGATTAAAACAAATCTGTGTGTTAAATAGTCTTACATAAAACACAGAAAATTTAATCTTTTCTAAAATTTATATTAGTAGACTTCATTGTTCTTCATGTTTCTCAATTTAATTTTTCGATGGCTGGATTCAACAGAAATTTTGTCACTTGGGTAGTAAGTGGAAGGGACTATTACTTCAACTTCATCAAAGTGCAGTAGAGTAACTATCTGTCACACCAGCAAAGATAGATTTTCCAAAAGAAAATATTGAATACTTTGAGAACTAGTTATAGCTAACATTTTTTAAGTGATTACAAACTAAGATGCTGGATTTTTAAAAAATTGAGTAATTTACCCACCATGACAACAACAGATGATATTAACATCTTTATGGATGAGAAAAGCTAGTTTTATTGTTTTAAATCAATAATTCTTAATCCCAGCATTTTGGGAGGCCAAGGAGGGCAGATCACGAGGTCAGGAGTTCAAGACCTCGTTGAACTCCAGTTCAGCCAGTTCAGCCTGGCCAACATAGTGAAACCCCATCCCTACTAAAAACACAAAAAATTAGCAGGGCATGGTGGCGGGTGCCTGTAATCCCAGCTCCTCCAGAGGCTGAGGCAGGAGAATCCGTTGAACCTGGGACGGGGAGGTTTGAGTGAGCCTAGATCACACCATTGCACCCCAGCCCAACCGACAGTTCAAGACTTCATCTCAAAATAAATAAATAAATGCAAACAAAATAATAATGATAATTCTTGAACTTTGGTATATAACAAAATCACTTAGAAGAAGGTCTGGCCTTCTTTGCATTTTTACCAAGTCCCACAGGTGCTTCTGAATGCCACCCAAGTTTTAGAAGCACTGGCTAATAGTGCTTCTGGCTAATATGCTAATAACTTACACTTTTAACTAACATGCTCTACAGTTTCCAACTATATCTGCTCTTTCAAATCACTAGGATATTTATATAGTTTCTAAAACAAATATCTAAATCACTCCTTCCTCCTTTGAACAAAATGTACTAATGGTCTCTCATCATTTAGGTTTTTAGTTAACTCTATTATAAAGAAGTTTGCTATCGATGTTAGATAAAAATGTAACAAATATATGTTGTATTTTGATGAATTGTCACTGTAAGTTTTCTTATAGAAAAAGGATGAAAGTATTGTAGAAGTCATTCCTATATTGGAAGTGGTGTTTAAGTCAGTGAATTGCCAGATGCCTGCAAACTGTCGTGTCTACAGACCTGTGAGACTATGCACGGCCTCTCCAAAGCTTGAAATACAATACAATGAACCTTGAATAATGTCCTGCCCTTAAACACTGGACATTCAAATAATTTGCACTATTAAGAGTATAAAATAAAGATAAACATTAGCATTAGTAGTTTAACATAAAAACAATCTACTATACTGCTTTTCTGAATGGGTTTTTCAAACGAGATTTTAGGTTTCTATAGAAGCAGGAGTTTCAGCCCTCAAACTTGAGCCAACTAATTTTCTGATGAGACACTAACAACAACTACAAATGTAGTTAAAATTTTCTCTTTCTGGCCAGAAGGAATTTTTCCTGTATTTGGAGAAGAAAATGATGTTCAGCTTGTGGACGATTCTGAAAAGGCTCTGAGTAATGCTTAGGGACACATGACTGTAGCACCCCCTGCTGATGACTTCTGGGATTAAAGTTCATGTGATACTGGTTTCAGCTCCATGATTCCTCAAGTCATTTCACTTTGCTGGTGAGACAGAAAAGTAATGTTATCTCAACTTGTCTTATTCAACAATTAAATTCTATTAGTTTTACATTGAAATTCTAAATCCTAAGATTTATTGGGTTATTGATAATTTTTATCACCTGTTGGTAATCTATTCATTTCATTCATCCATTCAGCAAACACTGAGTGCCCACTCTCTGGCTGTTGATGTTTTAGTTGTATGAGATATAGCTGTTAACAAAACGAACTTACTTCCTTCATGGGGTTTACATACTGGGGTGGAGTGGGGGAAGAGAGGGTTAAAGATAGAGAAAGAGGGAGGAAGGGAGAGAAACAGGGAGGAAGGGAGAGGGAGAGGGAGAAACAGAGGAAGAGGGAGAAAGAGGGAGAGGGAAGGAGAGAGGAAGAGAGAGAAGTTGATATACAGCATGTCAGATGATGATAAGCATTATGGAGATATTAAAAAGAAACAAGGTAAGAAGAAAAGCAAATGCAGGTGAGGATTGAGAAATTCTTTTTTTTTTTTTTTTTTTACAAGATGGTCTTCATTTTATGAGATTTTTCTTCCCACACATTGAAATAATTCACTAAAAACAAGCAGTCCTCCCTCAGCAATTAGAGTAATAATAAGTCCCAATCAGAAGTCAAGCACAGAGGGGAGGCAGTGTTAGTCATGGGAGGCAGATCTGTTAACGGAGGGACAAGGCATATTTTTGGAGAAACTTTTATATTCAAAATCTAACAATCTTTACCTAGCATCAGTACTAAATTTGAAGAAGTACATGAGACCAAGTTCCTTTGTTCTATTTATTGTTTCAAAATCTGAATTGTTTGTCACTTACAGAGCAAGGAGAACAGAGCACTGTAAGAATGATCTCAAGGTCTTTGTGATCATTGTTACAAGGTCACAGCTGTTTGCACATTGTATTTCAAAATCTGAAAGTATGTTATCACAATCCCATTCTTAACATGAACACATCTACCCAATGGGTGGGGAAGGACTTTAGCTGTTTCTCTGTTCCAGTCCCCTGCCCTAGGACCACCCAGCTGGCAAGGGCCACATCCTGACCATCTCTTGTGGTCAGAGCACAGGGTGACCACATTTATGGAGCTCAAATGAGCCAAGTCTCAAAGCAATGGAATGAACAATTTGTTTCCACTTATGTTAAACCAGGGAAGAAAAAAAATCATTGAATACATTAAATAACATAGGTCAATAGAAAGAAATGTATTTCAAAAAGGATAGTCTGTTGCGAACACAAGATGACAGCCATAGCTTAGGACGTTGACTGCCTTCAGTTCCCCTGTCTGCTCTCCCTATCAGTGCTACACCCAGGGTCAAACCCAACTCTAGATCAATCAAGGGTCTGCCTTTTCAACATCTACACCCATGCTGCTATGTATGCTCAAGAAAAATCACACACTTTTATGGGATTAGAAAGTGACAAACGTATGATCCTCAAAATAGCCTGGAAAATTCTCATTGTGTTTCTAGTCAATTCCATCTCCTATTTTTAACTTTGGCTTCTCTTCTCAACTGCTGACCTTATCACAACCCTTCCCTCAGGAGAAGAGCTAACTTTTTATTGCAGGCAGAAAAGAGAAAATACCTGATTGTTATTCCCTAAGCATCCTATCACCTATAAAGGTATCTGCATCTACTTAATCCTTCCTAATTCCTTCCTACTTTAGTGGGAAAGGTCTTCTCCTTGCTGTTCAAGGATGATCCTTTCTCAAGTATTCCCGTATTCTCAGTGACATGGCACCATCCTTCATCTATTCATCTCTTCATTCCCTTTGCCTACTGGCTTCTAAGGCTCTATGAAAATAATAAGTCAGTGGGCTTTGGAGAAAACCTGTAGAGAGTTCCTCTCAAACTCAATTTCCTCATTTGTCAAATGGGGATCAGAGCTCCTCTCTTACAGTGTCTTTGTAAGGATTAAGTGATGCAATATAAAAATCACTTGGAGCACAGCAAATATTCCAGAAACCCGACAGTTTGTGTTACTCCTGTTGCAGTGTACTACCAATTTATTTGTAATAGTCCTTTACAAAGCACGTTTACATGCCTTTCCAATTCTATCCTTACAAAAGCTTATAATATAAGCAGGACAGATCTAGAAATTGATTCAAAGTAATAAATTTTCTTTCTCAAGGTCACGGAGCTAGGTGGTGGTGGATTTAGGACTCAAAATAAGATTTTCTGAATCCTGCCTGCTTCATTGCTTGTGCACCTACATTTACTGCCTTTTTAGTTTTTGAATCCTTATGGGAAGTATGCTATCAGTTGTGGATTTGGACTCATTTGAACTCAGGAGCTAATGAACTGCTTTTGTTATAAAATAAAATTGTATTTCTCTGTGCAGATATCATTTGTGTTTTTCTTTGTATCGTGGATTACTTACAAGTTTGATGTTCTTTATGTATGCAAAGTGGGATAGGCATTAAGTGCATTACCTGAAGCAAAGACTACAGCTGTGTGAGGTTGATGAAACTACAATAGATTTCACAAAGTGCTTTTTGTGAACAAAATTCTAAACACTTATGACAAAGTCTATATAACATATGGTCTAGCATCCATTTAAATTTGCAAATGTAAAACATGCACAAAGAGGAAATATGTGAGTTTTATTTTCTTTCTCAGTCTTTTTTAATAGACTCCAGGTTTAAAGGAATTTGGGGAATTAAGTTAGTTCAGTTTGCTATTTTCAAGATTATATATGGGTCACCTGAATTTCAAGATACTTCATAGCTTGTGTTAACAACTTACGTCAGTATGAAATAACTTTATGGACATGGTTTCTTTATTTCGTTTGGGGGAGACAGAACTGTATATTTCTTGACCTTCTAAAAAACTGAGATAACAAATGAATACTCAGGAATATGTGTCATGGTACTGGCATAAATTAATGTTAGAGAGCAGAATTCAAAGAATTCTGGGAGGGTTAGGATTGCTACGGTTGAAGAAAACTGCCTTACATAAGATCATGCCTGATCGTAAGGGCAGCCCACATCCAGTGGCCAATAAATGGAATTGTATAAAGGCTTGGCCTTCTTGCCTCAATTCACAACTGCTCTGAAGGATGTCAAAGAGAAATACTTAATAGCACTAGACGCTTATTAAAAGTGGCAAGGCTGATTTATTCAGCCTTCTGCAGTAGGAAAGAGACACTCCATTAAAAACTATGCTCACTTCCAACTAAGACAAAATTAACTAGGAGAAAATAGAGAGAACAAAAAAGGGCTATAAGGAAGTAAAATAAAGTAACTAAAGGGGACTGGGGGCTATGGGGAAGTGAAAAAATATGTGATGGGGGATAAGTGGAAAATTATTGAAAATCATTTGGCAATGTACATTGGGACAATGTGCACTTTGTTACATTTTCTTGAGCAAAGACTCAGCCTAGGGGCTGGTGCCACCTCTAGAAATACCACCTAGGGGAGGTAGGAGTCAGGCTAAAGTTTGGCCAAGTCTCTCAGCACTGTGTTCAGGCAGGTCCTTTGTGCCACCTGGAAGTTCACAGTCCACAAGGTGCACACCTTTGAGACTACAATGACATCCAACTTCTCCCTCTGCTCAATCAATCCTCCATCCATTCTCCAATCTTCACAGGTACAGATCCCAAGAGCTCTAATGAACATCCTGTATGCTAGACTCCAGCTGAGGCGGTTTCTCAGGTCCTCCAGCTTCTTATGTTTCTCATAATTATAACCCATGGGCATTTCATACATTTGAAATGGAAGATTCTTTTTTCTCTCTGCAGACATCTTGCTAATTAAGTAAAAGATTACTATAGCCTTGGAACACGTGTCAGCTATAGGATTGTAGCACTTCCTTTCTGCTAAAAAGATGTGGTTCCTTTTGGCTGACACATTTTAAGTCATTTGTGGGTAAATTTCTACACATTCTATGCTTGACTTTTTGTATGTGTGTTTTTTTATTACTGAAATGATATATTATATTCCTAAATAACAGAAATGGATCAATTGTTCAAAGGCCATCCACTAAATCATAAATATAGAGACATAGTAACATAAATGCTACAACTCAAACAACATTATAAATATAATCTACTACCTTTTAAGTACAGAATAAATTACATGGGTATAGCATGTAAATCTGACATGGTGTTTTTACACAAGCAGTCATAAAAGTTGCCAACAGGAAGGAGAACTGTATATAATAGAATTGGATTTTACTGGACCAATAAAGTGATTCATCTACCTCTATTCTTTGGAACATTGTTTGTATTGAAAATTTGTTGAATAGCATCAAGAAACCAATGAAGCTATCACATATTTTTAAAACAAAGCACAGTGATCTCGCTAGTCAACCAAATTAGATGTATTTTTTTTAGAATAAGTGAAAAATATTGCTTTCTTTCATGCAATTGATCAATTTAGTTGCTAAAAATAAAGACTCAAAGTTCTAGTTCTTGAAAAAGAAATATTTAAAAACAAATGCAAGGTTATATAGCCTCAGAAAGAAAGCAGTAGAAGCAATTTTCAGAATTTGTTTTATTAAATAGTATTGACGAGCATCAAATAATACCAACTCATACAATGTCCAAAAGTAATAACTCTCTCAGACAGATAATCTTATGGTGGGACAAATCCTTGAAATGCAGAGACTGAATGAGCTCGTGGCACTTATGTGAAACACGTGAGAGAGAGGTGGTCTATGAGATTTTGTTTTATTATGAGAACCCCATGGTACAGAAGAAGTGGTGTTTTAATTTAGGTGATGATTACTTGGTGAGCCGTAATGAAACCTGGATACAGTGTGCTCACATTGGCACTAAAGTACAATTTATGTAGAGGTAGCAGGAAGGCCATTGCTACTTGAAGGCAGCTCTACATACAGCTTTACCACAAAGTGAACGTGTTACACAAATGAAATATGAGTAATTCATGATGCTGAAGGGTGAATGAGCAGCTCTGAACTAAGACTGCTTTAAAGTTTATAACACTCTTAGTGTTGCGGGAAGTCAGGGACCCCAAACGGAGGGACCGGCTGGAGCCGTGGCAGAGGAACATAAATCGTGAAGATTTCATGGACATTTATCAGTTCCCAAATAATACTTTTATAATTTCTTATGCCTGTCTTTACTTTAATCTCTTAATGCTGTTATCTTAGTAAGCTGAGGATATATGTCACCTCAGGACCACTATGATAATTGTGTTAACTGTACAAGTTGATTGTAAAACACGTGTGTTTGAACAATATGAAATCAGTGCACCTTGAAAAAGAAGAAAATAACAGCAATTTTTAGGGAACAAGGGAAGACAACCATAAGGTCTGACTGCCTGCTGGGTTGGGCAAAAAGAGCCATATTTTTCTTCTTGCAGAAAGCCTACAAACGGATATGGAAGTAAGAGAGATATCACTAAATTCTTTCCTTAGCAATTAATATTAATACCCTGGGAAAGGAATGCATTCTTGGGGGGAGGTCTATAAATGGCCGCTCTGAGATTGTCTGTCTTATGTGGTTGAGATAAGGACTGAGATGTGCCCTGGTCTCCTGCAGTACCCTCAGGCTTACTAGGGTAGGGAAAAAACTCCACCCTGGTAAATTTGTGGTCAGACTGGTTCTCTGCTCTCAAACCCTGTTTTCTGTTGTTTAAGATGTTTATCAAGACAATACATGCACTGCTGAACATAGACCCTTATCAGTAGTTCTGCTTTTGCCCTTTGCCTTGTTCACTCAGAAGCATGTGATCTTTGGTCTGCTTTTTGCCCTTTGAAGCATGTGATCTTTGTACCTACTCTCTGTTATTTCACCCCCTCCCCTTTTGAAACCCTTAATAAAAAACTTGCTGGTTTGAGGCTCAGGTGGGCATCACGGTCCTACCAATATGTGATGTCACCCCCGGGGGCCAAGCCATAAAATTCCTCTCTTTGTACTCTTTCTTTTTATTTCTCAGCCAGAAAATAGAAAGAACCTATGTTGAAATATTGGGGGCGGGTTCCCCCGATACTTAGAAGTGAACACATGTTTGTTTCCATTTCAAAGATGGTGAAATCAATAGAGGAAATAATTATCTTGAAATTATATGATAGTTGAATCAGGAATAGATGTATGCATTTTGGGTCTCAGAATGTATCACATCCTATAGGAAGCCTATACTTGGGTTAAGAATACCAAAGAAATTAAAGTGTAGATTGATTTAACATTTTCTCATCCTATTTAGACTTTCTCAAGTGGGCAAAAGCACTTATCTATGGTGAGATGTTATCTACTCAGAAATATTAAAAACTTGCTTTTTTATAATGCAAATAAGGCAGTACAAGGAATAGTCGTTAAATATTGTGTAATTTAGATTTTAAAGAAATAAAATTAAAATGTTTATAAACTAATTTAGATATTTAATCTAAAGGTATTAATATCTCAATACTTGAATTTATTCTGTCAATACTCAATCAGAGGTAGGTTTTCAGCAATAAGAAAGTTGTAAATTTGTGTTTTTATAATTATATGTGGGTATGTCTCTGTATATACATAGATTAAGTATGTACTTTGTAAATATTTAATCTTTCTGTGTGAAGATTTGCTTACGTATTTAATAAAAATGTTTCTTTGCATGATAAAAATTCAGAGGAATATTCCCATCAGGTGTCTTCATTGCCACAGAAGTATTTCCTCTTGAAGAGAGCCACTCTTAGAAGACAGGAGTTGTAGGGTGGAGCACTGGATGCAAAGAAAGCCCTCTTTAGTGGAAGAAAATACCTTTGTAAGTGTATATACCCCAGCTGGAGAAACAATCTTTAGGGAAAAAAGCAGGTTGTTAACTGAGTGCTCTGCTTTTGTGAGGGTGGCTTTATGGTGAAGCTGCAATTCCTCTACCATTGCTTGTCTGAGATCCTAATTAAAAACAAAACAGGTTTGGATTCAAGTAAAGCCCCTTTTAAAATGTTTTAGTACGTTCATTGTGCTGAAGTAAAGAAAAAATCCTTGATTTTTAGAATCTTAATTTTAAGTTTTGGTTCATCTAAAACTCAACATCTATTTTCTCCATTGGGTTTCATTAACATGTTATTTTAATTGGTAAGTTCACCTAGAGGCTACATCTCCCAGATGACAGAAAATAAATCAGGGCAGGCAGTTTTCCTCTTGAAGCTTTTGGCTGACCTAACATTTTACAAGACACAATTGGACCCTCTTTTTGGGTCAAATCAGCCCTTCCTGTTGTATGTTCACTTTCTACTTTTCCCAGAGCTATATATGCTAATGTAAAGTCTCTGTGTCTATTTTTATTGAAACTGAGAGAAATCCATGCCTTCACTTTATAGATAAGATGTATATAGCAGAGTAAATAGAATACCTGCATATGTCAGTTAATAACTTTTTGTTCTTTAGTGTCATACTTTGATTCTCAAAAACAATTGTATGATTTATTTATGGGAAGTTCAACTCTGAACAATTTGAAGAAATCAAGAAGTTAATCAGTTACTCAGGTAACAGATTATGGAGTACTCTGTTTTGTTGTTTGTAAAATGTTCAATGTCAAGCTATTTTAAGGATTTTTATAGACAAATGCTGTGTAATAAAAAGAACAAAGTAGATCAAGGAAACATAAGCTTCTGTAATTTGTTTTAAAAATTACACTTTTGAGTAAAGCAAATGGAGGGAATGGATGTTTTATCAGACACTTATGAATAGGTTGGTTTATTATGTTGAGAAAGTTGATTTATCTGATTCCAAACCTTTGTTCTGGAAACTTGTTAACTGGCTACGAGTGATATAGGTTTTTAGTGCATTAAACAGTTTCATACAAATCTTTAAAAATGGGCCTGATACGTTTTTTTATTTTCCCCCTACATTTGGATAAGGTACAGAAATCTAGACCATTGTAACCCCTAGAGATTCTTCATAAGTTCTGCCAGTCTCTAAATCCATTCAATTATAAGAACAAAAGTCACTATTAATTTTTATATTTAAAAGGGTTGACTTTTTTGAGCCCTTCCAAGCCCCATATATTTACTAGCTAATCTCACCATTACTCTATGTACACATCTCTTATTTATATTTGGTCTGAATTAATTTAGGCATTCATTTGTTCTGGAATAATTATTCCTTCACTCTTTTGTTAAAAAGAAATAAAATAAGGCATAAGTACCGAACCTAAATTGTACTGTGCCTGGGGAAAACAAAAGTCACTAGAATGTCTCAAAAGGTAAAGAGATCTACCACAGGGGAAGGAGATAAGTGGGCATTGCAAATTGATGTATTTTGTGAAGTTCTTTATGTTCGTGTCTTGCATGTATAAATTTAAAGATGTGACACTGATCATAATACACCTCTGTTTATGCATGTGGAGATCATCTAATCATTCTTGGGGTTTAGAGTTTACTTTTACTGTGACATATACAATATAAAGGATTCACTGCTTCTATGTTAAAGCATGTGGCTGTTAGGTAAAACTACCAGCAGTCAGGAAGGCCCCCCTATGAATACCAACATCACTGCTTAATAGCAGTGACTACATTACTTCAACTACTTGGGCATCAGTTTTGCTCATCAATAAAATGGAGAGGTTAATAAGCTAAATTTATACTCAAAGTTTCATTGATTTGATTATGATAACCATTGTAATTTTATTTTTTGTTTTGCCTCCACGAAGTTAGTTTTTGTTTTTTAAGGTTCTATAACATTTTCTTGAGTAGTCTTATATATTGGCTATCTTTTATGAATCAGTAAGGAAATAATACATCCAAATCTGCTACTTTAGTTGTTTTCTGTTTTAAAATGTGTTATTTTTATACTAGATAGCTGAATGTTGAAAAAATTGTTATCAAGAATGATTATAAGAATGTCCTCTAGAGGGATCCATTTTATTGCTTTATAGCCATGAGCTTAGAATTGCCCTAAATTTTTATTTAATACTTATTAGAATGTAGAAGATTTACTTCCATGACTATTTAATGAGAGGGAAAAAAAACTGAAACAACACATTTAGTTAAAAATTTAGTTTTGCAATGGAAGTGGAAGGTTCATTTTATTAAGATAAACATCTTTTAATATGGACTAAAACTGATGATTTAATAGATTTTCATGGAAAAGAGGAAACTTATTTTTCATATATAAAAACTCTTAGAAACTTTATTTAATTTGAAATTAAAATGCCAGTTAAATTTAGTTTTAGTTCGATAAAATGTTTCCCAGTAAAATTAAGTCAGTAGCTATACTTGATAACCTTAAGAACAGATTTAACACAGTGAAAAATTACAAAATACGGCCTCATTTATATATTCTTTGCACATCCCTGGTTATAATGTATTTTATTACTTTAAAAAGCAATAAAGTTACAACATGTCTAACTAAAACTAAGGATTATGATTTTTAAAGTATTTATGTGTAGGGATATAACTATGTTAAATAATTTATATGATTCATTTATTTACAACTGTCTTTCAATTTCTTTGCAGCATTTTTAAAAGTGTTTGTTTTGGCTTTCTAAAGTTGTATTAATAAAGTGATCACAAGCCATTTATAATATTAATGCTATTAAGAAAAATAATGCTAAAATTTCATATTTGTTTCGCTCTTTTATAATCTGAATGGGTTCTTCCAGTGAATTATATTGAAATAGTAAAATGAAATAACTTTTTTATTTCAATTATGTCATGTTTATCTTCCATCAGGTTTTTGGTGTATGTGCAAGTATGCAAAACACAAGGAATGGTCTGGAGCTTAGAAAACACATGTCCTGGTGTAATAATCCTCTTTGGTCAAATGGCCTTGAGAAAATTTCTCTTCGAAACTTAGTATCCTGAAACTTACAAATAGAAGAAGAAAAAACAAAAGAAAAGAAAGTTGTTCTCCAGAGAAAAGAACCAAGGAGAGAGATTTTATATATATATATATATATATATATATTTTTTTTTCTTTATAGTTATGTATATAAATGTATATATTTACATATTTTTTCTTTATATATCTCATATATAGATATATCTATATATCTAGATATAGATATCTATAGAATATTTAGATATATATTTTTATTGATATAAGCTATATCTATAATTATTATAGCTATAAAATTTATAGATGTATGTAATATAAATATATTTATATTTCTATAGATATACATTATCTGTATATAGAAGGATACAGAATCCTTATTATGAAGCATTGGTTCATATGATTATGGAGAGTAAGAAGCCAAATTTGCAGGCTGCAAGGTGGAGGCCCAGGAGAGTCAGTGTGTAGTTCTAGTCCAAACCCAAAGGCCTGAGATCAGCAGTGCCAATGTCTGAGGGCAGGAGAAGATTGATGTCCCAGCTTAAGCAGAGAGAAAATTTGCCCTTCCTTCACCTTTTTTGTTGGATTCAGGCCCCTAGCAGATTGGATGATGCCTGCCCGCACTGGTGAGGGAGATATTCTTTAGTCAGTTTACGGAATCAAATACTAATCTTTTCTGGAAACACCATCTTAAACACAGCCAGAAATAGTGTTTAACCAGCTATCTGGGCATTCCTTAGCCAAGTCAAGTTGACATAAGCAATTAACCATCACAGTGTCCTTCCTATGTCATTTATATTTTTTGAATGTCAATTAAGACCATGTATTCAGAGAAACTTCGTAAACTAAAAAGAATTTCATAAAGAAGAGGCATCATTAAAAGGCATACACATCTGTTACAAAATGTTCTGGGCTCAAAAGTGAGCATTTCAAGAGGTCCTTGACATCATTAGATGTTGAAAAAACTGCTGTATAGAATGGAGGCTCCTTGTGAGATATTTATAATTATGCTTTATATCTTTCTACTCATGTTTCCATTTGTTAGAAATTTGTTAACTTTCACGAAATTCCTCTTCTTCCTGAGTGAGGTGTCCTGCAGTATCTATTCAATTTACAACAAAGAAGTTAGAGGATCTTGGTTTGCACTGGGGCCACATTTGCAGCCCTTATTACCAACTTTGAAAATAAAATGTATGCAAATTTAACTTAAAAACTAGGAAAACAGCTACAGAATAAATTTGAAAATAGAAGAAAAATTAATAAATATCAAACGTGAAATAAGAACGAAAAAGAAGGAAATAAAATCAACACATGTTTTTGTAAAGGTTCATGGAATATATAATATTTTGGCAAATATGTGAAGAAAATATGAGAAAAGAAAATAAAAAATCCCAAATATTAGGAATGAAAAAGAAGACACAGCCATGAATATGGAAGTCAGTAAAATTATAAAGGCATATTTTATGAACTACTATAAAATGAAAATCTATAAGAAATCTGTAAGATAAACTACAGATTTATCTGTAAGAGGTCAGGTAAATTTATTCTTTAAAATTTCTAGTAAAATATAAAAGACACAGACTGAACTCCATAAGAGTAAGACATTTGAATATAATACTAGAAAAAAATAAGGAATATATGCTTCCTGATGCTTTCTCAGTGTTTTTTTCTCCTGCAAGTCATATTATATTCATTTTTTTTTTTTGGTACTGATTCCTACTAATAGGATGGCATCTTCCATCCTTTCTTTTAAGTAATCACAATATTTTTTAGCTGTAATTTTTGTTTCCTGTTCCTTCTTGCACCAATTCACTTACTGATGTTATTGAGAAAAATTTTGGAAACTTTTCTATGAGTTATAAACCTAGAATGTCATAAGCGCAAATATAGTTATCATTTCTAATTTATGCATAATTTAAAAAATAAATTCTATGCTATCTAAAAAATACAGAATTCTCAGGCTATCATATTAAGTTTTTATTTCTTATTTTCAGCTTACTTGACACAAAAACTCTACATAATTTTCTAAAACGAAACAGTAAATTCCATTTTAAAAGTATAAACTTTCAATTTGTAATGAGATAGTAGCAGCTTATGAATCTAACGTGCCTATTATATATTTCATCATCAAATAAATAATTGACATTTTAGTCTCTGATAAATAGAATATAAACAATTATGCTTCAATCTACTCTAAAAAATACCCTCCTTCATTTTGGTTTCTTTAATACGTATTTTTTTTTTTGCTATTAAATTTATATAACATTGAAATTTTACATATTGACTCATTCTTTCTAATGACTCTTTCATTGGAAAATAACTCTCGAATTCTACACAAAATGTTTCAGTTCAATGAGCATTCATTATTCTCTTCTTGTTCTAAACACATATCTAACAGTATAAACAAAATGGAATCTCAGCAAGCTTTTAAAAATAGGAAATTAAAAATTTTTAATGTTTTTGAAAATATTATGATAGTGGTTATTTTCAAAAACACAAGTTTTCAAAAACTTTGTGAATGCTTTCATGCTATAGTAATTGTCCTGCATTTCTATCTCAGAAATTGGTATTTTATTTTACCTTACTTCAGTTCAACTTACATTCTTCTTGTCCCTGACATGCCTTACCCCTCCTTCCTGGTTAACCGTCCCTAACCATGTTCTCCTCAACACAACTCTGTTCTTTGAATTCTCATTCACAAAGCAGCTTTAGTTTAGGTCCCTGTTTATTTTGTCTCTCTCAGTCTCTATTTCTTCTCTCTCTCTTTGTCTGTCTCTCTCCCCCTGTCTCCCTCTTCACGCCCCCACTCTCCCATTCTGTTTTAGTTTTCTTCATCTGCAACTGCTCATTTGTGTTTACCTGACTTTTTGAGAGGCAAGTTTTGGACACATCTGTGATACATTGGTTGTTGAATTCTTGCCTTAATAACTGTATCCAGACTTTTTTTTATTTACTAACTCTCATTAGATTTGAAAGTAACTGCAGTCAGAATTACAAGCTGCCTCTTTGTCAGGTACCAAGCCTTTTGTCAGCTTTTTGTCTGGCCCATGTTCTTCCCTTATTTCTGATGTGTCTCCAGGTTGTCGATTGTTTGGCTTCACCCTATGACTATCTCCAAGGGACTTTTTAAAAATTTCAGTAGTTAGGGGAGTACACATGGTTTTCATTACATGGATTAGTTCTTTAGTGGTGAATTCTGAGATTTCAGAGCACCTGTTACCCAAGCAGTGTTCACTGTACCCAATATGTAGTCTTTTGTCCCTCACCACTCTCCCAACCTGCTCTGCGCCGGGTCCCCACCGTCTATTATATTGTTGTGTATGTTTTTGTTTCCTTATAGCTTAGCTCCCACTTATAAGTGAGAACATACAGCATTCGATTTTCCATTCCTAAATTATTTCACTTGGAATAATGGCCTCCAGCTACATACAGGTTGCTGCAAAATACATTATTTCATTCCTGTTTTTGGCTGAGTAGTATTTCATGTTGTATATAGACCAACTTTTCTTTATCCACTTGTTGGTCGATGGGCACTTACATTGGTTCCATATCCTTGCAATTGGGAATTGTGTTGTTACAAACATGTGTGTGCATGTGTCTTTTTCATATAATGACTGCTTTTCCTTTGAGTAGATACCCAGTAGTTGGGTTGCTGGATTGAATGGCAGAGCTACTTCCAGTTCTTTAAGGAATCTCCATACTCCAACCTCCTTTCCATAGAGGTTGTACTAATTTACATTCCCACCAACCATGTAAAAGTGTTCCATTTTCACCACAATGACTTTTAAATTTCTCCAAAGATTTTTGAGGAAAAAAATTTGCTTTCATTATTTTAGACTTTAGCTCATCTTTAATATTAGTCTCCTTAATTCCTGCTTTCTTACCTGTTTTCTGACCCTTTATTTGCCTCATTTAGTATTTTTAGTACTAAAAAATACACAAACTGTTGGTCTAACAACTCTGTGTTCCAGTTCAGGCTCTGTCCCACTGATTTTAAGAATTATTCACTTAGCTTTCTGAGCCACGTTTGTCATCAGTAAATGGGGATAATTACATCTGTGTCATACACTTTTTGGGGAAACTTACTTGGAAGGCATATGTGAATCACTTTGCATACCTGGTTCACAAAAAGTATTCAACAATTGTTATATCTTTTTCTCCCTTATATGCAGTCTTCTCAATTTTCGTCTTTAGCAGTACATTTCTAACTACTGCAGTCAGTCTGTGACTCCGTATTACACAATTGGGAATATGTTGTTTGATGCATATTGGGTATAGGAGAAATGAATTATGGCATCAAACATTCCTTGACCTTTCTACCTGTAGTAACCAGTGAACTCTGACAGATGCTAATGGAATTTGCCTGCCTTGGAAAATTTAATAAAGGCTCAAGGTTATTTCATGTTGATGTGATCAGTCATGCCAAAAGAAATGCTATTTTGGTAAACTCTCCTAATGGCCAAAGGAAGTTTGCATACTATTGGATTAAATATATCTTGCATAGCCATATTTCAAGGACATATTTAAGATGGGGAAATTTTTTCTCTTTTGGAAAACTCTTTCAATTTATTATTGTCTATTGATAATAATGTAGTGACACAGGAAATGCAAAAATATATAAGGGAAAAATTAAATAGAAATAAAAGAGTGCTTGTATTTGAAATACAGCTTGGAAATTGGACACATTTTGACTTCTATATGAATAAATAAACTAATTTTTGTCATAAAATATTCATGCATTATAGTCATCCTCTTATAGCACATAACAAACATAACTTAATGCATATGAGAGCTCCCTCTCGCCTGGCTATCAAGTATAATCAGAATATTCTCAGAGAACAAAAATCCCTAGGTCCAAGAATACCTGTTAATGCTGAAACTTTCCACTGATTAGCATAGGTCCCTATCCTTTATAAGCCTGGTCTTCTTATACTCTCCTACACCTTGTTATCTAGAGTTAGGATGTTCATTTTAGACAAGCTGCACCTTAACCTCACTAACTGTCACAGAGCCCCTTAGCTCCAAGGCCTTTTATTGCAGTAGCAGGAAAGAGCACCTAGCTTACAGCAAGTCATTACATCACCTGCATCTCCAGATTGAAGATGCCTGGCACCTTGGGAAACACACTGCTGCAAGGAAACCAGGCAACTGCCTTGATGAGGAATCAGGTGGGTGGTCACAGAGCCCTTGGCAAGTTGGCTGTGTACATGCTTAGAAAAAGTTGCTGTTGATGTTTTTCTTGTCTTGACTACAACTTATTTCTTCTTAGTTCTTTTGGAAAATGGTTTATTAAGTCACCAATGTTTAGAAGGCACATGGCCCATGAAATAATTCAAACTTTATTTTATAAGTTATTTATTTATTCCTAAAAGAAAATAAGGCACAAATTATCATCCTATGGAAATGTTTTTTTTTTTTTGGTCAAAAGGAGGGCAAAAACTGCATGAAAAGGGTTGTTGTTGCAAACTATAAACAATCCACCAGGCTGAAGTTTCCTGAAAGTGATGTAGCAGACTCAGTTTTATAATGAATATACTTTACCATTCAGACATGTATTTTGTCTAGTTCTTGTTCCACAAGACGTAATTTTCAAACTTTATAAACTTAGGTTAACTGCATTTATAGAAATGAATACAATATGGAAACTGCATATATTGCCATTATTTTAAAGTTATATTGAGTTACAATGAGTACATATTTAAGTACAAATAGAAAGTGATCAAATGGCATAGTATTTATTGCTATAATCTCAAAAGGTTTAACTTTTTTCTTCAATATATGCAGAGTTAAATACAATGAAACTCCTATAAAATAATGTTTCCCTATGCCACGGGTTCACTTATATTAGGAATCAATTGTGTGATGCACTGAAAATAGCAAGGGCTTTCAGAGTTAAACACATTGTAGTGTGGAACTCAAGTATAAATATGCAGGTTATGTACTCCTGTGGAAGCTACTTGGCCTCTTTGAACCTTAATTTTCCTATCTCTCAAAAGTAAGAAACAGAATGAAATCTATGATCCAATATTACTTATGCAAATTAAAAACACATGCATACAAAATAGTACTATATATTAACAAAAGCAATACCTATCTAAGGTGATGGATGAAACACATTAAAAGAAATGCTATGTAGAGAGAAAAGGGAATATGGATCAAAGATGAAGTGAGGCAGTAAAATGAAATTGGATGCTTTTCTCATACCAGTTATGAGAGTGCACTTTAAAAGCAAGTATATCATTATCTCACCTCACTGTACCAGTGTTAAAAAGTTAACATTCCCACAGTTGTTGGGATAATTAGAAATCATGTGTGAAATCCACTGAGCATATTTGCCATACAGTGTAAATTAAACAAATATCATATTTCTTACTGCTGAATATTGCTAAAGTTATTGTATTTTACAATAGAACTTTGAGTTTTGTGATGTACTAAAGGCTATTTTTTTTTGGAAAAGTCTTCTGTACAATTTATTTGAAATTAAAATCACATAAATTACTGATTCATTGAAAAGCATCAGGCCGCCTCAAATTATATAAATGTTGGCAAAATATGACTAAAATATTTATTCTTATTTATCTATTGTTAAAGTTGATGTATACCTTCAAATTGGTAATTGGTATCAATTTTAATGAACATTTTTGGAAATATTCAGCTAGTGCAATTTTGTGTATAACTGAAACCAGTCTAAGTGAAAATAAAGTCTTTTTCCCCCAACTTTCAAATTGCTAGAAAAAAATGGGCAAAATAATACGTAAATAGAGAAAAGCTTCAATACTGCAGACTCATGGTCAGTACCATTATGTATAAAAGTGCACTTATTTTTCCAACTTGCAATTGTGTTGTGCAGTGGGAGAATAAAACTTTCTATTGAGTTGAAATCTTTTGTTCTCCACCATCCTCTTCCTTCCTGGCTGATAGATATCTGAACTGATAGTGCAAATTTACAGTAAGTATAAAATATTCAGTTCTTCCTGAACTAAATGAAATAATTGGACAGAAATCCAATTTCTTAATAGAACTTCTGATTATAAGCCAAAATTCAGGAAACAGCTGCTATCCTGTAAGAATGAGAAAATAAGAAGATAAACAACCCCTACTGGTAGATTTTTTAAAAGATACTATAATTTTAAAAGAATAGAAATCAGATTAATTATTTCCCTTGAAAAAAGTAACTGAAGAAACATACAGAAAAATTAGTTTCAAATGGACAGAAAAACTATTTTAGAAAATTTGTAAATTATTTTACCAAATTAGAGAATGTGCATTTATGAATCTAGGATGAGCTAAGATTGGTAAGTAATATGTGAAAACAAATAAGAACAAAGAGAGAAAAATGGTAGTGGTTAAGTTAATAACTAATAGAGGCAGTACGTGCCAACTGGATATTTCAGAAACTTGGCTAAGTTATATGCAGACAGACCAGAAAAATGTACCAGACTTCAGAGAAAAGTGATGAGGAAAATATAAGACACAGAAAACACAATAATTCCCACCAATGTTGTTAAAGGAATTACAGAGAGATAGAACAGAAGAGATAAATTTGAATAAAAGAACCATAGATGAAACCCCATCTCTACTAAAAATACAAAAAATTAGCCAGGCGTGGTGGCGGGTCCCTGTAGTCCCAGCTACTCGGGAGGCTGAGGCAGGAGAATGGCGTGAAACCGGCAGGCGGAGCTTGCAGTGAGCCGAGATAGCGCCACTGCACCCCAGGCTGGGCGACAGAGCAGGACTCCGTCTCAAAAAAAAAAAAAAAAAAAGAACCCTAGAATGTTTCTCTTAAAAAACAACAAATATCTTATTTTGAAAATTCAGAATGTGTATTTTGTCTAAAGGTACCTTTATAAAAAAAACTCTATTAGACAGAAATTTTACATTTTTGTGAAATTGGAAGCAGTTAGAGTGAAAAAAATGGGTAGCCACAGAGCTCAAATATGAGGTTTTCCTAAGACCTGTTTGCAAAACTATACAGATATTAAAAAACACTATCTTCAGAGATCTAACTTTAATATTTTGTGACCCCCAGAATGTGACCAAAAAGTTATCATTAATGTAAAAATAAAAACACACACTCTCTTTTTCTATATGTCATTTCTTGAGAAGTTATAGCTATGAACAAAAATGTATATGCTCACTGTAGAAATAGTTTATAAAGTAAGAAATAATAGGCAAGTGGCAAAACAAGAGTTAGCGTATTAATTTAATTAGATCTTAGGTAGATCTCAAAAATGTTTAAGAAGAATTTGAAATGACCTGAGAAAGTGTATGTGTGGGTATATGCTGTGTATTGTTTACTTTTGTCTAGTTTTGAAATCATATGACCAGATCATACTGTATATATTCTTCCATAACTGACTTCTTTGGCTTAATATTCTGATGTTGATGGGATAAAAAGGTGACAATGAATGCTATATATAATAATATCTATGTTATGTAAAATCAGATCAAAATAGATAAGATCAATTTCTTTGGTTGAATTAAACGTGTTTTTTATTTTTGTATTAATATTTTAAATATTTCCCTCATTTGTATGTAATGTGATGACTAATGCTTAAAATTATTTTATTTTCCAAATTTTAAGTGGATTTAAGACATATTCAGTAAATTCAATCTGAGAAATTGGTCAATCAACAATATTGATTTCCCAAGTTTAGAATATCCAGATATAAGGGAAGATGATTCTGTATTCACTTCATATTTAGAATGGCACTTTTCCCAATATCAACTGCATATGATTTATACATAGCTTTTCCCCTTCCCATATGACAGCAAGTTCCATTGCAAAATAATTTTAAAATTCAATTTCAATAAAATAATCATTGAACAAAAATGAGAAGAGTGGTGTTGAAAAAATTCATTGTCTTTTTCAGATTATTTTATTCAAAGCTTTTAAAAATACTGTATCTTGAATTTAAGATTTAAACTACAGTTGAAATTATTTTTTAAGCCAGTTTAAAATAAAATTAAATATAAATGTTCATTAGTTTACTCAAAAGAAT
Organism: Homo sapiens; assembly: GCF_000001405.40. Classification (NCBI taxonomy): domain Eukaryota; kingdom Metazoa; phylum Chordata; class Mammalia; order Primates; family Hominidae; genus Homo; species Homo sapiens. The sequence continues at coordinate 145,758,161 of NC_000003.12, read as the reverse complement.
CTTTTATTTTGAACCAAATTTGCATTTATACTTCTATGTTGTTTAAGAAATCTTTTGCAACCTCAGTGCCATGAAGGTTTTCTCCTATTATTTTTTTCAATATGTTTTCTTTGGTCACATTTTAGGGTTTTAATCCATTTTGTTTCTTTCATATGGTTTGATAATTTACATTCATTTTGTTTCACTTATGACACCTTAACTTTTCCAATACTATTTATTGAAAACCTTTTCTTTGTTTCTGTTACTGAAATTCCAGTTTTGTGTATATATATATATATCTTTGGACTACTTATTCTGTCCCATTGATTTTTCTTGTTTTTGTAATAATAGTAATTAGTGATATTAATATAATTGTGTTACATAGTAGAGAAAGTTAAGGACTTTTTCTTCTTCCAAGACCATCCTACCTATCCTTAGACATTTTTGTGTCCAATTAAATTTTAGAATTTGTCAAACTCTACTGTTAAAAATATGGGATATTTTTGAGATACTGTAAAATCTTTAGATTGTTTTAAGGATAATTTACATGTTTATAAGTGTGTCTTCCGATCCATGAATATTTTCTTATAGCTTTATTTATGTAGTTTCTTAATGTCTTTATATGAAGTTTTATAATTATTTTATGGAAGTCTTATATATATATATACATTTTAGCTTTATTGCTGATTACTTAATTTAACTTGAGCCTATTATAAATGTTATCTTTAAAATTATTTTCTAAATCTTCTTGCTCCTGGTGTTTTGGCTCCATGAAATTATATTTCAGAGTTCAAAGTGTCAACTTGCTATCTAACTATTTTAAAATTTTATTGAATCACACATACAAACAAAAAATGCAGTGCAACTCACAAATGTAATGAATGTTTACCAACAGAACAAATCTACAAAATCAATACTCAGACTAAGAATCAGCAGCCAGATATTTCCCTAATTCTACAAAAGGAAACGAGCTGATTTCTAACATCATAAATTAGTTTTTTGACTGTTTTTAAACTTTATTTAAGTAAAATCATGAACGAGGTACTCATGATGTCTGACTTATTTTGATTAACATCATGTCTTCCACATTTGCATTTATACTGTGTTCATTTGCATTGCTCTATAGGATTATATTTGAAATGTATGACAGTTTATCCATTCTACCAAAGATGAACATTTGTACAATTCCCAATTTTTGGCTTTATTTTTTGAATATGTCTTTTGGTGAATATATGTAAGCATTGTTTCTGTTTTATTGCTTTTGTTTTGTGTATGTACACAATGATGAGTTAAATGTTGTGTTCAGCTTTGGTTGTTACTGTCACACAGTTTTTCAAAGAGATTGCACAAATTTACCTTTCTAATAGCAGCAAAGGAGCATTCCTGCCACTTCACATGATCACCAATATTTGGTATTTTTCCTTCATTCTAGTAATTCTTATTGGAATGTAGTAGTTTTAATTTGTACTTCCCTGTAAGCATATTTCCTTATGTTTCTTGGTCATTGAATATTCACCTTTGTATACAGCCTGTTCAGGCTTGGCATTTTGTTTTGCTGCAATATTGCTGAAGTTATTGTCCAAGAGTTTTCTGTTGTTATCCTCATTGCTTTTCTGTTTTTCTTAAACAAATGAAATTCAGGAAAATTAAGCAACTATGCCTTTACTAGCACCAATATGCCTCAAACTGATCTTATCTTCATCCTTGAATAACATTTTCCTTTGGGAGAATTTTCAATACTGACACTTACTAGTGTTACTATTGAGTCATCATCACCTCTCACTCTGTTGGCCTTTTAGAATATAAGCCATTTTTCTTTTGCTCTGATGTATCTTCTCACAGTTTTATCCCCCGCTAGTTTGTATGAAATTTGTTGAACACATTGTTTTTCCAGAGTTTTGAACTTGGTTGTGTTAAATGCCTAGTTACGTAGAAATCGGGATCAATTTAGACTAAATTCACAGTCTGATATTGTTTTGTAGCTTCTCCCTAATAGCATAAATTTGGACTTATTATCATTATTGTTATTTTATGTGTATGTGGTAAGAACACTTAATGTAAGAGCTTACCAGTTTTCTGTACACAATATAGAACTGTCAGCTAAAGGCACTATGCTACACAGTAGATCTCCAGGACTAATTTATCTTACACTACTGAAACTTTGTACCATTTGACAGTCACCTCATCATTCTCCCTCCTGCTAGCTCCTGAAAACCGCTATTCTACTCTGCTTCCATGAGTTTGAATATTTTAGATTCTACACATAAGTGGTATCATGCAGTATTTATTTGTTTTTCTCTGTCTTATTTCACTTAGCATAATGACATTTATTTTGAGCTTATCTGTATGAGAATGTAGCCCTTTGGGTTCCAGGCTGTATTTGAGGGCAGGAGGGTAGGTAAGGCCTCTTATATTTCAATCTTGAGCAGACCTGGGCAATTGCTTTATTGTGTCTTGTTTTTCGCGAATCTATAAAAATCACATATCAGTTCCCACGATTTAGCAAATGTCCCTAGGGCAAAAGCCCTCTAGTACTATGCTTAAGTTTTTGGATTTCCACTTTCATGAAGATTTTACTTGATATTTCTCTACCATTTGTTTTCTTCATGAGGCTTCCATGAAGTTTTTATCTTCAAATATATTTTATGCAATACATTTAAGAAATAATTTTTAGGGAGAAGTTTTTTATAGATACTTGGCTCTCAATATTACTGATTATATGTGAATACATATGTTTGTATGTATATGTATATATATAATTTATATATTATATAAATATAACATATTAAACCATCATCTGAGATGATAAGATCATCTGGGTCCTATCGATATCATAATTATAATACTATTATAAATGGTAACTTTAACAATGCAGCAAAACTCAGGTTGGGCTGCTCACTGCTCAAAAGCCAGACTGGATAGAAAAAGGTTGGTGAGACGAAAAGCATGATAAGCACTGACAACCCAAGAGGATGGCAGACTAATGTCACAAAGACCATCTCAAGTTTCTCAGCCTGGCAGAAGGTATTTTAAAGCGCAAGAAGCTTGGGAATCTATGTGTAGGAGTTAGATACACACAGTTCAGCATGTCTTGTTCCAATGATTATCTTGAGTAATGGGCAGTCCAGTGTCTGGCTGGTGTCATCTAAACTGCATAGGATTGAAGATTAACTGCTCAGCATTTTTTCCAAGGGGTCTTTTCACAACTTTGGTTTCATCTTGAGGTAAGTTCCTGGAATTTCTAAGCAAGCACACAGTTAGGCATTGTAAAAGACAGAATGGCTATTTGGTTCCAAAATGAAGTGACTGCTTTGGTTACAAATTCCCCACTATTAATTTTTTATTCCGTTTCTATGGAGAAAGGGATGTCAACTCTAGTCTGGCTGCTTCCTGCTGAATGAGGTATTGATTGAAGACTTTGGAATGAAAAAGCTTGGCATAATGGAGCACATAACTTTGAGTCCCCCTTTTGAGGAGTGGAGGGATTAAGGGCAATTGTTTATAAGTGGTTTTTGAAATTTGTTTATGTTTTCTGAATACAGATCATGACTAGTTTGAACCAGTGGTAGATTTCAAGGATAATTAGTATAGATAACCCTAATTTTATTATTCCTGTTAGTAGAGATTCGATTCCAGAAGGTACCCAGGAAAACAGGCTAGAAAATCACTCCTCTGCTTCCTGAAGCAGAGGGCATAATGATATAAGATTTGCTGAAGCTTTGTGGCTTGTTGTCTAATCTGGTCAATGCTGGTTTCTACTTGTGAGGAAGTGTTGATATAAGAGCAAAACTAGGAATTAATTGCTACACAAATGCCTCCTTGCTCAGCTAAAATAGAATCCAAAGCTATTATATTATCTAGAATTACTCTTGCTAAGGTGATTTTTGCTATTCTGGAAGCAAGCTGGTAGTCTCATTAGCTATTACAATAAGGGCTTTGGAAAGGTTTCTTAATACATGTTGTTGAACCACTACCATGGAAGTAAAGAGAATCTAAAGAAATATTCATCCTTGTCTGTGGTTCCCCCAGATAAATCATGAACAACTCCAGTGAAAAGCTTTAATGAGCTAGTCCAGAGTTTTGTATCATTTGCAGGATGTAAGGTTAATGGAATTATGAGGGAACCTAACAAGCGTTGACCTACTTGGATGTCATTCCATAAACAATGAAATGCCTAAGACTAGCCCTTTTTGCCTGCAAACAAATACGTACTCCTCAGGGGAACATTCCATTTTATGGGAAAATCTTCTACTAATTAGTAAAGCAATTTTTCTTAGCCGTGTTAGATTAGCATTACCTTCTTTTCATATGCTGTCTGATTACATACAGGCAAAATTGTATTCACAGAAGCTGTCAGGTAGTTATAAGTAGGAAAGTGTGACACCATAATAGGCTGTATGGGGATGGCTAAACATGGGGCCGGCCAGTTCTCATAGGGCCAGCCAATTCTCATAAGCCAAATTTATAATCCTCATTCAATATACAACTTGAAAAGCCTGATTTGAATCCCTCAGTTGACAAGGAGGGACCTAGTTAAAGCCATACACTGTAAGTACAAAAGGGTCTCCGTAATCTTGTGTGGATTGTGGCTTTGGGTGCCAGACCCAACATTCTGTCTTACTGATTGATGCAGCTGTATCTTGGGTAATTCATGATAAAACATTATTTTGCCATGCAGTTATGGGTGGGATATTGAATAATAGTAGAAAAAGTGTAAATGGTGCTACTTATCTGCTCTTATAAATAAATGTTTTAGGTCTTCTAAAGGTTCACAATTCCAGGTGCCGCCTGAAGCTGGGTCCTCTGCGGTGCTTGTTTCTTTTTCTGGCAGGGGCTCTTTTTACAAGGGAAATACATTCCAGGCAAATGTATCCTGCCTGGAAAGAGCAAAGTGATGTATAATTGTTAATACTTGTCCTAAATGTTGTATATATTGTTTAATTTTTTACTCATTTCTTAAATCTAAGGGTGGGATTCCTGGCGGGGAAGTTTGGAAAGATATCCCATATACAACTTCAAAAGGACTCAACCTAAGCCCATTTCAGGGTGCTACTCTGATCTGAGGTATCCCACTTTAAATGTGTTTCTTGGCAGAGTTTTGCCAAGGTCTTTTTTTGCATGTGATTCATCTTTTCTGTTTTCCCTGCTGATTGTGGTCTTCATAATGAGTGTTAGCTTCCAATCAATCTGTAATGTTTCACTTACTTTTTATATAATCTCAGAAACAAAAGAAGATTCATTATCACTCTGTATAGAGCAGGGGGGCCCAAAATGAGGGATTATTTTCTTTAACAGAGCTTTGGCCACTTCAGTGGCTTTTTTTCTGGATCTGGTTGGATAAGCTTCAACCCATCTGGAAAAGTTAGCTACAAATACTAACAGGAATTTATAATTTCCAGCTTTTCTAGGCATCTGAGTGAAGTCAACTTTCCAGTCTTCAAATGGTCACATTCTCTTTCTTGGGAGAATGTCAACTGGTCTTTGGGTTATTTTTGTTACAGAGCTAACAGCTTTGAGTAATATTTCGAATGGTTTTCTGTAGGTGGGACCCTTTAAGATAGGCCCTTTATCAAATGTTTAAGGACTGGACACACTAAAGCCTCAGGGGGTAATATCCTCCTATGATCATTACTTTTCCATAGGACATCAGAATCAGTATTAGTGAAATGCCATTCTCCTGTTTGTTTTTTGTCTTGCTTAGTATAATGGGGTTTAAACTCAGATGAGTACAAATAAGATATTAGAACCCCTAGAAGGCATAATAGCATCCTCAGTTGGAAGTGCTACTACCTGTAACAAGGTGAGGATTTCTTTCCAGTATTTGCTGTTTTTATTATTGGAGGTAAATAGCTCTCTCTCTCTCTGTCTCTCCAAATAGCTCTGTGTGCACAAACTATCATAAAGGCATATTTGGAGTCTGTATAGATGTTAGTTTTCTTGCCTTTTTAGAGTTCTAATGCCTGTGTGAGGAGGATCAGCACAGCCTTCTGGGCTGAGGTGAGGTAGGAAGGACATGGGCTTCTATTACTTCATTTAAGGTTACTACAGCATACCAAGCTCAATGCTGTCCATTTCCCATAAAGCTGCTGCCATCCTTAAATATTTTCCAGTCCAGTTGTAATAAGAGGTGGTCTATCAGGCCAAGTCTGCTTGAATAAACTGAGTCAAGGATCTCTACATAATTATGTTTGATCCCTGTATCATTCTCAGATATTGAGAGTAGGGTGACCAGTTTAAGTATTACAGTGGTTTGCAACTTGACATTAGGATTATCTAATAATATGCCTTGGTAGTTGTCCATGTGCCCCCCTGTAAGCCAATAGTCTCTTTTTTTTTTGAACAAAGTCAGTACTTGATGTCACATGAAAATAGTTATGGATTGCCCCACAGTGAGTTTTTCAGCTTTTAGAATGTCGCAGGTAGCTGCCACTGCTTGGAGGCATGGGGAGTCATCCTTTTGTAGTGTGTTCTAGTTGCTTGTTGAAATAGGCTGTGGCCTGGGGGATACTTCTGAGCATCTGAACAAGCATTCCCAGCCCTATGCCCTGTTCTCCATGTACATACAATTTTAAAGGTTTCTAAGAGTTCAGGAGGCCCAAAACTAGATCCATCATCAAATTTCTTTGATCGTGTCAAAAGCCTGTTCACATTTAGTTGTCCAAAGGAGGAGTTCAATATTGGACCACTTCAAAGCCTCATAGAGCAATTTTCCATTAATTGAAATTCGGAATTCAAATTCAACAATAGCCTGTCATCCCTAGGAAACCCTGTAACAGTCTCCTGTTTCCTGGTCTCTTCAAGAACACAATAGTATTTTTCACATCAGCCATTAGGCTTTGAGTTCCTGGTTTTAATTGGAACCCAAGGTAAGTCACTTGTTCTTTGCAAATTTGAGCCTTTTGTAGGGACACTTCATATCCACCATGTGCTAAATAATTTCATACTTAGATGGTGTTTGTCAGATACTTATAAATTGTACTAGCTATTAACAGTTCATGAAGCATTGTAATAAAATTTTATTAATCAATTGCAAATGTCTTAAATCTTTGGATAGGATTTCATTGAAAATGGTCGAAGAATTTTTAAATCCTTGTGACAAAAACAGTTCAACAATACTGAAGGGTGATTTTTGTCTCTGGATCCTGCCATTCCAAGGCAAATAATAGTTGAGCCTTCTATTCTATTAGAATACAAATGAAAGTGTCTTTTACATCCTGAACTGAAACCAATTATAATCACCCAGTTTAGCCATCAAAAGAATGTATGGATTTGGCACTGTCGGGTGAATACCCTGAACGATGTTATTAGCTGCCCTCAAGTCTTGAATGAAGTGATATTCCTTTGAATATGGTTTCTTAATTGGTAGGATGGGCATGCTGTAAGAGGACCTACAAGGCCAAATTAATCCATAGTCCAAAAACCTGTGCAGTACAGGATGTATTTCTTCTAATCCTTCCTTTTTTAAGGAATATTCCTTCCTTCCTTCCTTCCTTTCCCTTCCTTCCTTCCTTCCTTCCTTCCTCCCTCCCTCCCTCCCTCCCTCCCTCCCTTCCTTCCTTCTTTCCTTCCTTCCTTCCTTTCCTTCTTTCTTTCCTTTATGGTTTTACCATGTTGGCCAAGCTGGTCTCAAACTCCTGACCTCAAGCTATCCACCCACCTCGGCCTCCCAAAGTGTTGGGATTGCAGGCTTGAGCCACTGTGCCTGGCTGGGATATTGTTTATTATGAGGCATTTCTGCCCCTTTCTTTACTTCTATAACCAGTGGTTGTACATTCAGAGCTTACCTGGGCTTTTCATCCACCCAGACCATTTTACTCACACTTTCAATAGATCTCTGGAAGAAGTAATTATTTTAATTGTGATGGATGGACAAGCAAAAACCAACCTCTGCAGTGACAGTGCCTATTCTGGTGGCACTTAAACATGAATCTACTTCTTATGGGTAAAGGTCACTTGAGCATTTAGTGTGCAGAGCAGATCCCATCTTAACAATGGAATCAAACTTTCTGGCATATAAAGAAAATTATGCTGCAGTTTTTCATCTTCCAATTGACATTCCAATAGCTGGACAAAAGGTTTTTTGTTGGACTTTCTATAACTCCTGTAGTGGGCATTGTTTTCTTTTTAATTTTTTACTCTGGTGTTTAAAAACAAGTAAGTCACACCAGTATCTATTAGAAAGTCAACTAATTTGTTCACTGTCAATTGTAACTGGGACTCCTGTGGAGAAATTACAATTAGCTCTGTAGAGTTGAGGGGGACTCCTAGGCCTCTTCATTTATTGTCTGTATCACAGTCTTATTCTGTTTTCTGTTTGTGTGTATTCTCTTTTTTTAATATTCTTTTTCTTGGATTCTGTTTTTTCTTTTTAATTTTGTGCACTCAGATCTCCAGTGACCTTCTTCCTTGCTATAAGCACATTGATTTTTAGAGAGAGATCCCTTTTTGTTATTTCCCTGTGCCTGGTTTCTTCTTCTTGGAAATAAACTGTTTTCCATTGTTTCTATACATATGGTGGCTTGTTTCAATTTTCTGGCCTCCCTGTCATTATGTACTCTGAAGGCTATATCCACAAATTTGGAGAGATTCATGCCAACTGCCCCATTTAGTTTTTGTAAATTTTTAAGATATCAGGAGGAAATTGCTGAATAAAAGTCATATTTACCATTCTTATGTTCTCAAGGGCTTCTGTATCAGCATATGTATATTTGTAGTAAGCCTGATAAATGAACTCCAGAAATTCAGAGGGGTCCTCATTTGCATTTTGGAGAATTTCTTGGACCTTATCTAGGCTTTTCTGTTTGGGCACCCCCTTTTTTTTCAGCCCCAGTAAGACACATTTATTTATGGTCTAATCAGGCCATCCCTCCATTACTGGGGTCCCAATTAAGGTCCACAAATGGAACAGCCCTGGAGGATTGAGGGTTCTATTTGGTTCTTCTTGATGGAGGCACCATGTCTCCTTATTGGCTTTATCCAGTACTAGCCTTCTCTCATCTGTAGTCAGGAGAATATTTAGGAGGGCTTGTATATCTATGTATGTAGGTTGATGAGTTGCAAAAATAGAAGTAAAAAGATTGTCCATTTTCTGTGGGCCATGTATATAAGGGGGATTGGTGCTTTTTCAATTTAATAGATTAGATGTTGAAAACAGGTGGGAAGTTTAGTAGTATCTGTCTGGTTGTCCCTAATGATTTAATCCACTGACAGGATATTGTCTTAAAAGAAATTGCCCTTCCTTAGGCATGGTAGTCCTCTGGCCAAATTGTGTACCCTACTGAGTCTTAGATGGGGAGACCATTCATATACCGTAATTATGTTGAGGTATAGCTGACACTCCAACACCCTCTGAGTCCTGGGCTATGTTTGGTGGCTCTTGGGGAGACATTGCTCCCAGTGCCACAGGGAGAAGGGAATTTAAAACATTTATGGGACGTGTATTATCATTATCCTTTTTTCTTGGGTTTTACTAGCTAGGAAGGGATTTTTATTTTGGCTTCTCTACATCATTAACTTAGGCCCTGTCATGAACCAAGTCTTTGTCATGTAATATAAAGGCTCAAACATATGGTATTTTATCCCATTTTCCAGACCCTTGGAAAAACAATATAAATTGTAATAGTATATAGTATAGTAATGTAAAGACTCATTCACTGCCATCAGTCTTCAGATTGTAACACATACATAAGCCAGACAGTGTTGCAATAAAAATTTATTTTCTTTTTTTTTCATGGGTTCATAGCTATAAGCTTTCCAATAAACCAAAATACAACCCAAAGTCCTCTTAGATAGAATAGAAACTGAGCCATCCATTTTCGGGAGAGGAAACAAAGTAACACAAACACACACAAATTCAAAACAAACAACGCACTCCAGAACCAATTCCTACAGAGGTGGAAAGACTGGAGAGTTGTCTTAAGGAATCTTATCTCAAACAAGTTGGTACTGCAGACAACCTGTACTGAGTCCACAGCTTGCACTGTGCATCTGGAAAAGCTGCAGGCACTCAATGCCAGCCTATGAAAGCAGCCACAGGGGCTGTACCCTACAGAGACACAGGGGCAGAGCTCTCCAAAGCTTTGGGAGCCCACCCCTTGTATCATCATGCCCTGGATGTGAGACATGGAGTCAGAGTAGGTTATTTTGGAGCTTTAAGATTTAATGACCACAATGCTGATTTTTAAACTTGCATGGGGTCTGTAGCCCCTTTGTTTTGTCCAATTTCTCCCATTTGGAATGGGGACATTTACCCAATTCCTGTACACCCATTGTATCTTAGAAGTAACTAACTTGTTTTTGATTTTACAGGATCACAGGTGGAAGGGACTTAACTTGTCTTAGATGAGACTGGACTGTGGACTTCTGAGTTAATGCTGAAATGAGTTAAAACTTGGGGACTGTTGAGATGGAATAATTGTAGTTAGCAATGTAAGAAGCACATGAGATTTGGGAGGGGCCAGAGGTAGAATGATATGGTTTGGATTTGTGTCCCCATCCAAATCTCATGTCAAATTAGATGAAGGCCTGGTGGGAGGTGATTGTATCATGGGGCTTTCTACTTCACTCTCTCTCCTATACTGCCATGATAAGAAAGGCTTGCTTTCCCTTCTCCTTCCACCATGATTACAAGTTTCCTGAGGCCTCCCTGTCATGCTTCCTGTTATGCCTGCAGAATTGTCAGTCAATTAAATCTCTTTTCTTCATAAATTACCCAGTCTCAGGTAGTTCCTCATAGCAGTGTGAAAATGAACTAATACAGCATGGGTTAGAACTCTTGGGATTTGGTGTTGATATTTAAGGATTTAGAGCACAGCCCTGCATTTGGCCCAGATTGTATTATCTCAGTGCTTCTTAGGAGAACGTGTAGTAGTAGTAGTGGCTGGAATTCCCTGGGAACTGGCTTCTAGGAGGCCAATGATTTCATTTGTTGGGCTATAGATAGATAGGACTTTTAGTTGCATGCAGCCTGTGTAGATTCCTTGTGTAGATATGCCCTCCCCCCATTTACCATGGGGGCATCAAATTAATGATCAAAAGTACAACTTTCCAGTCAGTAACCTATAAACTTATACCTAGTTTGGAAGCAGCCCATGAACTTGACCCTGCCAGTTTCCCTTTCTCTGGAAACTAGGGTCATAAGAAAGATATTCCTATGCTCTTCCAAAATTGTGGATGTTTCTGGAAACATGGGAAAACTTAAGATTCTAAGCCAGATGATAAGTATAGGAATTAATAGGAGACTGTCCCCACCCTCATCACTTTATATCAGTGCTGTTTTAAAAGGAGTCGTGGCTGCTTAATCAAAAAGATAAATTTCTAATCGTGAATTTTATGGGTTTTTATATGTACGGTGGATCAAATTTGCTAATGTGTATTAAAATCTCTCTTCTTTCAATTTTTTATTTCATTTGCTTTATAGGTTATTGAGAAACATGTGTTTTGGTTTTCCTGGAATGATGTCATATTAGACCATACTTACAATGCTGTAAAGAAATACCTGAGGCTGGGTACTTTAAAAAGAAAAGAGGTTTAATTGGCTCATTATTCCTCAGGCTGTAGGGGATGTGCGGTGCAAGCATCTCATTCTGGTGAGGTGAAGCTTACAATCGTGGCAGAAGGCAAAGGAGGAGTCAGAATGTCATATGGTGAGTGTGGAAGCCACGGGGTAGGGGAGAGGCATGCCACACACTTTAAAGCAACCAGATCTCCCATAAACTGACTGAGCAGCAGTAACTCACTTATCATCAGGGAGATGCTACAAAATCACTCATCAGGGATCAGCCCCCATGATCCAATCACCTCCCACTAGGCCCAACCTCCAACCTTGGGAAACACATTTCACCATAAGATTTGGAGGAGACAAACATCTACACTATTTTAGATGGCAATTTTTAATTTTTTTCTTCTACTTCTGTCAGTTTTTGCTTTATAAATGGTGACAGAATATTAGAAAAATACATATATTATTGTTACATATTTAATAATTGCATTTATATTATATTACCTTCAAGCCTAAATAACGTCTTTAACAAAATGCCTACCTTATCTCACTGTGATATGGCTTTTGTCATTATTATTGTTGTACTTGGTGTGAATTTTTCTGTCACTTGGCTTCAATAATTCTCTCCCTTATGTTTTATACATATATGTTATAAAAGACATATGACTCAATTTTGCATTTTAGCCAATCTTTACACCATAAATGGCAAATGTTATCTATTTATATTTGTTGCTTCACTAATGTATTCAAGTTCATTTCAGACATTTGATTTTGTAGTATCTATTTGTTCTCTCTTTTCAGTTCTGTTATTTATTCAAACATATCTATTTGTTTCTGCCTTTCTTATACTTCATTATCTGATGTAGATAAGCCTTGTTATTATTTGTTTGCCTTGAGGAAATATTTTATTCTAATCTTTATTTACTTAAATAGTGTAACCCTTCAAGCATCCCAGAACAAGATCAAGCCATTTTCTCCTTTCCTTACAACTAAAGCCCCTAGATCAGTGATCTCCAAACTTTTTACATACTACATTCTTTTCTATTAAAAAATCTTAGATGTGCCACAAACTATGCAATATTTAATTCTAAATTATAATCATATGCTGCTATATTCATGTATTGAAACCTACACAATTAAAAAATTAAAAAGTGATATTTAAAATGAATGAAAATAGGTAGTTCAATGTTTTGTTTTAACTTCCTAATTGTCTTATGCAGCAGTTTTTTGGGGTGTATATACACGTCTTGCTGGGAAATGGATACATTAGGTCCACAAATATCAAAAAGAGAAGCTATAGAAATATTATTTCATAGTGTTATTCTCCTCCTTTCTAGTTCTTTCTTCATATTTGCCCCCTGGAGATTTTCTTCCTTCTTGTTTCAAACTCTGTGATATATTTATAAATCTATATATACAGATATATGGATATATAGGCATATCTGTATATACAGATATATGGATATATAGGCATATCTATATATACAGATATATGGATATATAGGCATATCTATATATACAGATATATGGATATATAGGCATATCTATATATACAGATATATGGATATATAGGCATATCTATATATACAGATATATGGATATATAGGCATATCTATATATACAGATATATGGATATATAGGCATGTCTATATATACAGATATATGGATATATAGACATGTCTATATATACAGATATATGGATATATAGACATATCTATATACTATTATATATATAAAAATAATATACATAGTATTTCCAAATATTTTTCTCCTAAAGTTTCCTGGAAACCAAAACACCTACTAAAGTCTCCTTATTTGTTTACTTCCTAAATTCTATTACATATAAAACTGAATCTATTCAATAAATAGCCAAAGTATATCCTAAAAATACAAAACAATGGCAAGAATCCTTACCTACTTTATTATTGATCTTCTTGTTTTAATAATTCATGTTTATCTGATTACATACCATTTGTTTAATTGGTAAGCTTTTTGGCAGGAGAGATAGAAATGTCAACACGATATTCCTATAGAAATTACTTTCATCGTTGTTATTACTATTGAATGTACAGTGTCTTAATATAATTGAGAAAAGTAAAATAATTCTTGAGAGGAATACCTAACATAAATTCCCTGGAAACAGTTTTTTAAATGAATGCAGGATTCCAAAAATCTAATCATGCATACTGGTAACATTTTGTCAAATGATATGAATAATTAGAAATACTTGATCAACTGCAATAATCCTCTGGTTTCCCAGACATCAGGGAAAAAGAAGCATTAAAAAAAAACCAGGGAAAGACTATCAGAAAGATGATATCAGGAACTCAGAAAATTTGTTCCCTAATGGAGCATATATTAAGGTGGTCAAAATTAGCAAAGACAATTACTCAATCTTTGGATATTGTCCAATGAACTTATAACACATTGAAAATTTATTCAACAAAATCAATTTTTTTGGATCTTAGATAAACAGTGGTAGGCCATGAATAGAAGATAGAACTTCACCTGTATCCTCTTAGATCTGTGTATAGGATTTTCTGTTACAACTGACTCAGCAGCCGAATGATTGTTACCATCTACCACAGCTTCCTAGGGTTGAACATGTATTCAGAGATGTTTCTGCAGCCTGAAATATCTCATTTTCCAAAACATACATGTCATGGCAGGCCTAATTTGAGTGGATGGTGGCAACCAGGTGATGGTTTCTCTTTTCCCATCCCTAGCTCCTGCTACATATGGAGCATCATGGTGAAGTAGCTGGTAAAGTGTACAGCCCATCTTCCAGGCAGAATTCTGAAATTCAGAAAAGTTGCTTCAGTGGGTTCAGCCAAGTGACAGCCCCCAGTTATCCAAAATAGGTAGAAGACCTATTTGAGGTTAATTTGGCAGCCAATGAATATTAGATAATCCTATCCTCCTTGACACTGGGCTACAGAAAGTTTATACTAGGTAGTAGCAGTCAGACGGTGGCACAAATTCCCACTCTCATGCGGTTTCCATCCTCGTGAGGGATCCTTATGAGGATCCTCACACTCCTCGCCTCTCATGGCAGTTCCTACTCCATAGGAAGGTTCCTGGTAGGAAGCCAGTGAAGAGCAATTTTTCATCTTTTGTCATTAGTTCTGCTCCATTGTGCAGAGGTTTTGCCCAGGGTAAGGTAACCCTGGAAGAATTTATGTTCTAAGGAGTTGTTAAAAACAATAAAGGCTAACAGCTATGTTTGATACTAATAAAAGGAGACCAGTCAGAACCTAAAGAAGAGATCAAGAAAGGAGACACTCAAAATTAGCACAGTTAACACCACAATCATCTCTGATGGTCAGAAAGACTGTGTGCATGCCCAAGGCTGTGACATTTGATGAGCGATGTCAGAGGCTGCACGCTGTGAGGAGAGTAGATTCACTGAGTAGTCCAGCCAGGTTACTAAGCAAGTTAATAAGCAAACAGTAATAATAGCAAGATCAGAGGTGGGAGATATTAGTACACAAATTGTTACAATATATTTATTAAAATGTCCAGTTTTTCACAAAATATGATGGGAAATGAAAAGAAACAGGAAAGTGTGAACCATAAATGATAAATAGGTAATAAAACTGACTTTGGAGGGTCCAGATGCTGGTCTTAGCAGACAGGGACTTCAAAGCACCTATTAGAAATATGATCTTTTATCCAAAGGAAATAAAATTTAGAGAAGTAATGACAGATCTGATGAGAGAAGCTCCTCAAATATAGAATATCAATAAAGATATACATATTATAAAAAAGAACCAAATGGAAAATCTGAAGTGCAAATGTACAATAACTGAAATGAAACATTTACTCAACAGGTTTTACAGTAGGTTTGAGCTGGCAGAAGAATCAGTTAACTTGAAGGTAAGTCAATAGAGATTATAAAATCTGAGTAACAAAGAGGTAAAATAATGAGGATAAATGAACAGAGCCTCAGAGACGTGGGAGGCCATTGAGTGCATCAACTTATCCCCAAGAGTACTAGAAGTAGAGGGGAAAGAGAAAGAAGCAGGAAAAACTTCAAAGAAATAATGGCAGAAAACTTCCAAAATTTGATGAAAGATAATAATCTACACATCCAAAAAGCACAATGAACTCCAAGTGAGATAGCTATACATTGACCTACAACCAGCCATATCATAAAATGTTGAGGATCACAGACAAAGAGAAAATCTTAGATGTATCCCTTTTGAAACTCAATTAACTATAAATGTAAAGACCTATTTCTGGACTCTGAACTATATTCCATGATCTAAATATTTATCTTTATGCCAGTACAACACTATTTGATTAGTGTACCTTTTTAGTAAGTAAATTGGGAAGTAAATGATTGGTTAAGTTGGTAGAGTGATTTGGTAACTATTGCCATTTAAAAATATTAAGAGTTATAATCCATAAACACAGAATGCCTTTTCATTTATTTAGGTTTTTCTTAATTTATTTCAATAGCATATTATAATTTTCAATGTAAAAAATAGTGTTAATAAACATAAAATAGAAGATAAATGGGTATGTCTCACCTTAATCACAGGAATATTCCTTGCCTAAATTCCCCATGTTCATAGTATTCGTTGCCCTAAAATATTCCATAGTGAGCATGGGCACTCTGATCCAGTGAATGATAAATTAATATAGATTTAAGACTGGCCATGGCTTTTGGTCTCACCAAATGGAAATCTATAGTTTTGCCTCAACTCATTACAATTTTTAATACAGCCCAATATAAGTCACAAATCCATTATACAAGACCTATTTAGTGAGGGGATGATTATCCCCACTACTTCTCCATTTAACAACCTGTTACATAATTTGAAATAACAATTAATTTGACCTAGTCTTGAGCTTGGAATGAATGATACCTCGTAGTGGATTATTGCACCTAGATACCTCTTAGGGCTACCATACCTAATATTAATTAAATTACTGACTCCAATAAACATCCAATAAATATTTTGCTGTTATAGATTTGTCTAATATGTTCTGTTCAGTGCCTATTTCAACAGTCTCTCAGCCACGGTTTACCTTAACCTTTGCAAAACCAAATACTTTCATCTGGATAATCATGGAATACCTTAACAGCTTTGCCATCCTCAGAACTCTTTGTAGACTGGATCTAAATTGTTTCCTACTTTATCTGGGAACATGGTATGACATTGTATTGATGACATCCTCCTCCAAGTTCATGTATTTGACACACTGATTCAGGACTTATAAAGGAACTCATGAAAAAAGGACGGGTCATTGCCATACACACAGTGCAAAGCCCTCCACTTCATTTAAAATCTTGAATATTATTTGATAGCCCAAGGGCTGTTTCACTTATGACAATGCTAGAAAAGAGCTATTAACTCTCTCAGCATTCATGGTGTTAAAACAAGTCCCAAACCTCTTAGGCCTTTTGGCTTCTGGAACCAACATATTACTAATTAATACATTTTACTTAAAATAATTTATGCTACTATTTGCAAACTGACCCACCTTGAATGAGACCTTTTTCAACAAAAGACTTGAGAATCTTTCCAGATAGCCATAAAACAAATGCTCTTATTAGTGTTCTGAGGGACTCCTTTGCTATATAGGTGTTAGCAACTTTCTCTCATGCTTTCTTGAGTCCCTAGACCATCCGTGATTCCTGTAGGTTGCTTACAGGATGGGTTTCTAAAAAGAAAATCACTTCTTTGGCCTTGTATTATTACCATTAGAGCAGCAATTATTGTTCAATATTGGAACATCTTGTAAACAGAATCTTTCATGCACCTCGAGCCCTTGTCCTTTTGTGTGTGCCTGCCCCTTATGCTTTGGGTTATGAAAGCAACACCCCCACATGTTTAGCAGGGCTATAAAGACCTTTTTGCTGCAGGATAAAGCCAAACTTGGGCCCTTTGGTATGTCTCACTTCCAGAAAGGTATAGTTTCTCTTGACCTCAGTCCTTTGCTTGATACCTGTCTTAGTCCTTTTGTGTTGCTATAAAGGAATACCTGAGGCTGAATAATTTAAAGAAAAGAGGTTTATTTGGTTCATAGTTCTGGGCTTCACAGGAAGCATGGCACCTGCATCTGCCTCTGGTGAGGTCTTCAGGCTGCTTCCACTCATGGCAAAAGGCAAAGTGGAGCTGGCATGCACAGAAATCAGAGAGAGAAATGTGAGAGTGGAAGCAAGAGAGAGAGAAGGGATGTGCCATGTTATTTTCACCAATCAGCTCTCATGGGAACTAATAGAGTGAGAACTAACTCACTTATTACTGTGAGGACAACACCAAGCCATTTATAAGGAAATCACCTCCATGACCCAATCACATCCCATTAGGCCCAACCTCCAACTTTGTGGATCAAATTTCAATGTGAGGTTTGGAAAGGTAAAACATCCAAACTACAGTAATGCTATAGTGCTGGAGGACGTAAACTGCTTCCTAGACCACTTGACAACCTGAGGAACTCCTGGAGCTCCCCTGAGTGAGTAGCAATGAAAGCCGATATCCTTTTGATACATTATTGCTACCATTACATGTGATGGAGCTCAGTGGAATGTGGCTGCCTTTCATCCCTTAACCAGAATGTGTCTAATAAAGAATCCAGCTGTGACGTGTCATGTTGACTGGATTCTCTGCCCTCGACTGGACATTTTTTAGATGCTTAACCCATTGGCAATGGTCTTCCTCTCTGACCTGGCCAATAGTAGCAGTAATTCTTTCTCCAAGATTGCTCTTTGGGGTAATCTGGGAATATCTTGCCTTATAGATAAAAAAAAATATAAATCAATTTCATACATATCTTTGCACCTACTGAAGCCATAATACAAGGTCTTAACAAGACACTCCTTCTTCCCTTCAGAATTTCAGATATCATTGATATTTATGGTGTGTTTCATTACAAATATTATAAAACACTTCAACACAATGCGATTCTAAATAAATGCAAAAGGTTGTAAAGACAGCAATTATATTTTAACTCTTTCCCCTTTTTTATCTTTGCCATTGTTTGCATTGAATGTTGTTTGTTTATAGCACTGTTGCTGGGTTCCATATTGTAATAGAATTTCCTTATGACAATAACGTATATTCAGAACTCTTTATGATTCATAATTTGATCAGAAGTGAGATATCTTTGTGAAAAAAACTGGACTCAGGAAAAATGGAATTTGAATTATGGCTTGCCCACTGAATAATAGTTTGATCTTATAAAAGTCAATATGGTGAGCCACATTTCTCATCTATAAAATGGGCACAACAGCATCTATATTATTCCATTGCTATAAGGAGTAAATGAAGGAATAAATGTAAATGCATATCACGCTGACTAGTACAAAGTGAGTACTCCATAAAGGGTAGGTATTATTTCTTTTCTATGAGAACTATTTTTTAAATATGATATTAGACCATTCTTGCATTGCTATAAAGAAATACTTGAGACTGAGTAATTTATAAAGAAAAGAGGTTTAATTGGCTCATGGATTTGCAGGCTGTACAGGAAGTGTAGGAGCTTCTGCTTCTGGGGAAGCCTCAGGAAACTTACAGTCACTGGGGAATGCGAAAAGGGAGCCAGCACTTCACATGGCCAGAGCAGGAGGCAGAGTGAGGTGGGTGGGGAAGTGCCACACATTTTTAAACAAGTGAATCTCAGGAGAACTTATTATCGTAAAGACAGCACCAAGGAAGATGGTGTTAGACCATGAGAAACCATCCCCATGATCCAATCACCTGCCACCAGGCCCCACTTCTAAAACTGAGAATTACAATTGTAGATGAGATTTGGCTGAGGACAGATCCAAACCATATCAGGTACATAAAAATGTTTTGTGGTGAAACAGCATTAAAAATCAAAGTAGACAGAAATAGAAGAGCAAGGTAAATAACATTTGAAATGCTCTAATGTAATATATAAGAGAGGTACAGTTTTCTGAAGAGTTTACTACATGCTAGAAATTGTGTTTTAAATATTTTACTCTAACATTCACAATTACTCTGAAGAAACTATTATTATGCTCTTTCAACATAAAGGAATCATTGCCTATATCATAAGAAACTTAAGGTGTTACCTGGCCAAATTCTCCACAGTTAATAAAGTAAGGTTCTGAAATAAAAGGTCTGTCTGCTTGCAACACTCACATGATTTTCACTAAATTTGTTTTCACTAATCAAATGAAGAGGATTCTATTGGAAGTCTCTGACAGCCAAGCAATTCACAGATGCCTAATTCCTTCCTCATAACTGTGAAAATTATAGTGTGTGTGTGTGCATGTTTCCTAGAAGTAATATTATTAATGATAGTCTTCCTACCCAAAAATAAAACCTTTTCCAAACAGCTGGGATAAACTATTACTTTCAATTCCCATACATTTTTTTCAATTAAAAACAATGTAGGAGGCAGCAATAAGTCCATTTATGAAGTTTGGTTTTCAAATTTAACAAATATTCAATCTATTGACTCTAAAAATAAATTATAATTCCTGAAAAACTATGGAAATGGTTTTGGGTGAAAAGCCTGAAGCCAATTTGAGCATCAAGTAAATATTGATTATGCAATACTAGAAATGGGTTTAGAAAACAGATTTTTAAAATGATTTTAGAGACATGTCTGCCAGCATACTCTTTTCATTTATTATTTTTCTCTTTTGGCGCTAAGATAAATTTGTTGCACATGTTAATTCTCAGTGTTTCTCCAAAATGCCATTCAGGTTACTTTAAACCTATCAATGGCCTAAAAGTCCATGAACATGGCAGGGCACTGTGGCTCACATCTGTAATCCTAGCACTTTCTGAGGCTGAGGCGGGCGGATCACCTGAGGTTGGGAGTTCGAGACCAACCTGACCAACATTGAGAAACCCCATCTCTACTAATAATACAAAAATCAGCTGGGCATGGTGGTGCATGCCTGTAATCCCGGCTGCTTGAGAGGCTGAGGCACGAGAATTGAGAGGCTGAGGCAGGAGGTGGAGGTTGCAGTGAGCTGAGATCACGCCATTGCACTCCAGCCTGGGCAACAAGAGCAAAGCTCCATCTCAACAACTACAACAACAAAAGTCCACGAACATATTTTCTGTCCTAGAAAATGTTTTATGAAGAACTTACAGAAGTATTTTATGAATCAAAACCAATACCTAGAGAATTGATATATATTTTATTACGATTGTCTAATTTTAGAAGTTGGGGGTTTTATTTTTTTCTGAAATTAAAATCAGAAAAATAAATGTGTTCAGAAATTGCTATGATATTCAATAATGTCTTGCACCATTGAGTAGCGTTCATATTCTTTCAGAAATTTAGCAATATTTTTTACTTTGTGAGTCAGTAATAATTGCCAAATATTTGTCCCACTCATTTTAAAGGTAAATGACATTACAGGGTAATTTTTATACCTCACTTTGGAACTCTAACAGGCATGACTTTGAGTTCTAGCTATGCCAGTAACATGATCCTGCAAAATGTGTTTAAGCTTTATAAGTTTCAGATTTACCATTTGCATCATAAAGATGCTAAAACCACTTATATCCATGTAATCTAATAATGAATGATTAAATGAGCTAAACCCTGCAATGTGCTTAACACTGAGCACAGCAAATTCTTAATAAATGTTAGTTTTGATTGCATGTATTATTATTACAAAATATAATCATAAAAACAAAATTATTACTAAAATGATTTGACTCTGCGTAAGGTTAAAATCCTGAAAATTTCCTACCTCCCCACATTTTCCCTAACTCCCACTCCCTCATCTTGATTTTTGTGGAGATGTGTCTAATGGTGACCTTGGGAAACCATTCTAAGTTGCCTGGACAATGACCCATTTGGGAACCAAGGCTATTTCTCCCAGAAGAAGATGTGGCACCCAAGTTCCACAAATTATGGGGCCCAAGATCCTCATGAGACATCTGGTTTTCTGAGGCAATTCCTATAAGCAAATAGCAGGAACCTAAATCCATGCTCACCAATAAACCTGCACTTTTCCGATAGAAAATTATTCTTTTTAATGCTTGCATATTTGCTACTCTGTTTTTTTTTTTTTTTTTGTAAGGTAAT
Source organism: Homo sapiens (assembly GCF_000001405.40). Lineage (NCBI taxonomy): Eukaryota > Metazoa > Chordata > Mammalia > Primates > Hominidae > Homo > Homo sapiens. The sequence goes on along the minus strand of NC_000003.12, from coordinate 145,736,653 downwards.
GCCCCTTTCCTCAAAAATAAACCACACTCTTGGTCTCTATGGCCCTTGAGAGAATATAAGAGATTAGGGCACTGTACCTTTCCTTGCTAACCCTTGGCCCACAAAATGCCTCAAAAAGCCCCATTCTTAACCAGTACTGGGTGTTGCTGCATTTGCTCCAAGCATTGCTAGACACCATGAAGGATACTACTTTCTATGACTCTTCCTTTGAATTTGTTATTTTGTTTTTAGCATCTGAGGCATTTTGAAATATAATGTCTCAATATCAAGAATGATGTTATACTTTTGAAATCATAGTATTTATGTTAACATAATCATAAGATTTTAAAATATAAAAGATGCTCTTTCCTTTAAAATTTATGACTCAGACTACTTTTTCTAGCCTTTTGCACATTCCTATTAGTGAAAACACCTTTGCAAAAATTATAACTGAGAAAATTATGACAGTAAAAAAGATCAGACCTAACAGACCCCATCTTGCTTCTAACCTATAAGCTCTACTTGTTTATTCCTGGCATAGGCCAAACTAACCTTGGGAAGGAATTTAGTTTACAGTTTAACTTTTAAACAAAATTGGTAATAGCCCTTTCCCAGAAAACAAAACAAAACAAAACAAAACAAACCTTCTTGCCTGGAGACCAGTCTGTCTTTGTAGTACTAACAAATTAGCTACAAGATTAGAAATTACAGTTTAGGTGCCATGTAGCCTCGGGCTGCAAGAGTGTGAGCCTCCCAATTGTTCTTGGGAATAACATCACTGTTATAAAATTTAGGTGTAGTGCTTGAGACATTTTGCAAACCCTGTGTTCCAACACACCAGTTAACACTGCCCAGACCGGTAATCTGGCTCAACCAGTTTTGCAATCTTACCCATGAACAGAAGACAGCAAGAAGAACACACTTCCACCCCCTGTGATTCCATCTCCAACCTGACCAAACAATCCCCACTTCCCTTGACCCTACCTGCCAAATTAACCTTAAAAACTCCAATCCCTGAGTTTTTAGAGAGACTGATTTGAGTAATAATATAACTCCAATCTCCCACACAGCTGGCTTTTGCATGAATTACTCTTTCTCTGTTGCAATTCCCTTGCCTTGATAAATTGGCTTTGTCTAGGGAGGGGCAAGGTGAACCCATTGGGCCATTACATTACTTACTAAACAGGTTGTTCTTTTGGATTCTAGAGATGCACAAAATTGCACTTAAGTTGTTTTTGTGTTTATACCAAATATGTTATAACAGAGAAATCTATATGTAGCTGTAGTTGCCAGCTTCTACTGGATAAGGCTGCATTAACAAATCCTCCGAATCTCATTAGCCTACAAGACAATAATTTATTTCTCATGTTAGCAATTGGTTGCTGTGAATATGTTGTGATTCTATTCCTCACGTCTTAGTATAGAATCCATGCTTGCTTTCATGGCAAGAAATAACAGCAAAGGAACGGGTGGAAATGCACAGTGGTTATTAAGGTTATTAAGATTCTCTAAAGTTGTGGTGTGTGTCACATTCTCTACAATGCTATGGACTGAAGCAGTGGGGGCGAGGACTTGTAACTTCAGAGGGGGCCCTAAATGTCATGTGGCAACTGGTGGGGTTATATAATCCTCTTACTGGGAGGGAGAGTAAATGTTCTGAAACAATAATAAAATTGCCTATAGTCGCTCTATTATTTACACATTTACTATTAAACCACTAAACAATAATACTTAAAAGATAGCATGTCATTTATTATAAATAGAAAAAATAAAACATATTTAGCATGCAAGTGTAGGAGAGGCAAATCTTGACCTCTACTCTCTCAGGGTCTCCAGTTCGGTTAAATTGACATAAGACAGATTAACAGGAGAAACCTAGTTCAGGCCATGATAGAAAGGAGGATTGGACATGCTTTATTATACTTTCCTCCCTTTGGAATTCAGGCACAAATTTCCAGCATTAATATTAAAACAGGGATCTTAAGAATGACAAAATGGACTTTTTGTAGCAATAAGATATCACATTCCAACCTGACTCTAGTATAGCATCACGTGACAGATAGCAGGCCCTGTATGAAATCAAAGTATCTTACCCCAAAATATATCTTATTAATAGTTCTACTTGAAAACTGATTTTAATGTGGCCCTGAGATGAACAAAATATCTGTTTCCTAGATATCTCTACACAAGTGTAGAGCTATCTGGGTGACAGAACAGGATCCTGTCTAAAAAAAATTAAATGAAATTAAAATTATAATAAAATTAAAAATGTAAATATTTATTAGATCAGAACAAATAAATCAGTGATTTTGACTATACAGTAATTTTCTAAAAATATTGGCTTAATTTATGGTTTCTGGAAGGGTACAGGTAAATATGTAACCATATGCATATTTAAAACTACTAAATTTATATCAATCACAGAACACCTTTTTATGTTTATCTAACATGGTGCTCTTGAAATTTTGAATTATATAATGATCATTTTTGCTATAGCAGCAGTGTTTTTCATTCACTAAATCTATTTTGTATTGTTACTTTAATTGTATCTTAAATTTAATGAAATTATTTAGCTTAAATTGTAAACAACTGTTGTTCTGGACTTTACAAAATGAGTACACATTTATTTCTAGAAGTTGTGGAATTCTTGTTAGGAAGATATGGAAAACCTTCCATCAAAACATTACTGTCACTGCTGATTATAGCAATGAGCATTATAAGGTATACCGAACCACATGACTGAAAAACTTATGGCCAAATAAAGACAGAATGTAATATTGATCAAAGAGCTGTGAACTAGATGGCAGGACATGTGAAACGAAACCCAGTCATGCTATCAGAAAATTGAACTGAGTTCTTTAGGTTTTAGATGGTTCCTGTTTAAAAATGAGAACATTGAACTATTTAATCAGTGACATCTTCCAAAATGATAAACCTGGAATTTACTTAATTTTTGTAAATTATCTCATGTGATGAAGAAAATTCACCTTGACAATCATTTTTAGATTTTGAAAGGTAAAATGTATGAATCTTATAATTACATTAGCAATTGACAAGTTGGTATGTATCCTAAAATAAGAAAAAAAATCCCACAAAATTCTACTTTTAACTGTGCTGCCTAAGCATCTAATTATTCTCCAATATTCTTATTTCTATAACACTTTAATATCATAACCTCCATGTCGACCTACTCTTTTATAATTCAGAATAATGCAATTTTAATGTATGTATTATATAAAAATTGTTTGTATCTATGATGTAGATGCAAAATACTTATTACATTGATATTCTCCCCTTTCTAAGGATCTCACAGAGCTATATCCATTCATGAAACAGAGAAAAACAAGATACATTCAAACAAATAATCATGTTTTCCACAGTGTCAAACAGAAAATCAAATATAAAAAAGTATAAAAACAAAATTCCAGTTAGAAAAACATTTATTGTTATATAATCAAATATGTTCAATGGAAGAATCCAGTACTATTGTTTAACAAATTTCATCTTCTTGAATATGTTTTCAATTATTTGTAGCATTCAAACAAGCTTCTATTCAGTCATCAACTTTTCATTCTTTCTGTTTAATACTGCTTGCTTCTTTCCTGTTCTCATCAAATACAGTATTCAAACACATGGAAAGGTGATTAACAAAAACTGAGTGAAAGTTGGCTAAGTATAGAATTATCACCAAGTTAGATATCATTAGAATGGAAAATTAGTAACTACTTCTAAAAAGCAGCATTGTAGATTTACATGCAAATGTGAATGGTTTAATTCATCTAATTCTATAACTCTTTAAACATTTTCATGATAATCCAATGCAGAGATTTTAATTATACAACATAGTTTAACAAGTTATTTTCTTGGTGCTGTTTTGCAAAGATAAGGCAAGAACTTTGTTTTAAGGCAGAACTCTGAAGTTGTGTTCACGTTACAAATAAATTTTCTTATATATATGTATTCTAGTTTCTTTAAATGTGCACATCTTCGATAGTTTTAAATTGTTGTAAATCATATCATACATACAAAAATATAAATATTATATGTGTATGTTTCAAAATAATAAAAAATTTTCACGCTCACCACCCAGCTTATAGAAGTGCAGTATATATATCTTTAAAGCCTTCTATTTACCTCTCTCCAATTTTGTCTGCATTTCTGACTCCCAGTTTCTGAATTTTGTGTTTATCATTCTCTTGCTTTTCTTTATAGTGTTATTGTGTATCAATGCATCCCTAACACTACACTGCTAATTTGCATACTTCATAAACTTTACAGAAGTAGAATTGTATTCTGTGTATTATTCTGTGTTATGTTTCTTTTATTTAATATTGTGTTTTCTATTGTTACTGACGGATGAGGTGTTTATCTAAGTTGTATTGCTGTTTGCTATCCCATTATGAATGCTACTACATTTTATGTATCTATTCTCCTGTCAAAGAGAATTGGATTATTTCAAAGGCTGGCCCTTCCAAATGGTGCTGCCATGAATCCTCTTGCGCTTTTCTTCAGGGCAAACAGCTAAGAATGGAATTGCTGGGCCACATGATATTCACATCTGTAGATTTGCTAAATAATGCGAGGTTGTTTCTCATTATGGTTACATAAATAACTTCATCCACTAACAATTGATGTATTTCAGTTATTCCACACACACGCTAAGAATTTTTCCATGACATTTTAATTCTTGGTATCTGAGTGTAGAATTTTTACCTCATAATTTTATTTTCTCCCACTTACTAATCACTTTTCATATTTGTGTTTTCTCTTCCGTGAACTATTTCTCTTGTTTAAGAAATTCTTAGACTTGTTTACTTTCTCTCTGTATCTGTTTCTTTTTCTCCCATGCATGTTTTGGAGGCATTTTACTTTCTAGTTCACCCAACTGCAGTTATCACCTTGAGAACTACTTTTCCTGGGAGTCACTAACCAAGCTTGGTCTAGGATACTAGGCCTTGTCTTCTGTGTGCCCTTTTGTGTGGTGGATTTGAGTCAAAGCCTTGAGCCACCATGTATTACTGGTGGTTCCAGCTTCAGCTCCTACTTAGTTCTCCATAGTAATGTATTTTCATTCGCTTTAAAGGATTAAAAATAATGATAATCAGCATTTTTAATTGGATTATACCTGGAGGTTGTTTCAAGCTACCACTTTTCTAGAAGAAGAAATTATTTGATTTATCTTATTCAGAAATAATTCACTTGGTGCAATATCCATAGATGAAGAAGGTTGTGATATCTGTGTATCCAAGTTTTATTTGTATTTATTTATGTTCTCACAATATCATGTTACCTGTAACTAAGTTAAAATGTCTATGTTTGTCACATCCTAATAATTCCTTACATGGTGGTATGCTTGCTCTGTACTTTGCAATACTACAGCCCCTTCTCTACCACAGTTGTTAAAATTGGTAGTATCTGACTCAAGAATAGCTAGCACCTTAGCTAATCTTCCCATTAGAATGTGGCCCAGTGTAAAATCGCCACACAAAGAAACACAGGCCTTATGAAGACCAGTTAGAGATTCTATCTTATATTTGATCTGGGCAATATAGTATCTGTCAATTGTTAGGTGTGTATTTGGTAAAAGTGAACTGAATGAAGCCAAATCTAAAAGAAAGAACAGTTACATAGAGAAGACAGTGAGTTTGTTAATTACATCAGGAAACAGATTTGCAGAGCAGACACTGGCAAATTACAAGAGAGAATAAGTATTTCTTAACTTCTACTCTTGAAGGTTTGTTAAAGATAACAAGTTTCCTGGAGCTTCTTTGTAAAGGTGAAAGGGCACCCATGTCCAATGCTTGAAAGAACAATTGTATTAGAATGTGGAGGAGTGCTGTATGCAGGAAAGGACCAGACCTTTTTATTTCCAGCTTATTATTGATCAATAATTTAGTAAATCATAATTAAAATGAAATACTTGAAAACTGAGATAGAAAACAAATAAGCAATATGCAAGGTCATATTTTTAAAATTAAATTCATCAGACAAAAGTCCACTCTTTCAGGTTCCTATAAAAGTCTAAATGGTTACCTCCATATTCCTGAACTCATTTAATTTATTAGTCACATTGGCAGAACTTGCACTGGCTGTGGACCACACTGTAAAAAGTACTGGTTTAGAGGAACTCACCTGTTCTTTCCCTGTGCTTCTACTTCTGCGCAAGTAGGGAGGAGTGGGGGCATTTTTATCTTCTTGCCCCAAGTTTTAGCATCTCCCCCATGGGGCTGTCACTCTGTCTACCCTTCTATCAAGCTTCATCAGTTGGATCCAAGAAAAGAGGAAAGCCTACTCAAGACACAGTCCAGCATAATCATTAGCTTACACTTTCTATTGTCTTGGGTGGTGTTTTTAATTTTAGAAGCTATGAGTGCCATACCTACGTATGCTTGCCTGTTTACTTTCTTTCTGTTTTACCATCTTGTCACTGCAATGTTGCAATTAAATTGGTTCAGACTCAAATGTAAATAATCTGTCATTTTGCTTCATGGTGGAGGAAGAACTTACATTGTGGAACAAAATTCTACATGTGGAGATTGAATCTTTTTGTCTGTGTAGCCAGTGTGAACAGATATAATTGGAAACAACTATTGCAATCAAGAAAGTAAGCATATTTGGGGTTCAGGATCTCACACTCAACAAGCACCTAGTCTTAGTTGTGACTAAAAGTTTACTTCTAGAAAAAAGGAGAACTTCTGAAAGCTTTGACTGCAATGGACAGTTTTGATTCTCCCTAAGTTCATATGTCAAGATGAAGAAGGAGAGCTCTTGTTCAATCCATGGAAAGGTCACTTCAAAAGAAGTTTTATCAGAATTTAAAAAATTAACTTCTTCATTTTCTGTTTTCATGCCTGGTGCTATGGTCTCTTTGGCTTCTTTAGGGCAAGTCAAGTCTTGCTGTTTCAGAAAAGCAGTTTGTGGGAAGAAATATGTGTAGTTTCAGGGGATTAATAAAGCTAAACCAAGCCCCAAGGATGTAAATAGCAAGAGGAAGATAAGAAATGGATAAAGCACATTGTGACAGTTATTCCCTCAGTGCGTTTTATTAGGGCACTGAGGGAATACGATCAGAGAGAGTCAAGAATGGAAGCACAGGGGCAGGAAAGCCTTTGATTTTCTGCAACACTGTGGAAAATAGCAGGCAAAATTAGGGCCTTGGTAAGCGATTTCTTCTGGTTGAACTTAAGTTAATAACCAATGGAAAAGAAGATTGGCAACAAGATGATTGACATTTCAGTAAGACTAAAATGAATATGTATATAATTTTATTTTTATTTTTACTTTATCTGTCTAGTCTAAACCTTCTTTAGTCCAGCTGTTTTAAAATCCTTTCTATGTCCCATTAGTGGAAATAACCAAAATTTATTTTCTTAAAAAATGTTATTGCTCTGGCTGGGCATGTGGCTCAAGCCTATAATCCTAGCACTTTGGGAGGCTGAGGCAGGAGGATTGCTTGAGCTCAGGAGTTTGAGACCAGCTGGGCAACATAGACAGACTGTGTCTCTACAAACAATATTTCTTAAAAATACCTAGGCACGGAGGCATGTGCCTGTAGTCTTACCTCAGGAGGCTGAGGCAGGAGAAACTCTTGAGCCCAGGAGTTAGAGGCTGCAATGAAATATGATCATGCCACTACTCTACAGCCTGGGGGACAGAGTGAGATCCTGTCTCAAAATAAATACGTAAGTAAATAAAAATGAAACAAATATATTTTTTGCTGCAGTGGTTACGTTTGGTTTTATATTTTATAGTGATTGAGGCTGGTATTAAATTTACATATTCTATTATCCATTTTGATGCATGGAATTGATGGTCACTGTTATGGGCAGAATTGTGCTCCCTCAGAATCCATATCGAAGTTGTAACCCCAAGTACCTCAGAATGTAGCTACATATAGAGATAGGACATTTCAAAAGGTAATTAAGGTAAAATGAGGTCATATGGTGCACCCCAACCCAATGTGACAGGTGCCCTTATGTCCAGAGGAGATTAAGACACAGACACAGACAAAGGAAATACCATGTGAAAACACAGGGAGAAGATAACCATTTGTAAACCAGAAAGAGAGGCCTCAGGAAGAAAACAGACAAACAAACAACAACAACAAACTATTGACACATTGATCTCAGATTTTAGCCTCTGGAAATGCAAGAAAATAAGTTTCTGTCACTAAGCTACCCAGGCTGTGGTATTTTGTCATGGCAGCCCTAGCAAACTAATGCTAACATGTAGAGACATATGAGGAGAGACTTAACTTTGGAGAGGTGGAAGAAGTACCTTTTACTTCAGTAAAGAATATGTCAAGTTTCACTGCTGAGTAAAGAACCACACTTCTACCCAGACATCAGAATATTGCTCATTTTGGCTTAAACTGAACAAAATATAAAATTTTAGGGGAAAAACATGCTGTAGTGTAATTTATTTTGTCATTAAATTCTATAAAGGAATGTGACTTTATTTGTGGGTTTTAATGTCACTTTGGGAGTTTAATAATGAGAAATGGTTTTAAGTTTTGAGCATTTATTATCTTATTAGTACGTCTACCGTAAAATCTCCATGAATTATGCTGGACAATATAGGAGTTATTTACTTGATTGTTTATAGTTGGGTATTTGGTGGGCTAAAAATGTGAGAGGAATGAATATAAAAGGGATGATGTGCTGTACTTTAAAAGGTCAGCATCCATGCATGATGCCCACTTTTCCCATTTCTGGCTTCTATATTTTGAATAGTAGGACCTGCCTCCATGGACTAGCCTGTGTGTGTGTGTGTGTGTGTGTGTGTGTGTGTATGTGTAACAAATTGTCCTCAAATATTAGCAGCTTAAAAAGTACATATTTAGCATTTCACAGTTTCTGTGGGGCAGGAATAAATGTTGGCATAGCTTAGGGCCTCTCACAAGTCCTTAATCAAGGCATCAGCTGTTGGTACAGTCTACTCAGGATTTGCCTGAGGCAGGGTTTGTTTCCAAACTCATTCAGTGGTTGTTGGCAAGATTCAGTTACTTATGGGCAATTGAACTGAGAGCCTCAGTACATCACTGGCTGTTGGCCGAAGTCCACCCTTAGTTCCTTGCCATGTGGATCTCTCCATAGCCGCTTACCACATGGCAGCTGGGTTTATCAAAGTGAACAAGAGAGACAGAGTGAGTTTCAGTAAAAAGGAAGATACAGTTTCTTGTAACTTAATCGAGGAAATGACATGACCACTTTTGCTGTATTCGATTTGTACCGTATTTGTTGGAAGCTACTCACTAGATCCAGCCCATCCCCAGGACAATGGATTACACAGGGGATCATGTTAGAAGGCTGCCTAACTTTGTGCTTTATTGCTTCTATTTCTGTAACTCTATGTGGATACTAGGTAGATAAAACTTATGCTTCAGCTTGTTTTTCACATTGAAATACTGTAAATTCAGAGGGATTTACTTCAGTTTCCAGGTCTTAGTAGTGTTTTCAAATACAATTTTTTACAAGTAAGACCTGGATTGTGTGAGTGATTTTTTTTTTTTTTTTTGTCTATTAGTCATGTGGTACTTTGTTTCTCATTGGGTTATTTTTCCTTATATACAATGGTTCCACATAAGGTTTTCAAGGAGATTGTGGTCTCCAGAACATACATCAGAGGGTTTACTAACATGAGGGCTACAAAATCTTATATGCAGCAACAAGGAGATAACAGTGACGTTAATGAGAGCAGATTTGGTAGATGATTAGAAACAGAACATTGAAACACGTTGAATACTGAAGATGACAGAGGTAGGGATATAGCATGTATTAACTCATGTTATTCATTTATTCATACATATTCCTTCATAAATATTCCTTACTATAAGATATCATGTAGAGGCACAAGGGATACTGTGGTGAACAACTAACTCAAAGTTTCTAAACCTCATTTTAGTGAGAAGAGCAATTTTAAATAATGAATTTTGGAGGTATTTTTTATTGCAATTGTGATAAACACTATCAAGGAAATAGAGATCTATCCATGAGAATGCATTAAAGAACAACCCCTAGTCAGAGTTTATGAGAGGAGTCTACCTGGAGGAAATGACAACTCAGCTGATCTCTTAGTAAAGATCAGGAGTTAATTATGAGTAGAGGAAGGAGAAAAGGATCCAAGCAAATAGAAAACTGTGTGCCAAGGTTTTTAATTTGGAAGCATCATGGTTTCTTGGAAGAATTAAAAAAAAAGCAAAACAGGACACCAGTGGGCTATGGTGTAAGTTGGGTGTCTTAGTCTACTTGTGGTACTATAACAAAATACATCACAGGAATTTATTTCCCACAGCTCTGGAGACTGAGAAGTCCATGATTAAGGTGCAAGAAGGTTCAGTGTATAAGGAGGGCCTGGTCTCTTTTTCCGAGAAGGCTCCTTGTTTCTATGTACCCCAGACATGAGAAACGTTATGCACTCACATGATGAAAGAGATGGAAGAGGGAGGCAATTGTGTTAAGCTGCTTTTACAAGGGAATTAATGTCTCACATTATCTAATCACCTCTCATGGGTGCCATCTTTTGATATCATCACCTTGGCAGGTAAATTCCACGTAAGAATTTTGGAGGGACACATACATTTAAACCACAGCATTCAAGATATTAAGTAGGGGCTGTATAAGCCATGTTAAGAATTTAGGACTTTAAGACAATGAGACGCAGAGAAAGAACATGACCACAAGGTCAGGATTACTTTAAAAAGTCTGACTTTGTGGGGAGCTTAGGCAAATGTACCAAAGAAAGAATATCGGTGTATAGCAGGGAAAATTGTTATACCACAAATTATGTGATGTAAAAATACTTTGCTCTTTAGTTTAATTAATTTTTATAATTTTCACATAATTATCTACAATTTTACTCTTGAAACCCATCCCACTTAATTTCAGGGTAAAATATTCTTGAACTTAAAAGTATCTGTCTCAACTTATCAGTCTCTAAACTCTACTGAGTTTGTTTGTCAAGGTTTTTCTTCACCCTTCTTTTTGCAAAGAGTGTCTGGTTGTAGTGTAAGGTTTCTGCCATTTCACTTGAATGAGGAATAGATTGTTGACTGTGTTTGTGGATTTATGTGTTCTATGTGTCCTTGGTAGTTTTGACTGTAAGAAAATAGTGAGATTTGAAAGCTGAGGCTTTTGCACTGGACCATGGATGATCAATGCAGCTTGCCAGGTTCTTCATGGCATCATGCTAAAAACTGAGCATCTTGGCAGGGTGCTCTTGGCTGTGAAGTCTTTAAAAACTGAGCTCTTTTTTTATCATGGTCACAGACCTTGATTCGTCTTCTGGTCCTCTCAGCACTTCTATGTGCAGTGCTTTCCCAGTTGTGATACACTGGACATTTAGACTATACTGCAATACTTATGCAACTTGGATAGATAGGTCCATTCAAAACATGCTGCATTACTGTTTTTCAACATGTTAAATGGCTGACTGGGGGCCTTGAAGACTCTGCTATGCTATACTTTAAAAAATATGCCATTATCCACAGTATTTTAGATTTCTCCAAATCACTGGTATAATTCTACCACATGTTCTCTTCAAGTAGTATCATTTATATGAACTCATGGCTTCCTTAAGTGTCATTTAAGGAATTTAAAACATTATTTTCTCTTTCTAATAATCCTTGACTTTCATCCTTTTGTCTAGATATAAACTAAAAATATTACTGTTGGAAGATTTAAAATTCTGTATGTTGTAGTACATTGAATTTCAACTTTATCTGGAGACTTAGTTCTAGTTTCCCATTTTATCTATACCCTGTGTAGCTATTAAAACCCAAAGCTCTGGGTTATCAGGTGTATTAGTTTATTCTTGCATTGCTATAAAGAAATACCTGAGCCTACATAATTTATAAAGAAAATAGGTTCAATTGGCTCATGGTTCTACAGGCATGGAGGAATCAGCTTCTGGGGGTGCTCAGGAAACTTGTAATCACGGTGGAAGGCAAAGGGGAGCGAGGTTTCTCACAAGGCTGGAGCAGGAGGAAGATAGAGAGAGGGGGGAGGTGCTATACACTTTTAAAACATCCAGACCTCCCGATAACTCATTCACTTACTATCAGGAGAATAGCACGAAGAGGATGGTGCTAAATCATTCATGAAAACTCCTTCCCCATGATCCAATCAACTCCCACTAGGCCCCACCTCCAACAATGGGGATTATAATTCGAAATGAGATTTGGTGAGGATTATAATTCGAAATGAGATTTGGTGGGGACACAGTTACAAACCATATCACCAGGCATAGCACAAACCCTGAGGGTTTATCATTGGCTTACTACCTAGAGTCATGACTGATCATGCTTATTTTTTATGATGTGTGAATTTTAAATTTTCTGTTTTTAAGTTCAGTTAATGCACTTAAACTATATTAGCTATTTGATAATAGCCATTCTAACAGGAGTAAGGTATTATCTCATCTTGGTTTTGATTTGCTCTTCACTAATGGTTAGTGACATTGATATGGTTTGGCTCTTGTGGGAGGGACCCAGTGGGAGGTAATTGAATCATGGGGGCAAGTCTTTCCTGTGCTCACTCTTTTGTGATAGTGAATAAGTCTCACAAGATCTGACAGGTTTAAAAAGAGGAGTTCCCCTCTACAAGCTCTCTCTCTTTGCCTGCTGCCATCCATGTGAGACATGACTTGCTCCTCCTTGCCTTCCACCATGATTGTGAGGCTTCCCCAGCCACGTGGAACTGTAAGTCCAATTAAACCTCTTTCTTTAGTAAATTGCCCAGTCTCAAGTATGTCTTTATCAAAAGCATAAAAACGACTAATATGGATGTAGAGCATCTTTTCATGTACCATTTTGAAATTTGCATGTCTTCTTTTGAGAAATATGTATTCAGGTCACTTGCCCACTTTTAAATTCTAGTTATTTGTGTTTTTGCTATTGAGTTGTATGAGTTTCTTATATATTTTAGATATTAACCTCTTATCAGATAAATGATTTGCAAACATTCTCTTTTATTCTATAGGTTGCCTTTTCACTCTGCTTATTGTTTTTACTGCTGCGCAGAAGCTTTTTAGTTTGATGAAATCCAACTTGTCTATTTTTGTTTCTGTTGCCTGTGCTTTTGGTTTTGCAACTGAAAAAATTATTGCCAAGACCAATGCCAAGAAGGTTTCTCCTTATTTCATTTTATTTTTTGGTAATTTTACAGTTTCAGGTCCTAGTCTTTAATCTGTTATTCATTTTGGGTTCATTTTTGTATATGGTGTGAGATAAGGGTCCATTTTTATTCTTCTGAATGTGAATACCCAGTTTACCTTAAACCATTTATTGAAGCAAAAAAGGACAAAAGGATAAAGAAAATGTTGCATATATACAATGAAATATTATTCTGTTTCAAAAAAGGAAGGAAATTCTGCCATTTGTAACAACATAAATGTACCTTGAAGATATTATGCTATGTGAAATAAACCAGACACAGACAAACAGAGCATACTCTTACTTACATGTGGAATCTAAAATAGTCAAACTTATAGAAACAAAGAGTAGAATGGTTAGATGATGGTTGCCAGGGGGCAGAGGAGAGTGAGAAGTTGGTCAAGGGAACAAAGTGTCAGTTATGTAAGATGAATGACTTCTGGAGATCTAACGTAGAGCATGGTGAGTATAGTAATAACAATACTGTACTATGTATTTGAAATTTGCTAAGAGGACATGTCTTAATATTCTCACCATACACACATACACACACACATGCACACACAAAGAAAATAGTAATAATGTGAGGTTATGATTATGTCAATTAGCATGATGGTGGTGATCATTTCACCATGCATACATGTATTAAAACACTAAGTCATACCTCTTAAATATGTACAATTTCCATTTATCAATTATATCTTGAGAAACCTGAAAAAAAATTAAAAATAAAATATCTCAGATATTATTTGAAAATGTTTTATTGTGAGAGGGTCTCTAGAATATTTATACAACAGGATTACTCTCAAATTTGGCCGCATCTATTATCTTTTTTGCTATAGTTGTAATTCCCTATTAGTTTTTCTACTATTGCTTCCTTGGCATTACTAAACCATTTCACTCTTTCTGTTGTTTTGCTATATCTTTTTGGAGCCCTTTTCTCTTTTCTTTGAGATCTTCCTTTAGAGATAATATATTTTCTTTCAGTACTATAACATAATTGAGTAGTGGCATATTTTTTAATTTCTTTGTGGTTTATATATTTGTTATGTTTCTTCTTATAATTTACATACTTGCCTCTCTTTCTCCCATCTGAATGTAGTACTAATATTGGTTTCCTGTAGGTTCATACTTATAACATAATAATCCAACAAATGATTGAATGTGTGAGGGGAGAAGCATGTGAAGCAGAGCCTGGTCAGCAGGGACTTGGGTTGTAGTCTGTGGCACAGCCCATTCTCACCCACACTCTGCTTTTGCATGTTTCTCCCCGAGGCTGGTAGGAATTAAGGTTCAACTAGCAGGGAAGCTTCATATTCATGTATCAGGTAGACTCTTAAGCCATCCTAAATCAATTGCAGAGCTTCTTTGTTGCCCACATTTTCCCTTTTATCCTGCAAAAAGAAAGTCTTATTCTTTCACACTTGACATGTCTGGAAGTTTCCTGGTTCTACCTCATTCCTCTTGCACTCAGCAGCATGAGGCAGCATGCTTGTTTGAGTCTTCTGGACATGCAAACTACCTGGGGACAAGGGCTTTACTTAGTGTCTGCAGCATCTGTTATAGACAACCTTATTTTACCTCACCTTATCTTTACTGTTATTAATAAATGCTGTCTTTGGATTGTAGCATTCTTTTGGAACTCTATCTAGTTAAACTAAACGTTAGTTTTTCTTATTTTAATTCTTGTTGACTTTTTTTTGTTTGAAAGAAGAAATTGCATTGCATTGTTAAAAAAAATTCATGATACATTAAAACAGTAAGGCAGGTTTTATTTATACTATTTATTAAAACCGTAAGGCAGGGGACTATCATAATAGGTATAGGGACTACTGGAGTGGGATTTACAGTAAAGGGGTAAGATTAGGCTCAACTCTGAATACAACAAGGAATGGTAGGAATTTATAGCCGAGGAGCAGGGGTGGGTGAATGAAAAGCACCAAGAGGAAACATCAGGGGTAAGAGGAGATTCTGGTTAAATCGCCCTAACAGGATTCTTGCTGAAGTCAGGCCACAGTAATCAGACATCACCTGGGCTATGGTGGAGGATAAGAGCCCTGACCAGATATTGAAGGTGACCAAATATGAGGGTGGGATGTACATATATATATTATAATTCATTTATATATATATAATCTAGCAGAATTTATATATATAAATTCATTCATTTATATATATATTTATATATATTTATATATACACACCATTTGTTTATATATAATATTATATATAAATATATATATTTTTATATATATATATAATATTATATATAAATATATATATTTTTATATATTTATATATAATATTTATATATATATTTTTTATATATTTATATATAAATATTATATATAAGTAAATATATTTTTTATATATTTATATATTTTATTTATATTTATATATATTTATATATATATTTTTATATATTTATATATATTTATATATATTTTTATATATATTTATATATTTATATATTTATATATATTTTATATATATTTATATATATTTATATATATTATATATTATATATATTTATATATATTATATATTATATATATTTATATATTTTATATATATTATATATATTATATATATTTATATATATTATATATATTTATATATATTTATATATATTATATATATTATATATTATATATATTATATATATTATATATATTATATATATTTATATATATTATCTATATTATATATTATATATATTTATATATATTATATATATTATATATTTATATATATTTATATATTATATATATTATACATTTATATATATTTATATATTATATATATTTATATATTATATATTATATATTTATATATATTTATATATTAGATATATTATATATATTTATATATTATATATATTATATATTTATATATATTTATATATTATATATATTATATATATTTATATATTATATATATTATATATATTTATATATTATATATATTATATATATTTATATATTATATATATTTATATATTTAAATATATTTATATATTATATATATTATATATATTTATATATATTATATATTATATATATTATATATATTTATATATATTATATATTATATATATTATATATATTTATATATTATATATATTATATATATATAATATATAATATATATTTATATATATTATATATTATATATATTTATATATATTTATATATTATATATATTTATATATATTTATATATTATATATATTATATATTTATATATATTTATAGATTTTATATGTATAAATTATATATATTTATATATAAAAATATATAAATTATATATATTTATATATAAAAATATATACATTTTATATATATGTTTGTATATTTATATATAAATTTATATATATATTTTTATATATTTAATATAAAATATTAAATATATAAAAAAATATATAAATATATATATGAATATATATATAAATATATATATATATATAAAACTTAGCAGAATTCTTGCTAAACTAACTTAGCAGGATTCTTCCAAAATTAGGTGATGCAAAGACATGCCAAAAGTCTAAGGCCTAGTTGGCAAGAGGATTCAGAGGTACCTGACTACTATTTGGTCAGAAAAATATTCTGCGTCTGTAGCAAAAATTGAAAAAAATACTTCTGAGATATTTAAACACAAATAGGACAGTGCAATTTGAGCACTAACCTAAACGTGTGTGTAAACAAAGTCCAAATCAACTTTCACTAATTCCTCCTTTTCTCTCCTTCCTCTCTTCATTTATTCATTTATTTTCTTATAACAGACCCTAAAACTCCTCAAATATCCTTTATTGAATATAAGTGAAAACAAATAGGAAAAAGGCAGGAAAATAAGATCCTTTATGAGGTAAGTAATATAAAAGAAAGGTTTCATATTAATATTAATTTTCAATATTAAAGATAGATCTGTCTCCTCCATTGCATTACCATGAATATGGTACATTATGAGAAAAGTAATAACTCATAATTGGTAGATTATTAAGGTGTACCTTAAAGGCAGAATTATGTTTCTATTAAGACAGCTCTGTTTCTCTTGCCATTCTTTTTACAATAATGTTTCGTTTTCTTTTCTTTGCTTTGCTTTTTGTTCTGTCTTGAAACACTGGGAAATGACCATAATAGCTGTTTTCTTTAGGCAGTGAGCAGTGAGTGAATGTTGAACTCCCTGTGGACTAAGCATTTTGATGCAAATTTCCTCAGAAAAAGCAACAGTGCTGTTGATTGCTGCAGAGCCACTGTACCTCAGAGTATGGGGTGCTTCAGTGCTCTCTTATCCTGAGGCTGTGTATTAACTACACTATTGAACAGCAAGTGCTTATCATCCCTACCATTCAGACCACATAAATCTCTGGAAAGAGACAATGTCCCTCCAGGGAACTTAACTAGCCCACAAAAATGTCACATACACAAAAATCAAACTATATTTAGCCTATAGAACTGGAAAAGCAAAGGTAATTGTAGCTATTAGAAAAATATTTATATTACTACCATGTATCAAAGCAATTGATTTTTAGGGAAGCTTTGTTTTTCAGGCAAAAAGTAATATTTTCTTTAAATAAAAGTATTTCAACCATACAAATGGCAACATTCTACTATTCTGTATTTATTTCACTTACTGTTATTGTTTTATTGCATTACCAAATTATTCTTGGATATCTACTAGGTATACAGAAACAATAGGTAGGCTAAAAAACTATGAGATTGGATTCTACTCTCTAGGATTTTGGCTCTTCCCAACTTTTATAATATTTCCTAATGGTGAATCCTGAGGAATCAGGGTAAAGGATTAAGGCTTGCAGCTTTCAGTTCACATTGTGGAGCAATGGAAACAAGGAGGGTTTTAGAGTCATACAGAATTACTTGTATTATTATAAAATTAATATATTACAGTACATTCATTGTAATTGGCATTTTATGAAGAAAGAATGATGCGTGCATACAGTAAAATAATCTAACAGCCCAAATTTATGAAATTAAAAGTAACTTTCCCTTGTACCCAGACCCCTACTCTTATTCACAAAGGCAAAGATTATTATATTTCCATATGGGTAATATTTTTTAAGTAGTCTGTGTATATCCAAGTAGAATATACACAAGAATATATACATACACAACAGTTGATATATGTATACAGTTGATCCTTCAACAACATGGGTTTGAACTGGGCAAGTCCACTTATATACAGATTTTCTTCACTTTTTGCCATTTCCTGAGGCAGTCAGACCAATCCTCTACTTTCTTCTTCTTAGCCTGGTCAATGTGAAAATCAAGAATGAAGATGTTTATGAAGATCAACTTCCACTTAATGAATAGTAAATGTATTTTTCTCTTCCTCATGATTATCTTAATAGCATTTTCATTTTCTCTAGCTTAATATATAGTAAAAATATTTTATGTAATACATACAACATATGAAATATTCGTAATTGACTATGTTACCAGTAAAGCTTGCAATCTATAGTCAGTTATAAGTAGTTACATTTTGGGAAAGTTAAGTTATAGGTAGATTTTCTACTGCATGAGGAATTGTTTCAGTCAACTGTATATATACATATATACATGTGTGTCAGTATATAAAAATATATGTAGGTAGTGAAGTTCAGGACATGGTACCTCAAAATATGACATCCTGATGTTTGAGAAAACAGTAGAAGCAGTAAGGTCATCCTCAACTTGACCATGCCTTTCTCCCCTGAAGCAGGTCATAAAACCTAGGAAAGATTTTATGACCTTTTCCTGAAGCAGTTTATAAGACTTTAATGTAAGAAGTTCCCTCTACCCCTCAAGGAAAAGAACATATTTATTTCTGAAGACACTGGGTCATAGAGAAGAATCTGAACTAACAGATCTATATTTCCTCCATTTTATTACCATTAAATTATAGTTTTTTATCAAGCCATACTTCCACATGACTATCCACTTTTCATCACAACTATCACAAAAACACACAGATTTACCCACTACTTTGGGTCTTTATATACTTATGAAGGCTCCTCCTTCACCTTTCGCCATGATTGTGAGGCCTCCCCAGCCATGTGGAACTGTGAGTCCATTAAACCTCCTTTCCTTTATAAATTATTCAGTCTTGGGTATGTCTTTATTAGCAGTGTGAGAACAGACTAATATGGCCCCTCACAGAGATTTATGAGCATGTCTTGCAAACTCTGTCTATTAAACAACAAGCCTTCTAGGAACCTTCATGCCATTGCCCCACAGAAAGTTAATGTAGATAACAAGGTAGAAAAGGACTTACCTTAAAGTATGGATGTAGGTTTTATCTAACAGAGTGGGTTATAAACCAATAGGCAAAAATCCCAAAAGTATTTGAAGAAATTGCAACAGCTTGAACTTATCAAAGAGACTTGGAAATACCAGAGACAGTACAAAATAAAAAGTTGCTTTGGACTCCGTGGAGAAAAGAGCTATAGAGAACAATTCAGAGGAAATAAACTCAAGTCTTAATCAAGTAACTGGCAATATGTGCCTGTCTTTATTTCATATTTTTAATATACTGATAACTGTTGTGTTCTTCAAATTTCCTTCTCTTTGAATATAGAGCTTATAACAGTTATCCTATCCCTGAGGCCTATCCTGGCACTGTATATGTGTGGTGGGGTAAATAATTTATCTTTTTGAATTCTCTGTTATTCAGGTCAAGATAAATGGTATTTGAAAAGCTGTATCTGGGTAAAAGGTCCACAAAAGCTTGATCCCCATCTGTACTTGATTAAATGACAGATTGTAGACTTCAGTCTGATGTTGTAATGGGATAGACCTCATGGGAAAGGAGAATATATTCTACACATGGGAGGGACCTAAATTTTTGTGGTCAGGAGATAAACTGTGACATACTCTTTTCTGAAAATGGCTGCCAAAACATCTCCCATCCCACATGATCTGAATACAGGGTAAATGTGGTACTTATTTATTTAAAATCTTGGTACATGTTCCTTTTCCTTGGATTTGGACGGGCTGTTATACTGTGATGAAAGTGGCACTTTGTGACTTCAGAGGCCAAACCATGAAACGTGATTTGTTTCTGCCTGGTTCTTTTGGGACACTTTAGGAACATGACCACCATGTCCCAGGAAAGCACAGCAGCTCAAGGAGAGGCCCAGGTGGAGAAGAACTGAGGTTAGTGGCCCCGTCTGAATCTTCCCTGCCAAGCAGCATAAGTATCATCAGCTATAAGTATTTCAACTTGAAAGTGGATCCTCCAGCCCCTTTTTGAGTCACCCCCAGTGGACCCTGTATGGGAGCACAGAAGAGTTGTCCCTGTCAAACCTTCCCAAATTTCAGAGTTGTGATAAAAAGAAATGATTTTGCTATTTCAAATTACTATGTTTTGGGAACATTTTGTCATGTGGCTGGGCTATCAGGATTTTCTGAGATCTGAAAATTATTTGAAGATTTTCATGCACGTCCGTGTGAAGAGACCACCAAACAGGCTTTCTGTGAGCAATAAAGCTGTTTATTTCACCTGGGTGCAGGCGGGCTGAGTCCGAAAAGAGAGTCAGTGAAAGGAGATAGGGGTGAGGCCATTTTATAGGATATGGGTAGGTAAAGGAAAAAGGGGGGTTGTTCTCTGGTGGGCAGGAGTGGGGGCCACAAGGTGCTCAGTAGGGGAGCTTTTTGAGCCAGGATGAGCCAGGAAAAGGAATTTCACAAGACAATGTCATCAGTTAAGGCAGGAACAGGCCATTTTCACTTCTTTTGTGGTGGAATGTCATCAGTTAAGGCAGGAACCGGCCATCTGGATGTGTACGTGCAGGTCACAGGGGATACAATGGCTTAGCTTGGGCTCAGAGGCCTGACATTCCTGTCTTCTTATATTAATGAGAAAAATAAAATGAAATAGTGGTAAAGTGTTGGGACGGCGAAAATTTTGGGGGGTGGTATGGAGAGATAATAGGCGATGTTTCTCAGGGCTGCTTCCAGCGGGATTAGGGGCAGCGTGGGAACCTAAAGTGGGAGAGATTAAGCTGAAGGAAGATTTCGTGGTAAGGGTGATATTGTGGGGTTGTTAGAAGAAACAATTGTCATTTAGAATTATTGGTGATGGCCTGGATACAGTTTTGTATGAATTGAAAAACTAAACGGAATAAGAGAAGGAGAAAAACAGGTATTAAAGGACTAAGAATTGGGAGGACCTAGGACATCTAATTAGAGAGTGCCTAAGGAGGTTCAGCATAGCCTTGCCAGCAAAGATTATTTATTTACTATAAGAGTTAAGAGTGGCGGTTTGGGGATAGCACCAGGAGATATCATCTGTGATAGCTTGGAGAAACAGTATAAACTGGCAGTGTAAACAAGAGCAGGGCATATATGAATAGTTGAGAACAGTGAATAGGAGTATGACTAGAGAGAAGATAGTAGGGATGGCAAATTTTTCGGGGCACAGTCCAAGTTGGTCTGGTGTCTGGAATGAGACTGGGGCCTAATAAAAAGGAGCGTCTATACAAGAACTCAAATGGGCTGTACCCTGTAGCAACCTGAGGACAGGTCTGAGTTCTGAGAAGGGAAAGTGGTAAAAGTATTGTCCAGTCCTTTTCAAGTTGGTGGCTGAGCTTGGTGAGGTGTGTTTTTAAAAGACCTTTAGTCTATTCTACTTTTTCTGAAGATGGAGGACCGTAAGGGATATAAAGGTTTCACTGAATACTAAGAGCCTGAAAAACTGCTTGGCTGATTTGACTAATAAAGGCTGGTCTGTTATCAGACTGTATAGTGGTGGGAAGGCTAAACTGAGGAATTATGTCTGACAGAAGGGAAGAAATGACTGCGGTGGCCTTCTCAGACCCTGTAGGAAAGGCCTCTACCTATCCAGTGAAAGTGTCTACCTTGACCAAGAGGTATTTTAGTTATCTGACTCAGGGCATGTTGAGTAAAGCTAATTTGCCAGTCCTGGGTGGGGGCAAATCCTCCAGCTTGATGTGTAGGGAAGGAAGGGGGCCTGAATAATCCTTGAGGAGTAGTAGAATAGCAGATGGAACACTGAGAAGTGATTTCCTTGAGGATAGATTTCTACAATGGAAAGAAAATGAGAGGTTCTAAGAGGTGGCCTAGTGGCTTGTACTATAGCATAGCCTGCCTTTGCTGGTGTGTGGCCATTAGGCCTGGTGGAACTGCCATCAATAAATCAAGCGTGATCAGTGTGAGGAACAGGAAAGAAGGAAATACGGGGAAATTGGGTGAATGTCAGGTGGATCAGAGAGATACAGTCATGGGGGTCAGGTGTGGTATCAGGAATAATGTGGGAAGCCGGATTGAAGTCCGGGCCAGGAACAGTGGTAATTGTGGGACTTAACAAAGAGTGAGTACAGCTGAAGGAGCCAGGGAGCAGAAAGTATATACGTCAGGTGTGAGGAAGAAAATAGATTTTGGAAGTTATGAGAAATGTAGAGCGTGAGTTGAGCATAGTTTGTGATTTTTAAGGCCTCTAAAAGTATTAAAGCAGTGGCAGCAGCTGCATGCAGACATGAAGGCTAGGCTAAAACAGTAAGGTCAAGTTGTTTGGACAGAAAGGCTACAGGGTGTGGTCCTGGCTCTTGTGTAAGAATTCTGACCACACTAACCATGCCTAGGAAGGAAAGGAGTTGTTGTTTTGTAAGGGATTGAGGTTTGGGAGATTAATGGGACACAATCAGCAGGGAGAGCACGAGTGTTTTTATGAGAATTATGCCAAGATAGGTAACAGATGAGGATGAAATTTGGGCTTGACTGAAGTAATGGGGGCTGTCTGTGAAGCCTTGCGGCAGTACAGCCCGGGTAATTTGCTGAGCCTAATGGGTGTCAGGGTCAGTCTAAGTGAAAACGAAGAGAGGCTGGGATGAAGGGTGCAAAGGAATAGTAAAGAAAGCATGTTTGAGATCCAGAACAGAATAATGGGTTGTAGAGGGAGGTACTGAGGATAGGAGAGTATATGGGTTTGGCACCATGGGGTGGATAGGCAAAACAATTTGGTTGATAAGGTGCAGATTCTGATCTAACCTGTAAGCCTTGGCTGGTTTTAGGACAGGTGAAAGGGGGAATTGTAAGGGGAGTTTATAGGCTGTAAAAGGCCATGCTGTAGCAGTCGAGTGATAACAGGCTTTAATCTTTTTAAAGCATGCTGTGGGATGGGATATTGGCATTGAGGGGGGTAAGGGTGATTAGGTTTTAATGAGATTGTAAGGGGTGCATGATCGGTTGCCAAGGAGGGAATAGAGGTATCTTATACTTGTGGGTTAAGGTGGGGGGATATGAGAGGAGGATGCGAAGGAGGCTTTGAACTAGGGAAAAGGGCAGCAATGAGGTGTGGCTGTAGTTTAGGAACAGTCAGGGAAGCAGATAATTTAGTTAAAATGTCTTGGCCTAATAAGGGAGCTGGGCAGGTGGGGATAACTAAAAAGGAGTGCTTAAAAGAGTATTGTCTAAGTTGGCACCAGAGTTGGGGAGTTTTAAGAGCTTTAGAAGCCTGACCATCAATACCCACAACAGTTATGGAAGCAAGGGAAACAGGCCTTTGAAAAGAAGGTAATGTGGGGTGGGTAGCCTCTGTATTGATTAAGAAGGGGACGGACTTACTTTCCACTGTGAGAGTTACCTAGAGCATCTGTAATGGTCCTGTAGGCTTCCAAGGTGATCGGGCAGTGTCAGTCTTCAGCTGCTAAGCCAAGAAGATCTGGGTAGCAGTCAGTCAGAGAGCCTTGGGCCAGAGTTCCAGGGGCTCTGGGAGTGGCTGCCAGGTGAGTTGAACAGTCTGATTTTCAGTGGGGTCCCACACAGATGGGATAAGGCTTAGGAGGAATCCTGGGCTGTGGGCATTCCTTGGCCTAGTGGCCAGATTTCTAACACTTGTAGCAAGCTCCTAGGGGAGGAGGTTCTGGAGGAACTCCTGGCAGCTGTGGTTCAGGCGTTTGGAGTTCTTGTGTGCTGGAGATGTGGCTGGGGTTTGTCTCACAGTGGAAGCAAGGAATTGCAACTCAGAGATACGTCGCTACTTGGCTGCCTCTACTCTATTATTGTACACCTTGAAGGTGAGGTTAATTAAGTGCTGTTGTGGGGTTTGAGGGCCGGAATTTAATTTTTGGAGTTTTATTTAATGTCAGGAGCGGATTGGGTAATAAAACGTATATTGAGAATAAGATGGCCTTTTGACCTTTTAGGGTCTAGGGCTGTAAAGCGTTTCAGGGTTGCTGCTGAATGAGCCATGAACTGGGCTGGGTTTTTCATATTTGTTGAAAGAGCCTAAATGCTCACTGATTTGCGAGAGGTTGGATAAAGAAAAAGGAGCATTAACCTTGACTATGCCTTTAGCTTCAGCCACCTTTTTAAGAGGAAATTGCTGGGCAGGTGGGGAGGGCTATTCACAGAACGAAACCGTAAGCCGGACTGGGTGTGAGGAGGGGAGGTGATAAAAAGATTATAGGCTTGAGGTGCAGAGGCTGAGGAAGAATTGGGACTTAGCTTGGCCTGGTAAGGAGCAGCCTGGGGAGGAGGGGGGAGGTCAGATGGGTCTGTAGAAAAGGAAGATTAGAAAGACTCAGCGATGCTTTGGGTTGGGACTGAGGGTACAGGCGGGAGGGAAAGAAGGGAAGATTTGGGATGAGTTGCATTGGGCACAGAGACTAGGGAGGGACTGATGTGTAAAAGAATGCCTGGACGTCAGGCACCTCAGACTGTTTGCCTATTTTACGACAAGAATTATTAAGATCTTGCAGGACGGAGAAATTGAAAGGGCCGTTTTCTGGCTATTTGGAACCACTGTCGAGTTTGTATTGGGGTCAAGTGGCATTGCAGAATAAAATAAGGCATTTCGGTTTTAGGTCAGGTGTGAGTTAAAGAGGTTTTAAGTTCTTGAGAGCACAGGCTAAGGGAGAAGAAGGAGGAATGGAGGGTGGAAGGTTGCCTATAGTGAAGGAGGCAAGTTTAAAGAAAAGGGAGAGTACAGACATGGAGGGAAGTGGTTCAGGGGTTCTTACCCTCCAGAAAAGCAGGAAAGGGGTTGCGGCGCAGAAATAACGAGGTTGGGGCATGGAAATAAGGGATTGGGGCACAGAGATATGAGGTTGGGGTACTTGTCCCTCCACCAGAAAAGCAGGACTTGCCGCTGAGGGTGAAGGAGAAGGGGTTGAGGGGTTCTTGCCCTTCCCCTAGAAAAGCAGAGAAGGGGTAGAGACATGGAGAGAAGGGGTTGGGGTACTTGCCCCTCCCCCAGAAAAGCAGGACTTGCTAAGGATGAAGGACCAAGGCAGGCGTCCCTGCGTGGTCTGACACCTCTGAAACGTGGGTGAATAATCAGACAGGCGTCCCTGCGATGATTAAACACCAAGGGAAGGCTGCCTTCCCAGTCTGTGACCAGCGCCAGAGTTTTGGGTCCACGGATAAAACGTGTCTCCTTTGTCTCTACCAGAAAATGAAAGGAATTGAAATTAAGAGAAGGGAGAGATTGAAGTGTGGCGCCAAGATTGAAAGGAGAAAGAGGTTGAGGGATAGTGAGGGAGGTTGGAGAAGAGAGTAAAAAGAGGCCGCTTACTGGATTTGAAATTGGTGAGATGTTTCTTGGGCTGGTCAGTCTGAGGACCTGAGGTCGTAAGTGGACCTTTCTCATGGAGCAAAGAGCAGGAGGACAGGGGATTGATCTCCCAAGGGAGGTCCCCCGATCCGAGTCATGGCACCAAATTTCATGTGCGTCTGTGTGAACAGACCACCGAACAGGCTTTGTGTGAGCAATAAAGCTGTTTATTTCACCTGGGTGCAGGCGGGCTGAGTCCAAAAAGAATGTCAGCGAAGGGAGATAGGGGTGGGGCCGTTTTATAGGATTTGGGTAGGTAAAGGAAAAAGTGGGCGTGTTCTCTGGTGGGCAGGAGTGGGGGTCACAGGGTGCTCAGTAGGGGAGCTTTTTGAGCCAGGATGAGCCAGGAAAAGGAATTTCATAAGACAATGTCATCAGTTAAGGCAGGAACAGGCCATCTGGATGTGTATGTGCAGGTCACAGGGGATATGATGGCTTAGCTTGGGCTCAGAGGCCCGACAAAGATTCATTAACAATGGGAAAAAATAGAGAAAATAGGCTCTAGGTAAAATTATTATGTATGTGAGGTGTTTATTTTGTTCTACCTTTTGGGAAAACAAATCCTCTTCCTAGGGTTTGTCCGTGATGATTTCTAGGTTAAATTATCTTCACTTCTTCAGAGACCATGGATATAATGTTTGTTTACTTTAGATGTAGTGCTTCCAATGCAGTCTTGAATGATAGTAAAAACCTGAATCTCATTTTACAATTTTTAAATATCTTAATATTGCCAGTGTATGTTGTGGGGAAAAGAGAGATCAGACTGTTACTGTGTCTATGTAGAAAAAAGTAGACATAAGAGACTCCATTTTGTTCTGTACTAAGAAAAATTCTTCTGCCTTGAGATGCTGTTTATCTGTTACCCTACCCCCAACCCTGTGCTCTCAGAAACATGTGCTGTGTGGAATCAAGGTTTAATGGATTTAGGGCTATGCAGGATGTGCTTTGTTAAACAAATGCTTGAAGGCAGCATGCTTGTTAAAAGTCATTACCACTCCCTAATCTCAAGTACCCAGGGACACAAAACACTGTGGAAGTCCACAGGGACCTCTGCCTAGCAAAGCCAGGTATTGTCCAAGGTTTCTTCCCATGTGATAGTCTGAAATATGGCCTTGTGGGAAGGGAAAGACCTGACCGTCCCCCAGCCTGACACCTGTAAAGGGTCTGTGCTGAGGAGGATTAGTAAAAGAGGAAGGCCTCTTTGCAGTTGAGGTAAGAGGAAGGCATCTGTCTCCTGCTTGTCCCTGGGCAATGGAATGTCTCAGTGTAAAACCCGATTGTATATTCCATCTATTGAGATAGGAGAAAACTGCCTTAGGGCTGGAGGTGAGACATGCTGGCGGCAATACTGCTCTTTAATGCATTGAGATGTTTATGTATGTGCACATCAAAGCACAGCACTTTTTTCTTAACCTTGTTTATGATACAGAGACATTCGTTCATATGTTTTCCTGCTGACCCTCTCCCCATTATTACCCTATTGTCCTGCCACATCCCCCTCTCAGAGATGGTAGAGATAATGATCAATAAATACAGAGGGAACTCAAGAGACTTGTGCTGGCACAGGTCCTCTGTATGCTGAGCGCAGGTCCCCCGGGCCCACTTTTCTTTCTCTATACTTTGTCTCTGTGTCTCTTTCTTTTCTCAGTCTCTCGTCCCACCTGATGAGAAACACCCACAGGTGTGGAGGGGCAGGCCAGCCCTTCAGTATGTCTCTTGATCTTGAGAAAAAAAAAAACCCTTCCTGAAAAGAGTGTTTCAACTATGAACTCTTTGGTATAAAACAGCTTAGCCATAATGAACTGGACAATTACCTAGCTGGTATCTGGAATAAAGATAATATTATCCATCAGTTATCACCTACTGCCTGACAGGTACTGCATGCCAAATGTATTGAAGAGCATTTCAATAAAATGACATGAAATGAAAGCATAAGCCAGTCCACGACTTAAGAGTATTCCTGAATCTAGGAGCTATGTTCTATTGTCCCAAGGTTTATTTTCTCTGAAAAAAGTAAGAATGCCAATTTTCAGTGGCATTTGGTATTGTGAGAATAACAAAACATAATAAACACTGGAACATATTTTCAAAATTACATTAATTCTGTAAGAAGACCACCTGATGTTATTGTGTGGCCCTATTTTCATTGAATATATTCAATTTCATTGAGTTGATTCAATTTCATTTCATTAGTGCCAGCTGCTAAACCTTTTCTAGTGTTGGTTTCTTTCCAAATGTAAAGAAAATTCTTGGCAAATCCACTGTTTCTTATTGAATTATGAAAGGTAGAAAATGAATCTTTATTGAAAATAGTATGTAAGAATCTGTTTACAAAATTGGGTGTAATTTCAAATTGTAACTGGAAAATCAGATTTACTGTGTTGGGGAAATAGCATTACATGGCAAAGCCCTCACTTGGGGACACAGGAATATAAAACATCTTCAGGATATATATTTCTCTCATACCCACATGATTTACATGCAGAAAAGAACATACTAATAACGTTAATTAATGTTTCCTTGGAAAGGCTATTTCACTAATAAAGTCATTTAGTGGGACATTAGCTCCATTATGAAAAATATGCTTTTTGCTTAAAATGAAGTATTTCATATGTCTTTCTATATGTTTAAGAATTAGGAAATGCCCACCTATAGCTTTAGTCATAAAGAATTTGAGGTTTGGTTTTCTAATAATTTTCTAAAAGCTTTAATTTATTTTACATTGTCTTTACTTTTCCCCTTCACCTTTATTTTCATAATAGCTTGTTGACTTAGGTTGTTTATATTATCTTAATGTTTTCAAATGTTTTGTGACTTAATTTTTTAATCTGTGATTTTTAAAACATATCTGGCAAAATACCTCACATAAGATTCTTTTAAGCAAAAAAAAGTCATGAAGATTTTAATTTGTTTGACATAAATGAAATATGTTGCTAGTTTTTAAAAATTTTTCTATAAACTCATTATACAACTGTAAAACATCACATTTAGATTAACATGGTAAAAAGATAAATGTTTCTGATTTTCATTTTATTTTTCATATTGACATCTTTCAACTACATCTGACCTCTTGGCTAAGATATTAATATAATAGCTAGATATATAGAACATTAAAAATGGATATAAAGGTAAAGGTGGGAAGAAGGAGTATATGAGAATTATAATTGATTCTCTCTATATGAATCATGATACAATCTTTCATATTTTAATAGGACCATAGAGATTGCAAATTTAAGACTAACCCCAAAACATAGCTTTGTTCTGTATGGATCTGGACCACAGACTTTCTGTAGGACATTTTGTGATTTTGTTTTAAAATTAAAAACAAAAAGAGTGAATTAAGCATGTTTAAAGGTTTTTAAAAAAAACGGTGAATTACTAGGTTTAATTTGTATAATAAATACTTTAAAATTTAAGTTTTTGGGGTTGTTTTGGATTCTTTAAACAATTGTGATGGTTAGTAGATATTTCTAATACAAAAGAAAAACTATTGAGAATTATTGAGTAACCCTCTAGTTAGTTTTGCATATAACAACAATTTGGTCATATAGCACAGCAATGTCAAAGACAAAATATACTGTAAAATTTTGTTTGGCCATTTTCTTACAGGTAGTGTTGAAGCCACATACCTAAAATCTCCTGATGACAATCAATACTATAATTTTATCGGTATTCAAATTATCCATGAGTTGCTTGAAGAAACCTTTCAATAAAAAATCTTTTATTGAACTTCTAAGAGGCATGTTCATGCATTTGTATGCCCAAGTATTGAACAGGATTTTTTCTTACAGAACTGAAGAGAGTAATATGTTAGACTTTACAAAGTTGCCATGCTGGGCACTTAAAACAGATTATCTTTAATCCTCACAACAATCTGGTAAAGTAAATACTACCATCAAAATCATTTAACAAGGCAGAAACTAAAGATTGTAAATGTTAGAACATGTTCAAAGTCAGACTTTGTCACAGCCAGGATTCCAACTCATTTCAACTCTGATTCCAAAGTCTATGCCCCTTCTTTGACATCCTCTTTCTTTAATACAATGATGATAATGATAATGATGATGATGATAACAGTTACAATTTTTTAAGTGCTTAGCATTAACTACCATGCTGAGTGTTTAGTGTACTTTTTCTTATTTTCTTACATTATCTCTTTACATCTCTTTGTGATAATGAAAGATTTAAGAGATTTTTTTATTTAAATCCTCCTTTATTACAGAGGAAATTATTACAAATTACTTAACTGTTCTAACTTTCAGTAAGAAGAGCTAAGTAATTTGTACCAAATTATGTAGCTCATAAGTGGACCTGCTAGGAGGTAAACAACTATGACTGTCTGAAATCACAGCTAAGGCCTTTAACCTTCATTCAGAGTTGATTTCAATCTGAGGCTTTGAAAAGAATAAAAAGAAAGCTGAATGCATTTATATAAGATAGGATCATCCTTCCAAATAGCTCTCACTACTTCAAAAAGATTCACTAGTCACTGACAAAATTATGTGGTGGCTACAGTCAAAGTAGGAACATCAATATTTTTCTCTCTTTCATTTATTTGTCTATTAAGATAATTTGATCTCATTTTGAAGTAAAACATTCAAGGGTTCTCTTTAGTTTTCTAAGAAGAAAGTGACAAAAAAGGAGTGTGTGTGTGTGTGTGTGTGTGTGTGTGTGACAGAGAGACAGAGAGAGAGAGTAGTGTTTGCGGCTTAAGAGATAGTTCTAGAGGTAGTCATTGTCTTCAGTGTACAAACTATCAGAGCAATTTCAACCATACATTTTATACGTGTCTTTAATATTTGACAACTAGAGAGGGACAATAAAGTAGAAGCAGCAGCTTTAGGGTAATACAAATTGTGGTCCTGCTGCTATGTTTCAGTTGAAGAAAGTGCAAATATAATATTGCAGGTACTGGAGAATTCACACTCTGCATGTTTATGGTGAAGTTGTCTGTAATGAATGTGAAAGTATCATAGGAATAAAACTGAACACTACAAAAGTACAGAATGCTGCAATTAAAATATTTGAAACATTTATAAGGTGGATCCATTAATTATGTCTTTTTATAAGGCAATTATCCTAACAGAAAGTAAATAGGTTGTAGTGTTAAGACAGATATAAATCTGAATTCAGATGCTATAATGCTATAATATTTTAAAATATGTGTGGTCTTCTGCATTTACTTAACTTTGATGTTCCAGTTTTTATTATCTTTTGAATAGGAATAATGATATCTACTGCACAGTACTGGTAGAAAGATTCTATCTCTACATAGTGCCTGACACATGGAAGATGATTAATGAACAGTGCCTACTTTTAAAAATAACATAATCTCTGTCTTTAAGATGATGAGCATCTTCTCACTGTGTCTTCACATGGCAGAAAGGGGAAGGGAGCTCTCTGGGGTCTCTTTCACAAGGACACTAATCCCATTCATGGGGGTTCTACCCTCATGACTTAATTACTTCCCAAAGGCCCCACATCCAAATATCATCACTTTGGGTATCAGGTTTCAACACATGAATTTGGGGGAGGGGGAATACCAACATTCAATCTACAGCAGAAGGAATGCTAGAATTGATTTAAAGATAGTCATCTGTATTCTGTGAATCCCACCACCATCTCTCATGGGAAGGCTCTACTCTTCTCCCTCCCATCTTCTTCAACAAGACCACTTGAGAGCTCGATATTTACCAGAGTCTAGACCAGCAAGTGACTCACACTTGAAAATGTCGCTAAGCAGAAGTCTGTCTGTACCTCTCTGTGATGGCCAAGCAGAAGCAAGATGCACTCCACGGGAGCAGATTCATTCCCACCATTCTGCCTGATCAGGCCGTGTGACTTTCCTTTGGGCCACATGAGCATCCCAGAATGTAACCAGGCTGACACCATTTAGGAAAACCCCTGCCCCAATGGGAAGCCTGCTAAATCAAAGTAACCCAGAAGGAAGAGTCTCTGGGGTATAAACCATTTAGGATATTTCTAGGGGAGTAGGAGAGTAGGATGTGATGGTTGGTTGAGAGTTCGCTGTCTGCATCATGGACCTGTCAGTAAAAAGGGCTATTATAAAGTTTCAGTCAAACCAAACCAAACAAGATGGCACAAAACAAAACCCATAGGCATGCTTTCAAAAAGAGTAGTCAACACTAAACATCAATGAAGCCCAGGAAATATCAGTTTTAAAGGATCCGTAAGCTCAGAGAGATCCCCCACCAGATAATGACAGCACTAGTCAAGTAAAAACTTTCTTGCCTCTGTTTCTTTCAGTACTTCTTCCCTAGGCATGACACACCATGCCTAGAAAGAGGTAGTGAAGAAACAGTGCAAAGTAGGGAAGTAGGGAGGAAGACAGAACACCCCATTCCTTATTTTTGCTTTGTAGTCTTTCAGAGATGCTCACTAAGAGAGGAGAGCAGGTTTAAATTTAGGTTTCAAACATTAATTATATTGTGTTTGTATTAGTTGTCTATGACAGTATTAGAAATCACCACAAACATAGTGGCTTAAAACAATATAAATTAAGTAGACCACAGTTTTCCATGTTAGAAGTTCAGCATTGCTTAACTGGGTTATCTCCTTAGAGTCTCATAAGGCCAAAATCAAGGTGCTGACCAGAGCTACATTGCATTTGGAACTTGCAGTCCTCTTCCAAGCTTATGCCTGTTTTTGGCAGAGTACAGTTCCTTGTTGTTGCAGAATTTAATCCCCATTTCCTTGCTGGCTGTGTGCCAGGGACCTCACTCATCTCCTTAAGAGCAACCAACTTCTTCTCATATGGCTCACTCCATGTTTAAAGCTAGCAAGAGAGCAATGAGTCCTTCTCTGACTTTCTCTTCTGCCTCAGCCTGGGACAGTCTTTGATTTAAGGGCTCATGTGATTAGTTCAGGAATAACCTGATTATCTCCCTATCTTAAAGTCAACTCTGCCATATCACATAACACAAATACAGAAGTGATATCATTTTCAAGTGTCTCCAAGATTTATGTGGGAATCTAAATCTAAAATGGGGGTCCATTTTAGAAATTATGCTTAATACAAGATTGAGACTTCAATTATTAAAATGATATCTTTTTTTCACTCAGAATGACTAGACAGCTTTTCATTATCTGAGAGGAACTAATAAAACAATAGGCTCTGCAGAAGATTTGATTAAATGAGGAAAAAAGAATTACCTCCACAAATTGTGGCTGAGTGAATAGTGGTGGTAGTTGGTAAGAGGATGTTCCTTTTATGTTGCTTGTACCCTATGGAGGTTTTGATTTAAACAAAATGAACAGCCTTAAATAAATTGTGGTTTGTGGTAGAAGGATATAACTCACCTACAGAGCCCTCCCCGACTCTCCCCAACGAAGATCCAGGGAAATGAATGTGATCTTATTATCTTTTTAGCCTGGTATATCCTGCTGTCATTCCACCTAGGTCAGAGGGCAAGAATCTGCAGCGATTTATATAAGTCAGTGTCCTGATGCCCAGAGAGGTATGGACAACGGGGGAGAGTGCATATGGAAGGGCAAACAAAGAATTTATTCTCTCATATTTCAGCCAGAGTTCTAAAATCAAGGTGTCAGCAGGATTGGTTCCTTCAGGAGACTCTGAGAAACGATTTGTTCCATGTTTCTCTCTTAGTTTCTGGCAAACCTTGGTGTCTCTTAGCTTATACACGTATCACCCCAATCTCTACCTCCATTTTCACATGATTTTCCTCTGTGTCACTGTGAGTCAAGTCTTCCACTTCTTTCTCTTACAAGTCCAGTCACTGGACTTAGGATTTACCCTAAATACAGGAGGCTTTCCTTCTGAGATCCTTAACTTAATCACATCTGAAAGACCCCATTTTCAATAACGTCACTCACAGGTACAGGAGGTTAGGAATGCATTATTGAACTCACTACTCAATAATTTTGCAGGAGAATTTCTATATATGGTGAATTCAACAGACTCATATGATCACTAGTTATCTAAACCTTGTCTGAAAAGTATATAATGAGGGTGTGGTTTGAGAGTTGGCTTGATAAGAAACAAAAATGGTCAAATTGTAGCAGGAAGTATGTTTGAAAAAGACAGCTAAAGGGGAAAGAAAGATCTGTCAGAGGGTCCCACATTTTGCAGCCTGCAGGCCTGCTTTCAGATTACCTCTACTCGTGTTTCAACAATACCTGAGGTATTTATCCAGGTAGAGCGGAAGGTGTTGTCAATCACACGCTCCTCCGAGTTAGGCTGAAAGAAAGTCTAGAGCAGTTCTGTTGTCTGAAGCAACCTTCCTGAGAGAGTTGAGTGATGTCTTCTGGGCTGCCAGGGAAGTAGCAGTGGAGGAGGCAACATCTGCCATGGTCAGGGTCAGGGTTCTCATCATGTTTCATGAGCACCGACTACTATGTATACTACAAAATATCTTGAAAAGAAAACAAATTCAGATTCAGTCAAACCTCCTGGCACATCCCTAGTAAGCCTGGTGTATAGCTTTAGGCTGCAGGCTTACTCGTGCACCCCATTCCCATAGTGATATCGAGGCACACCCCCAGGACTCCCAATGTGCAGGATCCCACCATCTGCCAGCTTTCCAGGGATGATATTGCCCATCTTGTATTTGGGTCACCCTTGTACTGTCCACAGAGAAGTTGTAGTCCTTGGGTACACACAGCACCCCTTCACCTGTTTTCTTATTCAATGTCATTCATGGGTGTGGCACTGGCTTTTGCCAACAGTCTTACTGTTGACACAGTTGCACAGGCTCTGTTTTCCCCATGCAATATTATTCATGAACCCCCTACACAGGATCAGCACTAGTTTAGTGCTTGTTTTTGTCATTGCCACTGGAGCACTTGTTTTTCAAGTAATCAAAGGAATATGCTGCATCAAAGTACTAGGCCAACAAGGTTTAGTTACTTGTGGTAATCTTAGTTGTGGGCATTTTGCCGTAGAGTCAATTAAATTAAAATGGGGCACCTGCAGCTCCCTGCCATGTGGTGGGTGCCAGATCCTCACCTGATAATCCAGGGCTCGGGTTCTGGTGATATACCCTCTGGCCTTAGAGATGCTGGTGTCCTTTGCTGCTGGCAGAATGAGAGGGTCGTTGTGGTCTGTGACAGATTGAGGTCGGGGATAGCAGATCCAACACTTTGTCAGTTTGTCCGCAGTGGCCACAGCTTGGGAGAGCCTAATTAAGGCATTATGATTTTGGGTCTTTATTGCCATGTTCTTGTGGGAAAACAGCAGACTGACAGGTTAGTTCCTCACCCCATATCCCTCCTGGGGTCTCAGGAGTTTCCTACATATCAGATAGAAAATAGGCTGACTTGCTGTAATGACCCAGTCCTGTCTGTCCCAGACCCAAGGCTACTATACTACATTTGTGGGCACGCATTGCCCTTGTTGGCCCTTGTAGCTTGACTTTGATCTTTCCATTCCCATCCTTCAGTCCAGGGAGGCAGATCATGTCTTGTACAAACTTGACATATTTCATAATGTTG
This sequence comes from Homo sapiens, assembly GCF_000001405.40. NCBI lineage: Eukaryota > Metazoa > Chordata > Mammalia > Primates > Hominidae > Homo > Homo sapiens. Next base: position 145,701,484 of record NC_000003.12, on the reverse strand, counting down.
CTATTAGACTGGAAGGATCAGATGTCCTCATTGCCACCAGAAGGATCCTAACACTATAGTGTTCCTTAGTCCTGTCCCCCCACCCTGTGAGATCCTATAGAAAGGGGTCACCCTGAAGGAGCATTGCCTCCAAATTAAATTGGGGGGTCCTGTCTGAGGTTCTAGGGTAAGTTCAACTGCAAACAACCCCCAGCACATGTACTTTAAAGGGAAAGAGGAAAAAAAATAATGGCTTAGAACACAGATTAGAGTTTTCCTAGGTACAGCCTGATCAGGCAGCTGCCTGGTCCACCTCCACCCCTACGAAACTCAGTGTTTCTCAAGGTGAGCTGCAGTGTCATGTTTTCCTTCCATTGGAGTGCAGTGTTTAGTGTCCACACTGCCCTAGTCCAATTCCTCCACCCTCCCTATTCCTTTTAACCAGCTTTATTTTTTAGGTATATCACTGATCATTTTATAACATATTATAAATTCATTATACATTTGTATGTTATCTTTCTAATTTTTAAGGAAATTAGATAACTTTTACCACTTAATGGCACTTAAATAATAAGGTAATCATCAAGAATGAGGTAATCTAAATCTGAAAGTGCAAATAGGGTCTGTATGAATTTGTTATAAATTCTATGTGATTATATAAAACATAAAATTATGATTTATAACTTCAAAAATGCTTTCATAGTACTTGCTGTCTTGACGGTTAACTTTCACTAAATTAAAGACAAATCTTTTCACAAGAGATGTTAATGCCATGTCATGGAATAACCTAGAAGATTAAAATAAAAAGAGGTGAAGTCGCCTTGGGGGTGAGAGAGGATATAATGACTTCAGGATAATTACAAGAATTTAAGTGTAAGTTATTTTATTTTATTTTATTTTGAGACAGGATCTTGCTCTGTAGCATAGGCTAGAGTACAATGGTGCAATCATAGCTCACTGCAGCCTCAAACTCCTGGGTTCAAGTGATCTTCCTGCCTCATCCTCCCAAGTAGCTGGGACTACAGGCACCCCTGGCTGATTGTTTTCAATTTTAATTTTGTATAGTCAAGATCTCCCTATATTGCCCAGATTGGTCTCGAACTCCTGGCCCCGTGATCTTCCTGGCTTGGCCTCCCAAGTGATGTTATTATAGACCTGAACAACCATACCTGGCTGTGTAAGAATTTTTTAAAAGAAGCAGTTTTGACTAATGTATGCCTTATGATTATTAATAACATTTAAAGGGCAGAACATCTGAGAAAAATTAGACTAATTATTTTTAAGCAAATTATAGAAAGACTGTGATATTTTCATACATAAGAATAATTTTCTTTATAATTCATGCAGAAAATGATGCTTTAAGAAATCAGAATATAGCCTAATTCTTTCACTTAAGTAAATTGTTTGCTTTTTCTTATAAATGTCCAAATAATTCTCTCTTTATACTTCAGTTTTAATGTCTTTTCTGATTATAATTCAGAAATCATTTTGTTTGGTGAGGTTGTGTTTCCCTGTACCTAGAATAATCACTGGCAAATAGCTGGCAATTGATAAATATTTATTGAATGACTAAATAAATAATTGATGAATAAATTTAAACACCATAAATTTTAGTGATAATCCTATTCTATCTGACGTGGAAAAGTTATGCCCTTTAGAATTTCATGATTAAAGCTTTCTTCTTTTTTTTTTTTTTTTGTTTGTTTTGTTTTTTGAGACCAAGTGCAGTGGTGCAAACTTGGCTCACTGCAACCTCCACCCCCTGGGTTCAAATGATTCTGGTACCTCAGCCTCTGGAGTAGCTGGGATTATAGGCATGTGCTACCATGCTAATTTTTGCATTTTTAGTAGAGACGGGTTTCATCATTTTGGCCAGGCTGGTCTCAAATCTCCTGACCTCAAGTGATCCACCCACCTTGGCCTCCCAAAGGGCTGGGACTACATAAACTTTCTTCATTTGAGGACAATTTTCTAGTGTATCTTTAATAGTGATCTGTTAGCTATTATTTTTGTGATAGTGTTGTTTATTTTTTATCAATTTCTTTACCTTTTCAACCATCTTTTAAATTATTGCTTATTCAATTGTTTTGCGATCTCACCTTATCCATTATTATTTTTATTAAATTATTCTAAAATATAAAACACTTGAAGTAATTTTCTAAAAATGTCTGGACTGTATTTTCTTTTGGAATTATCATCATCACTTTGGTTATGTTTTATTTTGTTTCTTCTCTTGCGGTATATATTTGCATAGTTGTCCTGTTAACTCTTTATTTTTCTCATCATTAACGCGGCACACCAGATTGAATTATTTTTCCTGATTATTTGCCTCCTCCCTGTGATGAAGTCACATGCTCTTTGCCATTTTACTGTCTTGTGCCCTCCTTGTAAGTAGAGTATACTTTCCCATCATGTTAATTTTGGGATTGAGCATATGACTTGCTTGGGGTTTAGCATGTGACATTGCCAATGGCATATGAGCAGGTGTGACATTTGCCACCTATTAGCAGATATTTTAAATGACTTCTGTGGTTTACCTCCTCACTCCTCCCACATTAGGTGGTGCTGTTGTTTTAGCCTGGGTTCCATAATAACAAGAAATAAGAAACAGAAGTGAGTCCAGTGGAGTTCAGCCTAAAAGCCTCCTGCAACATGAGTTAGAAAAAATATATATTTACTGTAAGCAACTGAGTTTGGAGATTGTTTCTATAGCAAAAACTAGTACAGGAGGACTGATATAGCCAAATTTCTAATGTATTCTGATATTGGACATGCATCTTAGTCCACTTGTGCTGCTATAACACAATACCACAGACTGGATAACTTACAAAGAAAAGAAATTTATTTTATCGAAATTCTGAAGGCTGGGAAATTCAAGATCAAGGTGCTGGCAGGTTCGGTTTTCTGATGAGGATCCAGTCTGTCTTTCAAGGTGGTGTCTTGAACACTGCATGCCCTTGCACGGCAGAACAGAAGAGAGAGAATGCATTCTAGCAAGCCCTTTTCATAGTAGCATTAATAATGAGGGCGTAGCCTGTATGACCTAAACACTTCCCCAAGAAACAAATTGCTTAACACTGTTACAGTTTGGCAGACACAGTGAAACCATAGCAATAAAAGAAGTATTTCTTCCGACAAGTCATTTCATAGCTACAACGTGGAAACTAAGAGTTTCCTTCTATTTTATTTTCTGTAGCCTGAGGACTAGCGTGGAGAAGGTTTAGCCTTTAGGAGGTCGTGGTTGCTGCTGCTACTTCTGTTAAATGTTCCAGGACTTACTCCATTTGGCTCCAGGACCGTACCTGCCCTTCTAAGGTAATATTCTGGAGCATTAGACCATTGCTCCAATTCTGCCTGGAAGTAGAAGCCTTGCTGAGTTGAAAGCCAGACTAGTTTATGCGTTTATCACATCCACCTTTTTCTTTTGGGAATTAGCAGGGACTGGAAAAACTTGATGAATAATGCATGGGTTTTGATGTTACTTGGTTCCATGGGGAAGATAAAGTAGAGGAGACTTCAAGTGGGGCTTACATGGTCACTTTTCCCTGAGATTTCTGCTCCTTCAGAGGCTCTTATGTGTAGGTTTTTTTGTTTGTTTTTTTTTAAACAGTAAAATGACTTATTGCTGGGGAGTGATAGTTCTGATACTACGAGTATTCTGCTTTCTTTTTTGGCTTTCTGCACAATTAAGATATTCAAGACATTGAGCATTGGTGTTTGGTTCCAACTTGATTGATAATTAATTAATCTATTTATTTATTTATTTATTTATTTATTTATTGTCGTGGAGATGGAATTTTGCCATGTTGCCCAGGCTGGTCTCAAACTCTTGGACTCAAGCAATCTACCCACCTTGGCCTCCCAAAGTGCTAGGATTACAGGTGTGAGCCACTGTGCCCGGCCTTCACTGAGTGTTTAATTGACAGCTAGAGGGTAGGGATTCCATGTTTGCATTTCTGCCCTCCCCACTGCTCCTCTTCTCAGTAGGCTCCACTCCCACCCACCACATTTTTCCTTTGTACTGCCTACTGTGTCCTTCATGTAGTTCTCTCTAAATATAGTGATCATTAGTAACATTCAAAATTTTTACTACTCATATGCTTCCATCTATTTCTCTGTGGAGTAGGGATAGAGGGAAAACTAGAGGCTACTTCATTCTCAAGTCTTCTCTTAGCTATCACTTTTCCTTGTTTGGATCCAGTTGTATTTTTGACTACTTATTTTAGTATTTTTAAATACATTTTATCAGAAATTGAGAGAGGAATATTCAGTGATCCAGTTTTATTCTATTTATGATTTTATTTTGATTTGAAATTAATATAATAGAGGAATACATATATGTAATAAATAAAATTTGAACTTATCTCTATCTGTTTGGTAACCAAGATAGTTATCAAACTTCTAAACTTCTTTAAATAATTATGTACCAGAAATATTTTCTTTTTCTATTTGGAAACACTTTATTTTTAACTAGAAAATAAAAATGAGAGTTACCATTATAATGCAGAATATCAATATCAAATATGTAATTTAACTATTTCATCTAGATACATTTTTCTTCCTTTCTTTTTTCTTCTTCTTCTGTATTTTCCCTTATTTCTCCATTTCTCTCTATCTGCTTTTTTCTTCCTGTGTTTCCTCTCTCCTGTTTTTACCATTTACCAGCACTTGAGAAGCTATTATATCCCTCAGAATTACAAACACAAAAGTGAAAAAATATGTATAAAAGAAACTATAACTTATTGGTCATGAGAGCAAACTAATTTTACAATGGTAAGGACACTACAGAAGAATACACATACCTTTTGTCAATTAATTCATTTATTTGTGGGTGTATTTGTTTATTCAAAAAGTTTATTGACAACCCAGAATATTCCATATACCTTCCTATACTCCGAAGATTATTAGTTCTATATGTGGGCATAATTTTTAAATAGAATATTATTACCAGTCCTTTTTGGTATATGAACAATTACAATATTAATAAGGCATTAATCAAGTAACAAGGCAGATAGATATTCTACTAAATTCAGACTATTAAAGAAAACTGTATGTATTTTGCAAATGATTTGAGGTGACATATTTAGAAAGTGTAGTTATTTTACTTTATTGTGTTTTTGTGTTCTAACCTTTGAATTCCTTTGCTGAGAATTGAAATTGTGCTGTATGATGTCAAAACTAATGGCAATTAATAATTGCTATTGTTAAGCTACATACAAGTAGAAATTTAGGTTGAAAAACTCTCTAGGAAAATGGCCTCATAATTTAGACCTCACATAACTGACCTTACATAACTGAAATAACTGAAATATGAGTAGTATATGCTTTTCAAAAGCATACTTATTTCATGTTCTCTGAATGTGAAGCTTCAGTTTAATTTGCCAAGCTAGAATTATGATTTGAATTTTTAAGTGTTATGACTAAGATTTCTTCTTTTTACAAATTAAAACTGACAGCACCTAAATGTGTTTATAAACAAAACACATTTAATGAGTGCATTATTATGGAAAATTAGCATTTAGAATTCTCCATAAAAATGTAAAATGTAATTATAATCATTATTTGGTAAAGTTAGATTTTAGATGCAAAATGAATAGCCAAAATGTTAATTTAAGCATGAATAATTGGAATATAAATTCGAAATAAATCTACTTTGCTTCATTTACATTGCACTTCACATACATTTATCTGGTCTTTGGTCTTCACTTGAACAAAAATTTTTAATTAATTTGATTCTTATTAAAAACCTGCTCAATTTCTTTTCCAGTTTAAAAGGATGCAAATGAAATGAAATTATTTAGGAAAGAATTGGAATTAGGACTAGGACTAAGTATAATCTCCATTTTAGTTTTTTAGTTGAAATTTTGGCTTAACAGTTAACAATCTAAGCCACTGAATTTCAAATTAAAAAATCAAGATGCTTTATGGAAACTGAAAAGTCAAAAATAACAAACTAATAATTTTGTTTAGATTTTTATTTTGTTCCTTCTCTCTAAACTTGTATTAAGCAACATAATTACTACCCTTCAACATGTTCATCAGTGTCATAAAGGCAGACACCTTCAATAAGGTTAGCAATCCAGTCGGGAACATTTATTTCAAAGACATTGAGGAAAAGAACGGTTAAATCATTTGCTTAAGTTACGGGGTGTGTAGCAGAGTTTTGTATGAAAACTAGGTTTTTCTGACATCCAGCCATCATCAACTGTTTATCAATTATTGTGATGTATCACTTTATAGTAGAGTATTTAAAATGTTAAGTTTTCCTTTCAAAATATGACTTGGTCAGTTTTATAATTTGATGCTCATAGAATTTAGCCATGTTCTGAATGGCTAGGTGAATTGGAGAATTGAGTGAAAGACCTTAGAAGTGACAAATTCTGATAACCTCAAAAGTGCTCTGCTTCAAACAGCCTGATTATGTGCATTCTAATTCCCTATAATGCACATCCAATGAGTGGCAACATCCCCACAGTACTTTAGAGATAAATGCATGTTGTTTTCAAAACAATTCTGTGAGAATTAAAACTTTTTGAGCTTACATAGGAGAGCATGCCATTATCTGTGTTGCAATCCCCATTTAGAAATGGAAATGTAATAAAGGGAAGGAAAAATATGTATTGCAAATAATCCAAATTATTTAGCCCAGTCTATTTCTTTCTACAATGGAAATCAGGTTTATAAACAAACGCTCTTTGAGGTTGATAACAGCATAATGTTTATATCAAATGAGTGAAAAAAATCAGTTCTGCACCACTGCCTATGAAGAGTCTAGTCACTAACTTCAATGCATTCATTGTTCATTCTGTGCCTTCAGTACAGACAAACCAAATAAATGAAGATGTATCCTTTGGGTATAGCTTTGTTTCATCTTTTATCTTATCATATCTCTAGAGGTGGTGATTATATTTTATCCAAAGCAAACAAGAATCTCACATCTACAAGATGTCCACAGTTTTCCTATATGAAGTGACACTACAAGTTTTTCTGCTTATTATTCCTGCATCCCTGGTGCACCACTTGTCTGTTTTAATGATGTGTGGTTGCTTCAGCGATTGTTAATCTAATGATGGAATCTGTCCGCAGAGGTTACAGGTAACATTTTCTGAGCCTCTTGCCTCCAGACTGAATTACAAGATGATTGATATTGTAATTTATTTTATTCTTTACTAAAATATGTGTACATTTGCAATAATAGGAAGTTATAGCTATGATCTTAATAAGAACACTTTCCAGTTAAGCATGCTGCAACTTCTGCAGAGATGGCCATTTTTCTACAATGACTTTTACTGACATAGAGCATTCTCAAAAGACAGGCAAGCCAGGAAAATAAAATAGTCAGCAACTTATGCATTCAGATTTCACTCCCAACTGAATTTCAATGTAAATATATTAAATATTCATTATGTAAATATATTTAAATATGCAACACATATTCATATTTAAAGGTAAATTGAGATAATTTACATGTTAGATTCTGAATGTCAGTCGTTAAGATACACTGATTTCCTGACCCAAGGTTACCAATCAGAATGATGTATGCATATGCTTCTTAATTAACCATTTACTGAGTACAGGAAAGGTGAAAATGCTGACCCAGGTGCATATGGTAATTTGCAGGATGATTCGCTCGTTAAACTAGCTGACAGTCGGAGTTTGTGAGGGTAGGAGGAGATAAAGGTAAATAGAAGATAAATATAGAACTAAAGCATAGAAAAACGAAAATTGGAAGGGAGAATGTAAATGTGCACTTAGTATTGCATCGAGTTTCTAGGAAAATCCATACCATGACGACTGTTAACATCTGGTTTTAGAGGAGCGGCCAAGTAGTTAGTTCATCTAGGTAAACAGGTAAATAGCAAACACAAAATATATGTGTACCGCCCTCTAATAACAATTCATCATGAGATTCTGTCACATAAGTGTTAAGGGTCCGTCAGGAGTGCTCCCTGGTGTAATCTTTGTTCAGACTTTCAACAATCGTGCTACATATTTTTAAGATAGTCTCCTTTCTCATCTCTCTGTCTTTAGGTATGACATTCCACTATCTATTTCACACTATCCATCTTTTTCTAAGTAATCTTGCGATACAAAAAAGTGATCACATTACATCCCCCTTTAGGAGTCCAATAATTTCTCAATGACTTCAGTTTATAATCCAAACTCCTTTAAATGTTTTTTTTTTCCTTAATTCTGTTCTTGTGCACTTTTTGGTTCTCAGTTTCTGCCATGCCTTGAATCAGACTCTATAATTCTGCCATTCCAAATTAAATGACACTGGCCATATTTTTCTGGCTTAAAATATATATATATATATATATATATATATATATATATATATATATATATATATATATATATATATTCCTGAAATATTCCTTTCCTGTTTTTTATGGGAGTGCACGCTTGTTTCCTTTCTGAGGCTCAGGTCAAGGGTGATTTCCTTGGAAGCTCTTTATCTCCATTCTCCCAAAGCACAAACACACTGCCAGATTCTTCTCCCCTAGGTTTCCTAGAGGAATGGGGCATCAAAAGGAGATAAAGTTGTAAGACATTCAAAAGTGTGTGAATGTTGAAGTTTATCTGAGGCCTGTGTTTCCAGATAGCAGCAGTGGTAGAGTAACTCCTCCACCCTTCTGTGTTTTCAAAGATAAGACATATCTTACTCCTTTCTCTTGACTCTTTAATTTTTAAAAAAATCTCAGACTTTATCTGTTTTGAGACATTCCTCATTGAACATTCTCTTTTGCGGTAGTATGAAAACTATCACCTCCTTAGTTGTCCTGGACATTTTGTCTTTCACAGTGGGCAACTTGGGGCTCTGTCAGTGAGTTCTTCAGAGCATTTACATTTTATTGTAACTGTTGGGTTTTTTGTCTGTCATCTCCATTAGACTGTGAGTTCCTTGAGGGTCAAGGAAATGTCTTGTTTATGTATTCCCGTCTGTACTTAGTACAGTGCCTGGCACATACTAGGTGATAAATAAATCTTTGACGATTATTAAGTCAGAGTTTGCTATATGTTTTCACTTTTTTCTTTTACTAGAGGAAGAAAAAAACAACCTGCTTCTTCTCTCTGTCAGTGTCATTTTAGCCCCTGAACCAGGCTCAGCCTACCCATCTGCACCTTCTCCTGAAATGAGTGCGGAAAAGCTTACTTCACCTATATACTAAAAATGGCAAATGAAGCTATTTACTAAAATCTCTGTCATTTCCAGCTAATTGTTATACAGGAAATAACCCTCAGACATATCATTCGTTAATGTCAGATTCACGTATGTTGGCATATGCATAAAAAGGACTCATGATAGGGGAGTAAGGCATCAAAAAAGGACAAATGTGCAATAGGTATGAGAAAGAGTGAAAGAGCTTTCCAGAAATCTAATTTCTGGAAAATTATACAAAAGCAATGGGAGAGCAAACTTTAGGAAACAGATGTGGTTTATGCAAATATAACCCTAAAAGTAGGAGCGAATTTAGAGTTAGAACACAAGGGTAATGCATTGCTTTCTCTATCCATGAAGAAAGGGAAGAGGACTGGAAAATGAAGACTAGTTGGCTGACACAGTGGAACATTTAATCAAGCTTGTTGAGTATCCTTTTCACTGTGACAATTTGAGACTCAGTTCAACTTGAAACTCTGGGATTTCAAGATTTGTAATAATTTGTAACCTATGAAGCTATGCTAAAGATTAAATTGTGTGATAGTAGGCGTCTGTCCAGGAAGTTCACCTACCAGTGAGTGAAGCTAGCTTACCAAATAGTATTTCAACTGAGATGTCTCGTGTTGTCACGGTATGGGCCTGCTTCCTAACTAACTAAGAATACTATGAACTTGTTTTTCTATAGCTGTGTGTTTCTATCACTGAAATATTATCCCAGAAATAGTGCCAAGTATTACTTACCTAGTACTGACATATTTCATGAGCGTACAAGCAGATTTCAAGATAAAAAGGCAATGCAGGTTTTTATTTTTAGATGTAAAATTCTCATACTCTACACAGATGTCAAGTGTATATAGTTCTATGAGTTTTGACAAATGTATAACTGTGTAACCCGAAATCCCATGTATCATCTGAGAAGCAGATGTCAGTGGGATTAAATGAGCAAGAGATTTATTGAGGGAAACACCTGTGAACTATAAAGAGGAAGAGGGAAGAAGTAGGCAGGAATAGCCTGACACTGATTAAAGGAGAGAGCAAGAAAGAATTGAGTGGCTGTTTCATACCATAGCAGAGGTTTGAGAATGTTTCTAATGGAGAGTCTCTGAGCAAAGATTGCTCATTGGATTATTCTCATATTGAACAGAGATGGGAGCTGGGGCTGTCAGTTAACTCTGCTATCTACAGTTGGTCAGGACAAATATCTCTGAATGGTTTCTGAGAGGTGTATCTCTATTCCCAAGACGTGGAATATTTATATCACCCCAGATACCCAATCCACCATAGGCAGCCATTGTCCTGATGTCCATCACTATAGGTTAACTTTGCTGGTTCTAGAATTTCACATAAATGGAATCATAGAGTAGGCTCTCATCTTTTTTTTTTTTTTTGCTGGCTTACTTTGTTCATCATAATGCTTTTGAGATTAACTTCTATTGTTGCAGAGGTAACTAATTTATTCATTTTTATTTCCAAGTAGTATTAAATTATATATTTTAAAAAGAATATGCTTGCTACTGCTACTGTATTTTGTGCCCAGAGCAACTACCTGTTCTTACCTAAAGTTTGCTCTTAAAATTAGCTCATTTCTTCATGTTGTCTTCCCCTAAATTTATTAAGTGACTCTTCTGTTTATTTTTTTTTTAAAGCAGAGTTTCAAATTTGCTTATACCTACACTCAGCCAAGCAAAATACAGGCAGTTTATTTGTTAATAATTTAGGTGACTTTCTTCATGAGATTTCACTCTGCTGGCTAAAGGAGTACATTTTAAGATCTGCAATTATGAACTTTCTGCTGATGTAGATAGTCTTTTTGGTAAAGTGCTCATTCTTTCAGACCTATATTGCACCATCCCTACTTCTTTCACAAAGATATCATCAAGATATATGAAGGTAGAGAATTTGTGAATTTGGGGAAAAGAGACAAACCCCTGACCTTGTGTTGTTTTGGGCAGCGCATTCATTAGGATCCACTGAGAAATGTATGCTTTACTTTATATATATATATATATATATATATATATATATATATATATATTTCTTCAAGCTAGCTATTGACTATGATAGCTGATATTAATCTACTTGCTTGCTAGAGCTGCCATAACATAGTACCACAGAGTGAGTGGCTTAAATAACAAACATTTATTTTCCCACAGTTCTGGAGGCTTAAAGTCTGAGATCAAGGTATTATCAGGGTTGATTTCTTCTGAGGTCTCTCTCCTGGGCTTATAGATACCCCTACACCAACCAATTCTCTAATAACAGATGGGTATCCTACAATAGTCTGACAATAGTTACCTGAAATTAACATTCCATTCCACAAGTTAAGTGCTCAATCTCAAAAGACTGCCCCTCACTTCAGATGCCAGGCATAAGTCCTGGACTACTGGAACTTTTGGCTGACCAGCTATAAATTCAGGAGGTTTCCACAACCCCTTCGTAAGGTTTAACAAGTTGCTAGAACAGATCACAGAACACAGGACAGCACTTCACTTACTATTACCATTATATTATAAGGGTACAACTCAGGAACGGCCAAATGGAAGAGATACATAGGGCAAGCTGGGGGAGGGGTGCCCAGAGTCTCCATGCACCTTTTCACACTTTATTGGTGCCTGGAGGTATTCACTAACCAAATATTCTCTGAACTCTGTCAATTAGGGTTTTTATGGAGGTTCTATCATGTATGCATGATTGATTATATCATTTGCCATTGGTGATAAACTCAATATCCATCCAGCACCCCTTCTCTCCCTACAGGTTGAGAGTAGACCTGAAAATTTCAATCCTATAATCATGCCTTTCTTTCTGGTGGCCAGCCTCCATCCTGAAGCTATCTAGGGGCCTCCAGACACCAGTCATCTCATTAGCATACAAAGACATTCATCACTTTGGAGATTCTGAGGGTCTTAGAAGCTGGGGCCTAATACCAAATATTATAACCAAAGATGCACCTATCATGCTTATTACTCAGGAAATTCCAAAGGTTTTAGAAGCTCTGTACCAGAAACTGGAGACAAAGACTAAATCTATATTTCTTATTACATCACATTATCACAATCCTTTACCCAACTCTTGCCTGAAGTGATTCACCTCACGTTTTGCCTTGGTGTTTTTCCATGCAATCCTCACTTTTGGTAGTCTCACCTTTCTGAAAAGCGTGGAAAACTTTGGGTGCCTTTCTAACACGTGAGCACTAACAAAGTCTTGGGAGTAAAAACTGTGGCCGTCTATTTACCTATAAAGTTTCAACCTTATTATTTGAATAAGGCTACCTTATTTTGAAATGAGATAATCTTGCTTAGGTATGTACTCCCACAGTCCCAAATGTGAGACCCTTTTAATTCCGTTTCCCCACTGGGACCAAATGCATTCTACCCTCATCATTCTCTCTAACTTGCCTTAGACACATCTCTTCTTGATACTGTGATCTGTCAAAAGTTGGTCCAGGCACTGTTGAATTAAGGTATCTCTGCTTCTCATAATTCTGTTGTCGTCCCCAAATTCCCTAGGTAAAAAGGGGTATGTTGGAATTTTTGCTTCTTTTAGATTATGTTGTATTTATATCTTAGAGCAGGTAGCTTTATGACCTAACCATCATAGGCCCAGGGGATGCACTGTCTGTGGGATAAATTAGTAGAGATAGCGAGGCAGGGGGTCTGAAATTACTTCTGTTTATGCCACTTTTGTTTTTTGCCACTATATACCTGGGCACTACTATGTAAACTACTCATAACTGAAGTAAAAGAGAATAGAGTAAAAGAAAGAATAAATTACAATAAATTATAACATGAAGTGAAATGCTTATGACTCAAAGTTTAAGAGTAAAGTAACAGGCCAGGCCCGGTGGCTCATGCCTGTAATTCCAGCACTTTGGGAGGCCAAGGTGGGGGGATTCACCTGAGGTCAGGAGTTTGAGACCACCCTGGCCAACACAGTGAAACCTCGTCTCTACTATAAATACAAAAATCAGCCGGGCATGGCAGTGCGCACCTGTAGTCCCAGCTACACAGGAGGCTGAGGCAGGAGAATTGCTTGAACCTGGGAGGTAGAGGCTGCAGTGAGCTGAGATCGAGCCACTGCACTCCAGCCTGGGCAACAGAGTGAGACTCTGTCTCAAAAATAAATAAAAATAAATAAATAAATAAATAAATAATAAAGTAACAAATATAATACATATAAAAATAAATTTAAGATTAAAAACAGTTTAGAGTGGCAAATTTAATAATTTAAAAATAAATAAAAGAAAATTATTTTAAATTAGTCAAAAATTAGAAGTAATGACAAAAAATTGAATGTATAAAATTGAGAAATTACATTCAAAGCCAGCATATATATTATATATAATCTAATATGTAATATATATTATATAAATATGTATATAACATATATTTATTATATTCTAGCATATATTATATTTTTCTTTTTCCTGTGATCAGGCAGAGGGCTTTAGAGGTCCATGACACCAAGCATACATGTTGAGCTCTTCTTAAGTTGGCCAATAGGGAGCACCAGTAAGTATTTGGGAACAAGATGAAGGAGGGTTTGAGTAAGGCACTGATTTAAGTGCTTTACAAATATTGTCGGCTTGAATTTTCATTTTCTATGAAATAGGTACTATTATCTTTACCACAATTATTCTATGCCTTCACATCTTGAGAGGCATGGTTTGCATTTCTTACTACAGTCCTCCACCCACTGGGTTACAGTGATAACTCTCTCTTTGCCCTGTAGTTGAGTCACACGGGTGACATCAACTCCCAGGTTATATTATTTCTGGCTGCATTGCCATTCCTTTTTATTTCCTTAACTCAAACCAGACCTCTGTAAATAGTCCCTTCACACAGCTCTCTTCAGTCACGATTTTCAGTTTGTCAGATCTTTTTTGAGTGTCCCTGCCATCTACTTCCTGTCAGGACTTTGACTGGTAACAGAACATAAATAAATATTTAATATGAAGAAAAATAAGAAGTGAAAAGAAGAAGACTAAAGAACAAAAGTAGAGCTTGCAGTTAGAAATAAGAAAAGGACACTCATAATAGCAACAAAATATCAAATGATAATGGGCTACTATTCTATGCAACTAAACACAGACACACATATATCCACATACATATGATCATTTGGAAACAAAAGAAGAAACGAGGGAAAGTGAGGCTAGGGCAGAATAAGAAAACTGAAAGGAAATTAGGCCAAGGATATGCTTTCTGGAAGCTTCTTCTGGGTCGAGACGGTTATTAGAATAGAATTTTTCTTAAATTCACTTGGCCTGTGGGCTGCCTTCTCCTTTGGAATTTGGTCACAGAAAACTCGATGGCAGAGAATCATATTTTCCTTGTGCCCCAGGTATTGCTTCTCTCTTCTACTTGAGTCTTTTTTTTTTTTTTTTTTTTGAGATAGAGTCTCACTCTGTCGCCGAGGCTGGAGTACAGTGGCACTGTGTTGGCTCACTGCAACCTCCGTCTCCTGTGTTCAAGCAATTCTCCTGCCTCAGCCTCCTGAGTAGCTGGGATTACAGGCGCCCACCACCATGCTGGGCTAATTTTTGTATTTTTAGTAGAGACAGGGTTTCACCATGTTGGCCAGGCTGGTCTCAAACTCCTGACCTCAGGAAATCCACCCATCTTGGTCTCCCAAAGTGCTGGGTTTACAGGCGTGAGCCACTGGGCCCGGCCTTGCTTGGGTCTATTTTTAATTTGTCTTTCCTAGAAAATATAACGATATTTATTTATTTGCAACTTAAAAAGATTTATTGCTATTCAGGCTTCAAATGAGCCCAGAATTCAGGGCTGCTGTGTGGTTCAGAAGTTGTTATGGTATAACAGGATGCTGGACAAATCCAGGCGGCCTGACATGGAGGCCACCCTCTCTTCCTTGGACCCCTGCTCCAAAAGCAGCTGCTGGTGGGGTGAACTCTTTCCCAACTGCCTCATTCACCTGACAGGACTCCAGGACTGGGGCACGCAGCTTCGTGATCCCCACAGCTCACAGCTCAGAAGCTGCCCATACCTCTCCTAGCACTGGAGGAAGAGCCTTCTCCTTGGGATCAGACTCTATGGCTTTGGCCCTGTGGAAGGAGAAATGGTGCCACAGGAGTTGTCTTAAGAGCACAAGACATGCACGATCTGAGATCAGAGGTTGCGAAGTGGCCACCCATGAGCCAGACTGTCCACTGATGTTTCCGTTTGGGACACATCACACCACACAGTGTTTAAAAAAAAATTAGTTGCCAATATTTTAAAATGATAAGATTTCATATAAAAATCTGGATTTTTGGCTACTCTGGGAATAAACATTGAAACTGTCTGGCAATACTGGGCCAACAGTATTCTTATGTGACACTGACTGGTCATGGCTAGGTAGCAGTTGAGTTCACAGACTGGCTATACACTCTCCAGTCTGTGCCACTCTTAATTATATTTCCAACTAGAGACCAGGCCTCAGCAGCCTTGTATCAATGCACATGTGCTGTGACTTTCTTTATCGTATAAGAAATATTTACATTGTAGTATTATCTTTAATCAAAAAGGAAAAATCAAAGTCAAGCCTGGAATCAACATGTTTCTCACAGTCCTTGTCACTCATTTAAGTCTCTTGCTAAGCCCTGCGAGTACCTGAGTTTGTAAACAACAGAGCACTCCTAATATCTCTGCCAAGGGATTCCTGCCCCACACACCCTACCTCTCCAGGATATACTGCACACTAGTATTAATTGGGCAAATCTACAAAGGAAATCAAAATTAGCCGCAGAAATTAAGGGAGGAATAGACTAAGAGCAACTCCTTTCTCCTCTTCGTTATAACAGGGGGCTGGAGGAGAACAAAGTCGTTAATACTCTCACTTTGCCTTTAACTTAGTGACAAAAAAAAAAAAAAGAGTGAGAAGAGAGAGAGAGAAAGTCATAAAGATTCTTCAGGTCCTAAAACACACTGGTTCCCATTCCTCAACTGCTTTGGAAATGAATGAGGCTCTTTACAGAGAATGTCTAATGGGGATGGATAATGTGGTCAGCCCAGCAGATGCCCTGGGCTATCAAGAACTGTCCATCTCATCCTCCCTTAGGCCAGGGCGGCTTGCCCCAGCCTAAAATGTTAAGTGGCACAAAATGATTTTCAGTAAGGGTAGCGGACTCATTGTAGAAAGGGGATTAAAGTGGGGCAGAGAGTGGGAATTTGGCCTTGGCAAACCCAAGACAGAGGAAAAGGGATCTTCCTCACACCCCTCCATTCGGCTGTGATGGATGCCGTGCTATATGCCCTTTACAGAGGCAGCGATCTTGATGCAGCTCAGACGCTTCCCGCCGCTGCTCAGGACGCTCTCTATGCCGTAGTTCCCTGTGGTGAGCCAGCTGGGCAGCTCCAGGTAAGGCACAGTGAATTTGCTCTTGGGCAGTGAGTAGGTTCCTTCTTCGAAGGGATAGTGGCAAGGAAGCCCATAGGTATGTAGGGGCTCTGGGCAGGCACCCCCAAAAGTGTTCAAAGGTACAGCTGCCATGGGGTCTTGATCCAGGGGCCAGCCACTTCCTTCTCCAAAACTAAATCCATCTCCAGACGAGAACTCAGGGAGACAGTGGTGCTGCCCAGGAGACTGAGGGTCACGTTCTCCGGAAGAATGATGGGGTCAGGCTCCAGAGTTACGCCTCTGATCACCGCAGGGTCCTTCCCTTCATCACAGTTATTCCAGGAAAAGCTACTGAGCTTTTTCAGGTGGGCTTGCACAGGGGCGCGAGAAGCAAGCCCAGGGCGATCTGGAGCGAAGTCTGCGTCAGGGATTGCGTTGCGAAGGGTGGGTCCGGGTGGAGTTAACTGCAAGATCTGTGGTGGCAGCGGCACCTTTAAATGGCTTCCTGCATTGGTTGTGAATATAACGACCTTTAAAAGCAACAGTAGATTGGAACGGGGATTGAGATGCTCATGTATGTTGAGAGAAATCTTATTCTAGAAAAAAAAAAAAAGCATCCAATAAGTACAATCAGTGCTTACAATTCAGTGAGCTAGTTTTTAAAATGAAATTTCTTATTTACAAAACACTTATGTTTTATCAAACTATATATAAGACACTTTTCTAAGTGGTTTACAAATACTGCCTGCTTGAATTTTCATTCTCTGTGAAGTAGGTACTATTATCCTTGCTATTATACAGATGAAGAAAACAAGACATGGAAAAGTTAGGCATTTGACCAAAGACTCAAGACTAGTAAATGATACAGAAGGCATTCAAACCTACACAGTCTGGCTCCAGATATATTGTACCCAATTGCAATTGCTGAATCAATAAATATAAAGCTCTCAGCAGTGTCTTCAGAGAGACAATTAAGTTTCTCAAAATAGAGGAGATATATATTGATAGTGTCATCATGAAGATACTTTGGTCAGAAGTCACAGAAGCAAGCAAAAACTAGCTAATAAAAAAGAGGAGATATTATATAAACATTAAAAAGTTATTTTAAGAAAACTGAGAGACAAAATGAAGCCATCAGGATGTGAAAAAATAAAATATCAAAAAATAAAAACAAACCATATATCCTGGGAAAATTCTCTAATTCTCCTCTAATTTCTTTCTTTTTGCTTCATTCTCTCTCAAACTAGTTCCTCAACTTCTTACTCCATGAGATATGTCATGTAGAGTATATTCTTTAGCTTTCAAGTTTATATCTTCCCCATTCAGGATCCCAGCTGTTTGGCTTTGGTCTGGTGTCTACTTCTGGTCCAACTGACAGAAGCAAGTTGGTGAGGGACACAGAGCACAGTTACGACAGCTAGGGGCAGTTATCAGAGAAAGGAGGTTACTTCATTTGTGTGGGATACCAGCAAATGTGTTTATCATAGATAGTACCTTAAAAACAGTGATGCATTGCTCAAGTGGGCATTCAATGTGGGGGAAGCCTGGAATAGTGTCAGGCTTCCAGCTTTGAGAATGGTCTTTGGGAGCAGATCTCAGAACCATGAGAAAGAATTTGATAAACAGCAAGGAAGGCAGCTAGAACACTCTTAGGAAAATACTTAAGGCATAACAAAAAAATGTAGCTTCAGATAAAACAGGTACTTGTTATGAAGTGCACTCATTATGGATTTGTTTCTAATTTGCTTTACTTTGTATTTACTTATTTGTTTATTTAATAATTATTTTTGAACATTTAATATATAAGAAATATAATGCTGTTTTCCAGAGTCATAGATGACTAAAGCAGGTACTTCCTTTTGTTGAAGGGGATAATAAAATATTACTTTAGTTTACCTCACACAACTATAATATCTATCTACATATCTGTCTATAAAAAAACCTATAGGAAAAAGATATATCTGCTCATTTCACCATTCTTATTTAACATTATTCCAGAAATGTTGGGTAAAGGAATAAGACCAAAAAATAACTTAGTCATAAGTTTGAGAAAAAAATCAAAGTATCATTAGCAACAGATTATATACTTACCTAGCAAGAAAACCCAAGAGAATCACTAGAACACTTTAAAATGTTGAGTTCAGCATGTTAAAACAAATATATGAAATTAATATCTTACTATTTGAGAAGCAATCTCTTAAAAGTAAAATGGAAAGTAAAAAAAATATAAAAAGCAACCTAATAATAAAACAAAAAGAATTTAATAAATAATAAATATAATACCATGAAAAAATTTTAAGCAAAAGTATACTAAGCAGTGCAAAACTGTTCAAAATTCTTAGCCAGAGTAAAAGAGAGGATTTTAATAGGAGAGGCATAAAGCATTTATCTACTGGAATACTTAATAAATATTTCTAAATATAAGCAAAAAAGGTTTTTTTTAAAAGAACTGTACTCACCGTAATTGTGAAGTTTATTTGGAAAAAGGCATGAGCTTAAAAAAGAGTAATCAAGAAAAGCTTCTAATCATAGATTTTAAAATATACTATAATGCCATTATAATTATTGTGATATTTATACATTATTACATAGATCAATCACAGAACAGAAAGTCCAAAATCTTTTCCCGGAATGTATAACATATTAGTTAATCATAAAAGTAGCATCTTACAAAAGTTGAGAAAGAATGAATTATTCAATAAATGTCCTGGGGTACTCTGGATCACCACTTGGGAAAAATAATTGATTAAATCTGTTACTCTAATGATGAAATACATGAACAACAATTTCAGATGAAATAAATTCATGAATACTAAAAAAATTCAACCTAAAAACCATTAACAAAAAATACAGGTAAATATTTATATAATCACATAGACTTGATCTTTATAAACATGAAATGAGAGACAAAAATCACAATAAAAATACAGACATTTTTGGATTACATAAAAATATAAAACTTTTTTTGATAAAAAAGTAATCTGTTAAAATATATATAATCATTAAATTAATGAATATTTGCTTAGACTTGGAATTTAAGAACCAGAAAACATTTCACCCTTAAATGTTAAACATATTCTATGTTAATTAGTTTTTTAAAGAGAAAAAATAAATTATCTTGAAAATGCTCATATCTTATTATATCACATATCATTATATTTTAATAAAATTTTTCTCAGATTAAATGTTTGGCAACTATTCATGAAAGTTTCAAGTAATCTATTTCAAATTACCTCCATTTTTTATTTGAATCAATGACAATAAAAGTTTCCAAGTTTTCTCTTATAAGGGAGAGATTTTTTTTTTTGTAAGGTCACTATTTGTTTTTTTCCTCACAGAAAATACCATAATGGTGCTTTTGTGACTAAACTGCTAGGGTTATTGAGCTCATCACACTGGCATCAATGACAATGTCGCTGATGATGATATCTTCAGGATTCAGACTGTTAATCCATCATTGTACATAGGTGAATACAACAAATTACTTTTTCATTGTTATGAAAATACAGTAAATTCCATGAGAGTAGGTTCCTTTAATGAAACAGATCATGCATAGAAGACTTTGAAATTTGGTGCTAAGGCAATAACAGCTTCTGTCAGATCCCGGTGACTTCATTTGACAGGAGTAATGTTTCTACTTTGTCTTCATTTAGGACAGCTTTGCTTCAGTGACATGACAATGAGTTCTAACAGCTAGCTAGCAGTTCAAACAGCTCTCACAACGGAATCCTGACGTGAAGCCAACAGACTTTTGCAAATAGGAAAATTAATGGTTTTCATAAATTTGTCCCTCATGGCATTATACAACTATAATTTTTTCAAAAGATAGGTATGTATGGATAATTGAAATCATAATAGAAGCGACAAAGAATATTCAAAATAAGTTTAAGTTAGAGGGACTCTGGCTACAGTGGATATTTCTATTTGGAAATGCTTGTCAAATTCCAAGTTTTATGCTGCAATGGTTTTATTCAGCAATGAGCTTGGATTTTAAGTCAAGAAAGCATGTATAATTTCCCCAAGGACTGAGGCAGAGTAGTCAGAGGTATATGTTGAAAAAATGTTATTGGAGAAAACAAAGATGTTATTTTGGCTTAATTCTACAGATATAATTATATTTAAATTACTTAACAAATCTTTGATTCTTCAGAAAAACACAAGGTGAGATGTTTTTATTACAGGCTGAGCTAGGTTCAGGAGACGTGAGCTGTAAGTCTTTTGCCAGTTGCTAGCTGTTTGACCTTGACAAATTAAATTCACTTATTTGG
This sequence comes from Homo sapiens, assembly GCF_000001405.40. Lineage (NCBI taxonomy): Eukaryota > Metazoa > Chordata > Mammalia > Primates > Hominidae > Homo > Homo sapiens. The sequence goes on along the minus strand of NC_000003.12, from coordinate 145,680,736 downwards.
GTTAGGATTTCTCATCTGTAAAATAAAGAAAATGGATTTAATTTATCGTAAGTGCCATCTATGAGAGGTGACTCTGAAGTATCAATGCGTATTAAAAGGATAAGTTTTCTCAACGCCACCAAAGTAAAAGAGAGTGAAGACATCTAAACACAGGCCATAACATATGACACACACATAAGGCAAAAAGGCAAGCGGGGTTATTTATGGTCAAACAGTGATTAGGAAAAGTCTTTTAGAATGGGCCACTAATGAAGGCAGTAACTACGTACAATAAGCTTATTTGCAGTGGTTTCTTCTGCAATATGAATAAAATTTAGTTTTCTTGCTCTTGCTTCAAGATAAATATCAGTAGTTTTGTACATTCAAAACACTCACAAATTCAACTCAAGCCTAAGAAAAAGCCTGAGGTAATCTTTAAAACTCAGTTAAGGAGAATTATATCTCACAAAACAGAGGAAATTTTTTTAAATTCACGTTCTACCCCTCAAATTCTATACACGACAGCTAATAAAATAACCCTATGACCCCAAACCCGAGTAATTTTGACTTCTTTTCATTTTTCCACTTTCTTTAGTTAGAACCTTCTTCTCTTTTGAATTTTCATTTCCTAACTTAAGTTCTCATCTTTTCTATTGAAGCTTAGACTGAGGTAAGAAATAGTGCAAGCCAAAGTGAAAACAATTACATTTTTAGAGCACCTATTATATCTAGTCACTTTACCTTACATGATTGCATTTAAGCCTCCAAATCAGCCTATGATGTAGGCATTGTTACCATTCAAACATTAACAATGAGGAAGTAGTTTCTGAAAGAGGGCTGACAACCTTTGAAACACTTTATAGCTTGAAAAAGTTTACTTTTGGAAGTGGAACACATCAACTTCTAATTCTTGATATATGGATTAGAAAGATTTTGGTTCGACATATTTATTTCACATGGCAAACTAATATAAAAATAAGACCAGACTTTTAAAATACTATTAATAACATCTCTTCAGAAATACTTTCAAATTAAAAAATCTAAATTTAAGATTTTTTTGTTATATATAGATATCAGTATATGTTTATATTAGTGCATATGTGCATATGTATGCATGTGTATGTGAACAGATACATCTTTAGTGAAGAAATAAAAGGAAAAGATTATACACACACACACACACACACACACCCAACAGCATATGTTAATGTTTACATAAGGAAAGATTAGCCTGCAAAGAAAGAGAAGGAACAATCAGAAGTTGGAGAAAAACATGAGAGTGTCATTTCATGTGGACTTCTAAAGAGTCTTCCATTGGAGATAATTTGTGAATTTTGAACTTTCTGAGCACTTGCACGTATCAAAATATCTCTATTTTCACCTCAAAACTTGAATTGTAAATTGGGCTGACTTTAGGAATCTAAGTTGAATATTATTTTCTCTTAGAACATTGAAGGCCTTCGCTATGGTCTTCTGGTGTCCTGAGGAGCCATTGGGAATTTCAAAGGCCACTCTCATTTATATTCCATTTTACAGAACTGGCTTTTGGTGAACGAAAACCTTTAGGATTTACTCATTATCATTGGAATTCAGTAATTGTGCTATTTTAATATTTTAGATGAGGGAGGGGTCTTTAATGTTAATCCTCCTCAGCATGTATTTGACACTGTCAATGTCTAGACTTATTTCTTTCAATTCTGACAGATTTTTTTTTATTTCTCCCACTCTTTTATTCTTTGTCTTGCTGGAATTCCTAATATTGGATGGGGACCTCCTAGATAATCTTCAAATTTGTAATCTGTTGTTGCCTATTTCACGTCACTTATCTTTTTGCTCAACTGTCTTTGAAATTTCCCAAATGTTATCTTCCAAATGTAAAGACTTTCCAATGATTATATACATAGCGTGTTTAATATATACACAAATAAATATATGATACATATTTTAATTTTTATGTATCTACTATTAGATTCTGGTAGCCCATTCTTTTTAAAATATCATTCTCTTTTGGTTTTATGGATGTGTTTTCATCTTCTGTTATTCTCTGTTCAGGATGTTCTCTGTTTATCCCATAAGATTCACTCTCTATCCTTCTTCCCCTCCTTTGTGATCCTAGCTGAGCCCTGTGGTCTGAGTCATATGGGTTGCATCACTAGAGCTCCCTTGTCCTCTGGCATCTGGTTGAGATTTAATACAGGGGGTCATGGACAGGAGATCAGAGGACGGACAGAGACATACAGGAGAGTATTTATTCTCCTCACTTCCTCCAGTCAGGCTGTGGATTGGCAGTAAATTGTTTTCTCTCTCAAAGGACACAGCTTGTGTCTGGAGGCCCTCTTTTATATTTACAACTCTCATAGTTCTTGATAAATATGTTTTCCCAACCTCTTCAGACCTAGGGGTGATCAAAATTCCATGCCTTTTCTAGGCCAGGGATGCTTTAGCATCTCTTGTTAGTTGCTCTTAATGTTCAAAACTGGTAGATAAGTGCCATCATTGGAGTTTCCTTAGTGTCACATTTTGTGTGTACCATATTTTTTTGCCAGCATCTTGACTGATCTAATGTATTGATCTAATGTATTACAAATACATTAATGTATTAATTTTTTTGGATTTTTGCCAAAGCTTTTCAAAATTTTTTACTCCCACATTGTCTCTGTTTTCTCTGGGCTTCTTTTTCTGTTTTTCTTTTCTTTTATCAAATCCTTTGTGTATTTTTGTTCATAACTAAAATAGAGACACTAAAATTTTGGTAGAAACTTTTTGTAAATGGAAGGCTTCACTTTAGAGTGCTTGAGACACAATTTGATTATTTTATTTACGGACCCCTCAACAGGAGTACTTGTGTTTCCTTTTCTCTGGGGATAGTCAGTTTCACCAGAAAAGCATCTTCCAATGTCTTGCCTAGAAAGTGTAAGTCTGACTCCCACTATTCATGGGACGGGCTACTGTGTCTGGTCGAATTTCCAGTAGGACCCTCTTCTGCTTTCTTTACAGTGCTTGGTTTCCGTGGTCTGGGACCCCTGTGCTTCAATTTCTCTGTAAATGAAACATTTAGTTTCCTGCTTAGTAGAGGAGTGATTACATGGCGGTGCTGAATCTGAGAAAGGATCAAGGGTTTCACTGCTCCTTATACAGACTTTTCAACACTATTCCTGATTTCAACCCCTGCTTCAATGCCATTTTCCACAGTATTTCGTGCCATCAGTTCCTTAGCCCTTTCAGAATATTACAGTGTATATATTGGCCTGCTTTTCATGTCATCTTCAGGAATTCGATCATCAATTTTTAAAGATATGTATGCTTTTTATAGTCTAAAATTACACTGATATCTTTCAGGTCTTCCTGTCCATTGTCTTAGTGTGTGTTTATATTAAAAATCTTTCTACCATTGTTATGATATATTATTAGGAGGAGTTTAAGTTCTCGGCAGCAATCTGAACACAGCAAATCTCTGTAAAAATTTTAAACTTGTTAGAGTGTGGTGGGTAGAAATTATTGTCTCTAATAGACAAATCCCCTCTAAGGATTTTATGACTTTCATAAGGATGGAGAATTAAGGAAAACAATTCTACACACTTCCTACAGAGTTGTTTTATGGCTATTGTACATCCCTGGCTTCTAAGAAGTATACTTATAGATAAAACATCAACTTTTGTCACTGAAACATTTACAATGTCAAGTATATCTTTGTTCACAAGATCAAAATAATATGGTTGGTGTTTTTCTACTGTACATTTAACAGTTCACTTTTATTAACTGCAATGTGAAACAATATCAAGAATACAAAAAACCTAGAAGTGAATTAAACACACACACACACATCAACACAACAATTTGTTTTGGTACATTTTTTTTCTAGGTGCTTTGTTTGCTTGGGTTTATCCTAATTCTTAGTTATATGCTTCAAACTCCTTGAACATATTGGCAACAGTCAATCATCTTCTAACTTAGGGAGATAATTATTTTCTAAAATTATTTATTTCTGTAATGGTAACATATAAATGAGAATTCCAAAATAAAACAAAAAATATTCTGGCTGAGGGCCAAGCTCTTTTTAATATTTATTTATTTATTTGTGAGACAGAGTGTCGCTCTGTTGCCCAGGCTGGAGTGGGGTGGTGCGATCTCAGCTCACTGCAACTTCTGCCTCCCAGGTTCAAGCGATTCTCCTGCCTCAGACTCCTGAGTAGCTGGGACTACAGGTGTGCACCACCATGCCTGGCTAATTTCCTTCTTAGTATTTAAATAAAAGTTATAACATGAATAACAATTTTTTATGAAATAATTTTTATATCATATCTTTACTAATTAAAATCTGTAGCCTCTGTAAAATTTCAGTTTAACTTTAATATGACACCTGGCATTTTAGAGTTTTTCACGTAAGATAATTTGTTGGGCAATTTAGTCTTGAAATACCCTAATGGCCTTAAATTATTTTTTGTATGACTTTAAACTTTTATGCCAAATATGCTATATCAAAACATAACTACATTGTTTACTTTTTAATGCACATTATTAAAGAAGTCCATTTTCATTAAAATGTAAGATTTGATAACCTAAGACATTTTTCAATTAACTAAAATATTGGAGCTGAATGTGGGATTCTTCAGTAATACATATATTACTACTATATAGTCAACATATAGATCATATTCAAATATGAATGTTTGTGAACAGTCATACATTTTATGCAGAATGAAATATGTACAGTAAGTGAAGCTATTTGAGATTAAATTGTATTAGCAGTTATAGTCAGAAGATGCACTGTGGGTAATATAAAAGATTCATATGTTAGAGAATTGACCTACATAAGTACCTACGATAAATAATTATAGCTAACATTTATAAAGAATGTAAAATGTGCTAGACACTGTACATAAATTTATTTGCATAATTCTAAAAATAATCCTTTGTTATCATCCCCATTTTGAAGGTGGAGAAACAGAGGACCAGAAAGGTTAAGTACTTTGCTCAAGGTCACAGAACTAATAAGTAGCTATTGCAGGATAAAGCATGTGATTTTCAAGAAACATACATTTTCTCATTTCTGTATAAATGTAGAACATTTTGGTTATGTTCACAAATATTTTATAGACTTATAAGACTGGATAGTATTTTGGCAGGTCTTCTAATTTATCCTGCCTGTTCCAAGAAAGATTATTCAAGTATCAGCTTAAAAACATATATATGTAATTTTGCAAGCTATTATATATATATCATTTTAAAATAAATTATGCAAGTTTTATCCTTTTTGAATATTTGAACACCACATATTTCTGAGTTTTTGAAAGACAGTAACAATTCATGAAACCAAGCAGGTTCTAAGGAATGGGTCAAAAAACTTTTCTTCAGAGGCCAAATCACAAAATAGGATCTACATACAAATACTCATCATTTCAACGATCTATTGCTGCTTAACAAAATAAGGGGCTAAAAAACCAATCATCATTTCATTTCATTTGGCTAAAATGCATGAGTGTAAAATTCAGATGGCGCTCCTTTGGGCAATGCTTCTGCTTTATGTGGCTTCAACTGGGGTCATTTACTCTGTTGCATTCAGCTGGTAGCTGGGCTGTGCTGGAAGCTTCAAGAGGATTCATGCAGGTGACTAATGAGAAATCTCCCCGTGGCTTTTCTCCCTCCATGAAGCGTAGTTCTTTTTTTTGTGTGATTGTCAGGGTTTTTCATGGAGATGTGCTTTCAAGGAGACAAAACCTAAAAAAAAAAAAGCTAAAGAAATATATATGATTCTCACAAATATTTGTTCATACATATTTAGAGAGTTTACATAAATTTCTACATTGTATATATATTTATATATACATTATACAGGTTAACAATATACATATTTGAACACATAATGGTACATGTTTATATATTTTAAATTTTTATACATATCTCTATATATTTATTCTCACATGAATATTGTACTAATATATTAAAAGCCTTGGAACTGGCTTCTAAGAAGGTCTTTTATCATCGTATTTAGTGATGTTAAATAAATTACTAGTATGAATATTATATGACCTTAAAGCTTTGTCTTCATATTCTGTTTGCTTAAATTTTAAATGTTTATAAATCATTATAGGTTCATATAATTTACTAACATCTCAATGAACAATATAAACTTAGAGGAGTATCCTTTTCTAAATATTTCAAATGGCTTTCTTGGTAATTTAAAAAATATTTGGGCAGCTTTTTTTCTGATATGATTAGATTTTTATCTTGTCTTCTGGTCAAATTAGAACTTCCTGGGAGAGAAGGGAAAGCGCCAGCTCCTATTTTCTCACTGTTCACATATGTTTTGTTATTAGCATAAATCTTAGTCTTTAGCTTATTCGCAAAGAGCATTTTTAAATTTATTTTGAGACAGAATCTCGCTCTGTCGCCCAGGCTGGAGTGCAGGGTGGCACCATCTTGGCTCACTGCAACATCCACCTCCTGAGTTCAAGCAATTCCCCTGCCTCAGCCTCCTGAGTAGCTGGGATTATAGGCATGCACCACCACGTCTGGTGAATTTTTTTATTTTTAGTTGAGATGGGGTTTCCAGTAGAGCTTATTGACTGTTTCACCCTACAGAGTAGTCAGGAAGTGACTTCCAAGGGAATATAGATTTCTCCTAGCTTCTCTCTCTCTCTCTTTCTCTCTCTCTCTCTCTGTCTCGATGCTTCCTTTTTGATCCCAGCCACCATGCTGGGAGGCCATGTGTAGTTATTCTTGCTGACAGCCTCAGCTGAGAGACAAAATCAATTGTCAAGCATGTGAGTGAGGAATCCTTCAGATGCATCTAGTCTTCAGCTGCATTCCCCAGCTGATGCTGTGCAGAGTGGAGACAAGCTGTCCTCATCAAGCCCTGCCGAAATTGCACATGCATGAGCTAGAAAAGTTATTGTTACTGTTTTACAGCACAATATTGTTTTGTTTCACAGCAAAAAAATATTGTTTTACAGCAAGTTTGAGGAGGTCTGTAATTTAGTACTTGTTAACTAGAACAAGAAGGCAGTATATTTTGCTTATGTTTCCATGGATTACCTTGCACACACCGTTATGATAACAGTCGACCCAGCTTATAATTACCCAGCTTATAATTAAGAGATTCACAATTAATTGAGATTTGAGAAAAAGAGCAAAAATACTTTCTTCTGTCAATATTATAAAACATGAGCTATTGTTTAGCATAATGAAAACCCCTATATACAAAACCAATATGTTGACCCAAATATCATTCTCTCTGAGAGTTCCCCATGACATTTATTCTTGGATAAATGTAGTGTTATGTTGAAATGAAGGTGCTAACATATTGAACTCTTATCAGATATGAATAAATGAAATATTTCATATCCTAAATTGTTTTTCACCATTTAAGTATGTGAACTGAAAAAAGAAGAAATTTTTTATTTTTTTAAAAAGGGACTTAAATGTGTGATTTTCTGGAGGAAAAGGATATTTTGGAAACATAGAGTGGAGCTGATGAAATTCTGATTACTTGTAGTGAAGAGCAAAGGTATCAAAGATGTGTAACAAAGCTTTGAAGGGAACCGTGAGTGGCTCCAGGACAAACTTTATATCTTGGACATTTTTGTTGAAATAGGTTTGCTTACCTCTGTCCAAAGAATTTTGATTGTAATGTATCTTTTTTCCTATTCTGTCAGATTTAGGGGCTCATTATTGCTTAATAAAAGTTACTGCTGCTATTGTACATATGATTGTTAGGAGTACAGGAAAGTGTTAAGTGGAGGCTGATGCTTTTGTTATTTTTACTAATCCAGGCATGTTTGTGGCCTTAGAGCTGGGACAAGCTTGTGACCATTGAAAAGAACAGGAAGAGATGAATATCAGAGATCCACAAGACAGTCTGACTCAATATGGAGAATGAAAAATGAATCCAATAAATATGTATGTGGGCTGGAGGTCCCTGATGTAGTGAGTCAAGATATGGATTATTTTAGAAATGGTATAAATTTGAGAAGTGTAAAAAATAACAGACTCTGTTATATTTAGCTTGAAGCTGCAATGAACTGTCTCATATATGTTGAGCTAATGTTCAGTTCCCTGCTGACACCTTTCATACTAGTAGGCCTGTTTTGTTTTGTTTTGTTTTTTGGTAGAGAAATAATCAGTTCTTTGGCACTGTGATTATTAAACCAAAACATTCAATACTCTCTCTATCCAAGCAAAGATTCATTTTATTGTAAATGTCACTATCTTTCAGCATTGCAAATTTCTTCACTAAAATTTTGCTTATACTAAAATATAATCCAAGGTAAATAAGATGGATACTTTATAAAAATATCTTTTCCTTCCGCATTCCTTTAGATAGTTTAATATGTTTTACTATATATTAACATCATCTTATTATGTTAGCTAAGCAATTTTAATGCGGTAATTTAACATATAATGAAATCACAATATAAGATACTCTTAATAGAGCACATTTGTATTAGGTTGGTCATGGTTTGTGATTGTGCAGTTATAAATGATTTATCTAGTATACATTTTAAATAATTTTCTATCTCCAGTTTGTAAAAATTAAATAATTCATTGTATTACGATAAGAAAACTTAGTAATGAAGATTTAGTTGATGCGAATTTAGGCAAATTTGAATTTTCCCAATTTACTTAATTCAAGAGGTTGTATTATTAGAAAAAAAACTTCTCTTCTCACCCAAGTTTAATGATTTGACAATAGTTATTTTTTTTAATGCTCTTAGATTTTTTTTTTTAGTAATGGTGGCAAAATCTCAAAAATTTATTTTTTTTAAAATACACTTTACTTTTCAGAACAGTTTCTGGTTCATAGCAAAAGTAAACAGGAAGTACAGACATTTCACATATACCCTTTGATACCACAAATGCACAACTATCCCACTATCAACATCCGCCACGAGAGCAATATTTTTTTTTTTCCTAGAAGAACCCACATTGACACATTATTATCACTCAAAGTCCATAGTTTTCATTAGGTCTCACTCTTGGTATTGTACATGCTGTGGGTTTTAGCAAGTATATGATGACATGTATCCACCGTTATAATACCATACAGAATAGTTTCACTGCTCTAAAAATCCTCTGGGCTCTGCCTATTTATCACTCCCTCTCTTCTAAACATTGGCAACCACTGCCTATAATTTTGCCTTTTACAGAATGTCATATAGTTGGAATCACATAGTACATAGTGCTTTCATTTTGGCTTATTTCATTTAGTATTATGCATTTGAGTTTTCTCCACGTCTTTTCATGCTTGATAGCTCATTTCTTTTTAGTGTTAAATAATGTCTCATTGTCTGGATGTATCAAAGACTATATCCACTCACCTACTGGATGACATATTGGTTGCTTCTCAAGTTTGGCCAATCATGAATGAAGCTGCTATGTTCAGGTTTCTGTGTAGACATAAATGTCAATTTTGTGTGAACAAAAATACCCAGGAATGCAATTACTGCCAACAAATGGTAAGAGTATGTTTAGTTTTGTAAAAAACTGTCAAACTGTCTTCCAAAGTGTTTGTACTATTTTGAGTTTTCACCAGCAATAAATGAGATTTCCTATTTCTCCATATGCTTGCTAGCATTTGGTGTTGTCAGTATTTTGGATTTTGGCCATTCCAATAGATGTATAATGGTGTGTCATTGTTATTTTAATTTGCAATGCCCTAATAACATATGATGTTGAATACCTTTTCATATGCTTATTTGCTATCTGTATATCTTCTTTAATTTGCTATCTGTATATCTTCTTTAATGTATCTGATCTGGTCTTCTGCCCATTTTAAAATGGGGTCATTCATTTTCTTATTGTTGAGCTTTAAGAGTTCTTTGTATATTTTGGATAACTGTCCTCTACAAAATATGTCTTTTGCCAGTGTTTTCTCTCAGTCTGTGACTTGACTTCTCATTCTTTTGACAGTGTCTTTTGTAGAGCAGAAGTTTGTCACTTTAAGGAAGTCCAGCTTATCAATAGTTTTTGTTAATTTCCTTTTACAGGAAAAATCTCCCCATATTGTCCTGTTAACTGCATAGCTATTTACAAATTTGGTCTAGACATAATTTTATTTATTGGTTTGCTCCTTTCAAAAATATTACTGCTATACTTCTGTAGTTTATATTCAGCAATAATACTCTCTAATTTCCCTAAAATCAAATATATAAGATGCATCCATGATACAAGCTCTGTTTGTTGATCAGTGAATAAGGAAGGAGGACTGGAAGAGGGATTTAATTCAGCTTGTGATATGAAAGTGATGTGATTTTAGTGTATTTTCTACATTTAGGAAAAATAGTGTTGTTAGGATTCAATAGAGAAGCAGAACCAGTAGGGGATATACATTATATGTTGTTTTCCAAAGAATTGGTTTATGTGATTGTGGTCCTGGCTAAGCAAGTCTGAAATCTGTAGAGGAGGATGTCAGGAAGGGCAGGATAGAGCTATCAGGCATGGGCTGAAGCTGATTTTTGCAGGTGGAATTTCTTCTTCAGAGAAGCCTCAGTTCTGATCTGAAGACATTCCAATTGGTTGAATCAGGTCCACATCTTATAATTTCTTTTACTTAATGTCATTTACTTAAAGTTAACTGGTTATGGGCTTTAATCACATGTACAAAATTCTTCACAACAAAACTTCGATTGGTGTTTAATTGAATAAATGACTACTGTAGATTAGCCAGGCTGACACATAGAACTGACCATCACAATCTAACTTTTATCAACTTGGCACCCATAAATGTCTGTTTAAACCTTATTTAATCTCCAAATAAAGACAACAATGAAGTCATACTTCTACTTAATATAGGACAACTATTTTGCATTCCACCAAAAACTTGCTAATTCTTTCCTCCAAAGAGAAGGAAAAGTCCTTGGGGATGTTCGCTCCTCTTCTTTGATACCCTAAAGTTAAGTACTAAGATATAAAGATATCTATCATCAGCAGATCTTATGTTAGATAATAAGAGGATAAGAGGGAAAAATAAAAATGTTTGATTTATATGTATACAAATATATTCATGACAAAATAAGAAAAACATAATAAATATTACTGTCCTCACTTCTGCAACTGGTCACATGATCATAGTTGGTACCACTAGTAGTAAAACTACCTTCTTTCTATTCCCATTCCATATCCTCTTTATCTTCAGCAAGAAGCTTAGCTGGTTGTGGTTCTTTGCTTGGTGGGTTGACCCCAACTTCCATTCCTGAACGACTTGAGATTTTAATAGTCTGGTCTGAATTGGGTTGCTGTACTTTTCAATTAACTGTAATCATAGGACGTGGTAGAACTAAGAGATGCCCTAAGAGATCTATTGTACTCCAGACATACTCTTCCTTACATCCATTATGAAGTAGCAGTTGTATTTCCCTTTGGCAATCAGGATCAATCACTCAAACCAATATAGTAACCCCCTTCTTGGCTTGTAGATTCAAACTCATAAGTAGCCCAAATAGGGCTGATGGTAGTTTGAATTTCCAATAAAATCATTGTTTTGTCTCCTAGTAGAAGCATTTATCCATTTGAAATTAAAACCTCTAGGCGAAAAGAATCTAAGATTGCCAAGACAAGAAGCAAAAAAAATTTTGCTAGTGGATTATTGGTGGGTAATAAGGAGCCACTCCCATTTCCACCTTTTGATTCCTGGATGATAAATGCTGGTTATTGGGAAAATGCCTCAATTTATTTAATGTTAATTGAGAGCATGTACTATATACTGGGAGACATTGTCCCAGTCCTATAAGGTGTGGCTACCTAACTCATGCCGTAACTGAATCTTCAAAAGGCCATTCTACTAATCAATCAAGGCAGCTGCTTCAGAATGGTGCATCCTGAACATGGTAAGACCAGTGAATTCCATGTGCATGGGCCTGTTGCTATACTTTATTTACTACGAAATGAGTTCTTTGGTGAAAAGGAATGTTACATGGAATACCGTGGTAGCAACCTAGACATTCAATAAGTTTGTAGATGATAGTTTTTGCAGATGTATACAGTTAAGACAAATCCTTATAGAATAAGTATTTATTTCAGGAAGAAAAAAAATTCTGCCCATTCCATAATGGAAGCTTTCAATACAATCAGTCTGCCACCAGAAAGCTGGCTGATCATCTCAGGGAAATGTGCCATATTGGAGACAGAGTGTCGGTCTCTGCTGCTGGAAAATTAGCAACCTCACAGCGGCAATAGTCAAATCAGCCTTGGTGAATGGTAGCCCATGTTTCTGAGCCCATGCGTAACCTCTATTCTCACCATGTCCACTTTATTCATGAGCCCAGTGAGCAAAGACAAGAGTGGCTATGAAAGAGGCTGGCTGACATCCACAGGAAAGGTCAGCCTAGTCACTTTATTAGTAAAATCCTTCCGTACTGAGGTCACTCTTTGGTGAGACTTCACATGGGAGACAAATATCCTCATATTATTTCCCCTCAGAAAATTGTAGCCACACACCTCATCCCCACACCTTCTTGTCACCAGTTGTCTGATCATTTTCTGTCCAAGTCTTTGACCCACCTAGCCAAACTACTGGGCACAGCCCATATATCTGAACAGACTTATATGTCTCTCCATGTCTCCTTTCAGGAAACATAAACAACCAAGTGGACTGTTTGAAGTTCTGCCCTATCCCTTAGGGCTGTTTCTCAAATGGGTGCAGTGCTGCAGCTTTCCACTTTCATCTGGTCCCTGCCAGTTATGCAAAATGACTTCTAAACTAGGCCGGAGTTTTCTCTTTCTCAGTCAACTGATATTAGAGTACTGTTCATGAGAACATCATTTTGCCTATCACAAATAGAAAGTTAATAATGAAGATTAAAAAATATGTATATTATATATATATCATATATATTTATATATATGAGAATTTAAAGGTGCGTGATGGAAAGAGACAGGATAAAGATATTTGGCATTCATTGTCTACAAAGAAAACAGATAGTAAAAAATATGGATGGCGAATACAGCTGTGTGTGTATAGATGTACTAAAGGAAAAGTTTAGACAGTAGTAGCTTACATGTTTGCATAGATAGCAACAAGTAGAAGTATGTATTAATAAGGGAAATAGTATAGAATAATAAATTTGTGATGTCTGAAGTGGCCTGAGAGATTGCCTCATCCAAATTCCTTTTTTAAAGATTCCTTTTTGTTGCTTTTCTAATATTCTTTTCTAGGTTTCCCTTCTCAAACTGAAATTGCCAGCAAAGACAATTAACCAATTTTAATTTACTTAGATATAATATTTTTTCTCTGTTTTCCTGACATGCCCTATGCTTCTAACTGCCATTAAGAGTTTATATTTATATATAGCACAACGATAGAGAAATAACCATGCATATTTATTTTCTAATATGAGCATTCACAATTTGTGCCATATGAAAAACATGGCTAGAAAAAGTACTGCAAACTAAAACTAGCCATTACATTTACCCTTGGACAAAATGTATTCAGACTGTGTAGGTTCACTTGTGTGAAGTTTCTTCTGACTTTGCCTGAGACAGCGAGACAAATCCATCCTTTTCCTCCTCCTCCTCACCCTGCTCAATGTGAAGATGATAAGGAAGACCTTTATGATGGTTCACTTGCACTTAATGAAGAGTAAATCTGTTTTCTCTTCTTTATAATTTTCTTAATAACATTTTATTTTCTCTATTTACTTTATTAATAATACAGTATATATAGCACATATGACATACATGATCTATCAATTGTCTGTTTATGTTATTGGTAAAGCTTCCAGTCAACAGCAGTCTATTAGTAGTTAAGATTTTAGGGAGTGAATAGTTAAATTGGGGTTTCAAATGCAGAAGGGGATCAGAGCTCCTAACCCTCACATTGTTCAAGGATCAACTGTATTTTTTTAACTTAAGAGGTTCATTCATTCTGTCCTCAGGAAGCCCATAATGGTATGGTTTGCACTGTAGCATACACATTAACAATCAAGGTACCTGGACTTTTACCCATAGGAACACTTTAGAAGTTGGCATTCCTGATATCAACAGAAAATATCTTCCTTATAGTAACAGACACCAGTGATAAAGTCCTACAGAAGGGAGAAATATTATTCAGTCTTTAGTAACCTTGCTAGACTGTAGTTATTCACAATTCCTCATGTTTTATAAGGAAATACAAGTTAAGCCTTCTGGAAAAGAAAAAAACAGCATTCATGAAGTAATACTAGCTTTTTGATTTCATATCTATATTAAAATTCCAAGTTACTTTAGTTTTTTGCTATACAGAAAATATAATTTCTCAAAAATAATATTTGTAGCCTTTATAGAAATTTCCTCTAATTCTTCATGACAGAGGGCAGAGGAATTGCTCTTTTGATTTTTTTAATTTTGCAATTAATAAATGACTAAAATCTTTAATTCTAGAGTTCTCTTCAAAAGTTTTCTTACTTTGGTATATACTCCTTCAGACATTTTGAAAATTATGTAAATTTATAAAAATGATAACCAATAGACATCTATATCCATATATACATCTGCGTGTTTATATTGAAATATTTATTTGTCTATTCCTCCTTCTAACAAAGACAGCTTCAGTTATAGTCCATGGTCAAGGATATTGCCAGAGGCAGTTTCATGACTAGGGAGGTTATGTTCCTATCAAGTGACATCTCATTGCAGGTACTATTGAACTGAGTGAGAGACTAGGCTCTGGGAATTATGGTGTAACCAAATGTGTTATCTGGTAGCAGGGTGGGATTGGAGAGAAAATCACAAAGAAGAGAACAAAGGATAACTGAGTCATAGTAATGGTGGAAAAATTTTAAGAAGATCAATAAACTAATGTTCTGGAATAAGTTGACTCTAAGTTTACCTCAGGTTCTGAACAAACTTTGAAGTTTAAGTTTTAGCAAGATGAGGTTGTATTTGTTTAAGTGAGCATATGTTGTTTGAAGGCCTAACATCCATTTCCCTTTCTGGTGACCAACCTTTATTTTTCTTAGGATATCACCTCTCCCTCACTCTTTGTCTACATTGTTTATGTGGGTCTTGACCTTACTATCACCTCTGTGATAGGATCTTCACTCAGGCTTATGTCAATCACTCTATTATCTCAAGCCAAAACAATTCATTCAAGGGTTTCCAAGGGGCCCAATTGGAACCAAGAAGGATTAAGGCCAAAGAGGAAAAATTACCTTTAATATACATTGAAATCAGAAGCATGACGATATGATTGTGTAGACCTTGACAGACATCTTACTGTCTTAATTCAAGAACCTGCTTGAGAATGAAGCCAGCCCTCTAAGAAAATAGAGCAGAGAGGTAGAGATAAAGATGAGAGAGAGGGAGAGAATATAAATCAATCCCTGATGATTTTTTTAAGGCTCTTGACTCTAGTCATACTTAAAGCCAAAATATTTTATGAATTTTTCAGTTTTGTCAGTCAATTCTTATTATTTTTTATTTTTCTTTTTTTTCTTTCTTTTTTTTTTTTTTGAGACGGAGTCTCGCTCTGTGGCCCAGGCGGGAGTGCAGTGGCGCAATCTCGGCTCACTGCAAGCTCCACCTCCCGGGTTCACGCCATTCTCCTGCCTCAGCCTCCCGAGTAGCTGGGACTACAGGTGCCCGCCATCACGCCCAGCTAATTTTTTTGTATTTTTAGTAGAGACGGGGTTTCACCGTGTTAGCCAGGATGGTCTCGATCTCCTGACCTCGCGATCCGCCCGCCTCCGCCTCCCAAAGTGCTGGGATTACAAGCGTGAGCCACCGCGCCCGGCCTATTTTTTATTTCTTAAGACATTTTTTTTTTTCAATCTTTTTTCCCTCTTACAACAAAAAGGACAGGGTCAGGCTGGGCGCAGTGGCTGACGCCTATAATCCCAGCACTCTGGGAGGCTGAGGCAGGTGCATCACCTGAAGTCAGGAGTTTGAGACCAGCCTGACCAACGTGGTGACCTCTCTCTATTAAAAATACAAAAATTAGCCTGGCATGGTGGTGGGCACCTGTAGTCCCAGCTACTCAGGAGGCTGAGGCAAGAGAATCACTTGAACCCAGGAGGCGAAGGTTGAAGAGAGCCAAAATTGTGCCATTGCACTCCAGTATGGGTGACAAGAGTCAAACTCTGCCTCAAAAAAAAAAAAAAAAAAAAAATGGTGGGGGGGAGGGGGATGGTAGGGTTATGATTTTTTTTCTGAGGTGTCTGAGTGTTAAACTTTCTTTTTTACAATTTTTTTTAGTAAGACCCACACAGGGTCTTACCCTGTTACTCAGGCTGTAGTGCAGTGGTGTGATCATAGCTCACTGCAGCCTTAAACTTCTGGGATCAAGTGATCCTTCCACTTCAGCCTCCAGAGTAGTTGGGACTACAGGTGCACACCACTGTTCCTGGTCAGGCTTTTCTTTGTTAAACCCAAACAAATAGAAACACATTTCATGCTCGTGGATTGAAAGAATCAATATTGTTAAAATGGTCATATTGCCCAGAGCAATCTACAGATTAAATGTTTTTCCAATCAAGTTACCAATGTCATTTTTCACAGAACTAGAAAAAGATATTCCAAAAATCATGTGGAACCAAAAAAGCCTGAATAGACAAAGCAGTCTTAAGCAAAAAGAACAAAGCTAGAGGCATCACATCAACAAATCTCAAACTGTCCTATAAGGCTATAGTAAGCGAAATAGTATGGTACTGGTTTACAAACAGACATAAAGACCAATGGAACAGATTACATGACCCAGAAATAAAGACACACACCTACAGCCACCTGATTTTTGACAAAGTCAACAAAAATAAGCAATGAGGAAATCACTACCTATTCAATAAATGGTGCTGGAATAGCAGGCTAGCCATATACCGAAAATAAAACTGGACCCCTAGATTTCACCATATGCAAATATTAACTCAAAATGGATTAAAGATGTAAGTATAAGACCTCAAACTATAAAAATCCTAGATAAAGCCTGTGAAACACCATTCTGGACATTGGCCTTGGGAAAGAATTTATAACCAAGTCATAAAAGCAATTGCAGCAAAACCAATAATTGATAAATGGGACTAATTAAAGAGTTTCTACACAGCAAAACATAACTATCAACTGAGTAAACAGACAACCTACATAACGGAAGAAAATATTTGCAAGCTATGTATTTCACAAAGGTCTAATATCAAGAATCTATAAGGAACTTAAACAAATGAACAAGCAAAAACCAAATAACCTCATTAAAAATGAGCAAAAGACATGAACAGACATTTCTCAAAAGAAGACATATATGTAGCCAACAAATATAAAAACGGTTCTCATCATCACTAATCATCAGAGAAATGTAAATCAAATCCACCATAAGACACCATTTCACATAAATCAGAATGACTATTATCAAGAAGTAAAAATAAACAATAGATCCTGGCAAAGCTGCAGAGAGGAAAGGGAACACTTACACACTGTAGGTAGAAATGTAAATTAGTTCAACCACTATAGGAAGCAGTTTGGAGATTTCTCAAATAGCTTAAAACAGAACTACTATTTAACCTAGAAATTCCATTACTGGGTATATATCCAGAGGAAAATAAATCAGTTTACTCAAAAGAGACATGTATGTTCACTGCAGCACTATTCACAATAACAAAAATATGAAATCAACCTAGTTGCCTATGAACAGTGGATTGGATAAAGAAAATAGGGTACATGTGTATCATGGAATACACAAGCATAAAAAAGAACAAAAGTATGTTCTTTACGGCAGCATGGATGAAGCTAGAGGCCATTATCCTAAGCGAATTAATGCAGGAACAGAAAGCCATACTGCAGGTTGTCACTTATAAGTGGGAGCTGAACAATGGGTAATCATGGACATAAATGCCGCAACAAGAGACAGTGGAGACCACTAGAGGGGAGAGGATGGAAGGGGAGCAAGGTTTGAAAAACTGACTTTTGAGTATTTTGTTTAGTACCTGGTTGATGTGATCAGTTGTACCCTCGATCTCAGCACCATGCAATATACCTAGGTAACAAGCTAGCACATTAACCCCCTGATTCTAAAAGACAAGTTGAAATTATATAAAACAACCTTTAGGGTGATCATATATCATTTAAACCATGTTGACTTTTAGAGTGAAAGGGGGAACTATTAATAATTACATAGGACCAAAAGGTATACATTTCAACTGTTACTGGAAGATTCAGAATGGTCATGCTAACCTTATTGCAAATATTGGACTGATTGGCCAGACTCCACTCCTTGCAATGAACTTAAATAAGAGGAGAGCAAACCTCTCTTACAACTGTAGATATAAGGATTTATAGGACATTGAATATGTATGTAATATGTTTTTCAAAAAATAATTAGAATAAGAAGGAGGAAATAAGAGTGTTCTTCCTATAATATTATTACAATTGTTTATTTTTTCCTCTTTTGATCTATTGGCTTTTTTCTATTCTTATTTCATTGGTTTTCTCTTCATGCTTGACTACATTGGAAAATATAGATAAATAATAAATATTGTGCTTTATGTAGCACTTTTCTGAAATTAAGCATATTCAGAAATATCTATATGCCTGAAAATCAAGGCTTTGAGATTTATTAAAACTTAATAGAACATTATGTAAAATATTTTTTTAATTGCAGAGTAGTATTTTATTAAAGAACATAATTGCAAATATTTCCCACTCCATTTCCTCAAATTATGCAAGAAAACGCATATTCTTGCTTTCTAAGTCCTCTTAATTTTAAAAAGTAGAAAACTCTTAATTTTAAAAGGTATTCTTTTAATGCCAGTTCTTGATTATAATTATAAATAAGAGCAACACAGTTCTACTAGGGATTATTAAAACATATCACATTGAGAATGAGAGCCCTATTTATTTTTCTCTACTACAAAGCCTGAAACTTTTTTACTGAATAAAGAAAGTTTAGCTATATTTTCAGCCATAAATAGTGCTTCTGGGGACTTGACAGTTTCAGAGTTTCTGCTTATGGCTAATAATTTATTCCACATGTAGATGCAAATTATCATAAACTTTACATCCATTTGTTAAAACTCTCATTCTGTCATTTTTCCCCTTTATTGTAAATTTCAATCTTATAAGACCAGATTTCTTTCTTTACATTTATAACATGACTTTTCTCAGTGCTAGTGAAAGAACCTTAACAAAATAAAAATTAGAAAGGACTTCCTTCTTTCTGTACAGTTGTATTTGAGCAAATAGTCTTCTGCTTCTTAATTGTTCTTAAGATATTTCCAACAAAGAAGTCTTAGAGAATCTCTGGATTTGGGGATTATTTTATTTCCTATGAAATCTATGTTTAACCTCTCATAATATATAATACGATTGAAAATTGTACTTTAGTGGACATCACTGTTTTCTGAAAGGTATAAATACTTTCATTTTGACTTTTCTTAGGTAAAGATAAGTTCTTAAGCACTTCCTCTTCTATGTGTAGAGAAGTAAAATAAAATGTGAGCCTCTATTAGATTTCTTTTATTTCAATAACAATTTTGAAAATCTTTGAATATTTAAATTAATACAAGTTTGACAAAGAGGCAGATTTTTCTCCATACAATTAAATTTTGAAGATTGGAAGAGTTAATGTACTTTTGCTACTATTGTTATTTTAAATTTATTGATATGATACTTAGGTAATCTATGCATCCCATTTCAAAATAACAGCAACCGGATATGAAGGTACAGAATGTGTACGTGAAGGTTTTATTCTCCTCACTATTCCCTTTCCAAAGTCTCACTCTTCTGAGACAATTTTTTTTTTTTAGTTCTTCGAAAGATTACATTATACATTTATATTTTTATATTTAAAGAACATAATCACAAGTATTTCCCACTCCATTTCCTCAAATTATGCAAGAAAACACGTGTTGGGCAGAAACACATATGGATGAGGAGTAGGCCGGTGGATGAAGATCCCCAGGATTTCCAAATAGAGAAAAGTTAATTTGAGGGTTAGATTTCACTGTTGCCGTCATAGCTTAAATTTAGTTTGTCTCAGAGACTATGGAGGTCTAAGAAGACTCTAATCCTGCTTAGGCTCTCTCTTGCATAGCAACATGCAAATAGTCCAGTAAAGAGCAATGCAGAAAATTGTGCATCCTTGGCAGTGAAAACAGCATGTGCAAATGCACAGAGGCAAGAAAAAATACAAAGCATGCATGGATTGAATTAGTTCATTTTATAGGAACAAAGAAAGTGTTCTGAATTTTCTCCTCTGACATTGCCAAGGTCCCAGAAATTCAAAGTTTAATATTGCCCTCAGCTTATGAAAATTGCTCATTTTAATCAGAAAGTTTGTGTGTGTGTACAGAGTTAGGAGAGAATAGAATAGAGCTGTTCTGTACTTCTCTTATCTGAAACATTTTGTTATCTGGTCAACTGCTTCTGATTAGCTTGATTTGTCTATACACAGGAAGTTTCTGCTTTAAAAAAAGAGTTCTTACATTTGTCTCTCTTTTTTTCTGTCTCTTAAGTAATATGAGACTAGTTCTCTACTAGGAAGGTTTACATCTTCTTGAAACTAAATATACAACACAAGAAATTTGTTTACCTTTTCTTTCTATATAGAATACTAGAGAATTGATAGAGGCAAACAGGTTGTATCCCCCTCCCAAATCTGGACTTTATTTGCAAGTGTAGTCAACCCTCCTTGTCTGTGGATTCTTCATCAATTATTTCAACTGATTATAGATTTCAAAAATCCCAAATAAAAATTGTATCTGTACTGAACATGTAGACTTTTAATTCTTGTCATTATTTTTCAAACAATACAGTATAATCACCATTTACATGTTATGTACATTGTATTAGGTATTAAAAGTAGTCTAGAAATGATTTAAAGCCTATGGGAGGATGAGCATAAATTGTACACAAATACTGCATCATTTTATATCACCAACTTGAGCATCCATGAATTTTGGTATCTGTGGAAGATCTTGAAATCAGTCTTCTATAGATCCTGAAGGACAGCTAATATCAAGTCAGTAGCCATGAAGAGACAGAAAATTGAATGATGATAGTGGTTATCATGTATCTCAAGTTCTTCCTTTTATTTTCTGGTTATTGTTGAGTTTGGTTGTAATTGTGTGGTTAAGTCTGGCCAATGAACCTTGAGTAAAGTGATCAACATTAATTAATAGGGTTTTCCAAAGAAACAATACCAATACTAGATAGATAACACAATAGATAATACAGTCACACACACACACACACACACACACACACACACGGAGAGAGGGATCAAGATTTTAAGGAATTGGCTTACATGATTGTGGGCCCCGGCATGTCCAAAATTTGTCGGGAAGGCCGAAAGCTTACAAGTTCATGTAAGAGTAATGTTGCAAGTTTGAGTTCAAAGTTAGTTAGGTTTTGTATTTTTTTTATTATGCAGTGTTGAGGAGAATTCCTTCTTCCTCAGGAAAGCTCACTCAGTCTTAAGGTCCTCAACTGATTAGATAAAACCCATCCAAATATGGAGGGTCATCTCCTTGACTTAATTTACTGATTTAAGTGTTAATAGTATCTTAAAAAATAATTTCACATCAATTTTGCTTTTATGCTCAAAAGGTTAGGAGTGTTGCCTCTGTAGCTGATGCACATTGTTGCTTATCTTCTGGCTCATCTCCTTGGTATGGAGCAGCAGCCAGGCCTGCCACTGCACACTTGTAGGTTTTCCTTCATCTTCTCCAACCCCATGGCCAGCTACTTCCATTTTGAACCACCTACTTTGTGGATTCGGCTCTGGCATCTGACATGAAGACAACAACAGTCTTACAGAGATGACATCAAAACTGAGGCTGAGCATACCTCAACAAGCTGTAGCTGGCATGAGCGGGAGGAATTGTCAATGGAGGTATTTGCAACCCCAAAGCCTTGTTGTGGAATCCAGATATAGAGAGAAGCAATATTGGCAGGATGGCAGAATAAAAAGTTTTCCAGCATCACTCAGTCAAAAAAAGTACAACTAGAAATTATTAAAAGGCAAGAATGCCACCCTGAATTCACCAGAACTTGGATGAGAAGCAGACAAACTCCTTATGCCCAGAGAACTGAGAGAAGCCACAACTGGAAAGAGGAATGGTCATTTGCAACTGCATCATATCCTCCCCATAGCTGGCATAATGCCACTCATGGAGAATTTCCCTCCACCCACAGTATTGAAGGTGGAAGAGAGGAATTGCAGGTGGATGTTTGATCATTTCACCAGTGTGAAAATATTCAGGCAAAGCCCACTCTTATCTCATCTCATGAAAACCATTGAGAGTGCCAGGAGGGCTGAACCACTTAGTACTCTAAGTTGAGGACAAAAGTGGGGGTGCTGATTGAAGTGACAGGTGCATGGGTCTTAGTAGAGATGTCACACTGAGGAGATTGGCTAGCACCATAACACTGCAGGTAGGTATGATTTACAGGAAGGCCCAAATCCCTGCCCCAATTTTCCACAAAGTCTAAGTGCTCACATGGCGCTTTCCTCTGACCTGCAGACAACTGAAAGGTTGGCAATTAAGATCTTGTGCTTGCTGAAATCTTTCCCAGACCTGGAAATAACAGCAGGACAGTAATTTAGTTCCAGTGCAGCATTGACTCTAAGTCTTCCCCAGACTGAGAAGCAATGGCAAGCCAGCAATTAACCTCTGATATTAAGTAGTAAAGGTTTAGCACCACCAACAAATATCTTCAAAAGCTGGAATAAATGGCCCTTTCTGCAAGTGTGCAGGCATGCATGTAAAGACAGGAAGATTGTAAAATTTCAGGGAAATATGACACCACTAAAAGAAACCAACAAAGATCCAGTATTCGACCAAGGAGAACTGAATATATATGAAATGCTTGAATAAAAATTCAGAATAAATAATTCTCTTAAGGAAATTCAATGAATCACACAAATGCAGATAGAAAACTAAATAAAACTTGGAAGACAATCCAGGAACAAAATATGAAATTTGACAAAGAAAGAGAAACCATTTTAAAAACATAAATCTCAGAAATAAAAAAATGCATAATCAAACTGAAAAACTCATTAGAAAACTTCAAAAGCAGAGTTGATCAAACAGAGAAAAGACAGTGACCTCTAAGGCAGAACACATAAAATTACTCCATCAGATAAGCAAAAATGGAAAAGGAATCAGAAAGCATAAAGAAGTCTTACGAGATTTATGGGAGAACATCAAGTGAACTGACATCCACATAATAGGAGTTCTTCAAGTAGATTAGCAGGAAAAAGTCTTAGAAATTGTAATTAAAAATATGATGGCTGAAAATTTATCAATCCTGGAGAAAGAAACAGCATCCAGGTACAGAAAGCTCAGTAGTCACCAATCAAATTCAGCCCAAGGAGGAAATCCACAAGATACATCATAATCAAACTATTCAAAATCAAAGACAAAAAAATAGTAAGAGCAGCAATAGAAAAGACACACATCACATTCAATGAAGCTCCAATACGGCTTTCAGAATATTTCTTAACAGAAACACTGGAGAGAGCAGAATAATATATTCCAGGGACTGAAGGGAAAACAACGACAAGAGCAACTTACAGCCAAGAATAACATACCCAGAAAACTAGCCTTCTAAGACAAAAGAGAGACTTTCCCAGACAAACAAAAGCTGAAGGAATTCATCAACACCAGATTTCTTACAACAAATGTTAAAGAGAGTTCTTAAATTTGAAAGAAAGGGATGCTAAAATATAACGAGAAAATATCTGAAGCTAAAAAACTCATTTGAAAAAGTAACAATACAGACACATTTAGAATAATCTAATGATGTAATTGTGGTGTGTAAACCACTTATATTTTAAGAATGAAGATTAAAGGGCAAAACTATTAAAGACAGTAATAACTACGACAATTTTTTAAGAAATGAGCAATATGAAAATATATAAATTGAAACATGCCAAAATCAAAATGATGGGTGGGGAATGGTGTTAAATTGTAGAGTTTATTTTTGTCACTTTTATTTGAGATCAAAGTTAAGTTGTTGTTAGCTTAAAATAAACTGTTATGGCTACAATATTTTATTTGTAAGCCTCATGATAATCACAGAGCAAAAAGCTATAATAGGTACCTTAAAAGTTAACAGCACAGAATCAAAACATACTACAGACAAAATCACTTAACCAGAAAGGAAGATAGTGAAAGAGGAAAAAAAAGAAGAAAAAATATACAAGACAATCAGAAAACAAGTAAAACAGGTGGCAGTAATAAAGCCTACCTATACATCACTAACAACCTTGAATGGAAATGAATTAAACTATTCAATTAAAAGTCATAGATTGAATGGATTAGAAAAACAAGACCCAACTGTATGTAGTTTACAAGAACTTCAATTCACCTATGAAGACATGAGAGAAAAAAATGAAGGGATGGAAACAGATACTCCATGAAAATGGAAACCGAGAGAGCCTCTTAGCCATGCTTCTATCAGGTAAATAAACTTTAATTTAAGAACAATGACAGAATACAAAGAAGACCATTATATAATGATAAAGGGATCAATACAGCAAGAAAATATAACAATTGTAAATATATATGCACACAACAGAAGAGTACCTAAATATGTAAACCAATATTAATAGGCCTAAAGGGAAAGATTGACTATAATACGATAGAGGATTTCAACACCCCACTTTCAGCAATGGACAGACCATCTAGACAGAAAAACAACAAAAAAAAAACACTGAATTTTAAACTCTAGACCAAATGTACTTAACAGATATTTATATAACATTCCATCCAACAGCTGTAGAATACGGTTTTTTTTTTCCTCAGTAGTACATGGAAGCTTCCCCAGGATAGACCATATGTTAGCTCACAAAACAAGTCTTAACAAAGTTTAAAAAATTGGAATCACATCAAGTATCTTTTCTGACCACAATGGAATAAAACTAGAAATCAATAACAAAAGAAATATTATAAACTGTATAAGTTTATGTAAATTAAATAACATGCTTCTGGACAAAAAAATGGGTCAATGAAAGAAAGTAAGATTTAAGAATTCATTGTGTGAAAAGAAAATGGAAGCATAACATAACAAAACCTATGGGATATAGCAAATGAGCTCAAAGAAGAATGTTTATAGCAATAACTTCCTACATAAAAAAGTAGAAGGATCTCAAAGAACTTAACATTACACCTCAGGGGAACTAGAAAAATAAGAAAAAAAACAAAACCCAAAATTAGCAGAAGGAAAGACATGACAAAAATCAGAGCAGAAATATACAAAATAGGGATTAAAAAACCATATAAAAAATATCAGAGTTTTTTGAAAAATTAAAAAAAACAACAAACTGTTATCTATAATAAGAAACAAGGAGAGAAGACTTAAATAAATAAAACCAGAGATGAAAATGGAGACATTACAACTTATATAATAGAAAAACATAAAATCATTAGAAAAACTATTATGAACAACTATATGCCAACAAATTGAAACATCTAGAAGAAATGGATAAATGTCTGGACACATACAACTTAACAAGATTGAACTATGTAGACATAGAAAACTGAAACAAACTAGTAAGGAGAAATAAGTCAATAGGTACAAAGTTACAGTTAGACAGGAGGAATAAATTATAGTGTTTTATTACACAGTAGGTTGACTATAGCAAATAACAATGTAGTGTATATTTCCAGATAGCTAGAAGAGAAGATTTTGAACATTATCACTACAAGAAAATGATAGATGTATAAAGCGACAGATACAGTAATTACCCAGATTTGATAATTATGCAATATATACCTGCATTGAAACATCACACTGTACCACACAAATTTGTACAACTTTATGTATCAATTACAAATAAAAATTAATGAATAACAAAATACGTTTACAACAGGATCTAGACTGGTGTTTGACCAAGCAATTGTGCACTGTAACCCAGGGAGATTGATACATAATATTAGCCATCACAGTTAACATTGAGCCTGAGCTGCTAAGCTGTAATGTCCTGTACATTCCTCTTTTTTCCACATCAACCCTGGGGATCACATGATTAGCTTCAAGATGGAGAAGGGATATCTAATCCTCATTGTTTTCTGTTTATTTGTTTCCTTTTACATAGACTTTATGTCTAAAACACTTAGGTTCACAGCAAAATTCAGCAGAAAATCCAGAGAGTTCTCGTTAACTCCGGCCCCACACATGCACACAGGCACAGCCTTGCCCACTATGAACATCTTTCATCAGAGTCATCCATTTGTTATGGTTGATGAACCTACATTGACACATCATTTTTACAAAAAGCCCATAGTTTACATTAGGGGTCACTGTTGCTGTTGGAGGTTCTGCGGATTTTGACCAGCATCTGATAACTTGTACCCATGATTATAGTGTCATAAAGAATAGTACCCTGCCCTAAAAATCTCCTGTGCTCTGTTTATTCATCCCCTAATTCCTGGCAACTTTGATCTTTTTATTGTCTCTATGCTTCTTCCTTTTCCAGAATGCCATATAGTTGAAATTAGATAATATGTAATGTTTTCAGATAAGCTTCTTTCACTTAGTAATGTAAATAATACACATTTAAGTTTTGTCCATTTTTTTAAATCGCTTTATAGCTCATTTCTTTTTAGTACTGAATAATATCCCATTGCATGGATGTGCCATAGTTTATTTACCCATTGACCTAGTGAAGGACATCTTGGTTGCTTCTAAATTTGGTGATTATAAATAATGCTTTTGCAAACATTTGTGTGCATGTTTTGGTAAAAAAAAATGGACTTAAAAAAGTCATAATCAACCTTTTCTTGTCACAGGCACTGAGTTTTGAGTTTTGGAGGTAGGTTTGTTGTAGCTACTAGAATTAATTATATTTACTAGAGCTGGGCATTAATTACATTGAAAATTCTTGCTCAGCACCTGATTTTACAAAGGAATTTCAATCCTACAAACCTACCTTCAAAAAAAGGAATTTGCCTTTAATCAACAATGCAAAATACATTTCACCCTTTACTAATAATTTTATGCCTCAATTATTTATTGTTCATTGTCTTTTAAAGCCTAACTCAATGTCAGAAGACATAATTTTTTATTGTTTGTTTGTTTGTTTTTGTTCTGAGATGGAGTTTCACTCTTGTCAGCCAGGCTGGAGTGCAATGGCATGATCTCGGCTCACTGCAACCTCTGTCTCCTGGGTTCAAATGATTCTCCTGCCTCAGCCTCCCGAGTAGCTGGGATTACAGGTGCCCGCCACCATGCCCAGCTAATTTTTTTGTATTTTTAGTAGAGACAGGGTTTCACCATGTTGGCCAGGCTGGCCTTGAACTTCTGACCTCAGGTGATCTGCCCAGCTCGGCCTCCCAAAGTGCTGGGATTACAGGTGTGAGCCATCGCGCCTGGCCGCAGAATACATAAGTTTATCTAGATCATGAAGTCTTAACCTATTATCTATAAATAAGGCTTAAGGTAGATATGAATCCCCTAAAATATTATGCAAAGTTTCATGGTCGTGTACATATACGTCTCTTTTTTTGGAGACTGTTCACTTATTTCATCAAAGTTCTCAAAGGTTTCTATAACCCAAAGAAATTTCAAAATCCGCTCTTAGGAATTCTGACTAGATTTTAATCCTTGAATCATAAAGCAGTGTATCAAATGTATATAGCTGGATCTTATGGTGCTTACTCTCTAGAAAAATACTTCCATTTTTGAGTTCTATTTGCTTCCTATTTACATCTCTATTTATTCCCAACTCAATGGGGACTGTTTTAATTGAATTGTCTCTTAGTGGTACATATGCTTTCATTGGTGGTTACCATAAAAAAATCTTGTAAACTATTCTTACATGTGCCATATTAATATCCTTAAGATCACAGCATCTCTCTGCATCCTGTAAATGAAGACTTGCATGAGATTTAAATGTCTGTAAAGCTTACTTTGGTTAAGATATTTTTATGTACATTTACAATTTCACCTCAAAAAGTAGAAAGTCATATTTTTATACAGCGATTGCATGGCTT
The DNA here is from genome assembly GCF_000001405.40 of Homo sapiens. NCBI lineage: Eukaryota > Metazoa > Chordata > Mammalia > Primates > Hominidae > Homo > Homo sapiens. Next base: position 145,652,864 of record NC_000003.12, on the reverse strand, counting down.
CCTTTTTATCTTGGCCGTGCCACTCTATTTTCATTTAAAAAATTACAAGTCATGGTTTTCAAATTATTTATACCAAGAAGATATACATATATATAGTGTGTGTCTATACGTATATGTGTGTATGTATGTATACAGTCAAATAAATAACATACAAACATACAAAAATGTAAGCCATTCTTTAATGTAATCCATTTAAAATCTTTAGGCATATACAAATGACAGATGTTTCTTATGAAGTTGCTATAGACTCAATGCCAGTAAATGGGAGTTAGACTAAATAGTTTTCATGGTGTTTTCTAATAAGAAAATTCAATGAGTTTATAAATTATCAACTAAATAAATGCATTAGTAGAAAGCTTCAGGTAAAATAAAAGCTAACTCTATGAACTTATTGCTCACCAACAAGATGAAAAGATGGCATCTATCCATCAATTGAATTTGGTTACATTGACCTAAATTAGCTCTAATAAAATAAGAAGATAATATAGATATAGATATGTAGATATATATCTTTTGCATGTGAAAATGTTCAATAAGGCATTTGAACAAAGCTTAAACAAAAATACTTCAGGAAATTATGCCAAATCCCAAGCATAAAACATAAAGGTTGTGTGACCTTCTATAATATGTGTGATGTAGCTTGTATCATTTATTTTGAGAAGTGCTTCATATTCAAAATTTTTAAATCAGTGTTGTGAGTCATGGTGTTTGGCATAACGATGTAAGTATGAAACCCTTGGACTCTGCCCTCAAGTAATTCAATATTGTAGAGAAGGCATATATAAAGAAACAAACACAATGCTTGGTGAGAGGGCATCAATAAATGTCTTAAACATATTACAGTAGCAGCACAGAGGAGAAAAGCAAGGTCACCAAGTGTATAACTCTTTCTAGTGATGGGAAAATCAGGTAAGGATTCATGGAAACAGAATATCTGATGAAAGTTTTAAAGGAGGGGCAAATGTCTCCTATCTGTCGTTATTTATAATTTAAGGCACTACAACTTTTATGCTTTCTTACCCAACCTTCCAAATACATACATATAGATATTTTATCAGATGGGTAAAATTATAAAGGTTTTGAGAAATGCACAATTATAGCTGAAAACTTTAAGATAGTAGTGTCTTCAAAATATCAACTAAGCTAGAGGTACATACTCAAGTTTCAGTAGTACCTGTAATAGCCTCTCCGATAACTTGCTTCTCTGTTTCTGATAAAATGCCTTTAAAAACAATGTCCTTTAGGGTTCAATGGACCATGAAATAGTTTCTGCAGAAGTACCCCTGGTGCCAGCACTGAGGCAAACATTCATTTTGGCTGTCAGCTATAAGAACTTGGAAGAAATGAAGCACATTTATTATGTACTGATATATTCTGACTAGATAATCCTTTTTAGTTGGAAGCACTATAAAAGCAGTGCAGATTACTGTTGGTGAAATAGTAAAAAACAAAATTCAGTCGAGCTGCAACAGTTTTGCTTCCAATTTCACAGCTGAATAATTTCCTTTATAAACCTCTATTAAAAAGTTTTGCTGGCAATGAGTATATTATAAATAAATAATTTATAATATAGTAAAGTTAGATAAATCAATGAACCCCCAAAATGACAATTTTCTATGTTTTCAAAATGTGATGATTCTAAGTGTTATATGTTCCATGGTTCAGTTAAGTAACTTAATTAATAAGGATTCACACTATTATTAGCATGAAGGTGTAATTATAGTTAAATTTTTGAAAACCTTTTTAAAGGAAATGTTAAATAAACATTTGTGTTTATAACTGTGGAAAATAAATCCTAAATATTGACTTTTCAGTATTCTGAAATATTAGAATAATAAACGATTTCCTGTTTACCCACAATCTTTAAATAAGTGGTAAATGTTATTAGAAGGTAAATAAAAGAGGACAAGATTAGCTTTTTAAGAGTAAAGTGTGGATTAACTTTTCAGGTGTTGAGCGCACATATTTTAAACACAGTAAAGTAACAGGCTGACCTGATTTTCATCTTTCGAAAGAAAGAGAGACACATTTAGTTGTACTTCGTATTATAGGAGGTGTTTTAGACATTTGCTAAACTGTTATGTTTTTAAATGGAAACTTCTTTGTCATTGCAGAACTATTCACAATAGCAAAGACATGGAATCAACCTGAATGCCCATCAATGATAGACTGGATAAAGAAAATCTGGTATATATACACCACGGAATACTATGCAGCCATAAAAAAGAATGAGATCATGTCCTTTGCAGCAACATGGATGGAGCTGGAGGCCATTATCCTTAGAAAACTAACACAGGAACAGAAAACCAAATGTCACGTGTTCTCACATATAAGTGAGAGCTAAATGGTGAGAACACATGGAAACATAGAAGGGAACAACACACGCTGGTGCCTTTCAGAGGGTGGAGGGTGGGAGGATGGAAGGACCAGAAAAAAATAACTAATGGGTACTAGGCTGAATACCTGGGTGATGCAATAGTCTGTTACAACAAAACCACATGACACAAGTTTACCTAGGTAACAAACCTGCACTTGTACCCTTGAACTTAAAATAAAAGTTTAAAAAGTAAATGTTTGATTAAAGGCAATATTTGTCATCTCTCTTCCTGATTTGAAGCACCTTAGAATCACACGCTGTGCTACATTTATTCCAGTCACGTGTGAAATAGCAATGGAGCTTAGAATGGCACCCAGGTATTCTGATCTGAAATGAGTAATGTAGATGTGTTTCCACCTAGTGCTTCTGCCATTTTTTTTTTTTTTTTTTTAAGACGGAGTCTTGTTCTGTCGCCCCGTCTGGAGTGCAGTGGCGCGATCTCGGCTCACTGCAAGCTCCACCTCCCGGGTTCACGCCATTCTCCTGCCTCAGCCTCCCGAGTAGCTGGGACTACAGGCGCCCACCACCACGCCCTGGCTAATTTTTTGTATTTTTAGTAGACACGGGGTTTCACCGTGTTAGCCAGTTTGGTTTCAATCTCCTGACCTCGTGATCCTCCCGCCTCGGCCTCCAAAAGTGCTGGGATTACAGGCGTGAGCGCTTCTGCCATTTTTATAGCAACTCTCTCAGACTGTCTCAAGTTACAACAGTGTAGACTCACTCCTCATCCTGACATATGCTCTAAGGTGGATTCAGGGAACAATGGCAGCATTACGAAACTTGTCCAAATGTTTTGTCAGTTAAAGTCAATAGGAAACTAATCTGTATAATAAAAGTTTTTTTGTCTGATTGTTTCTTTATTTGTTATCACCTCGTTGGAAAATGACTGGATGATTTTAAACCAAATTTTGGAGAGTAAGTTTGGGATAGCCTAGTTTGGAGTGGACCCTATGTGACACATTGAACATTTCTGTGAAGACCTCAGACAGCGCATCAGAAAGATAACCTTTCCTCAAAGAAGCCTATGTTGACAGTCACATGCACAGCTGTAGGATGTGAATAGTAGCAAAGTTCTACTTCTTTCACAATGGTTAATGATTACAGTAGTCAATGCCAGTGAGGCCCATTAATCCAAAGGAACTCACTTGCCATCACTTTCATAAACGTGTCTTTCAATTAGTCTTATGGATATTAATCTCTATGAACTAAAGAATGGATTCTGATGAAAGAAAGTAAATATGCTTAAACACTTCTTAATTCATATGTGTGTGTATATATATATATTTGATTATTATGTGTTTATAATGTAAACTCCAGCATATGAAATTATATTCCATATTTCATCAAATTTGAGATAATACAACTATTTTTTACTTATCACCAAGAAAAAATGTTTTGTAATTAAACAATTATGTAATACTTTCTTATTTAAAAATGTTAATGGTATGCATTTAGAAAGATATATTTACAATTCATGTAGACATAGACTTTCTTCAAGTCACATGCCATCATTTTGCGTATTGTATTAATTTCTTACTGTTGCCATAATGAATTACCACCAACTTAATTGTTTAAAGCTATATGGATTTATCTGACAGTTCTGGGAGTCAGCAGGGCTGTGTTTTTCTGGAAGCTTTAGGGGTGAATTAATTTCCTTGGCTTTTTCAGCTTCTAGAGGCTGCTGTATCCCTTGCCTCACAGACTATTCCTTTATCTTAAAGCTCTCAGCAGAGTATCTTCAAATTTATTTCCCCCTCCTTCTCTGCCTCTCTCCCTCTCTCCCTGTCCCTCTCCCTTCTCCCCATCACTTCCCTCCCCAGTCTTTGATGTGCTTGGATCATCACATCAACTCCTCTGACTCTGATCCTCCAGCCTCCCTCTTATAGGGAAGGACTTTTGTGATCACATTGGGCCTTGGGCCCACACCTCTAATCCAGGATAATCCTCCCATCTCAGAATCCTTAACCTAATCACATCTGAAAAATCCCTTTTAACATTCAGGGTAACATATGCACAGGTTTTTTGGACTAGGGTGTGGACATCTTTGAGTGCTATTATTTTACTTGTCACACATATGTAAAAGGAAAAATAGAAGTAAAATATGTTTATTTTTTAGCTAAATTTTCATATGCAGAGTTTACTTTTAAAATGCTGACTTATAGGAAATATAAAAATTAAGTAGAGTACAGTAACATATTACAAAGTAAACACCTGAGGCATGACACACATAAAAATGAAATATTGCTTAGAAAAATCAAAAAGTTCCTCTTATGCCATCTCTGACATATCTAAATCTATTTTTCCTCCTTCCATCCCCAAAGTAGCCACTTTTCTGACTTATAAGACTGTTTTGTAGTTTTGTCTGTTATGAATTTTATAGAAATTGAATAATATAGCATGGCTGCACATGCATGTGCATATAGCATGGGTGTGTGTATAGCTTCTTTGGCTTAAAACTATATTTTTGAAATTAATGTATTTTATGTGTGAGCTGTAGTTTAATTCATTTTCATCACAATACAGTATTCCATTGATAGAATATAGTGTATTTTATTTATCTGTTCTGTAGTGGATGAACATTTTGGTTATTTTCTGTTTGAGAATATTATAAGTAATGCTTTTTTGAATAGTTAATTACATGTTTCTTGGGGCACAGGTATACATGTTTATGGGATACATACCTAGGAGTGAAAAAGCATGGTCATTGTCCATAAGTATATTCCATTTCAAGTGACACTGTCATGCTAATTTCTTTTTTTGTTTTTGTTTTTGAGATGGAGTCTTGCTCTGCCTCCCAGGCTGGAGTGCAGTGGCATGATCTTGGCTCACTGCCAGCTCCGCCTCCAGGTTCACGCCATTCTCCTGCCTCAGCCTCGGGAGTAGCTGGAACTACAGGCGCACACTGCCATGCCCGGCAAATTTTTTTTGTATTTTTAGTAGAGACGGGGTTTCACCATGTTAGCCAGGATGGTCTCGATCTCCTGACCTCATGATCGGCCCTCCTCGGCCTCCCAAAGTGCTGGGATTACAGGTGTGAGCCACCGCGCCAGGCCTCTGTCATGCTAATTTCTAAAGTGATTAAAATATTTTTACTGACATATGTAGTTTTTCAAAGTTTTGATTATTTTCTTTGCATTTTGCTAAAAGTTTTATTAGTCTTTTTCACTTTAGGCATTGTGGTGCATGTGTAATAGTGTTTCCAGTTAAACTAGTATTATATTTAAATTCGCATTTATTTTATTACTAATGGGATGAGCATTTTAAGCATATTTTCAGAATTTTTACTGGCTTTTTGAATCTTTTTTGTGAAGAGTCTTCTCAAGTATTTTGCCCATTTTTCTATTCAATTCTGTGTGTCTTTTAGTTTTATTTGTAGAAGTTGTTTTATGTATTCTGGATCTTAGTCCTCTATTAATTACAGGGATTGCAAATGTTTTGGCCCCTACTGTGACTTGCCTCTGTGTACTCTTAATTATGTTTTTGGATTAATAAACATTTTAAATTGTTTAATGTTTATCAATATTTTTATGATTTTTTTGTTTGTTTCAATTGGAATATCTTTCTGTATGCCAAATTCATAAATATAAAGTCTTAGAATTTTTTTTAAATGTTATTTTCCACTTTTACTTAGGTCTATATTCTGCCTAGAATTGATTTGCTATGTGAGTGGGATCAAGTTATTCATAAGGATATCTAATAGGCCCAGCACCATTTATTTGACTCCATGAAAATGAAAATGATATATTCCTCCATTTATTTAGATATTTAATTCTTTTCTTTTAAAATGTTCTCTTCATTGAGGTCTTATAATATGTTCAGTAAGGTGTAAGGTAGTTTTTCCCACAGAATTTTCCTGTATTCCATTAAGAGCACTGCTAATACACCATTTCTTAAAAGACTATGCTACTTTTCTCTATCCAAGCCACTGACAATCATTATGCAAGACTGGATGGAAGTACAACGCCATGTTAAATCCAAACTGCTACCTGGTCTATGGAGATTAAAAGACATACCTGTTTTTAGATATTAACATGTGAGAAAATTTATGTTACAAAATTGGTAAAATTTATAATACAGAATGTAAATATTCTTTATTATCCTCCCCACTAACAATAGTCAGCATTAACTATTTACTGGTTAGTCTTTCAAATTTCATCCTCTGTATATTCTCTAATATTTGATATAATTTTTAATAATTACACAAAAAGTATTGTACAATACATGTGTTCTTTTACAACTTACTTTACTTGGATAATTTTTGGAGCTTATTCATGTGATTATGTGTATATAGATAGATTCAATTCACTTTTAAAATATAAGTATAATGTTTTATTACATGTATATATTTATAATCGTTTTTATGATAGGTATTATATATTTTTTATTTATAAATTCTCTTCAGAACAGTTTCAGTTCTCCCACTTTGTAAAATTATAAATATTAGAATACATGGAGCAGCTATTTGAAACTTCTGAATGGTAGGTAGCAGCTTGTGGCGGGGGGAAGAACACCAGAATTTGAAGTACCATGGCTCTGAGGGTGAGTTTACCATTTCCCTCGTAGTATCCTTCTGCCCAAATCTCAGAAATGAACTGTGGTACAGAGCACTCCAGCAGAAGCCACTCCAATTCTGGCTTGAGGAAGGAGACTTTACAAGCTCTGAGAGATTGTAGAAATCTTCTTTTTATTTCCTTTGTCCCCTTACACCCAAGTCCTAGGCAATCCCATGGAAGCACCCAATAATAGCTCTGAGGGAGAGGAACTTTGTTCTCTGTTCAATAGAGCAACTGTTCCAGAAGGGAAGGGCCATTCCCTATTACCTTTTACTCTCTGTGTTCTATCACTGAAGGATTATTTTTTCCTAAAATGACCACAGTAATATTTCAGGTCCCACTTGTTTTTCCAGAAAGCCACTCCCCTTCAAGAGGTAGAATCTATTTTTTCTACCCTTGAACCTGGGCAGGACAGGGTTTCATGGCTGCTTCTACAAACAGAATGTAGTGTAAGTAATGCTGCCTTACTACAGAGGCTATAACATAAAAGAGGATGTGACTTTGGCCTATTTCTGTCTTTCTAATAGATTTCCCTGGAACCCATTCCTTATACCATGGAAGAAGCTCATTCTAGTCCACAGAGAGAGACATGAAGAGGCTCACATAGAAAGGAATGGAGATCTCCAGCCAAGGGTCAATATAAATTTCCAGATAAGTGAATGAATGAGCCTTCAGATGATTCCAGTCCCCACCCTTTGGGTCTTTCAGATGAGGCCTGAGACATTATGATGCAAAGACAGTCTTCTCTTCTATGTTCTGTCCAAATCCCTTACCCAGAGAGTCGGTGAGTATCACATTACTAAGTTGTGGGTAATTTGACGATTTTTTTTTTTTTTTTTTTTTGCTGTGATAGTATAGTATGTGCAACTCACAATTCCTTTCTCTGAATTAATTTAGCTTTTTGGACATTAAAGCTTAAGTGGGATTATTATCAATGCGTTCTTTTATTCCTAACATTTCTAGTAATAATGTTCTAAACTTTCAAAGAAACTTAAGTAAGCAAATCCCACTGGGCATGGTGGTGCAAGCCTGTATTATTCCCTGCTATTTGAGAGGCTGAGGTGGAAGGACAGCTTGAGCCTGGAGTTGGAGACCAGCCTGGGCAACATAGTGAGACCTTGTCTTTAAAATATTTTTTTAACAAAAAAAAAATCTCAAAGGAGGCTTATAGTAAATGTTATAATTATCTAGATTCCATAAGAGATAAATTATTGTGAGCTATGTTACTTGTGGAAAAAATAAGCATTCTAATCAGATGGAGAAAAGCATTGAACACGTTTTGTTCATAAGTTTTTGCCTCAGAGAAGATCTTGAGAAATTTTGGAGAAAATAATTATATTGGTTTCTTCCATCTGTTTCTTTTGGCTTTTCCAAAAATTTCTAAAACAATTAGGCATTCTTTTTATAATTAGAACACAAACCATTATTTTAAAATGCTTATTTTAGCAAGAGGCAAACTTTCCAAACTAAGAAACAGCCAAACATTCAAACAAAAAAAATGGTACTCTAAATGAAATTATGTGGAGAAGGAGACAGGAACTTTAAAATAATGAATTGTATAATCCAGGACAAACTGTTCTTGAATCTGTGTTGTATATATATTTTAATATTAACTAAGCTTTAAGGATAGCCTGAATAATTCTGGTTTAAAATGGCATAGAAAACATATAATCGGTCTCTTACCCTGAAACCAGCTGAATACACTGGAAAAACAAAACAAAGCAAAGCAAAACCAACAAGAATAAAACAAAACTACAGCTTCAATGAAGCTAGAAATTTGGCACAATCTTGTCTACTGTAGCAATGGAAGGGGTGCTGACTGCCCAGAAGAGCTCCTAGAACATTACTTTAGCCCCATTTGGTATCTTACCACAGAAACAGAGGTTGTGGGGCTAAAAAAAAGAAACTTTCAATCATATCAGCTTTGCCAAAAGCAGGCTGTAAATATATCAGACTGTGGTTTGGTGGCAGTCAACTAAGGCATTGTTACAGAATAAAATAAAATGGTGACTAAGTTATTTCCCTGAAAACCAAGGAGACCCCCTGTTAGCCAGGAACAATATAATCAGTCTTCTCTGTTGAAGACTTCCATTTCAAAGTGGAATCTTGGGCATATGCTGAAACCTTCGCCTTGCTCAAAACACATAGACATTATAGAATAAAAACATACAACTCAATACTTAACTTGAGTTAAGAAAGGAAGAAAACCACTGTGGACCAGAATAGAAGAGAACCATACCCAAAGGCAGGCTATGTGCAAGGGTGTTGGGACCAGACTCTGGGATTATTATGACAGTCTTGGACCGCATGGCTCACAAATTGTGAAAATGGAGGGAAGTGTCTGTGGGATATACAGGAGGTAGCATAGGCCACCATTACATATACAAGCAGCAAAGAGGGAAACAAGGAAAACAAGCAAGTTAAAGAAAAAAGCCACATGAAAAATGCTATAACCTCCAAACTGATGAAAATTATTATCAAACATTTATTCATGAAATCAAAAAAGTGAACTAAAATAGTCTCAAAGAAGCACATGCTAATGGAGAGATATAAGCAATATACCAAAATATCCAAGTCACATCAAAAGACATGGAGAATGGTTACTCTTACATATATTAAAACATACAAAACAATACCACAGGTGTTATGTGTGTGTGTGTTCACTTGTGTGCGTGTGTGTTGTGTGATAAAATGTTAATAAAAGAACAGATGCATGGGCTAAATATATTAGGATAATTATAAAGCTGTATTCTGTAGAAGGAAGAAATAAAGGAAGTTGGAATGAGAAGATGAAATCAGGAACTTCATATGAATACATATATGTGTATATTCATACACACATTTAAATTTTAGGCAGTGTAAAATGTGTTAGCATTTGTTAGTTATGGATGATAAGTCTATATCCCTTATATTGTTATACTATTATTTTGTTATTTTTTTCAAAAGGAAAACTACCATGACAAATATTATTCATCCCAAAATGGCAGGCTTAATTCAATATTTGAATGTTGATTAACATTATTAAACATATTAATCAGTACTAGAAACAACAATATTATTTTCATATTTAGCAAACAAGGTATTTGGTGAAATTAAACTTCATTCTGATAAAAATTCCTAATGAAATATAAAGATATGTGGACATAGGTAACATCATTAACCAGTATCTTGGGTACTAATGAAATTTGAAATTTTCCCTTTATTTACAAGAATAAGACAAGAAAGATCTCTATTGCCAATTTTATTTAATTTTTCCTGTCAGTGATAGGACTGAAATTGAAAAGTAAAATAAATATGTGGCTAAAAAGCAAAGAAGGATTTACAAAATTCTTAACATTTTCAGATGGCATGATTTTATACCTGAAACCCAAAAAGAATTAAGAGAAAATCTAGCATAAACAGCTAGAGAATTCAGTAATAGGTCATTATATGATTAATACAAAAGAAAATGTCTTTGTAATTCATTTGAAGGTCAGAAAATCAAAGAAATGTCTCTCATAAAAATTGCCACTCTTTAATAATGCTGAATCTCTGCCTTCCCTTCACGGATCCAAAATCAAAATGATGAGAACAAAGTATATGCCTTCGTGTTCACTGAAGTGCCCCCTGTTGACAACACTGTACTGCGTTTATAGCATATAATTATAAACATTTAAAGAATGATTGAAAAACAGTGATTATTGAATGATGATCCTCTCATTTTTTCATATTTATGTAATTATATTACTTAAATACATTATATAAATGACTTCTTTATATAGCTTCCTCTCAAAACCTTTCTTCTATATTTCTGTGCTTCTTATAGATAGAGGATTATGTAATCCATTTGCTCAGGCTGCTAGAAATTTTTGGGTTTTTATTATCATTCTCATCAGGGGCTTCTATCTATACATAGTTAATATGTTTATATTTATCTATATCTAGCTATATCTATATCTGTATATCATCTATATCTCTATTTTTTCCTCTTTCTTTCTCTTTTCCTTTCCTACACTCCAGCTAATTTTTCACTTAAGCAGTATTGATGACTATTGGATTTTTGAGACCATATATTTACTATATATTGTCCCTCTGTTCTATTTATCCCTCTGGGTGGTCACCTCTCTCTGACATGATAGCGGGGGCAGGGCAAACTTTATGCACTCACAGGAGACACCAGGAGAGTGAATTGCTACATTTTCCCAGATGTGATTTCTTTTAGGTAGAGATGTCAACTAGTTAGTAGAAGCATGTGAGGGACCTAGGTATTGCTATGTGGTTATTGGAATATAGGATTTATTGATCACATTGACAGACCATGGTGGGATAAGCAATAAGGGTGCTATATCCCGTATGGATATAGCACCCTTATTGGGTGCTATATATTTTTGGATTTATATTTACACAAAAGTTAAGGCCTGTGTCTCCCCTCTTTTTATTTTAACAAGGTTTATACAACTTAGTCTTTCTGGACTCATTCTATTCTCTGTGCTGTCCAATAATGTAGCCTACTTCTACACCCAGACTGGGCATGCACATTTATCTCCATGTAACCAAATCATGAAGCTTTTGTAACCGAATCATGAAGCTTTGCCTTCTAATTAGGTTTTACCTTCTAGTCTATCCTGTTTAGCATCTACACAGTTTGTCCTTGGTGATAATCTTAGTGCTAGCTTATTTTCTTTTAGGCATGTACTATCCATACAATGCTTAGTGACTAAAATTATCCGAACAAACAGACATTTACTAATGATTATAATAGGCAACAGCTGGATTTAACATCTCATATTTAAAAATTGTTTTTGTTCTTTGTTTCTATGTTTTGATGAAAGCTTTTTCCTCTTATTTATGTAATCTTAGATTTACTTTTATAATTTATTTTATTCCTAGCGTTTTATCTCCTTCATATGTTTTCAAATAATGTAAAAACAAATAAATAAAATGACTGAATTATCATCCTTCCTAAACCAGCTTTCTTTACAAATTTTTCATTTGCTATTAAATATACCAATTTTTTTTCAGTTACCTAGATTCAAAAAGCCATACTCACATTTAGTTCTTTACCTGGCAAGCTGTCAAATAATGTAGATTCTATTTCTGCAATGTTTTCTTTTTCCATTTTCTTTCATGTGACCCAAGTTCAAGATCTTAAGGTTTTGACTGGAGACATTTTAAGCCAACCAACATAGCATAGCTAGATTGTTCTTCCTAATGTATGGGTTTATTCATACCATTTAGGTTCTCAAAACTCTAATAACTGCTTATTGCTGACAAATTAATGACAAGGACTTTTGATAAAGAAAGTTTTCTAGTTTATTCTTAATTACTTCTGGAAGCATATCACTCCCTACCTTTGATAGATAATCCAGAATGCTTTATTCACTGTATTTCAGATTACCCTGTATATTTTTAGCTCCACCATTTTGCTCGTGCTACTTTTATTCCTAGAATGCTGTATGCCATATGTTCTTTTGAAAAAGCACATTTGTCCTTCAAAGCCCTTCTCAAATGCCTCCTCTGTAATGTAGCTTCTGCTGCATGGACTGTGCCTCAACTAGATATTGATGAAAAGAAAAGCTTTAGCTTTTCCCTTTGTGCTCCTGTTATGGCTTGAGCCAATATATTACTAGTAATTGATAACAAAGTAGTACGATTATGCTCTGCAACCATTCTCAAGGATGGCCCTTTTAGTGAAGAGTGTTGATCTTTGGCTCAGATTTCTTTGGATACCTTTTATTGTTTCTGTCCTCTCCTTTCCTCTGCTATTCCCTCCTTGGTTTGCTTTCTCTTCCAACAGCCAGAATTTGCAGCTCTTTACCACAAGAGTGCCCTGGAGCTACTGGAGCCTGCTTTTCCTAAGGTACCAGAGAGCTGTGTCTCTAAGTTATATCCTACGGCGGAAGCCTTTAGTCAATGATCAAACTGATGCTAGAGTACCAAAGTCCAGCTCCCCGGCTCAGAGCAACTCAGGAGACATTAAACTGCAATTTTCCCACAGGATCAGGCTGAAGTTGCCTTTTGCAGGACTTTGCCTGTACCTTGCTTGGTTTCACTTCTCTGTCCTGCTTCCTCCATCCCCTTACCAGTTTTCCCTGGGAACTCTTCCTTAATCACAGCCAAAGAGATGCTCATATCACGGTCTGCTTTTCGGGAATGTGCCCTAAGTCTGCCCCATGAAAGCTACCCAAGTTGTTTCTCCATTTATTATAACTAGATATAACTAGGGGGATAAGTTGAATTGTTTAAGTTTGCAAATATCAAGTGCAAAATACTACTTCCCTAGTATTCTGAAGAAGTTCTAATGTACAGTTGCTTTTGACCTAGCTTTAAAACCCCCTATAGGAGTTTAAAAGAGGCTTTTGAAGGAGAAAAGGTTAAACTTTGTCATTTATATTTGTGATAACTGTAGGTAGACATGCTTACCCATGTAAGCATATTGTTACAATGACTGTGATGGAATTGGCTGTAGTTTGTGCCCCTGGCTTGAAGAATTTGAATTCCCTTGGGCTATTAGAGTCTGGAATTTGATTAGTGTGGGCTGCAGTCTAGTCCCTTATCAGCTATTTCTGTAACACATCAATTCTGTGTCATTCAGCAATGCCTTTGCTGGGAAATAATTCTGGCAATCTGTTCTATTTTAAATTTATCAAATAATTGTATGCAGCCCAGTCTCGGTGGATTTTCCACTAAAATGCCCCATATTTTCTTCTTGACAAGCTTCATCTCACTTTCTGTTAAGTTGTGATAAGCAGCCAGTGTCTGGCTAAGAGGCCATGAATTGTATTTTCAGTACTGAGGGCTCTATCAAAATACCTACAATAAAGGATGGGGTTTGCAGAGAACCTTTAAACTATCATTCTCAGGGAATCATACGGGTACTGCTAAGTCAGTCTCCGTTATTTTTATTACCTTGTTCTCGAAATAAAGTATTTCTGTTTTATTTCTCTTCACAATTCTTATTGTCTTTAACAAAATGCCCAGTTACAAGATATTTGTACAACAGAGGAGAGTAATAATTTCAGGCATATCATTTTGTCAGTTATCTGTGTTACACTACACATTCACAGCACTATATTTGTTTGCCCCACATTTGTCATTTCATAGTCTGCTTTCCAGATTGACAATTATTCCGACTTTTTTGTTTTTCTTGCTTTTTTTATTCTAAAATGACTTGAGTTCTTTTTTACTGTTACAAACTATCTTTACTTCCAATAGGAATTTTACTCATGTTTGGAAACTAGCAGTTATAACTAGAAGAGTTAAAGTCAAAGATTTTGCTCCTTATAAAAGTACAAAATGAACTGAAGCAACATACTGATTTGTAAATTATTAATTTATTGTAATTTATAATAATTACATTTTCATGTGCAAAAATATTCAGCTGCCAGTTAATACCATTTTTTCTTGAATACTTTGATACATTTGAAGGATACATTTTATATTCTTTAGTAAGGTATAACAGTTAAGCAAGTATCATAATAATTTTAGTATAGCCTTAGGAGGATGTAACCCAGAGAGAAACTTCTGCTCCTGATATAATAGCCTTGGGAGAAAGTGGAAAGATCAGTTAAACGTTGGTGTCTTAGCCTGTTCAGCGTGCTATAACAAAATACTATAACAAAATACCATATACTGTGTAGTTTATAAATGACAGAAATTTATTTCTCACAGTTTTGGAGTCTCAGAAATCCAAGATCAAGGCAATGGCAGAGTTGGTGTCTGGTGAGGGCATGCTTTCTCATAGATCGTGCCCTCTTGCTGTGTCTTCACATGGTGGAAGGGGCAAGGGAACTCTCAGAGATATCTTTTATGGGAACATGAATTCCATTCATCAGGGTTCTACTTTCATAACTTTATCACCTTCTGTAAGGCTTCACCTCTTAATAATGTCACCTCGGAGTTTAGGATTTTAACATGAATTTTGGAGGGACACAAACATTCAGACTGTGGCAACTGTTTGTTCTATAAAGAATTGAAATTGGGGTGGGTGTGGGGGCAATACTTTAACACTCGAGCTCTGCTTATGGAGATATGTCAGTATGTAGTTATATATAAACATTTTCTTTAAAATGCCGCCCTGAAACCCGATAATACTACTCTAGTCCTACCAATGGGAGAATGATGAGAATGATGAAGGCCCAGACAGTTCAGCCATAAGCTAAAATACCTCTAGAGAAGAATCTAAGAGCTCAGACCCCTAAGAGCCTTCATATGGAAGTCAATGGTGCCATTGCTATGTTTCTATACTTTATATACCGCCTTGTGCTTCTCATTCTGAGATCCTGTAACTTCATTAGCTCTGCCCACATCGTAACTGAATTAAACTTGGCCTTCTTTACTATTTTGCATAAGAGTTGCAATCCCACTCAGCAGTGTTTGACTTTAGCAATCTTAGTCTTGACTGGAAGTATGTAACACGGAATCACAGAGTTCCCTGAAAAGTCTCAGCCATATCAGTACCATCAACCCTGATACTCTCTTGCCTTTCACAGCCCACACACTCCCTCCTAGTTACCCACCTGCTGCATGGAGCACTCTGGATGGTATATCTTTGTTCGTTGCTCTACTGCACTTTCTTATGGGACCCACTGGAGTCCCCATTCTCTAGTGCCCAGGCATTTCTGCCTGACTAAACCTGTCTGAAATGCTGACAAAAGCAGTTTTTTCCATTCTAGTTAATAAAATTAACTAGTTTATAGTATGATACATGCTGGAAAACAGCCATGAACAGAGTTGTATGACAGCACAAAAGAAATAGCAATTCTTAAACAGGAGTGGGGAAGATCAAACAGTCTTCTAAAAGGAGATTATTATGAAATGATACAAAAATTATGAGGAGGATTTAGGGATCTAACTGATGAACAGAGGATAGGAGAGAATATTCTATAATTTTTTAAAAAAAGCTTTCTAGGCCGGGCGCAGTGGTTCACGCCTGTAATCCCAGCACTTTGGGAGGCCAAGGCGGGTGGATCACTTGAGGTTGGGAGTTCAAGACCAGCCTGACCAACATGGAGAAACCCCATCTCTACTAAAAATACAAAATTAGCCTGGCATGGTGGCGCATACCTGTAATCCCAGCTACTTGAGAGGCTGAGGCAGAAGAATCGCTTGAACCCAGGTGGCAGAGGTTGTGGTGAGCCGAGATCATTTCATTGCACTCCAGCCTGGGCAACAAGAGTGAAACTCCGTCTCAAAATAAAAATAAATAAATAAATAGATAGATAGATAGAATAAAAAGCTTTCTCAATGTAGACGGCTCCTGAAAAATAAGACATTGTGACTCATAATTATAGGTTGGTTCTCATTAGAAATAGATCCTGAGTTGGAGATTTGCTGTGGATGGTTTATTGGGAAGAGCTGCCAGGAGCAATATCACTGAAGAGAGAGGGAAGCACGACTGGGCAGAGGGAAAAGTTGAAGTGGGATGACATTGCAGCAGAAGCCTCAGGAGATTGCTCAAAGCCTAGGGCTGGATGCCCTTCAGAGTTGTCCCTGATCAAGGCAAGTGGGGTCAGCCTCTGTATCACCACACTGACCTGCCATGTAATGTGGGCTGCCTCTGAGGAGACAGCATTATATGAGCAGGGCAGCTCCCTTCCAGAGAGCAATGACCAAAGACAGCACAGAGAACAAGACCCAAACTCCTGAAAGGAATCTGGGTGGCCCACCCCAGTATGAATTACACTTGTGGTAGAGCTCAGACACTCATTAGTTGTCAACTTTGACAGCGAATACCAGCTGGATTCCTTTTGCTCTGACTAGTGAAAATGTAGACTGTAATGTAACCATATATACTAGTAGAACTGATGGTTAGTTTTGCTAAGCATTAGAAAATTAATCATGTTCAAAAAAGAGCTTATGTTAATTTTCTGAACATATAACTG
Organism: Homo sapiens; assembly: GCF_000001405.40. Classification (NCBI taxonomy): domain Eukaryota; kingdom Metazoa; phylum Chordata; class Mammalia; order Primates; family Hominidae; genus Homo; species Homo sapiens. Next base: position 145,636,071 of record NC_000003.12, on the reverse strand, counting down.
AAAATAATGCCTAAACACTTTATTGAAAATTAACAAGAAGAGACATCATGCTCTCTTTTCCATGGCTAACAATTTTGAAAGTTTATGACAATTGGCTGGAGGATTTTACACACTGATTAAGCATATTTAGGTTTATTCTTCTAGGGGTAGAAAATGGTCTAGATGACTTATTTGTGATTAAGCCACCGAAATTGTATCCTGTCACATGATTAAATCTTATGTTAATTGAGTCAGTCACTTTTGAGAAATGCCAAATGCTAAGTGTTGTTTTTCTAATATGAATACTATATTTAACACAGTAAGGTCACAGGTCTAAAATTATAAATAGGCCTATAATGGATTTATTAATAATGTGACAGTATCAAAAGTTAATATTTCTAAACATCATGTATCCCCACTTAATTTTTTGTATCACTAAGCAGTAGATTACTTTATGTTACAGATTTCATGCTATAGTAATTGCAGTAATTAAACTTATTGAAGCTTGACTCAGTATAAAGTGTAAAGATGTATGAATAAACATAGGTCTTGTCATCTTGTCACATGAAAGATGCATACCCTTTATTTTAGAAGAGTGGGGTAGTTTATTGGAAATGTTTTTATTTTTAAATGTGTATTTTGAGAAATAGGAAGAGTAAAAGGTATTTAACTAGTTGAGATAGAGTGAAAAAGTGTATTAGTTGTTCAATAAAATTTGTACTGCATGTATCCACATAAATTAAGGAGAATATTATATATAATTAATTTTACTAAATAGAAAAGCATTTGGCAAAATTCAAGATTTATATATAATAAAATTTGAGAAAACCAAGGATAGTATAGAGGTTCTTCAGTCTTATAAAGAGTACCTAAAAAAAAAAAACCTGTCAAACATTACACTAAACAATTATACATTGCACAGTTCCTCCAAGATGAGAAACAAACAAACAAAAAGGATGACTATTCTCTCCTCTTGTAGTTAACATTGTACTGTGAGTCCTAATCAGGGCAATAATGCAAGAAAATAAATTCAAAGTATGGATTCTGGAAAGGAAACCACTCAAATTAATAAGTGAACTTAGTAAGCTGGCAGGGCACATGGCCAGTATATAAAAATCAAATTAAAATTTATGTTCTAAGAGTATATCATTAGAAAAATTAATTTTAAGTATATCATTTGCAATATATTAATAAATAAAAATATTAAAATAAGCTTAATGAAACATGTAAAACTTCTATAGTGAAAACTACAAAATGCTTTAGAGAGTTATTAAAGAAAACCTAACTATATGGGTTGACAATACCAGTTTTATAAACTTAAAAACTCAGTATTGTTAAGATGTCCTTACTAATCGTATTAGTTTTCTAGGGCTGCATTAACAACATACCACCAAACTGGAAGGTTCAAACAATAAAAATTATTGTCTCACATTTCTGGAGGCTAGAAATCTGAGATAAGAGTGTTCCATTTTTATGTTCACATTTCATTCTCTTCCTATGCGAATTTGTGTCCAAATTTGCCCTATTTATAGAGACACCAATCATCTCGGATTAGAAGCCCCCTCTATGTCAATGGCCTCATCATAAATAATTACATCTACAATGACTCTATTTCCAAATAAGGTCATGTCTTCAGTACTAGAGGTTAGAACATCAACGTGAATTTTGAGGGAAAAGCAATTCAACAAATAACAATCCTCAAATTTAGAAGTGATTTAAATACAATACTAATAGAAATTCCATAAGGATTTCTTTTCTTTTAGAATCAACATACTGATTGTAAAATTTATATGGACTTCATAAGAACCAAGAATAGTAAAATTCTTTAAAATAATATAAATATTAGAAGGTAGATACAATATGACTTTAAGACTTAATATAAATCTACAATTCTCAAAACATGTGGTATTGGCTTAATTTTAGAAGAATGATTAATGGAACAAAATAGATGGTCCAGAAATAATTTATGTGTATAAAGACAATTTATTTTTTAAATAAAGTTGATAAAGTAATTCAATGGGAAACTTTTTTCCAGAATAGGGTGTTCAAACAACTAGAATAATATATCTAAAACATATTTCTCAATCCCTATCTCATTACATACCTAAAATTAATTTTTGGATTATATGCCAAAGCATAAAAGTTAAATTAGAAACATTCGAGAAGAAAACAGAAGACAATAGCTCTGCAGCCATTGGGTAGGAAACATATTTTAGAAATTATAAAACACTAAGCATAAAAGTAAAACACATGCACACTTTACAGTAAAATTTCTTTAATCAAATAAATAAAAATTTCTGCTTTTCAAAAGACATGGGTGATGTAAGGGTGTTGGGTGACAATAGCAAGGAATACTTCATCACAACAAGCAGCCCAGCCTGAAAAAACCTCTAATCAGGGTTCTCAAGAGGGACAGAACTAATAGGATATATGTATACATGAAAGGGAGTTTATTAAGAGGAACTGACTTAAAATCACAAGGTAAAGTCCCATCATAGGTCGTCTGCAAGTTGAGGAGCAAGGAAACCAGTAGTGGATCAGTCCGAGTCCCAAAACCTCAACAGTAGGGAAGCGGACAGGTAGCCTTCAGTTTGTGGCTGAAGGCCTGAGAGCCCCTGACAAACCACTGGTGTAAGTCCAATAGTCCAAAGACAAATTACCTGGAGTCTGATGTTCAAGGGCGGGAAGCAACCAGCACGAGAGAAAGATGAAGGCTGGAAGACTCAGCAAGTTTGCTCATTCCATCTTCTTCTGCCTGCTTTTTTCAGCCGTGCTGGTAGCTAAGGGGATGGTACTCACCCAGAGTAAGGATGGGTTTACCTCTTTCAGTCCACGGACTCAAATGTTAATCTCCTTTAGCAACACCTTCACAGACAAAACCAGGAACAATACTTTGCATCTTTCAATCCAATCAAGTTGACACTTAATATTAACCATCACAGTCCCTGAGGGCCCAAGAATCCCCTCCTCTACCAAGAGGTACCAGGTTTTCCCTGGACTGGGGAAAATCCTTCTACTCCCTAAAACACCACCAGTAGGTTTGTAGTAACACTAGTAGCATCAGATAAACCAAGCAGACCAAAATTAATGACCACACATTCTCTGAAAATTAAACGTATGAAAGTACAACACATAAAAGAAGGCAACACAGTGTAAAGTGTAAACACTTTAAAAAGAATGAGTACCTGTTAAAATAAAAAAAAAAAAATAAGTCCCTGGCCCCTCTAACATAATAGGCAACATGTTCAGCATGCAAACAAAAATTACACATCATGTCAAGACTCAGAAAATAGCACTTGAATGAAAAACGATAATCAACTGATACCAACTTAAAGGTGTTTGAATTATCTGACAAGGGCTTTGCAGTAACCATCATAAAAATGCTCTAAAATCAATGGTAAATTCACTCAAAGCAAATGAAAACATATATGTTCTCAACAGCATAATAGAAATTAAATAAAACAATCAGATGAAGCTGATATAGCCAAAAAAAAAAACAATAGAGATAATGAAAAATCACTAGATTTCTTTAATCTAGTGGAGATGACAGAGCATAGATTCTGTGAATTTATGGACAGCTCAATAGAATTACTCTAAACAATATAGAAAAAATAGACTGAATAAGAAATAAACAGAGCTTTGGGGAGCTGTGGAACAATAACAAAAGTTTTAACATTCATATCATCAGACCCCAGAAGGAGAGGAGAAAGAGAGTGGGACAGAACCAGTATTTAAAGAAACAATGACTGAAAACTTTTGAAATTTAGTGAAAGACATTAGCCTATAGGTTCAAAAAGCTAAAGGCATACCATGAGACCACACCACATTAATACACATCTTAACTAAACTTTTGGGAATAAAGACAAAAAACCTGACATTAGCCAGAAAATAATAAATAGTTCATTGACTGTAGGGAAACAAAAATTTGAATGACAGATTTCTCCTTTGAAACCAAGGAGACTAGGAGGATATGACATATTTTTTCAAGTGCTGAAAAAGAAAAAAAAAACTGTTAACTTGAGAATTCTATATCCAATGACACTAACTTTCAGGAATATAGAGGAAACAGAGACATTCTCTCATAAAGAAAAATGAGAAGAATTTGTAATGAGAAAGTCTACTCCCAAAGATTGGCTAAAGAAAAGTCTTTAAATAAAAAGAAAACGATAAAGGAAAGAATCATGGTGCATCAGGAAGGAAGAAAGAATAATGGAAAGAGTAGACATATAAGCAGCACAGCGGCTATACTTTTCCATATGAGCTTTACAAATTATATATGATGATTTTAAAAAACTATAATATTTCTGTGATAGACTGTGTTTGATGAACACAATATAATAGAAGTAAAAATGAATAATAGAAAAACAATAGGAAAATGTCTACATGGCAATTAAATAGCACACTTTTAAATATTACATGTGTCAAAGAGAATGTCTCAGAGAAAAAAATATATATATATACTCTAACTTAGTGAAAATAAGACGCAACATATCAAAATATATAAAATGCAGCAAAAGCAATGCTTTGAGGAAAATTCATAGCATTAAGTGCTAACATTAGAAATGAGGAAAGGTCTCAAATCAGCTAATCTCTAAATGTCTACCTCAATAAGTTCAAAAAGAAGAGCAAAACAAAGGAAATAATAATAATGATGAGCAGAAATCAAGAAAATTGAAAGTAGAATAATAATAGAGAAATTCATTGAAAAAGAAAGAAAACTGGCCGAGTGTGGTGGCTCACGCCTGTAATCCTAGCACTTTGGGAGGCTGAGGCGGTTGGATTGCTTGAGCTCAGGAGTTCGAGAGCAGCCTGGGCAACTCTGTGAAACCCCATCTCTACTAAAATACAAACAAAAATTACCTGGGCGTAGTGGTGTGTGCCTGTAGTCCCAGCTACCTGAGAGGCTGAGACAGGAGAATTGCTTGAACCCGGGAGGAAGAGGTTGCAGTAAGGCAAGATCGTGCTACTGTACTCCAGCCTGGCGACAGCGAGACTCTGCCTTCAAACAAAAAAAAAAAAAAAAAAAAAGAAAGAAAAAGAAAAAAAAGAAAAGGAAAGAAAGAAAACCAATTGCCAAATAAAATGACATAAAATTATGCTCCTATGTTTTCTAGTAAGAATTGTATAGTATTAGCTCTTACGTTTAGGTCACTGATACATTTTCAGTTACTTTTTGTAGATGATCTGAGGTAAGGGTCAAATTTTATTCTCTCGCATGTTCCAAAAGTTTTCTCAGCACCATTTATTAAACAGTCTATTTTTCCCCATAGTATGGTAATGGCATCCTTGTCAAAAATCAATTAGTCATAGATATGTGGGTTATTTCTGGACTCTCATTTTACATCGCATTGATCCATATAACTATTTTTTGATAGTTCTATATTGTTTTGATTACTGTAGCTTTGTAATAAATTTAAAATCAGGAAGTATGAGTTCTCCAACTTTGTTCTTTTTTGAACAATTCAGGGTTTCTTATAATTATGTATGAATTTTAAGGTCAGGTTATCCATTGTTGCACAAAATTTTGATAGAAATTACATTGAATCTACAGATGAGTTTGAGAAGTATTGGCCTCTTAACTATACTAAATCTTCCAACTCATAAACACAGAATGTATTCTTATTTATTAGGCCTTTATCTCCTTTCAACATTTTATTGTTTCCATATACAAGTCTTTCACCTCCTTGGTTAGATGTATTCCTAAGTATTTCACTCATTTATGTGCTATTGTTCATGAAATTATTTTCTTAATTCTATTTTTATATTCTTCATTGCTTGTATTAGAAATACAATACTTTTGTATGTTTCAAACTATTCTGTGAGTCCACTATTGCTCTGATATATAAAAAAAGACAAAAATAAAACAGACCAATTTCTCTTATGAACTTTGATGCAAAGATCTTCAAATAAAATAGGATACCAAATCTAACAACTATAAATAAAATTATAAAGTATCGCCAAGGTATGCAAGGCTGACTAAGCATTCAAATATCAATCAATGTAATTCGCCATAAAACAGGAAAAAGGAAAAAATATCAACTGATCTTATAACTTTATACAGGCAAGGTATAACAAAATCCAACATTCATTCATGTTAAAAAAAAAAAGATCAGTAAGTTAGGAATAGATAGTAATTACTTACGGTTGATAAGAAATATTCTTTTTAAAAAACCTGCATATCACATAACCATTAATGGTGAAAGATAATGCATTATTTCTAAGCTCAATAAAAAAGGCAAGGATGTCTGCTCTCAAAACTCTTACCCAACATGCAGTAAAAATCTTAGTTACTGCAATGAGACATCAAGAAAAAGACAAAAAAAAATACCAATTTGAAAGAAAGAATTTTCCCCTTTTGTATAGAGCATGATTGTCCATCTGTTAAATACTAACAATGTACCAAAACATCCAACTATAAAATAAATGAGTTAAGCAAGGTCATGGGGCACAATATCAACACAAAAATCTGTTACACTTCTATACAGTAAAAATGAACACACAGAATACAAAATCGAAAACATGGTACCACTTATGATCACATAAAAGATAATGAGGAATCTTTGCAGTGATAGAAATTTTTGTATCTTGAATGTATCAGTGTGAATATCCTGTTCATGATATTAGACTAGAATTTTACAAAATTTTATTTTTGGAGAAACTGGGTAAAGAGTTCATAATCCTTCTGTATATTATTTCTTATAACCACATGTGACTCTGTAATTATCTCAATAAAAGTTTCAAATAAAAAGGACACTAAGAAAGTACATAAGAGGCCCACAGACCGTGGGAAATATATCCTTTGCCAAAATATATTATGATATGTATGATATATATACTTCTTTGACAATGCTAGTATTATAACTGTGATTTTATATGTACACATATACTTGTCCATTACAAGGAACTTGTAAAATTATTCAACTTTCTGAACCTAAAGGAACTTATTAAAAAAAAAGTCAAAGTCAATCATTGAACAGATATTTCACTGAAGGAGTTATACAGATGGCCAACAAACACATGAAAAGATACTCAACATCATCAATATAATGAGTTTTATGAAAAATATATTCTAGCTAGTCACAAAAAGAGTACAAACCATATGGCAGTATTTATATGAAATTAGGTGGTAGATAAAAGTAAGCTATGATAATGGAAGTAATATCATGGGTTTCCTAGGGGTTTGCAGGAAGCTAGAGGAGGAAAAGGCATTAGAAAATTTTCTAGGGAGTTAAAAATATTCTAAATCTTTATTGGAGTGGTGGTTATGCTTGTATACAGTATGTAAAATTTCCAAAGTTCATCAAATGATACAGTTAACATTTAATTGATCATTTGATAAAATACAAATATAAAATATGTATATATAAAGTTGATTAACACAAAAATATTAAAATAAAGCTTTTTACAAAGATATAAAATAATTTAAAAAACAATACACATCTGTATTATCTCTCTGTTTGGTCATTATGCTAAGTAACAATATTTCAGGACAAAGCTCCTTTATTAAAATTATAATCACCATTATGAGTCTCAAGAAAATCTTCCAGTTTACACTTTCTTTTGTCTTGTCCAGCCTTTTATTTTCACTGGTGGCAATGGATATTAAAGTCTGATCATCATTAAGGATCTTGTTTCCTACTGGGAACATGGCTCCTTTGCCAATGCTAGTATTATAAATTCTTCAACATGTACTTACATGCCCCTGAAGCTTGTACAAAAACTGATTTTTCTAGTCTCATGAGAGGTTGTATACAGCTCATTGGTGAACTGAGTCCTTTTTCTTCACTTTTCAGAATAAGTAATTACTTCAGCATGATAATAACTACATTCTCTTTTATGATATTACTTGGAATAACTTAAAGCTTAAAAACTGTTAGTGAATAACTGTGACTGACTGCCTTATTTGCTCAGTTGAAATTTGTTGTTGATTTTATGTAAACATTAAGTCATGTACATTATAAGTGACTTTAGGAAATGCTGTATTCACTGAACAAAGATTGTTTTCATCTAATGCGTATTTAATAAATATAAGTTAAAAAAATTCAATAAAAATTTGCAATATTTATTTAACAGTAAGGCTTCAGGTGATCCTGCAGCCACCCCTACCTTTACCATAAAATAATAATTTTATGAAGTAAAATAAGTTTTATTTGAAGATCGGTCTGCTCATGTTCCTTGAAATTCATAATCTGTTAATTCAAGAAGTGCTTAGTGAGAATCTGCTCTAAGAAGGAATGTAACTGCTAGTCAGCATGGAGGAAGTAGGGAATCATCTAGGGCCTATCCATATCAAATACACGAGAAAGAATTATTAAAATTTTAAATTATACTTATGAATTCTGGACCATTGTTATTCGATTGCTTGAGTTTAAACACACAAGAAAAATGTATTACATAAAGCACACCAAGGTGAAGCAAAGGATAGGGTGGGAAATCAGAATGTCAAATCTTCATTGTGTCTTTACAGCTGACATTTACTTTGTGAAGTGTGTTCTCCTTTAGCGGTTTAAGCAAATAAATTGTGATACATTTGTAATTGTCAGGGCTAATTGGCTTACATTTTATTTTTGTTTCAGAGTATAATACAAATCTTGGCATATAAATGCAGTTTTTTCATATTTCTATTAATAAAAATCAATACGAGTCGCTCCATAGTTGCTATTCTTTTGACAAGATTTTTTTCTTTGTACACTTACCTTAAAATGAGCATTTTAATGAATTATTTTGCCCAACCACTTGCATGAGAGTATTAGAGTCTCTCTACATAAAAAGATAAATAAAATATACTCTGAGATAACTTTCTTTTTTATAAGTTTAGGCTAGATCGGAATACACCAGAATACTTCTTATCACTTCACCATGAGGTCATTACAGATTTTATTAGATGTCTTCTACATGTACAATTTGACCGCCACTATTTTGCCTTTTTCTCCCCTGCACCCGTTTTGAAACATACACACACACACACACACACACACACACATCACACACACACGCACACACACATTCAATATCAACAGTATCTTCAATACTGACCAGGATAATGTATTCATACATTATTTAATACTGACCAGGATAATGTTTTTAGGTACTCATAAACAGGCTTTGATAAAACATAATCTGTCTTTTGAATCATTCTTATCTGACTATTTGGTCAGTTTTTTGAAGACACTCTCCAAATTCTATTAGTAAATGGGCAAAGTTTTACCCCCGATTTTAGAAAAACAATGCCTATTGGCACACTTAGAAAAAAAGAACTCTTACTCTATTCAAAATCTGTCTGGAGGGTGAAAGGGGAATAAATAGTTTAAATGCATAGTGAATCCCCATTTGTAAATCTGACCTGCCTATCCTATTAAATGACTAAATGGGATGCATTCCCCTTCACATTCAATTTGCCAATCACACTTGTCCCAGCATTTCAATGAAGATAAATTGCAACTCTTGGTAATTAGTTAATTGGTAATTTGCTCATCTATCTTTGTAGTGTGTTTTTTCCTCTATGTTGTTTACTACATTATTCTTTCCTCATTTCATTTCTGAATATGGGAACCAAATTTGGAATAAACATCAGTCCTGAAACTCCCTAGTAACATAAATGCCAAGTGGTTTTTATTGCTTAAAAAACTTAATTTAACTTGGAATTGAGTGGGGGAAAGGTGAGGCAACATGAAATAAGACCCAGCCAAAGAAAAGGCAAAACTGCAATACTGAAATAGAATAAGATTAAAAGTGAAAGCCATAGGGGCAGAACATATTTCATACTTATAAGAAGTATTCTGATCATGGATAAGTTAGTTTGTTGCTCTAAACTTCAGCTACATTGTATCAGCCAGTATCCTTAAATTCAAGCAAGAAAAAACACTTTGTCTAGTTAAAAAGAAAAGAAAAACACTCATTAAAGAGTATTACATGGTCAATTGACATTCAGGGGGACTAGAGAATCAGATCTGAAGGCTTTCCAGCAAGGACGAGTGCCCATATCACATCACATAGTTGTCCAACAGAGACTATATTGATGACTCTTAGGAACACACAACAGAGCTCATACCAGTGACGCTGTGCATCTGATGTTAAAATCTCCACCACAGACACATCTCAAAACTTGACACATTCATTACCTCTCAACCATATAATGGTTCTTTCAGGACTCCTACATTTTCATGCAACTTTTCTAAATCAAAATCTTAAGCAGTTACATTTCATTGGTAGCACCTAGATTTTGTGCCTATGCCTTGTGTTCAAGAAAGCTGAGAGTTTCTAGCTTCCTTTGGATACATCAGACTTAATTATATAAATGTCTTAAATTTAGAATGAAAGAGGGTTCAAAAATGCTGCTTACTATAAAATATGATAAATATTTATACATTAATATCCCCTCAGTGTCTTTTTTTATTCTATTTTTTTCTATTCTATTTTTAAACAGAAAAAGTGATTCCCTGCAATTTAATGCAACTCTCCTTGGAAAAGAACAAGAATATACTCACTTCCAGAAATGCTGAAAACGCTAAGTTCCAGTGCATCTAGCACCAGGTATAAGATATCTGTGTGATGCCCATTCCTACACTACCTCTTGAAAATCCCATCTTGATACTCTGTAATCTATCATAAAATTTAAAGCAAATTTTCAAAACTAACCTTATGTTAAGTAGTATAGTAAATGGGAGGAGAAAAATAAAAAAATCAATTAAAATACAAAATTTGTAAATATATAGAAGAAAAGCAAGAATAAATATATATTTAAGCAAATAAAGTCCTAATTTTTGGAGACGGTTTTGAAGGCCTTCTATATGACTTTCTTTCTCCACTATGTATTTCATGTTTCCTCTCCCTTTAGCCAGAACTTCAGCTTATCCAGAACTTTTACCTTACACTGGAACTCAAACATTAATTCGACATCAAGCTCGAGTTATCTTGCCTGTCGAAGTTCGCTTAATGTTTACATGGAAGCACTAAAAGACATCTTAAAAACACACTACATTCCCAACATGCATCTCCATTGGAAAGCAATAATAACATTTCTGTATGATCAGGATCAATCAGTGCATCAATATTACATGTCATTTTTTGGCCCATTCTTCTATGTTATGAGGGGCCCATTAATGGCAATTTTGACTTCCAAGTCAATGGAATTAATATTTTTTTCATTAGCAGGAGATATTTCTTCCTTGGTTTCTGGGGCAGAGACCCTATTATGAATTTACTATATTGCTTCCTCTTTCAAGGACCACAGGAAGACTTTTTCCATTCTTTTTTTTTTTTTTTTTTTTTTTTTTTTTTCTGGCAGTTGGCTAGGGCCGTGTGACAGAGGTTTGGTTAATATAAGTTAGTAAGAAATAACATTAGCTGTTTCCAGATGTGGTCCTTAAAAGAATCTTATTTGAAGCTGCAGATATCACTACTTCTTCAGTGGAGTTAGAGACCATGTATTCTAGTTGTTGTAGTTACCAGATGGGAAATACAGCCTGATCTGCATCAGACTGTGATGTGTGGGGGTGTGTGTGTGTGTGAAATAAATCATTGTGTTATGCCAAAGAGATTTAAGAATTTATTTTTTACCACAGTATAAACTACCATAACATTACTTTTTATGGTGTTAAGACTTCTAACCCAGGCGAATTCAAAAACATAAAGATAAAATATAGTTTCAAATGTGTCAGAAAAGTGACATTTGGATTTCCAAGCCTTTGCTCCTGGATTCACATATTCTGACTGTAAAGGAAAAGTATTACATTGTTCATTAGTTCCAAGTCAATTTCACAATACAGATAATGCCTCTAAGCTGGTCATGTAAGTTATACTTTAATAGATAAGCCCACAATTTTATGCACCTAGCACTTTTGGATAACAGAAGCTCATGTTAATAAGTGAATTCCATGAATAAGGACCATTGAGTTATACCATAATTTACAGTAAAATAATTTTTGGGGGGAAATATAAGGTATTCTGTGATGGTGAATAAGATACTCAGTAAGTCCTTAGATGCTCTTGTTGGCAAAAGCAAAGCAGGCAGAGAATGTAAATCCAAGTCCAAATCAGTATGAAATCAGAAAAACAGATATCTAGAAGTCAAATGTAATTAGTCATGCCAAATGGTTGGCTGATACCCTGAAATATGTTCTCATATCAAGTTAACAGAGTATGTCATTAAGGCTGGCAAGTTGGTCAGTGGTCAACAGTAATAGCCAGAGAAGCCTCAGTTAGAGCATATCCTAATTTTTGAGCCCATGTATAAACTCATTTCTGCTATCATGGCCATTGTGTCTATGAACCCATTGGCTAAGCTGCTCTGCTGAGGAAGAAGACTTACATTCACACTGGACCATTTCGGTTACTTGACTGTTGAGAGCTGCCCCTATATTAGGAAAAATATTGTTGAACATTCACATGGGAGAAAGCATTATCATTTGCTGGGTCCTTTATGAGAGATGCATCTACATAAATTTCTATACAATTCTGTCAGCACTCTAGCAAACCAGTTCCTTTCAAAACAATAAACATATTGCCAAACTATGAGTTATTGCCCATGAGTCAGTATAAACAATTGCATGTTCTTTGGGAGTTTATAGCTACTGTGAATATTTTCCTTCTCAAGTATCATTCAGGAGTACCACTGAAGGGCAAATAGTGTTCTCCTGGCTATATACATTGGTTTACAGTGTCTCCAGAATATGACACAAAGCTAACTCTAAATCAGACAAAATTTTTCAGTTAATATCCTGTGAGGCCATTGGAGTTAGTTGAGAAAGGAATGTAGAAAAAAAATATGCATGCTGGGGATTTGAGACAAATTACTTGTGCCTTTGGGCCTTGCTGGAAATTTCTATTTGATGATGAAATGCTGAACATGATTAACTTTGTGAATTGGTAGATATGGTGGCATAAGTTTCATGATAAAGGGCTGAACTTGCTGATTATGTTTTTTTTTTTTTTTTTTTTTTTTTGACATGGTGGCTTGCTCTGTCACCCAGGCTGGAGTGCAGTGGTGCAATCCTGGCTCACTACAACCTCCGCCTCCCGGGTTCAAGCAATTCTCCTGCCTTAGTCTCCTGAGTAGCTGGGACTACAGGCGCATGCCACCACACCCAGGTAATTTTTATATTTTTAGTAGAGATGGGGTTTCACCATGTTGGCAAGGGTGGTCTCGATGTCTTGACCTCATGATCCACCCACCTTGGCCTCCCAAAGTGCTGGGATTACAGGTGTGAGCCACTGCGCCCGGCTGCTGATTATCTGTTATTCCAAGGTCAAATGTTTGATCTCTACCACAGCACAGCAATGAGACACATTTTGTTCCTCAAAAGGTAACTTGTTTTTGGTGAAAAGGCCTTGGATTTGTTCCAAAATCCTGAGGGCCTCCACTCTTATTCTCATCTCTGTAAGTTCTGCAGGCCTCATACAATACCTTCGTCCTTTATAGATATTTGTAGTAAAATTAGATACATTGGTTTATAAACATCAAAGAGCACAATCTCTTGCATCTGGTTTTGCTCTGACTTCTACTTAATGCTGGAAGTCAATCAAAGCTTCTATAAATGTGCAAAACCATTGCATCCACATGTAGAATATTTTGCCTTCAAAATACAGAAGATTAGCAAACACTATTCCTCTCTCCTGTGGAATGAAGAGGTGAAAGGTGGACTCAGAACCAGAGAATTGATATAGCTTTGAGGTTAAAAACAATGACAAGGTACTGCTCTCCTAGTAAGATGGGTTTAGAGGAAGGAGACACTATTTCTGTCATTTTCTGGTCATTAAGATAAAGACAATATAATCTAGCTTAATTCTGATAGTTTAATCTCTGATAGATTTTTAATGCAAGAAAATTAAAGTTAATGCTGGAGTACAGAAAATGAAAATATCCTGAAATAAAGTATTATAAAAATATTTTTAAATGATTTTATGACATTACAATAAATATATCAGAAAAAAGATGATTTGATATAGAAAGAATTGAATGATTCAACTTTAATCTAATAAAATGCTTATTTTATGACTACTTGTGGATGTTAAACTCTTCAAGATCCAACCATCTTATTTGTGAAACAGTTTTAATGCTAACAAATATTATAAATATTAAATGTTTCACTTATTTTATTTACTTATTTATTTATTTATTTTGAGACGGAGTCTCTCTCTGTTGTCCAGGCTGGAGTGCAGTGGCATGATCTTGGCTCACTGCAACCTCTGACTCCCGGGTTCAAGTGATTCTCCTGCCTCAGCCTCCTGAGTAGCTGAGAGTACAGGTGCGTGCAACCATGCCTGCCTAATTTTTTGTATTTTTAGTAAAGACGGGGTTTCACTATGTTAGCCAGGATGGTTTTGATCTCTCGACCTTGTGATCCACCTACCTTGACCTCTCAAAGTGCTGAGATTACAAGCGTGAGCCACCGCACCTGGCCTAGTTATTTTTAAAGTATGATATAATCTAGTAGATTAATGTTGAGGGAGTTTACAAAAGAGTTACCATTTTTGATGTTTCTGCATCAATCTATATATTTTTGATATGATTAACTTTTCTTCTCTTACTTGACTCTTTCTAATATTCCTTATAGCCAAATACTTAATTGTTTCAGAAATTTCAGAATCCTATGTAACTATCTATAATGCAAAGACAATAAATTGCAATAAAAGTCAGAAGATGAATCTGATTGAATAAGTTATTTTTAATTTTTTTTCAGAAGCTAGCTCTTAATTTAACAGAGACAAATGCAGTGAAGATGAACAACAAGTATTTTGTAATTAATGAATGGTAAAGTCCTCTCTCTCCCAATAGATACAAAGGATAAAGAAGAGATAAACAATTCCAAAGAAAACAGATATCCTGGTAGATATCCCTTGAAATCAGCATGCATTTCTAACTGTCCCAACTCTCCTCCTTTAAGACACCAAAAGTTGCCTTCGATTTAAATCTAACACATACCTTCATCTGAAACTGGTACTATTGCATACCAAGTCATTATAATTTATTGCTTACACTGGCAAACAATGCCTTTTCTCCCCTTTTTTTTGTATTGAACCATATTTGAAGTGCAATGAATTTAAAGTGCATAATTTGATCAATTTGGACACATGTACACAATTATGAAACCATAACCACAATAAGAATGATGAACATTTTCATCACCTTCCAAAGTTTTCCCATATCTCTTTATAACCATCCCTCCCTCCTCTCCATCCCTAGGCAAGCATGGCTCTACTTTATGTCACTATTAGTTTTGAGATTCATCAATTTCTTCATTATAAACATTTTATTATATGAATATACTAAAATTTGTTTACCTACTCACTTGTTGATAGACATGTTTCTATTATTTTGACTGTTACAATTAGAGCTGCCATGAATATTTGTGTAGAAGTGTTTGTGTGGAGATATGTCTTCTTTTCTCTTTGCTAAGTGCATAGGAGTAGAATGCAGTATATGACAGCTTAATTTTCCTTCACATCCTCCTTTTCAACATTTGATAAGCAGCTTTAGCCATCATAATGTGTGTAGTGTATAGACTATCATGTTGAGCACCTTTTCATGAGCTCATTTGTCATTCACAGATCTGCTTTTGTGATATGTCTCTTCAAATATTTTTCTATTTTTAAACTGAGTTGTGTGAGATTTTTTGGTTTCCTGACAGGAGTCTTTTTTTCTGAAATAAAAGGAACAAATATTTTCTACCAGTCTATACTTGAGTAGAATCTTAAGTGATCTACCTGCTTTATTCTTTTTTTTTTTTTCATTAACTCTCAAATTATCAATTTCAGGTCAATGTCCAGCTTAAGAGTCTCAAAAGTTTTCACTTTGTCCTTAGAATACAATTCAACTTCCTCACCATTCTCCACAAGGCTTTATGTAACCTGACTTCTGTCATGTTTCCGGTCACATCTCCTCCCACTTGTTCACTCTGTGCTTCCACCCACCATGTGTTCTTTCTGTGCCTGACACACCAGACTGGCTCCTGCTGTAGGGGCTTTATTCTCTCTGCCTAAAACGCTCAACTCAGACTTTCCCTCTCCCCTTCATATCATGCAGGCATCTGCTCGAATATGAGGTCTTCCCTGATTGCTCCAAATCCATCCCACTATACTTCAGTCACACTATTTTTTTATATTCAAAACACTTAACAAGAAGCTGAAATTATTTTATCCAGCTTTTAAACATTCTTTTTCTGGCTACCCCAACTAGAACCTAAACCTCATAAAACAGAGACCATTTCTACTATGTTCACCACATATCTTTATTACCTCCAACTACACCTGGTATAGGAAGAGCTCAATCAACAATTGCTAAGTGAATGAAAATTAATAACAGCTGCATAACAGTCAATGGTATGCTGGAACAAGCTTATTATGGCTCAGGGAGCCAATCCTGTGCATCTCTCCCTGAATCTTCATTCAGAAGCTTCACTTGGTTGGCATGAAGTAGGTTATGATGAAAATATTTACACCACAGAAATCAGCAAATGCCACAAATTAAGGTTTTTTGTTGTTTGTTTGCTTGTTTGTTTTATTAAGGCCTAGTTGTTAAATATTTACTGGCACACTTAAGATTATAGTAATTTTACTGAATGTTTGTTGACTTATCTTTGTTGAGTTCCCTTTGGACTATCAGAAGATGCTGGTTTGGTGACAGGAGCTTGGAGTTTGTTACCAGGAATCGTGGAAGGAGAGTGTGGCATAATTGGTGAGGGTTCCTGGTAGCTCAACTTTTTGGTAGCCTTACTTGCAGTACTCCACAGTGTCTAGCTACTTGGAGGAAGAACCTATCTTTCCAGGTCTCTTGGCCACATTCACTACTTTATCTTGGAGGTAAATGTCATTGTTACCTTCTGTCTAACGATGACATGGTATAGGCTCCATGGCTCAGATTCTGGAATGTACAGTCCCAGTGATGGCTGCCCTAGGGTCCTTTTTTTTTTTTTTTTTTTTTTTGAGACGGCATTTTGCTCTTGTCACCGAGGCTGGAGTGCAATGGTGCAATCTTGGCTCACTGCAACCTCCATCTCCCGGGTCAAGCTGTTCTCCTGCCTCAGCCTTCCAAGTTAGCTGGGATTACAGGCACCTGCCACCACGCCCGGCTAATTTTGGTATTTTTAAGTAGAGACCAGGTTTCACCATGTTGGCCAGGCTGGTCTCAAACTCTGGACCTTAGGTGATCCAACCGCCTCAGCCTCCCAAAGTGCTGGGATTACAGGCATGAGCCACCGCGCCCAGCCTCTTCCTTTTGTTATTCATTCACTTTTGGCTGAGAAAAAGGTTTGCTTCTGCCTAAAAAAACAATTCTCTCCTTTGCATACTTTCAGCTTTGGTTTACTATTAAAATGTTATCATTTTCTTATCAATTCTATTCTTTTGGAATTCTATAGTTTGTGAATTCCTCACAATTCTTATTCTATGCATAGCACTGTTAATTTTATGTACTCAAATTGAAAAGTATTGTTAACTCAAGGAATTGAGGTGGGATAAAATATGCATACTTCTGTGTAGTGGGCTATATAATACAATGGTGTAATGTGACAACTTAAAAGTGGGATATAAATGAGTTTTGCAATAATGTGTCATACTTTATATTATTTAATACTACTATATTACTTAATAAGAAACTAATAGTGTCTCAGTAGAAGGAGCATATTTGAGCTGGCTAGCTAGATTTTTAAGCTTTCCAATTTCCAGGTCTCTTCTACAATTAAAAATTAGTCTGTATAACAAACTAGAGTGAAGCCAATACTTTAAAGTTTATTTATTATTTTATTTCCTTGCAGTTACTTTTAAAAAATGTTTTGAAAATAAACTTAATCTCTTGGTTCTTTGTCTGTCAATGACAAGGAGAAACAAGGAAAAAATGATAAATCCTTGCTTAGTGAACCAGAGTAAAATGAAACCATTCAGTCATTTAGCTTATATTACCAAGTGTAAACTACGATGCCTTCATAAATATCTATCTAATTCATTTTAGTATACATGATGGATTTGCCTAATCATTCACTTTGAAATTATGGTTGACAAATAAATTATATGAAGAATCCATTCAACTGAGTGAGAAACAACTTTCTAAAAAAAAACTGAATGTATGTGGATCAAGATTAAATGCACAAGTTGGCAATGTGGATAAGATTAGAAGCAGAGGGTTGAGATATTTTGTGCTTGAAAATACGAAAATGTCAGCGGGTGGGGCCAAGATGGCCGATTAGAAACAGCGGCCTTCCGAGGCTCCCATCCAGAAAAACCATAATAAAACTGTGAATCCTTCACTGGCAACCAAGGTATCCAGGTTCTCTCATCAAAGCTGACTAGGAGGCTAGCGTGACCCACAGAGAGAAGGAAGAACAGTGTGGTGCGGCGGCCCACCTGAGAGTCACACGGGGCAGAGAAGCCCCCTTCCCCCAGCCAAAGGAGGCAGTGAGTGAGCATGCTACCCAGCCAGGGAAAGCGTGCTTTTTCCACGGAACTATGCAACCCATAGATTGGAAGATCCCACTGTGAACCCACACCACCAGGACCTAGTGTCCCAACCCTAGAACCCCGGAACATGCAGATTTGCAACAGCCTCTCAGCTGGAATCTGCTTAAGGCTACTGAACTGCCGGCGAGCGGCAACCAGCACCGCAGCTGCAGCTGCCTGCTGTCAAAGCCATTTATTTGAGCTCCCTGGGGGAGGGCAGCAGCCAGCACTGGAACTCGGAACTGCCTAATATGCTAAGCTCCCTGGGTGGGGAAAGGGCGGCATCTATCTCTATTGCTCCAGGCTGAGCTTTTCCCCTGCTGGAGCCAGGGAGGCTGGATGGCTTGGGCCCAAGACTTGTTCCCCACAGCCCAACACACCATCTGTGGCAGTCTGTGGCCAGAGTGCTTCTTCAGGCCTGACCCTGACCCATCCTTCCTCATTGGTAGGTGCTTCCCTGCAAGAACTCCAATAACTCCAGCCAGAGGCTCAGGGACAGAACCTCGATGTCTCTGGGCCTGAGCTCCTAGGGAAAGGGGTGGCCGTAGTCTCTCTTGACCAGCAGACATAGCCTTTTCCTCCGGTAGTTCTGAGAAATCCAGGCAGCCCTGAAAAGTGGGTTTCCCCACAGTGAGGCACAGCCCCTCCACCAAGTAACAAAGTCTTGTTAAATGGGTCTTGTTCCCCATGCTACCCAACTTGGGTGAGACCCTCCAACAGGGGTTGTCAGACACCCTATACAGGAGTGATCCTACTGGCATCAGCTTGGTGCACCTTGAGGTCAGAGGTCCCAGAAGAAGAAGCAGGCACCCATCTTTGCTATTCTCTGGACTCCCATGAATGACATCTCTAGGCACAGGAGCGAATCAGATGAATAGGGCCTGAAGGGAACTCCCAGCAAACTGCAGCAGCCCTACTGAAGAGGGACCTGACCATTGAAAGAAAAACAAACAAGCAGAAAGCAACAACAACAGCATCAACAACAACAACAAAGTCCCCACAAAAACCTCATCCAAGGGTCAGCAGACTCAAAGACCGAAGCTAGACAAACTCAGGAAGATAAGAAAATGAAAAAATCCTGAAAACCCAAAAGGCCAGAGTGCCTCTTCTCTTCCAAATGATCACAATATCTGTCCATCAAGGGCAGAGGACTGGACGGATGATCAGATGGACAAATTCACAGAAGTAGGCTTCAGAAGATGGGTAATAAAAAACTATGCTGAGCTAAAGGAGCATGTTCTAACCCAATGCAAAGAAGCTAAGAATCTTGATAAAAGGTTATAGGAATTGCTAACTAGAATAACCAGTTTAGAGAGGAACATAAATGACCTGATGGAACTGAAAAACACAGGATGAGAAGTTTGTGAAGCATACACAAGTATTAACAACCAAGTCAACCAATCGGAAGCAAGGATATCAGAATTTGAAGACCACTTTGTTGAAATAATCCATTCAGACTAGAATAGAGAAAAGAGAATAAAAAGAAATGGACAAACTTCCAAGAAATATGGGACTTCATAAAAAGACACAACCTACAATAGATTGGAGTACCAGAGGGATACGGGGAGAGTGGAAGCAAGCTGGAAAACATGCTTCAGGATATTATCCAGGAGAACTTCCCCAATCAGCAAGACAGGCCAACACACAAATTCAGGAAATACAGAGAACACCATTAAGATACTCCACAAGAAGATCAACCCCAAGACACATAATCATCAGATTCTCCAAGGTCGAAATGAAGGAAAAACTGTTAAGGGCAGCCAGAGAGAAAGGCCAGGTCACCTACAAAGGGAAGCCCATTGGACTAACAGTGGACCTCTCAGAAGAAACTCTACAAGCCAGAAGAGATTGAGAACCCATATTTAACATTTTTAAAGAAAAGAATTTTCAACCCAGAAACTCATATCCAGCCAAACTAAGCTTCATAAGCGAAGAAGAAATAAAATCTTTTTCAAACAAGCAAATGCCGAGGGATTTTGTTACCACCAGACTTGCCTTTCAAGAGCTCCTGAAAGAAGCACTAAATATGGAAAGGAAAAACCAGTCCCAATAACTGCAAAAACACACCAAAATAGAAAGACCAATGACACTATGAAGAAACTGCATCAACTAGTGTGCAAAATAACCAAATAGTAGCATGATGGCAGGATCAAATTCACATATAGCAATACTAACCTTAAATGCAAATGGGTTTAATGCCCCAATTGAAAGACACAGACTGGCAAATTAGATAAAGAATCAAGACCCATCTCAGGCCCAAAACTCCTTAAACTGGTAAGCAACTTTCTGCAAAGTCTCAGGCTACAGAATCAATGTGCAAAAATCACAAGCATTTCTTTACACCAACAACAGACAAGCAGAGAGCCAAATCATGAGTGAACTCCCATTAACAATCACTACAAAGATAATAAAATACCTAGGAATACAGATAACAAGGAATGTGAAGGACCTCTTCAAGGAGAACTACAAACCACTGCTCAACAAAATGAGAGGACACAAACAAATGGAAAAACATTCCATCCTCATGGATAGGGAAAAACAATATTGTGCAAATGGGCATACTGCCCAAAGTAATTTATAGATTCAATGTTATTTCCATCAAACTACCATTGACATTCTTCACAGAATTAGAAAAAAATTATTTTAAATTTCATATGGAATTTAAGAAGACCCCATATAACAAAGACAATCCTAAGCAAAAAGAATGGAGCTAGAGACATCAGGCTACCTGACTTCAAACTATAATACAAGGCTACAGTAACCAAAACAGCATGGTACTAGTACCAAAACAGACATATAGATGAATGGAGCACAACAGAGACTTCAGAAATAACACCACACATCTACGACCATCTAATCTTCAACAAACCGACCAAAACAAGCAATGGGGAAAGGATCTCCTATTCAGTAAATGGTGCTGGGAAAACTGGCTAGCCATAAGCAAAAAGCTGAAACTGGACCCCTTCCTTACACCTTATACAAAAATTAACTCAAGATGGATTAAAGACTTAAATGTAAAACCCCCAATTATAAAAACTCTGGAAGAAAACCTGGGCAATACCATTGAGGACATAGGCATAGGCAAAGACTTCATGACAAAAACACTAAAAGCAATTGCAACAAGAGCCAGAATTGACAAATGAGATCTAATTAAACTAAAGAGCTTCTGCACAGCAAAAGAAACTATCATTAACCTACAAAATGGGAGAAAATTTTTGCAATCTACCCATCTGACGAAGATCTAATATCCAGAATTAACAAGAAACTTAAACAAATTTACAAAGCAAACAAACAGCCCCATCAAAAACTGGGCAAAGGATATGAAGATACAGTTCTCAAAAGAAGACATTTACGTAGCTAACAAACATGAAAAAAGCTCAACATCACTGATCATCAGAGAAATGCAAATCAAAACCACAATGAGATACCATCGCCAGTCAGAATGGCTATTATTAAAAAATGTCAGGAAACAATAGATGTTAGTGAGACTGTAGAGAAATAGGAATACATTTACACTGTTTGTGGGAATGTAAATTAGTTCAACCATTGTGGAAGACAGTATGGAATTCCTCAAGGGTCTAGAACCAGAGATACAATTTGACCCAGCAATCCCATTACTGGTTATATACGCAAAGGAATATAAATCATTTTACTATGAAGACACATGCACATTTATGTTTATTTCAGCACTATTTACAATAGCAAAGACATGGAGTCAACACAAATGACCATCAATAACAGAATGGATAAAGAAAATGTGGTATATATACACCATGGAATACTAAGCTGCCATAAAAGGAATGAGATCATGTCCTTTGCAGGGACATGGATGAAGCTGGAAGTCATCATTCCCAGCAAACTAACACGGGAACAGAAAATCAAACACCACATGTTCTCACTCATAATTGGGAGTTAAGTGATGAGAACACATGGACACAGAGAGGGGAATGACACAAAACAGGGCCTGTTGGGGGGTGGGAGATGAAGGTAGGGAACTTAGAGGATGGGTCAATAGGTGCAGCAAACCACCATGGCACACCTATGTAAGAAACCTGCGCATTCTGCACATGTATCTGTTTTTTTTAGAAAAAATAAAAAAAATACAGAAAACTCTATTTTATTTTTCACTGATTAAAATTATATATGTGTGCAATCAATTATGAGGTAATAAGAAAAAGAGCAACTCTGGTAAATATTTATGTCTGTAATTAAATACTATATCAAATTATAAATTCTTTGTAATAATTTGTGTAATTTATTATAAATACATTTATATATATAATCTCCACTTTGTATTCATTAATGAGTTTTATTAAAAACTAATTGATGCTCACTAAAGATTTGAGGAAAATAGGGATAAAAATAATAAAAAGCATCATATTCCTGCAACTTTTAAAAAAGCAACAAAGTACTATTTTAACATGTCCTCCTTTGGGCTTCTTTTTAAGGCACACACAGTGGTTGTATTAGTCTAGGTTTTCTAGAGTAACAGAACTAATAGGATAGATGTATATATAAGGGGGTGTTTATTAAGGAGTATTGACTCACATGATCACAAGGTGGAGTCCCACAGCAGGCTGTCTGCAAGCTGAGGAGCAAGTAAGCCAGTGTCAGTCCCAAAGCTGAAGAACTTGGAGCCTGATATTCAAAGGCAGGAAGCATTCAGCATGGGAGAAAGATGTAGGCCAGAAGACTAAAGCAATCTAGTGTTTCCATGTTCTTCTGCCTGCTTTTATTCTGGCCATGCTGGCAGCTGATTAGATTGTGCCCACCCAGATTGAGAATGGGTCTGCCTTTCCCAGTCCACTGACTCAAATGTTAATCTCCTTTAGCAACACCCTTACAGACACACCCAGCAAAAATGCTTTGCATCCTTCATTCCAATCAAGTTGACATTCAATGTTAACCATCATAATGGTTTTCCTTTGTCTTTCTTCCCTGTCCGCAATGTAATTCATACATACTAACATAATTGGCAACATAAAATTTCATGGTAAATTCTGACCAGTGGGACAGTTTTTCCAAGTAGTTACATGTGCCCCACTACATGCTTATTTCTCAAATAAAATATACTAAATTATAATAAGATTGTTTACATTTTTATCACTAAATTGGAGCCTCAATCTCTTAATATTTTTATGAGTGCATTGTGTATCAAATTTCATCATGCATAATTTTATTAGATGATGGCTCTTCTCAGAACTGTGCATAGTTACAGATCAGTAAAGTAGTTCAAAACAATGTTGTTGCTTCTACATCATCTTCTAAAATTGAGCTACTCAGAGGAGGCACTTTTGTTTTATTTTCTCTTTTGTTTTCATTTTTGATTTTTCTCCATTCCTGACATTATGGGGAAAAAAAAGAGTTACGTAAATATTGCAGTGTTTAAATATCTTGACAGAGATAATCCAGAAAGTAGCAAAAATTTACATTCAAATGTGAATCGGCTAAACCTGAATTCCATTCATTTTATATTACAAGTTTAATTAAATAAATAATTTAGTGAAAACAACACAAAAATTTATCAGCATTTGTTTCATTGATTTTTAAAGATTTGCATCAGCTAAGGTATTCAAGGGTCTTCCTTTTTGTGAGACATTTAATTTTCTTATGTTCTTCAAAATCTGCTAATTCTGTTCCCAAAAAGAAGGTGGTGCTTGATTATAGATTCTATACATCTGATTGAACTTACAATAATAAATAAAACTCAATGTAGCATATGTTTTAATAATTTTTATACAAAATGTAATGATTTTATTCAATATATAATGCTAAATCATAAAACATTAAATCATAATCTCAACTTTGACTTTTTCACATTAGCATGCCCTTAAAGATATGTCAGATAGAGGAGAGGTGAGGGATGGTGAATTAAATTCTATAGCAATTATCACCCTACAGAAGAGTCAATTTGAATAACTATTCACGTGTGGAAATATATTCATAAGAGCAGAAAAAAAAACACAGGAGCTATCACAGTGCCTGGTTGTAGCACAATAAGAAGAAGATATGGATTTAAGAGGGTAGAAAGAACAGTTTTACATTATTCGTATCACCCCTACCCCTACCCAGGCAGGACATCATGGAGAGAATTATTATCCATTTAGGAGAAAGAGAGGAAAGTGAGAACAGGACTTTGCCTAGGACCTCAACACTGGGCCAGCCACAGTAAAACCCAGTGCCAGGCAGATCCTCATGATCCTGCATTCCAGGCCAGTATTCATGGACTGAGACTATGGACCTTCCCTGGCACCAGGTTAGCCCACAAAGCCCTAGGTTTCAGGCTTATATAGTGAACTTGATCTCCAGCCTGCACCATCACTAGACCAATATCAATGACCCTGGGCTCCAGAAAGCCCTCAACATCAGGAAGTCATCAGCAGTCTTCAGCAGTCCTAGGACTCTGGCTAATCTCAGCATTTCACCTGCCATAGCAGCTTCAGGTTTCTGATGCTGGCTGGAGCTGCACTGGGCTTCTGGTGCAACCCGGTGCCACACTGACTGCTGGACTTTCCCAGAGAAAACCAGTCTGTGAAGGCTAATAAAAAATTAATAGAGAGATTGAAATAAAAATTATAAAAATCAAAAATCAAATAGGAATGCTATAGCTAAAAAAAATACAGTAAAAAATATAACTGCAACAAGGAGCATCAATGGCAGAATTGATCAGACAGAAGAAAGAATCTGTGAACCCAAACAAAATTTATCTTAAAATGTAAAGTCAGAGGAGAATAAAGAACAAAAGAATGTCAAAAGTGAAAAAAGCTTATAGGACTCATGGGACAGCATCAAAGGAGCAAATATTTTTCTTATAAGAATTAAAGAAGGAAAAGAGGTAAAGAAGAAGAAACTTGTTTGAAAATAGTAGCAGAAAATTTTCCAAACCTGAAGATCTAAATATAGAAGTAGATGAAGGTCAGTGGTATCCAATCTAATTCACTTCAAGGGGGATTAGCTCTACATATATTACAGGTTGCATATTCTTTGTTCAAAATAATTGGGGCCAGAAATGTTTTGCATTTCTCATTTTTCAGAAATATTTGTAGATAACATACTGGTTGAGCATTGATAACCTAAAAATTCAAAATCTAAAATGCTCTGATGAGCATTTTCTTTGAGCAACATCTCAGCACACAACAAGTTTTAAATGTTTTAAAATTTTGCATTTTAGATTTTTGAATTAAAGGTATTTAACCCATATAATCAGATTTTCAAAGATCAAAAACAAAGGGGAATCTTGAAAGCAGCAAGAGAAAATAAACAAATAATATATAAGAGAGTTTCAATATGGCTGGTAGCAGACCTTTCAGCAGAAACCTTATACTCCAGGAGAGAGTGGGAAGATATATTCAAAGGGCTGGAGGCATACACACACACACACACACACACACACACGCACACATACCTGTCAACCAAGAATACTGTTCCTAGAAAAATAGTCCTTCAGAGCTAAAGAAGAGATAAAAACTTTCCTAGACCAAGACAAGCTAAAAAATTATCACCACCAGATGTATCATATAAGAAGTGTTAAAGGGAGTTCTTCAGGCTGAAAGAAAATGACACTAATGAGTAACACAACAACGTCTGTATAAAATTCACTGGTAAAACTAAGTGCACAATCAAATTTACAATATGCTAACAAAGTGATAAAGGTGTGTAAATTATGATATATTGGTATAAAGTTTAAAAGACAAAGCTACTAAAATACTAATAGCTAAAATTATTTGTTGAGGAATATGCAATACAAAAGAATTAAATTATGACACTAAAAATTTTAAATGTGAGAAGGGAAGTAGAGTAAATTTGTAGAGTATTTTTGTTCCTGCTTTGTTTTAGTTTCTTTTTTTCAATCAAAGTTAAGTTGTCATCAGCTTAAAATAACCTATTATAACTATAAGATTTATTTAATACATTTCAGAATCAACACAAAGCAAAAATCTACAGTACCTACACAAAAAATAAAAGCAAAGAATCAAAACATCGCAAAAGAGAATATCACTTAGCTGTAAAGGAAGACAGCAAGACAGGAAAAAAGGAACAGAGGATATTAAAACAACAACTAAAAAACAATTTACAAAACGATAGTAGTAAGTGCTTACCCATCAATAATTACCTGGAATGTAAATGGATTAAAATTACCCAATGAAAAGACACAGATATACAAAAAAAAAAAGACCCAGATATATACTGTCTACAAGATACTGATTTCACTTGTAAGGAAACAGATAAATTGAAAATGAAAGGATGAAAAAAGATATCACACATAAATGGAAAACAAAATAATCCAGGAACAGCCATACTTATATTAAATAAAATAGACTTTAAGTTAAAAACTGTAAAAAAAGAAAAAAGTCATTATAGAATGAAAAAGTAATCAATTCAGCAAGCTGATGTAACAATTGTAAATATATATGCATCCAACATTGGAGTACTTAAATATATAAAGTAAATATTAATACATTGGAAGGGAAGAATAGAATATGAGACAATATCAATATGAAACTTTAACATCCCCACTTTTAGCAATGTACAGTTCCTTGAAACAGAAAACAAAACAAAACAAAACAAAAAAAGTTAGGCTTAAAGTACATTTTATACTAAATGTTCCTAACAGAGATATACAGAATATTCTATCCATAGCTGTAGAATACACATTTTTCTCATTGACACATGGAACATTCTCCAGGACAGGGCATATGTTAGCCCACAGAAAAACTCTTAACAAATTTAAGAAGATTAAAATTGTATCAAGTATATTTTCTGATAATAATGAGATAAAATTAGATATCAATAACAGGATACATTCAGAAAATTTGCAAATACATGGAAATTAAACATGCTCCTGAAAAACCAGTATGTCAATGAAAAAATTAAAAGGAAAATTAAACAAATTTCTTAAGACAAATGAAAATGGAAAAACAAAATATGACAACATATGTGAAAGAGCAAAATCATTTCTTTTTTTACCTCTACTATTTTTTTTTCTTTCCAACTTTTATTTTAGGTACAGCAGGGTACATGTGCAGATTTATTATATGGATAAAGTGCATGTTGCAGGGGTTTTGTGTACGGATTATTTTATCACACAAGTAATGAGCCCAGTACCCGATAGGTAGTTTTTCAATTCTTACACCCTTCTTACCCTCCATCCCCAAGTAGGATCTGGGGTCTATTATTCCTGTCTTTGTGTACATGTATACTCAGTGTTTAGCTCCCACTTATAAGTGAGAACATGTGATATTTGGTTTCCTATTCCTACATTAATTCACTTAGGATAATGGCCTCTCCAGCTCTGACCACGTTGCTGCAAATGATATAATTTTGTTCTTTTTTATGGCTGCATAGTATTCCATGATGTATTTGTACCACATTTTATTTATCCAGTCAACCACTGATGGGCAGCTATGTTGATTCCATGCTTTTGTTATTATAAATAGTGCTATAATGAAAATGTGCATGCATGTGTCTTCATGGTAGAATAATTTCTATTTCTTTCATTATACACTTAGTAATTGGATTGCTGGATCAAATGGTAGTTCTAGTTCTATTTTAAGTTCTTTGAGAAAGCTCCAAACTACTTTCCTCAGGGACTGAACTAATTTACATTCACACCAGCAGCATATAAGCATTTCCTTTTCTCTGCAACCTTGCCAACATCTGTTATTTTTTTGAGTTTTTAATAATAGCCACTCTGTTGTGAGATGGTATCTTACTGTGGTTTTGATTTGCACCTAACGATTAGTGATTTTGATCATTTTTTTATATGCTTCTTTGCTATGTGTATGTATTCTTTAAAATAGTGTCTGCTCATGGGTTTTGTTCATTTCTTAATAGGATAGTTTATTTATGGCTTGTTAATTTTTTTAAGTTCCTAATGGAGTATAGATACTATACCTTTGTCAGATGCATAGTTTGCAAATGTTTTCTTCCATTTCATAGGTTGTCTGTTTACACAGTTGATAGTTTCTTTGGTTGTGAAGAAGCTCTTTAGGTCCCACTCAGTGATTTTTGTTGTGGTTGCAATTGCTTTTTGGAGACTTTATCATGAAATTTTTGCAAAGCCCTACATTCTGGATGGTATTTCCTATGTTTTCTACTAGAGTTTTTACAGTTTTAGCTTTTACATTAAAGTTTATAATTCATCTTGAGTTCATTTTTCTCTATAGTGAAAAGAAAGAACCCAGTTTTAATCTTCTGCATAAAACTAGCCAGTTATACCAGCACCATTTATTGACTAGGAAGTCATTTTCTCACAGCTTGTTTTTATTGGCTTTCTTGAGGGTCAGATTGTTGTAGGTACACAGCTTTCTTTCTGGGTTCTCTAACTTGTTCCATTGGGGTATCCCTTTTTACACCAATACCATGCTATTTTGGTAATTGTAGCCTTGCAATATAGTTTGAAGTTGGGTAGTGTCATGCCTTCAACTTTGTTCTTTTTGCTTAGATGGCTTTGGCTATTTGAGCTATTTTTGTTAAACATGAATTTGAGAATATTTTTCAAATTCTGAGAGACATGTCATTGCTAGGCTGATAGGAATAGCATTAAACTATGAAGAAGTTCAAAACCTGAATAGACCAATAACAATCAATGAGATCAAAGCTGTAATAAAAAGTCTCCCAGCAAAGGAAAGCCCAGGACCTGATGGCTTTATTGCTGAATTATACCAAATACTTAAAGAAGAGCTAATACCACTCTTACTCAAAATATTTGAGGAAGAGAGAATACTTTCAAACTCATTTATAAGGGTAGTATTATATTGATACCAAAACCAGACAAAGACATATTTAAAAAAGAAAACTACAAGCCAATATTCCTGATGAACATTGACGCCAAATTCTCAACAAAATAATAGCAAACCAAATTCAACAACACAATAAAAATACCATTCAAGGCCAGGTTCAGTAGCTCACTTCCGAAATTCCAGCACTTAGGGAGGTTGAGGCAGAAGGATTACTTGAACTGAGGAGTTTGAGACCAGCCTGGGAAAAGTAGGGAGACACTATTTCTCCAAAATTGAAAATAAAATAGCTAGGGATGTTGGTGCCTGCTTGTAGTCACAGCTACTCAGGAAGCTGAGGTGGGAGTATTGCTTGGGCCTGAGAGCTGTGATCTTGCCATTGCAGCACTACAGCCTCGATAACAAAGCAAGACCCTGTCTCAAAAAGAAGAAAAACATAAGATAATTCCTTATGACTAAGTGGTATTTATCTCAAGGATGTAAGGATGGTTCAACATAAGTAAATCAATAAACATGATACATTATATCAACAGAATGAAGGACAAGAATCATATGATCATTTCTATTGATGCTGAAAAGCACTTGATAAAATTCAATATCCTTTCACAATAAGAACGTTTAAAAAACTGGTTATAGAAGGAGCTTATACCAACACAATAAAAGCATTTATGGCAGACTCAGAGCTAATAGCATACTGAATGGGAAAAACCTGAAAGCCTTTCCTATAAGATCTGTAACAAGACAAGGATTACCACTTTTACCACTGTTACTCAATGTAGTACTGGGAGTTCTAGCTAGAGCAATAAGACAAGAGAAAGACATACATGGCATCCAAGTTGGAAAGGAAGAACTCAAATTATCCTTGCTTGCAGGTGATATGATCTATATTTGGAAAGGCCTAAAGAGTCCACTGAAAAAACTACTGAACTGATAAATTCAGTAAAGTTGCTGATACAAAGCCAACACACAAAAAATCAGTAGCATTTCTCTATGCAAACCAGAAACAAAAAAGAAACCAAGAAAGTAATCCAATTTACTATAGCTACAAATAAAATAAAATATCTAGAAATAAACTTAAAGAAGTGAAAAATCTCTACAAAGTATAAATCACTGATGCAAGAAATTGAAGAGGACCCCAAAAAAGAACACTATTCTGTGTTGATGAATTTAAAACATCGATATTGTTAAAATGTCCATAGTATCCAAAGCAATCTACAGACTCAATGCAACCCCTATCAAAATACCAATCAATGACTTTCTTCACAAAAATAGAAAAAAAAATCCTAAAATTTATATGGAACCACAAAAGACCCAGAATATCAAAAGACATATTAAGCAAAAAGAACAAAACAAAGGAATAACATTACCTGACTTCAAATTATATAACAGAGCTATAGGAACAAAAATAGAGTGTTACTAGCATAAAAATAGATACAGAGACCAATGGAACAGAACAGAAATCTCAGAAATTAATCCATACACCTACAGTGAACATATTTTCAACAAAAGTGCCAAGAACATGCATTGCAGAAAGGTGTATGATAAATTATCAATATATATTAGGGATTTTATGAGTTTATATTACTATTTTGGGGGCTTGGAACATTGAAAACAGAAATAATTTACCTTAGTCTGGTTCTGATGAATTTCCATATAACTTGACGCTAATGTCTTAGTAGATTCTTTGCAAAAGTGAAAGCTCTTTATTAGAACATATTGCTAAGAACAGACTGGATTATTGCAGTGAAATTGCTACATCCAGCATTGCCTTGTCTGGAATCTTATGTTTCCTGCTCAAAGGAAAGAAAGAATTCACTGGCAAAAAGAATAATTTCTGGGTCTTTGATTATTTGACTGTAATGTTTCTTCTATCACACTCTGGATTGGCAGTCCTGAAACATTCATTACATTGTTCTTACAAAGTTATCTCAAAAAATTATTTGTCATCAAGCTGTGGCTTGATTATAGGACCTTCATTTATCAGCTATTATCAGTAAAATGGTACATTTTATTAGATGAAATATTTTGCTTTGCTTGGCATGATAACTTGCATATATTTTTAATTGCTTTGGTAGATGTTGCTGAAAACAAACATCTTTACTCAAAACATTATTAAGAAGACATTATATCACAATGTTTTCTGGGTGTCCATTGCTCTTATTGTCTTTTTAGTTTAATCTTCCTATTTTTATTTTTTAAAAATATTATTTCTGTGTATTTTCTGAGAACTGAAGGATCTCTTTCTATTGTATCTCTTTTGTCTAAACAACTCATGAGCTTTTACAATTCTAGTTTTCGTTGCTCTAGTCTAGACTCTAGCATTTTCTTGATTTCCTTCAGCTCATTCATTAAATATTATAGTATAGTGTTCCACAATTTTTGGCCATTTTTTTCTGATGTGTCTTTATTTTCTTTAACTATGTTTCTTAGATACTTACTATCCCCTTTTCTTTGTAATATATTAAAATAGGAATAAACAGCAATCCTTTAGGAGATGGGGTAGTCCAGCTCCATGGTTCTAATTCTTCCTCTTCTCAACTAAGATATCCAGGACATCTCTGTTCACAAACTCCAAAAAACACAGGAGCTATATTTCTCCTGTGCCACCAGAATTCCTGTCTCAATCATTTCGTGTACTATGTTCAGCAGTTACTCCTCAGTGAGTGGTTCTTTTGTGAAGCATTTCTGAAAGCAGAAGGCCTGTACCTTCAAGCTTTCATATT
The DNA here is from genome assembly GCF_000001405.40 of Homo sapiens. Taxonomy (NCBI): domain Eukaryota; kingdom Metazoa; phylum Chordata; class Mammalia; order Primates; family Hominidae; genus Homo; species Homo sapiens. The sequence goes on along the minus strand of NC_000003.12, from coordinate 145,604,198 downwards.
TCATTCTTTCAATTATTTTCCTGTAAAACAAAAGCCTTTGAAATCGTCTTTTACTCTTGATTGTTAACCAGAGATATGCCAATTGATTTCACTATCCAATTAGTTTATTTTCTTTTAGGGTAAATACTTGCAAGAAATTGCACAGCTGCTGTTTTATGAACTCTTTTATTTTTCATTTTCTCCTATTTGTCTATTGAGGTTTTTAATAATATAATTTGATCGAAATTTGTTGGAACTATCATCCAGGAGTTGTACCTTTTGTTAGCCTTGAGGCTCTCTCATTTTGAGAAGCATTAAAGAGATTAAAAGTATTTATTCTTAGGGCCACAGCTGTCTTTTCTCTGTTTGACCAACAATTTACAAAGTTGTATACATGGGTTCTTGACTAAAATTATATTCAGGTTAAAGTGAACATTGCTTATATAGTCCTGATGTAGGTTGATTTGTATATTTACTATCTATTTAAGTCTATTATTTTAAGCAAAACTGAGTCAACACAGATTAACATAATGGATAAAACCATATGAACATGATAAAGACATTCTAAACTCAGGGAGCTTACAAACTCATGAGGGTGATTGAACACCAACACGTAAAACAAACAGTTTTTTTTAGATAGTAGTAGATACCATAAAGTACAAAACACAGTGTGTGTGCGTGTGTGTGTGTGTCTTTGTAATATTTGAGATGGAATCATCAGATAATTTTCCTCAGAAAAGATATTTAAGCTAAAATCTAAAACATAAAGGATAACTAGTTATAAAAATTTCTGAGTAGTAGGATTATTTCAGGAATAGCAAAAACCCTAATATAGGAAAAAGCTTTTTGGGAAAGTAAGAAAGATAAAAAATAACAGTATGGCTGGATCTCAGATGGGGGCAGGGAGACAGGTGCAGTATGAGATGAGGTTGGAGGAGTAGACAAAGGTCAGTCTTACATGGCTCTGTGGGGTTAGTAAGATAATTGAATGTTTTTCCAAGTACAGTATGTGTTGGTAGATTTCCTGATAGGGAAATCAAATTTACACGATTCAATGTAAACTTTACTATTGAATTAATATACATTTAGGAATGTATTTTTACATACATATATTATGTATTACAATAAAAAGATATATATATAAAACACATATAGACAGATATATAAAGATATATATAGCTATTTATAAATCTAGATAAAAGATAGCTATACATATATATAGCTATATATATTTATATATATATAGAGAGAGAGAGAGAGAAAAAATGTGCTGAGGAGTTGAGGAACCCCTAATAGATGGGGTTGTCCTTACATTAAAAACCTTCATCCAAAGCAACAGGAAAGGCTTTTATGAAATGCTAGATAAGGTTTCACAATGCTTTAAATTCAAATAAAACAAAGAGTTGGACAATGTTCAAAAACAATAAAACTGGTGATTAGTTGTGAAAGAGTAATCAGCTTGTATTCTAAGTGATAACCCACTTCACATCCCCACACCTCAACTGCACCTGTACTCCTCACTCTCCTCATCCCTTTCCTTTTGTCAAATTGAACTATAGGTAACAGAGGTACTTGTCACAGAGAAAGAGAGTGGAATCTTCTTCAGTCAGATAGAATGACATGGTAGAACCTAAGTGAGACTTTTAACCAGAAGAACATGGACTCCCCAGTCCCAAAGACAGCTTACTGACTTATACTCTACTCTTGGCATGCCTTGTAACTTCCTCAATATCATCAGGGATACCTTAAATATTATTTACACATTATTCTAATAATCACAGTCATCAGAGACATCTTAAATATTATTTACATATTATTCTAGTAAAGCCTCATAACTTCTATTTAATAAGGATAAATAATCAGACAATCCCAAGTTGAGAGAAATCTAATTCTACATAACAATTCTCCTGTACTCTTCCTAAATGCCAGTGTCACTATTTTTAGGAAACACAATGAAGTATCTGAAGGTGAAGTTTCACTGTATGTGCAGACCAGTTTCCTAAGATTCAGTGAAAAAAATGAAAGAGAGATAAAACAATGTGGCAAAATGGTGACAATTGGGGAATCTAGATAAGGAGTGTATGTGATTTATTATACTGTCCCTTAGACTTTTTGAGTAGATTTAGTATGTTTCTATATAAAGATGTTGAAAAATAAAATAATATTTACACTCTGTGTATTCTTAATCTGATAATTTAAAAAAATTTAGAAAATGCATTATCTATTATAATTGAATAATATGTGTAAAATATAATACTATTTAACTTCCTGGAGTTGATATAAAAATTATCACCAACAGCCAGGTGTGGTGGCTCACACCAGTAATCCCAGCACTTTGGGAGGCTGAGGCAGGTGATTCACCTGAGGTCAGGAGTTCAAGACCAGCCTTGTCAACATGGCGAAACCCAGTCTCTACTAAAAGTACCAAAATTAGCTGGGCGTGGTGGTGGGCGCCTGTAATCCCAGCTATTCAGGAGGCTGAGGCAGAAGAATAGCTTGAACCCTGGAGGTGGAGGTTGCAGTGAGCCAAGATCGTGCCACTGTGCTCCAATCTGGGCTACAAGAGCGAGGCTCCATCTCAAAAAAAGAAAAAAAGAAACAAAGAAAAAAAATCACAAACATGGTGAATTAAAAGAAATTTATTCTTTTACAGTTGTGGAGATACTGAAGTCCACTACCAAGATGTCGAGATCACACGCCTTCCTAAGATCTAGAAAAGAATCCTTCTTTTTCTTTTTCTGCTTTTGAAGCTCCAGGCATTTCTTGGCTTAGAGCTGAATGACTCCAACCTCTACCTGCATCTTCACATGGACTTCTCCTTGTGTGTCTCTGTATATCAAATCTCCCTTTTTTTTTTTTTTTTTTTTTTTTTTTTTTTTAGCTTATAGGGGCACCTTTCATGGACATAAAGTTCATCTTAAATTCAGGATAATCTAATTTCAAGATCCTTAACTTAATTACATCTGCAAAGACCTTATTTTCTCTAAGATCACATTCACAGGTGCTAGGAGATCAGATTTATACATATCTTTTTAGGGGACACCATTTAGCTTACTACAGATATCTAGATAACTTTGGAAAAATATGTTTATAATAAAATTATAACACATGCATACAGTTCGACTGTTATTTTTCAGTCAACTATTTCAATGAAATTGTTCATATACAGACAAAGAGACACATAAAGGTATTGTAATGCCATTCTATTTATACTAGTAGTAATTTGGAAACTATTTGTCTACATGGAAGTGATCCAATAATAGTGTGTCCATAAAATATAAAATTATGCAGTTACTAATAAACATGAAGATTACTATGCTTTGGCATGAACTAATGCCCAAGAGAATTTTAAAAGGAAACAAAATAGCATAAAATATGTATCATATGATCTCATTTAACTTTTTAAACCTATAAAATAAGATCAAGGGTGTAATATGTAAATAAATAAGTAATCTATACACAAACATTATTGAAGAATTTATATTTAAAAGAAAACTCTGTTGACCTTCGAGGAAAAGAGTAGAACTAGAGAGATGAGGTGGTAGTGAGAAAGTTTTTCTGTAATATTTTGCTCTGTTGTAACTTGTAAAAGTAAATATTTCAAGATAAATGTTATGAAATATAATCTCTGAGCAAATAAAACATGAGACAATGAACCCATTATTATAATTGACTGAAGAGTAGCATGCAGAGAAATGTGGTGGTAGCTGGAAGTGCCTTGGCTCCTAGGAAAGAGTTTGATTTGTTTTCTTTTTAAGGACACATTTGAAAGACTATGAGAATGATCTAGATGGAATAATAAAGTGATGGCAAAGGAGATGGAACTAATTAGTTTGAAGGGGAAAGTGGAGCGCTTGAACAGGAGCAGGGACAGTTCCTTCATTGAAAGCAAAGTGTAGAAGGAGAAAGTGAGTGAAGGTTCAGGTAAGCTGTAATATATGTGGTGGAAAGATGATGGAGTTTGCATCAAATAGCTACAATTTTTCAGTTTTTAAAATACAGGATGTTGGAAGTCATTGGTTGAAACTAGAGTTGTGAAGGTACATGGAAGTTTGAGCAAAAAGGATATTATAAAGTAGTCATCTAGGAAATTAGAATGTAAACCTGTGGTGATAAATCATAGTGATACCAATCACATTTATTGTGCACCCCTCCCCCTCCCCCTCCTTCTCCTTCTCCTCCTCTTCCTCCTTCTCCTCCTCCTTCTTCTTCTTCTTCTTCCCATATTTAACTAAGCCCCTGGCATAGATAATTAAATAGTCAGGTTATATATGAAGATAAGAGTTTGCTAGAGAATAGAAATGAAGAATTTAGGAGCAAGAAAGGCAAAAAGAAATTAGTTTTACAAAGGGGTATTAATAAGTCAGACTAGAATCCAGACTTTAACAATGTGGATCTAGGAGAAAGCTGACAAGATACTGACATAATCATTGAATAAATGGTCTAGTATTGGCAATCAGAATAAATTGGTATTGTCCTTGAATAAATGGGATAGGAGGACAAAATGACCTTTGATATTAAGGTTTTAAGGTTTACCTTTTCTGGTGATGACAAGTTCAAGATTTAACTATGACAACATATTACAGATAAGAAAAGGAAAAAGGTCATTGTACATAAGAAGGCTAAGACATGCTTAGATTGGGGATTCATGGTTAATTGATGATAAGGTTACATTTTCTAAAAATATGGACAGGAGTTATGATAATTTAATTTGTTAGTAATTAAAAATACCTGATACAAGCCAGGTGCAGTGGCTCATGCCTGTAATCCCAGTAATTTAGGAGGCCAAGGCGGGTGGATCACTTAAGGTCAGGAGTTCAAGACCAACCTAGTCAACATGGTGAAAACTCATCTCTACTAAAAATACAGAAATTACCTGGGCATGGTGGTGCATGCCTGTAGTCCCAGCTACTTGGGAGGCTGAGGCAGAAGAATCACTTGAACCTGGGAGGTGGAGGTTGCAGTGAGCTGAGATCGCTCCACTGCACTCTAGCCTGGGTGACAGAATGAGACTCTGTCTAAAAAATAAAACCTGATACATAACTACAAGAGTAAATTTATAATAGAAAGTGCAGGGAAAGTTCATTGGAGCACTGTGATACACATTCATCAAATCAGTCACTAAGCTTTTTAAGAACTATTTATTGAGTACCTATAATACTATATATCAAGAAGAGTATTAGCCTTTAAGAATTAATCTTGCTATCTCTGAAGTTTCTGTTCTCCTAAAACTTATTACCTAATGGTGATTGTAACTATTGCCTCTAACTTTACAGTGGGCTTGCAAATGTAGAAAAAACTGATGTCCAGGATATACAGAATAAACTGCTTTTTCTAAATCTCTACTTCTTGTGATTATGTTAAGCGAAGTTCAAAGTAAATACTATACAAACATAATTTCAAAATATGAAAATACTATACAAATAATTTCAAAATATGAAAATACTATACAAAAAATATTTCAAAGTTCAAAATAAATACTATACAAACAATTTCAAATGTTTGTTTAAAAGCATAAATTAATTTAGGAAAATAGAAAACACAGATAGCATAAATAGATATTTAAAATTTATAATCCTTTTTAATTAAAATCATAGGTGAGTTGGCTAGACTAAGGTGAATGCATATTATTAAATATTAGATTTTAATAGGCATTGGTAATTTGCCTATTACCAGAAAATATTATCACAAATTAAGACTTTAATGATTTAAAAGCATTATCACAAATTAAGACTTTAAATGATTTAAAAGCTGAAGAGAATATAGTTAAAATGTGATATTATCATCCCTGTGAAAATTTAGCCCTACTTTTCCTTAAAATAATTTTCCCTTTAAAATTCTAATTTTTAGTTGAGTATTCAAATTTGTAAGACACAGAAACACATAAAGAAATATTTTTGTATATAGTCTTTCATGTGGGCTACATATTGAGAATTAATTATATGTAATGCCTTTGCAAAGTAAGGAGAGTTTAGTTCTGGTGTAGAAATGAAAACTATAATCTGCTCCTTTAGAATGAAATGACAACCATATCTAAGCAAATGTAGTTTGCAAATTAATGTAGTGTCAAAGGATATTGGAAAGATGGAAACTCATTCATGAAATGATTCTAGATGAATGATGCGAAGAAATGATTACTATTTTATTATTCAATATTGCTGCCTTTAAGAATTTTGCATTACCAATAGTTGTTAGTCAAACTCAATGTGTTGCACAAATTCTCTCTTTATCATATTTTAAAAACAATACTATTTATACCCAGCAAACCTATCTTTCAAAAATGAAGAGGGAGATGAAAACTTTTTCAGATAAACAAAAGGTGAGAGAGTTCATTCATCACCATTAGACTTACCTTACAAGAAATGCTAAAGGAAGTTCTTCAAGTTGAAACAAAAGGACAATAAACAGCAACACAAAAGCATAAGACACTATAAAACTTGTTGGTAAAGGTAATTATATAGACAAAAACAGAATCCTGTATTACTATAATAATGGATAAATTGCTTTTAAATATAAGTTAAAGGATTAAAATGTCAGAACTAACTATAAATAATTTTAATGAATACACAATATAAAAATGTAAATTGTGACATCAATAGCATATAATATTAAGAGAGGAGAGGTAAAATTGTACAGTTTTGCTATGCAAGTGAAGTGAGTTTAAAAGAGACTGTTAAAACTGTAGATATTTTATGTAAGCTACATGGTAATCACAAAGAAAATACCCATGGAAGTTACACAAAATAAAAAGAGAAAATGGGTCCTGAGATTTGAAATACTAGGCAGCCATAAAAAAGAACAAGATCATGTCTTTTGCAGGAACATGGATGGAGCTAGAGGCTATTATCCTCAGCAAACTAACACAGGAACAGAAAACAAAATACTGCATGTTCTCGCTTATAAGTGGGAGCTAAACGATGAGCACTTATGGACACAAAGAAGGAAACGACAGACGCCAGGGTCTTCTTGAGGGTGAGGAGGAGAGGAGGGAGAGGAGCAGAAAAGATAACTATTGGGTACTAGGCTTAATTTCTGACTGATAAAGTAATCTGGAAGAACAAATTCCTGAGACATGAATTTACCTATGTAACAAACCTTCACATGTATTCCCGAATCAAAAATAAAAGCTAAGAGAGAGAGAGAGAGAAGAACGAAGTCCATCAGTACCAAAACAACAGCAACAACAACAACAACAAGCATGAAATATAAAGGAAGATTTAAAGCGAGAAAAATAGGGACAAAAGAACTATAAGACAAACAGAAAACAGTTAACAAAGTGGCAATAGTACATATTTCCCTATCAATAATTATTTTAAGATTATATGAATTAGAGTTACAAATCAAAAGATAAAAAGTGGCTGAGTGGATTAAAAATCAAAACACTTTTAGGTATGATGTTAGCTGTAGGCTTTTTGTAGTTAAGTTTTATCAAGTTGAGGAAGTTTCCTTTTATTCACAGTTTACTAAAAGTTGGATTTTGTAAATTGATCTTTCTGCATCTATATGATCATGTGATTTTTCTTGCTTAGCCTGTTGATATGATAGACTACATTAACTGATATTTGCATGATGAATCAGACTTGCCTATCTGGAATAAATCCTACTTGGTCAAGGTGTACAATTCTTTTTACATATTGCTGGATTCAATGTAATGATATTTGGTTGAGGAATTTTGCATCTCTGTTCATGAGTAATATTGGCCTGAAGTTTTCTTTCCTTGAAATTTCTCTTTCTAGTTTTGATATAATAGTAATGCTAGCCTCAGAGACTGAGATAGGGAGTATGCCCTTTACTTATGTGTTCTTAAAGGGGTTCTAGAGAATTGGTATAATTGCTTTCTTAAATTCACTGGTAAACCCATCTAGGGCTTGTGCTTTCTGTTTGAGAAGGTAATTAATACTTAATTAAATTTCTTAAAAATCTGATACAGGCCTATTCAGATTTTCTTTTATGAGTTTTGGTAGATTCTATTTTTCAAGGAATTGATTCATTCATTCATCTAGGATATCAAATTTGTGAATGGAGACATGTTCGTAGCATTTCTTTATTATCCTTTTAAGGTCCATTAATATGTAGTGATGGTCTTTCTTTTATTTTTTTATCAGGAATTTGTGTTCTCTCTTTCTCTCTCTCTAATTAGCCTGACTGGAGACTTATCAACCTTACTGATGTTTTCAAACAATCAGATTTTTGTTTCCTTGATTATCTCTATTGATTTCTTGTTTTCAATTTTATTGATTTCTGATTAAACTTTTAGTATTTCTTTTCATCTGCTTACTTTGAATTAGTTAGCTCTTATTTTTCTAGTGTCCTAGGCTGGAAGCTTAGTCTTGCTATAAATTTCCCTCGAAGCACTGCTTTTGTTGCATCCCACACATTTTGATAAACTGTGTTTTCAGTGTAATTTCATTCAAAATATTTTTAAATTCTCTTGAGATTTCTTTTTTCACCCATGTGCTATTAAGAAGCCTGTTAGATAATCTCCAAGTATTTTAAATTTTTACCAGCTATATTTCTGTTATTAATTTCTAGTTTAATTCCACTGTGGTCAGAAAGCAGACATTGTATGATTTCCATTCTTTTAAACTTTTTAAGGTGTGTTTTATGTCCCAGAATGTGCCCTGTGTCAGTGAAAATTACATGTAAGCATGAGAATAACATGTATTCTGCTGTTATTGGATAAAGTAGGACACATACACCTAGTATATCCATTTAATTGATAATGTTGTTGGGTTCTACTAATATTTACTGATTTTCTACCTTTTGGGTCTGCCTCTTTCTGAAAGGAAGCTGTTGCAATCTCTAACTATAACAGTGAGTTTATATATTTCTCCTTAAAGTTCTATTAATCTTTACTTACATATTTTAATTTTCTGTTGTTAACTGTGTACACATTAAGAATTGAACCTTTTAATTTTGTTTAATGCTTCTGTCTAAAATTAATATAGCTACTTCTGCTTTCCTTTGATTAATATTAGCATAGTATATTTTTCCCCATCCATTCCCTTTTAATCTATATTTGTCTTTATGTTGAAAATCAGTTTATTTTAGACAACATGTAATTAGGTCTTGTCTTTTGATCCACTCTGAAAATGTATATTTTAATTGATTTATGTAGAACATTAAAATTCAAAATGAATACTTATATAGTTAGATTAATATCTATTATATTTTTAATGCTTTCTATTTGTCTTTGTTCTTTGTTCCTCTTTTTGTCTTCCATTCTTTTTCTGTCTTTTGTTGTTTTAAATGAACATTTTATATGATTCCATATTCTCTCTTTTTTTCTTTGATTTTCTGTGCTTTGAAAATAATATGCCTGAGTGTAGTTCTTCTGGCACTTATCCTACTTGGTGTTCTCTTCAGCTTCTGAAATCTGTGGTTTGGTGCCTATCAATTTAAAGGAAATGTTTGATCATTATTGTTCCAATATTTCATCTGTTTCTTTCTTTCTCTCTTCTCCTTAGGTATTCTCATTATATGTGTTTACACATTTTATAATTGTCACATAGTTCTTGAATATTCTTTTCTGAATTCTTTTCAGTCTTTTCCTCTTTTAGTTTTAGGAGGTTCTATTGAGATATCCTCAAGCTCAGAGATTATTTTATCAGTTGTATTCAGTCAACTAATGAGTTTTCATAGGCCTTCCTAATTTCTCCTATGGTTTTTGGATTTCTAGAATTTCTATTTGCTTCTTTATGAGAATTTTCACCTCTACTTGCATTGCCTATCTGTTCTTACTTACGCATTGTGGACTTTATCCATTAGTATTTTTGGCATATAAACCATACTTGCTTTAAATTATTTGTCTAATAATTCCAACATCTTTGCCACATCTTAGTCTGGTTCTGATTCCTGCTTTGTATATTCATACAGTGTTTTTTGTCATTTAGTATATCTTCTAATTTTTTGTAGTAGTCAAACATAATGTACTCAGCATTAGTTCCCATGGAGGTTGCTACTCATGAGTTTCTCCTATTGTAAATGATGACTCTTTATTTGTTTGACAGTCTCTTCAATTTTGTGGGTAGCAATTTGCCTATGACCTCACTTCTCTTGTGGACCTAAGGAGTTGTTACTTTCTCTATATTTTTTAAACTTTGTACTTGTTAGGATGGAGTGGCTACATTCAGGATTCCTGTATGCTGCACCCCACAGTTAGTTTTTAAGAAAAATGTAAGTTTAAGGGGAAATTTTTCTAATTTCTAATTAATTTTCTAATATTTCTAATATTTCTGTAATTAAAGATCACAATTTTAAATTAATTTTAATAAAACTTTGATTTTGGTTATTGTATTACAATGTGATATAAATACTATTTTTGGTTTCCAGGTATTAGAGATAATTTTGACATAAATTAATGTTTGCTAATCATGTTAATAAATAATTATTTTAGATTTAGTTATATTATTTAGTCTGAATTACTAGATTTATATTTTTGTGAGCTGTAAAATTTTTTCTATTTCTAATTAAAAGTTTAAACCAAATTTAATAATTAAATTATTCTGTTTTGTCGAAGGCAAAATTAAAACCACATACTAAAAACATTATTTCCACACTGGACAAGCAAACATTCTGAAATTAAAAATTATCTAGTAATATCTAAAATATTTTTAAATGTATACCAGTTAATAAACTTTGAAGTTTTGTACTTTCAAAATAACAGTATTACATTTTCAGTAGTTTTCCCCGACTTCTTGAAATATGTACAAATCTAAGATGTGAATACCCAGAAGGATGAGTAGAAATCAATATCATGAACCATGGAATTGTGAACTCATAAACTTGAAGCTTTATAATAGTAGGAGGCAAAGATCCCTTCATGGGCTTATGAGTGTGGATTGTGAATTCTGAAGTCAGGCTGCCCAAATTATTACTAAAAGATGTCAAAGTAAATTTTTTTAGGTCTTATAACCATGATAAATTTATCTGTTTTTTTATTCCTTAGTTGTTTCAATAGTAAATTAGTGAATTAAAATAGCTTTTTGAAAGAGTTACATGTAGTATTAAGAATATGTGTAAAGTGCTTAAAACAGTACCTGTCCACACATTTTTCTATAAAATATAATTATTTATGTTCACATAATCTGTCTGGCACCGGCAGAATTTAATCTTGATACACTGTTAATTCAAAAATATTAAATAGTGAATATCTGATAGTAATATGTTATTATAACATGCTACTAAACAACAGAAAGAGGAATTATTTTCATTCATTAATTTCCAAATAATATTCAATGTTTAATTCTCATTTTGTTTCTTCCTATATTCACTTTTTAATAAAAGCAATAATTATGCTCTTACTATTTTAAAAATTAGTTTTTAGATTTGAGCCTCCTCCAATTTGTTGAAGGCAGTCTACTCAAATATTCTTAAAAAATTTATATCATTGACTTTGAAATGGAATTTTCTTTTACCAAAAAGTGAGACTAAAAATAAAAACAATTTTATATAAGTAACTAGCATATGTTTAATTAGGACTTTTCTTAAAATAGCAGAATGTAGTAGGAAAAAAATGAAAGAGTTAGTGCTGTTTCAAAGTTTGCATTCACAGCTTCCTTCATCTTGATAAGAAAGATATACTTTTGTATTATTAAAGCACTTAAAGCTCCTTTGCCTGTGTTTGTTTTGTTTTTTCTCTATATATAATGGAGAAAAATGCATAAATTTAGGCATAACATGAAATAATAGTTTAATTTGACAGAACTAATTAATCTAGATAAAACAGAGATCACATTTAGAATAAATATTATTCATTTTCCAAATACATTATGTGACAAAATTGTAGATTTTGCAGTTCCAGGAGGACATCAAAATACTATGACTGGATTCAAGGTAAGATTAAATAATTGCTAAAAATACCTCTAGTTTGCAAAGTAAGCATTGTGAAGATATAGATAATTAAATCTGTGGTCTAGGGTATAAAATAACTACCTCTGGAGAATAAGATTAATAAGCTACATCCTTACCACACAGTTTTCATACATCATGCTGAAAAAACATCAGCATATGCTTGATGTGCCTTAGGAGATCATTTGTAGTAATAAAATGAAAAAGAAATTATCCAAATTATTCTTACATAAAATACATATAAAATATTATACATAGTACATATGCATTATATACATGGTATGTGTGTGAGCATTAACCCTTCAGAAAGTAGGTTTTGAAAAGAGGCATTGTATTATATTGAAAATAAATCTAACTGCTATTTAGCACAGAAAATTTCCATGAAAAAATTTCAGGTAAGTGTGGTGCGTTGAAAATATATGACCACTTTGAATATAGGTTGTGCTAAGTAAGTAACTGTACAGAAAAGACAGCCATGAGTCAAATTTCTGTTTTTTAAAAACCTTTATTATGGATACATAACAGTTGTACATACTTATGGAATACATGTGATATTTTGATAGAAGCCTGCAATGTGTAATGACCAAATCAGGGTAATTGGGATATTCATCATCTCAAGCATTTATCATTTCTTTGTGTTAGGAACATTCTGATTTCACCTTTTAAAATTATTTTGAAATAATGTATAATTGTAAACTGTAGTCGGCCTATTTTTCTCCTGAATAATAAATTTTAGTTCTTCTATCTAACTGTAATTTTGTTTCCATTAATCACCCCATTTTTATTTCCCACCCCCACTGCTCTTCCCAGGCTGTGGTAACCATCATTCTACTCCTTATCTCCATGACTTCATTTTTTTTCTCTTTAGCTCCCACATGTAAGCGAATGGATATAATATTTGTCTTTCTGTGCCTGGCTTATGTCACTTAACATAATGTCTGCCAGTTCTATCCATGTGATTGCAAATGACAGGATTTCATTCTTTTTATGGCTGAATAATATTCCATTGTGTATATGTACCATATTTTCATTATCCATCCATTTGTCGATGGACACATACGTTCATTTATATCTTGATAAACATTGCGAGTAGTACTGCAATAAATATGGGCATACAGATATAAATTTGCCATGCTGATTTCCTTTCTTTGGATATATATACCCATCTGTGGAATTGCTGGGTCTATTGTATTTCTATTTTTATTTTTTTTGAGAAGCCTCCATACTATTATCCATTGGGGCTGTATGAATTTACATTCCCATAAACAGTGTATGAGGGTTCCCCTTCCTTCCCATTCCTGCCATCACTTGTTATTGCCTTTTTAAAATGAAAGCCATTTTACCTGAGGTGAAATAATATCTCATTTTAGTTTTGATTGACATTTCTCTATAATTAGTGATATTGAGCATTTTTTCACTTATCTGTTGGCCATTTGTATGTCTTCTTTTGATAAAAGTATCTATTCGGGTCTTTTGCCCATTAAAAAAATAAGATTTATTTTTGTTTCCTATTGAGTTGCTTGAGCTCCTTATCTATTGTGGTTATGAATCCCGTGTCATATAGGTAGTTAGCAAAAATCATCTCGTATTCTGTGGACCATCTCTTCACTTTGTTGATTGTTTTCTTTGCTGTGCAGTGACTTTTTAATTTGATGTGATCCCCTTTGTCCATGTTTTCTTTGGTTACATGTGCTTGTGGAGTATTACTCAAGAACTCTTTGCCCAGTCCAATGTCCTGCAGGGTTTCCCCAAAGTTTTATTTTAGTAGTTTCATAATTTGACATCTCATACTTAAATATTTAAAACATTTTTATTTTACTTTAGTATACGGTGACAGATAGGGGACTAGTTTCATTCTTCTGCAAATGAATATCCAGTTCTCCCAGCACCATTTATTGAAGAGATTGCTCTTTCCCCAATGCATGTTCTCGATACCTTTGTAAACATGAGCCCACTGTAGATGTATGAAATTATTTCTGGGTTTACTATTCTGTTCCATTGGTCTATATGTCTGTTGTTATGCCTGGGTCATGATGTTTGAGTTACTATAACTTTGTATTGTATTTTTAAGTCATGCAATGAGATGTCTCCAGCTTTGTTCTTTTTGCTCAAGATTTCTTTGGTCTTTTGTGATTTCATGTAAATTTCAGAAAGATTGTTTCTATTTCTATGAAGAATCTCACAGACATTTTGATAGAGATTGTATTGAATTTGTAGATTGATTTTGGTAATATGGGCATTTTAATAATATTGATTCTTCCAATCCATCAACATGGAATATCTTTCTGGTTTTTTTGTGTGGTCTGCATCAATTTCTTGCATCGATGTTTTATGGTTTTCAATGTAGAGCTTTTTCACTTCTTTGGCAAAATTTATTTCTAGCTTTTAAATTTCCTTTTTAGCTATTATAAATAGGATTACTTTCTTGGTTTCTTTTCTAATTTGCTATTGGCATATAGAAAAGCTAGTTATTTTTGTATGTTGATTTTTGTATTCTGCAACTTTACTGAAATTTTTTATCAGTTTTAATGGCTTCCTGATGGAGTTTTTAGGTTTTCTAAATATAAGATTAGATTTTCTGCAAACAAGGATAGTTTGACTTTTTCCTTTCCAATTCAGATGGCTTTTATTTTTACTCTTTTCTAATTGCTCTGGCTAGGATGTTAAATACTGTGTTGAATAAAAGGAGTGAAAGTGGGCATTCTTGTGTTGTTGGACATGTCAGAGGGAAGGCTGTCAGTTTTTCCTCATTTAAAGTAATATGGGCAGTGGGTTTCTCATATAGGCTTTTATTGTGTTGAGGTATTTCGCTTCTATTCCCAGTTTGTTCAGAGTTTTTATCATGAAGGGATGTTAACTTTTTTGTGTGCTATTGCAAAGTTCATATGGTTTTTGTTCTACATTCTGTTGATGTGATGTAACACATTTATTAATTTTCATATGTTAAATCACACTTGTATCGCCAAGATTAATTGCACTCGATTATGATGATCTTTTAATGTGTTATATTCAGTTTGCTAGCATTTTCTTGAAGAGTTTGCATCTATGTTCTTTAGAGATATTAGCCTGTAGCTTTCTTTTTATGTTGTGTCCTTGTCTCATTTTTCTGTTAGGATAATAGTAGCCTCATATAGTGAGTTTGGAAGTGTTCCCTTTACCTTGAATTTTTTAAAACTAGTTTGACTAGGATTTGTATTGCATCTTCTTAAATGTTGGCAGAATTTTTAGCAGTGAAGCTGCAAGGCCCTGGGATTTTCTTTAATGGAAAATTTTTATTACTGCCTTTATCTTGTTATTTGTTATTGGTGTATTCAAGTTTAAGATTTCCTCATGGTTCAATCTTGGTAAATTTCATGTGTCCAGGAATTTATCGATTTCATCTAGGTTTTCCAAGGTATTGACATATATTTGCTCATAATAGTTGCTCATAACAATCTCCAGTGATTTTTGAATTTCTGTGGTATCAATTGTAATGTCTCCTTTTACATTTCTAATTTTATTAATTTGTGTCTTCTTGCTACTTTTTAAATAGTTTGTTGAGGGTTTATCTTTTCAAAAAAAACCAAATTTTTAATTTGTTGATCTTTTGTGTTTTTTTTTTTCAATTTCAGTTTCATTTATTTCTGGTCTGATATTTATCATATCATTCTTTCTACTAATTTGGGGTTTGGTTTCTTCTTCCTCTTCTAGTTCTTTAAGATACACTCTTAGGTTGTTTATTCAAATTTTTCTATTTTTTAAATGTAGACATTTACAGCTGTAAACCTTCTTCTTACTAATGCTTTTGTAGTATTCCATAGATTTTGGTATGTTGTGTTTTTTTTTTTTACTTGTTTGAAGAAATTTTAAAATTTTCTTAATTTCATCATTGACTCAATAATCATTTGGGAGCATATTGTTTAATTTTGGTGTGTTTTTATCAGCCCAACATTCCTCTTATTTATTTTTGTTTTATTCCATTGTGGCTAGAAAACATAATTGATATAATTCTAAATTCTTTTGAATTTTTGTGACTTGTTTTGTTCCCTAACATATGGTCTATCTTTGAGAATCTTCCATGTGTTGAGGAGAAAAATGTGCATTATGTTGTTTTCAGATGAAATGTTCTGTAAATATCTGTTAGGTCCATTTAGTGTATGCTTCAGATTAAGTCCAGTGTTTCTTTGTCAAATGAGATGATCTGTCCAATACTTGAAGTGGGTTGTTAAAGTTCACATCTGTTATTGTATTGCCGTCTGTCTCTCTCTTTAATAATAATCCTTGCTCTGTATATCTGGGTGTTCCAGTGTTTGATGCATATACATTTACAATTGTTATATTTTCTTGCTTAATTAATCTTTTTATTATTATATAACAATCGTTTTGTATATTTTTACAATTTTTGTCTTGAAGTCTATTTTATGAGAAGTAAATATAGATACTCCTGATATATTTTGGCTTTCATTTGCATAAAATAGCTTCTTCTATCCCTTTATTTTCAGATTATGTGTGTCTTTATAGGTGAAGTAAATTTCTTATAGGCAGCATATAGTTGGGTCTTGTGTTGTTTATTTTTTTTCTGTGTAGCTACTCTACGTCTTTTGTTTTAGAATTAGTCTATTTACATTCAGTGTTATTACTGACAGGTAACGACTTACTACTGTCATTTTGCTGTTTGTTTTCTGGCTGTTTTGTTGTTCCTCTCTTTCTTCCTGCCTGTCTTCCTTTGTGTGAAAATGATTTTCTCTGGTAGATATTTTAATTCCTTGCTTTTTATTTTTTTTTGTGTGTGTGGATCTATTATGGGGTTTTTTTGTGATCATAAGTCTTGCAAATAGCGTATTATAACCAATTATTTTATACTGATGACAATTTAATTCTTATCACAAAGAAGAAAAATAAGCAGAGACAACTAAAAAACTCACCACTGTAACTTCTTCTTCCTTACTTTTAGGCTTTCTGCTGTCTCTGTTTATATTGTTTTGTACTGTCTTGTCTCTTAAAATGTTGTAGTTGTTATTTTTGATGGGTTTATCTTGCAGGGTTCCTACTAGAAATATGAGTGAATTGTAAACTGTAATTGCAGTGTTAAAGTATTCTGTATTTTTCTGGGTCTTACTTATATCATTGAGTTTTATACCTTCAGATGATTTTTCATTGTTTACTAATATCTTTTTCTTTCAGATTTAGTCAGCAGGTGGTGAATCCAGCCAGGACTGGGTTTGTCCCTTTAGAGCAGTGGATTCCCTTGTAGCCAAGGTATGGTATAGAAATGCCATCCAGCAGCTAAGACCTGGAATCAGGGGCTTCAGGAATCTGCCTGGTGCTTTATTTTACTGTGGCTAAACTGGAACCCACATTGCCAGATAAAGTCCTCTGTATTCTTCCGTCTCCTTCCCGGAAGTAGAAGAAGTCTCTCCTTCAGTGGCACTGCCTGGAGTTGGGGTAGGGGTGATGCAGGCACTCCTGTGGCTGCCACAGGAGTGCCACTCTGGGTTGCACCGCAAATCCATTGCCTATGAGACCAGCACAGCACCTGAGCTTGCCCAAGGACTACAGTCATTATGGCCTAACTTCCTCTCAAATTTATCTGGGGACCCAGGCCACTTTAGTCAGTCAGTGGTAAAGTGGGCCAGGACTCAGTTTTCTTCTGCTAGGGTGGAAAAGTCCCTTCTGGCCCAGGGTTTGTCTAAATTCTCCCGTTGTGGGCACCTCTGCCAGAATTCTGCCCTGTTTTGTATTTTACTGTGACAGGAAGCACTGAGTTCCAATGCAAATCCCGTACTCCCACTTTGCTTTCCATCCCCAAAGCACATAAATTCTCTCCATGTTGTACTGCTTAGGGTTGTGGGAAGGGTGGTGCAGGCAATGCAGGACTGTCCTTCTGCCCTCTTCAATGCCTTTTTCTTTGTTATTGTGTTAAAACCAAGTACACAACACATATCTGATTTTATTTTTCGTTCTTATGAAGGTGCTTTTTCATGTAGGCAGCTGTTCAGTTTGGTGTTTCTGCAGGGGGGCAATCAAGAAAAGGTTCTATTCAGCCATTTAGCTCTGCCTCCTGCCCTTTAGACTTTGAGTCAAATTTCTTACTAATCAGCTGTGTAAAATGTGGTAAATACCATATGAAACATGAGAAATGGAGAGCTATAGTTTTACCCTGATGTTTCTGGTAAAAATGGAACAAAATTATGAAGCTGATCCACATTTGGATTATGCTGTCTTAGAGAAAATGCTTGTTCCCTCTGGGGGAGAATTGCTTTGTGTGTAGTAGAAGCTATGCTGAAAATACAATAAATATTATTTGATGTAATTATTTGGTTCTCTTCAATGTTTTCACTACTTAGGCCATATTGTCAACTTATGCTGAGAAACGAATTATATGAAAATGTAGTTTAAAATGGAATTCAAGTAACATTTTAACTCAAAGTTAGATATTCTAAACTAAAATTATAATGAGTAACACTATAACTCAGTTTGTATTCACATAAAACAAAAAATAAATTTTATCAGTAATAAATATTTCTGATTTTCCAATGAAGAAGTTGATGAAGTAATACAGAAATGAAATATTAGTATGATTTTTATTGTAAGAGCATATCCAAAATATTTGCTTCAAACCATTTTTCTTGATATGCATCTACATCTATCTACATACCTATCAAACCAAATTCACTGATTTCTACTAAAAATTATTTGGTGTTTATTTGTTCATACTGAATAAGATTCATATAATATCTGTTTTTCTTAAAAATACTTCCAGAATAGTCAACTTGAGGGAGAAAATTGTGTTCAAATCCAATTATAAATATTTGAAAATATAATAACCTGAGACTTGTGACAACCTGTTGTTTAGACTAGTGAGCATTGCCTGCTATAATAATGCTCTATTATACACTTAATTTGACTTACTATACATCTGAAAATATACATTTATGTTATGTTGAGTTATTTAAACCTCTTAGTTGAGACATCCTTACACTTTTCCCTGCCTCTGTGAATTCAACATCTTCCCAGTAGGACATGCTCTAATGTAATCTCTCATCTTCCACCTGCTCTTCAGGATTTCTATGAGCTCTAGATTCTGATTCTCTGCATTTGTGTCAACCTGATCTATCAATAAAATAAAATCAAATTAAATATAATCTAGATTTTGTAATATATTCTATAAGGAAAGTTAAACCAGAGAATTTTGTAATTTACACCCATCAGAACTGAAAAAAAAATGTAGCACTTCTATTATTTTCTACTGCTTGTAGGGATGAAATTAGAGGAGAAATTGTGTTTGATAATTGAAGGTAACAATGAGTTTTGCAGGTTAAACAATGTTTTTTGATTTAAAAGTTTCCAGACATATGATAAAGCAATTTACATTTAAAGCATTGTTAAAGATGTTTATCCCACATCCTCTTCCTACTTAGAATGGCTTCTGGTCCACATGTCTTCATATTGCCTAAACGCTGTTAAGAAGTTGCACTAGAATTTGTTGATGTCCATGACAAGTGAACCTTTTCTTCTGTTTGCTGGTCATGGTTTACGTATTTTCTCAGCCCTCCTCCCTTGCCCCAGTGCTTGCCATTGCAAGAGGATGTGCCCCAACATCATTTAGTGCTTTCTGACCTATAAGTTCAGAGAAGTTTTAGCTTGAAAGATTCGTCTCATAATTTTTGCTTCCAGCTTGCCTTCACCATAGCCACTCATGGTTGTTCTGAAGATTTTCAGCTTTTAAATACTACAAAAGTTTCCAGAAAGATAGAGGAAGAAGAAACACTTACAATTCATCCTATAAGGTCAACATTGCCTTGAAAACAAGGCCAAATTAAGATAACACAAGAAAAGAAAACTATAGATACAAATCCCTCATGAATATAGATGTAAAAATCATGAAGAAAATATTAGCTTACTAAATCCAGAAATATGTAACAGGAATTATGCACTATAACCAAGTAGGATTTATCCTAGGAATTTAAGTTTAGATTAACCTTTGAATTCTATTTAATACACCAGTTAATACAATAAAGGTCAAAAATCACTATAGTCTAAATACAGAGAAAAAGTGCTTTATAGCATTTAGCATGCATTTATGAGAAAAACTCTAAACAAACTTGGACTAGAAAACTTTCTGACTTGATATAAAGGACTCTATGAGAAACTTACATCTAACTTAATAATGAAAGACTGAATGTCTTCCCTTAATATCAAGAAGAAGCCAAGACTATCTACTCTTGTCACTCCTGTTCAACTTTGCAACACAAGTTCCAGCCAGTGCAATCAGCACTGATAATCAACAGAATAAAGTATAGTCAGATTGGAAATGAAATATTAAAAGATAAAAGAAGAATTATCTAATAAATCTAGTTTGTATGTTTTTGCTAATTGTTTCAGGTTATGTGATAAAATATATTTAGTGCATAAAATATGGAAGAGCAAACAGTAATTATGAAGAAAAAATATTTCATATTTACAAGGCAGAGAGTGAATCAAAGTTAACATTTTGGCAGGCTTATACGGAATTTTTTTTGCATATTTTATATTGTACCATATGTGCAAGTCTTTCATATATAATAATAAAAGTATATAGAAATAATCTAAATGTCAATTTAATTCAAATATTTTCTATTGTTGGACACTTTAGCTTTCATTGCTAATTCTATATATTATACAATAATTAATCTATTTTAAATACACTTCTCTTATTTTAGATTAATTCCTTAAGGATATTTCTGGAATAGGAATTACTAGAAATAAAGCACATCTGGCACTTATTATATTAAAACACTTACTATTGACTGTCTATTATTTAATTTTTTAATCTGCATATCTGCTAACAGTATTTGATAGTACAGATATCATTACACAACATCCAGTATTATGTATGAGTTAATTTTTAGTGATTAAACATACAAAATTGATATTATGGTATTAATTTGATGACTAATAAGGTCTAAGTTTTAAAGTATATGTATCAGGTATCTATATATTTAATCTTTTTTATTATGAAATAACACAAATAGAGAAGTATGTAAAAACCATTGTAACATTTAAGAAATTATAAATTGAACACATATGTAACCATTACATGAGTCAGGTCAGGAAAGATTAATTACCAGCCATTAAAGAAATTTTCCACAAAAACTCCATCTCTACCACCTAAGAAAAACAAATAAATTGATTGCTGTGGTAATAAATTTTTCTAAACTTTTCTTCATTCTTTTACTATTGCATGTTGTGATATTAATCACAAAACTTAGTTTTTATTATGTTTTGGAGGAAACTCAATGAACTGAGACTGTATAGTATATAATCTTTTATACTTGAGCTTCTCTAATAATCATTATGTTTGTGGAATTCATCCATGTGTAATGGTATAGTTTACTTTTATTTGTGTGTATTCCCCTATATGTATACATTATTTTATCTGTTTTTACTGTTTATGGGTCTCATAACAGTTCTCAGCTCTTGATTGTTACAAATAATGGAGCTATGATCATTATTTTAAATGCCTCTCAGTGCATAAGCACACACATTTTTGTTGATTATATATCTAGGTGTGAAATTGTTTAGCTGTGTACGCTCATCTTCAGTAGACAATGCCAAACATTTTTACAGAGTGAATATATTGATTCCCCCTACCACCAGCAATATGAAGGAGCTTCCCTTGTTCTACTTCTTGCTATGCCTCATCTTGTAATTCTTTTTGTAGCCATTTTTTGGATATTAATGATATTACATTTTACTCTATATTTCATGGCCTTGTACTTATTGCCCAGTGGCTATTCTTTTTGTCCCCTTTTATGAAATACCAATATGTCGTTTTCCCATTTTTTTGTTGATTTGTAAGTACTTCTTATATATAATAAATATAAAATCTTTGTTTTATGTGATATGAATACATTTTTCCACTCTGAGATCTTATTTTCTATTTCTGTATTATGTCTTTTGATGTTAAAACAAAGTCAAATGCACAAGACTTTGACCTTAGGATCTCCTTTCTATTGACTTCACTTAAAATTTTTTTTTCATAAAATTACTTTCACTTAAATTGTAAAAGTTTTGTTGTTTTGCCATTCTTATTAAATTAAGAATGTCTTTAAGTATTACACCAGGAGGGATTTAGAGATTAAATGCACTGGTGTAACTTTGGATTGCCTGATTTTGTACAAATATGTTTTATCTTCTGCTAGTCCATTTTTAGCGGCAGTATATAATTACCTAAGTTTTGATTTCACAACTAATTAGTCAAAGTCTTTGCAATGACCCTTGTTTGTGGGGGTTATTTGTGGTTAGATCAGGGAAAGAAAGGTTAGTTGGATTTTATTTGTGAAAATTTTTCTCAGGCTATCAGGACACATTGACACAAGTTAGACTACCTTGTTTGTGCTGCAGTCCCATGAAAGAATAAACCACTCAGTAACATTAACACTCCTGCTATATAATCAATGCAATCTATAATAAGCACAGACAGCAGTGTAAATATCACACTGAAACACATGTCAAGGAAACCAATTGTTTAAAAAAAAACTGTTTTCTCTAATGTGTTACTATAGGAACTGAAATTGGATGTCAACCTAATGCCTGTAAATAGATTATTTTTGAATTTGAAGGTCTATGCCAGAAGAAGCCATTAGTTCTCAATCCTGAACAAATCATGCTGGATCATGAATAGTGGTCTGTTGATAAATTGGTCTGGTTTTTGTATTTTAGTGTCTAAAAACTAATGAAACAACATTATCAAGTTTGTAATTAAACATCTCTTTATTCAAGCACATGGTAAAGAAGTCACCTTGGTTTTCAGTCAAGAACATGGATCTGAATTAATTCAATTATTCATTCATCATCAAATATTCATTAAATGCCAAGTCAATGCTGCAGTCACTATGCTGTACATGAGGGTTCCTTCCAAAGGCATCTAGGATTGCCTTTAAGAACCTCTTAGTTTGCTATAAACATGTCTTTTATGCCAGGAAATTGTATTCTCAATAATCTGCCAGAAATTTTGTATGTGCATGTGTATATATGCTTCCTGATGAGGTCTTGTCTGTGTGTGTCTCAAGACAACAAAGATTAAATTAATAATTGATGTTAAGTCTCTGGTGAACTTACATAATAGAACTCAGTATAGGACTTCATTGATTTTGAAAAGAAATTTTATAGTATTTTCATTGTTCTAGTAAAACCACCAACTATTTTACAATCAGAAGATGTAGCATAACTATTAAATATTGTAAAGCCATTAGACAAATTAAGTATTTAAAAACAAATCACAACATCTATTTCTAGGCAGGCACACTTATTCTTGTATATTTTCATAACATTATATAATATCTATACTAGATGACTTCTTGATAATGTGCACTACATGATTTTTGTGAATTTGTGTATCTAGTAATATTACTAGCAATAGTACTAGCATTTAATCAATAGCTGAAAGTGAAAAGCCTTAAATTTAGATATTTATTCACATTATTGGATTTTTTTCCTTTCAAATACCGAAATTTTGCTTTCCTCTAAAAACATTAACACAATCTAATATAAAATGCTAACAAATAACTTTAAACCAAGAAGTGACTAGATTAATTTGAAGGCAAATTTATGATGTCTATTAGTATTAAGAGAGCTTGAGTTATAATGTTGGCTCTATAATTGTGCACCTTACCTCTGACTGAAATAAACAGGGATTACTCATGTTAGGTGAGACTATAAGTTTCTGCAATGTTTGGGATCATCACAAAGTGAAACAAAACGCCATGGAAGAGGTCCATGGAAATGAGAGGCCATGTAGTTTAATATCTTTATGGTAATCCCTTGATTATAAATAAATGTATAGAGAATTATAAGACTGGAAAGACAGAATATTATTAATCTTGTACTGAGGTTTCTAAATATGTGAGAGTAAAACAATTATTAAGAATTATTAAGAATTTATTCTTTCTATATTTTCATGTTAGCAAATGAGTGGCTGTCCAACTTTCAGGTATGTGTAAATAACCTAGGCTGTTTATTGAAACTGCTGTTTTGTCCCATGTATAAAGATTCTGATTCCATGAGTCTGCAGGAAAGCTTAAGAATCTACAGTATTGATAAGCAAACCAGGTAATTTTTACAAACAAGCAAGTTTTAAAGATACTACTTTACCCAGAGGAAATTAGAAGCTGTAAAACTCTAGTTTCAAAAAAGGCAGTAGGGAGAGGCTAATAAATCCATTTATGAAGGACTTAGGTAGATTCTGCACTTCCAAATTTGTTGCCAACAATTTGGCAAATTTGGAAATATTGACCTACAAGCTAAATCTTTAACCTCAATATCAACATATTCTAAAAACTAACTGTTTACAATCAACATCAAATCATTAAAAATACTTTCCTTGAATACAACTAATGAATTTATGATCTAACTTAGAAAATTATTTTTCTTAAAAATCTTTACCCCCAGTTACCCTATTACTGTGCCTTACAACCCTTCTAACATGGGCAAAACCATCAATATATCTTGATTGAATTATTAAAATATCCTCTTGTATTTTTTTGTCTTGTGCTTGCACTTGTTACAGTAAGTACCATGAGCAGGGCAGGAGAGGGGTATCCCCACTAAGAATGTCAGGTGACCATCAGGTGATAGGCAGTTGTTAAGCTGTTTCTCTAAAATAATAATTGGTCACAGCTGGTACCAGGGGAAGGCAATCTCCCAACAGATAAAAAAACCTAAAACTGGTGATCAGCAACTTCCCACTAAGAGCTCAGGAGTTGGGCAAGTGGACTCAAGCCTGCACCTTAAGAGGAATAATGGCAGAGTTTAACTAGTATATGACCTTCTAAGAACATTAGGCTGGTAAGGAAAGAATGCCTCAAGTGAGCACGTGCACAACGCCAGTAAACACATTGTACATGTTCCCCTCCCAAGTCCTAGCAGGCCATTGCAAATGCAGACAGCCCACCCCAAGGGAAGAATCAGAGGAGAAGGGATGAAAATCCTGGAGGTATGCCAATGTGTAAAACCCCAAGTCAAAAGTAAAACAGTACACTTGGTATCTCAAGTTGCCCGCTTGGCCCACATGTCTCAGACAAGTTCCACTGCTAACATACTTTGGTGCTGTGTGACTCAGGTATGATCCCCAGTAGTAAGACACCCCTATGCCTTGCCTTGTTCTGCTGGGGGCATTCAACCCCCATATGCTGTTTTCTTCTGCCCTTTTGCTGTCTTGCAAACCAAACCCCAGAACAATTCTTCTTGGCCACAAGTGACTCTGCTCCCCCAGGTTGGTCTCTCTGTTCACCCTGATGGGTAGCCTTTAGGAGTGGGAAGGACCTTGGAATCCACACCAAGTATAACTGAAGCACTAATGGCCCTCCTGGACAGGAGATTCACAAGAGTGGTAGGGCTAAAGCCTGAAATCATGCAATGTCTGGGGTTTCTTCTGTTTTTTTTTTTTTTTTCAACTAAAGTCAGCCCTTTCCCAAGAACCTGCATGGCCTATTCTCTTGTTTGTTCTGAGTGCATTCTGAAACGGCCTTGTGCACCTGCTGGACCATCTACCTCAGGGGCAAGTCTGCCTCTTTGCTTTCACTTTACATGCCACATGACTTCTTAAACCCACAATCCCTATTATTCATGTGCCTATGGCTCTTGCTGGGCTTGTGTGGCAGCAAAGACACAGGCTTTCTTGCAGCTATCCCCTAAGATTTATACTTGTTTTTACCCTACCAGCTTGGCTGACCTCCAATCCTTCCCCTGTCTGCTGGCACACTTCTAGGAAAGGCACTAATTGGAACTCTGGCCGTGCCAGCTCCTTAAGACTTACCATACACTTTTTGTTCCTGCTATACCTCAGGGCTGAGTTTTCCAGTGGCTTTTCAAGCAGTTTATCTGCCTGCATAGGGCCTACCTCTGTACTTCTGTCTGTGGCCCTTTAAGGATCCCACCTACTTGCTTTTTTTTGAATTAACACCCCTTTGGGAGGAGGGGAAATTCTCCCTTTGCCATTTGCGAGTTCTTACTCCAAGCCCCAAGTCCTCCAGATGTTACTACTTCATGTCAAGAGGGCAAATAAATGTTGCCCTCTCAAATCCAAGGGCTGTTGTTGTTGTGAGCATATGAAGGCTTTCCAGAATTATTCCTCTCACTTCCTCCCACTTCCTCCTGTAGCCTCCATTTCTCTAATCACTTCCACACCCTTCTCAATATGCATCAAGATCTTCAAGGTTTATTCAAAGGGAGGGAGGTCCACCCCACTTGTAGCAGTTAGCTAAAATACAGGCTTCTCAACTATTCAAAGAACAGGGAAAATGAGAATGTAAGAAAAGAGATAATCATTTTGTTGCTAGAATGCTCCAAGCGAGAGTCACTATAAGGTTACGGAGACAAAGATATAAACCAGCCCAAAGCCACAGACACAAGACTTGTAGGAGAGAGATGAAGGTTGGTCTTAGGCTACAAAGAGGAAGGCAAGGTTAATGGTACACGGTAAGACCGGCTCATTCCATCAACCCAAGGGTGAACAGTTGGCCCACTATTCATTCTGGTATGTCCTTTGTTCTCAAGTAGGTAATTGTGATGAGATGAGAAAAAAGTTAAGGGTAAATGGTAAGACTGGTTTATTCCAGAACCCTAAGTATGAATGAGGGGTGCTGTATTCAGGATAGTAGAAGAATAAGAGGGGACTTCTTCTTTTCCCTTTTTCCTCTTCTGTTCTCTCTTTGTAGATGGGAAATCACATGTCCATACCACAGGACATGCACCTCAGATGCGTACCCCAAAACTGGGATGTTTGATTCCTCCAAATCTTAAAACAAAACACTCATTTTTCTTTGTAATACCGTTTGGCCTAAAAATGAACTGAGAGAAAATTACATAAGTTGGCCTTAGAACCTAGTGCCGTTATACAGGAAATCATCAAACTAGACTCCTTAGTCTTTTGTAACTGAGATCAGGACAAGAAGGCCAGGACTAAGAAAATAAAATGCAGAGACAAAAGGCGGGCTCAACTATTTGCTTTACAAGCTTTCCAGCTTCCTCCAGGTTGTCCTAAGGACAAAGCCAAGGACAAGTAAAATTATAAGTTTCCCTCTTGGGTTCAAGAGCTGTCTATCCTGTGCTAGTCTCCTTCTCTGAGCAACTCTCCTTCAACTACTATTCAGTAATTGGGGAAAATGGCACCTCCTTCAAGACGGGTGCCTACTTAATATTTACCCACCTCTGATTTCATCTTCCCCTCTAGCCTTATTTCTCCTGTGAAAGCTATCCAAATCTTTAATGAATAACTTTAACCTGGATAGCCCTACATCAGGGGTTTAGAAATAGCATGTAACCAAAGAGAATGTGCTTTTGGCAAAAGAGTATAAGACTGCATGGGAATGTGAATTATTTTTGCCTAGTTTAGAAGGTTAAAGTATTTTTTTAATACTTTAAGTTTTAGTGTACATGTGCACAACGTGCAAGTTTGTTACATATATATACATGTGCCATGTTGGTGTGCTGCACCCATTAACTCGTCATTTACATTAGGTATATCTCCTAATCCTATCCCTCCCCACTCCCCCAACCCCACCACAGGCCCCAGGCCATGGTGTGTGATGTTCCCCTCCCTGTGTCCAAGTGTTCTCATTGTTCAATTTCCACCTATGAGTGAGAACATGCGGTGTTTGGTTTTTTGTCCTTGTGATAGTTTGCTGAGAATGATGGTTTCCAGCTTCATCCATGTCCCTACAAAGGACATGAACTCATCCTTTTTTATGGCTGCATAGTATTCCATGGTGTATATGTGCCACATTTTCTTAATCCAGTCTATCATTGTTGGACATTTGGGTTGGTTCCAAGTCTTTGCTATTGTGAATAGTGCCGCAATAAACATACGTGTGCATGTGTCTTTATAGCAGCATGATTTATAATCCTTTGGGTATATACCCAGTAATGGGATGGCTGGGTCAAATGGTATTTCTAGTTCTAGATCCCTGAGGAATCGCCACACTGACTTCCACAATGGTTGAACTAGTTTACAGTCCCACCAACAGTGTAAAAGTGTTCCCATTTCTCCACATCCTCTCCAGCACCTGTTGTTTCCCAACTTTTTAATGATCGCCATTCTAACTGGTGTGAGATGGTATCTCATTGTGGTTTTGATTTGCATTTCTCTGATGGCCAGTGATGATGAGCATTTTTTCATGTGTCTGTTGGCTGCATAAATGTCTTCTTTTGAGTAGTGTCTGTTCATATCCTTCACCCACTTGTTGATGGGGTTGTTTTTTTCTTGTAAATTTGTTTGAGTTCTTTGTAGACTCTGGATATTAGCCCTTTGTCAGATGAGTAGATTGCGAAAATTTTCTCCCATGTTGTAGGTTGCCTGTTCACTCTGATGGTAGTTTGTTTTGCTGTGCAGAAGCTCTTTAGTTTAATGAGATCCCATTTGTCAA
Source organism: Homo sapiens (assembly GCF_000001405.40). NCBI lineage: Eukaryota > Metazoa > Chordata > Mammalia > Primates > Hominidae > Homo > Homo sapiens. The sequence goes on along the minus strand of NC_000003.12, from coordinate 145,575,984 downwards.
TTTTGTCTTTTGTTGCCATTGCTTTTGGTGTTTTAGTCATGAAGTCCTTGCCCATGCCTATGTCCTGAATGGTATTGCCTAGGTTTTCTTCTAGGGTTTTTATGGTTTTAGGTCTTAACATTTAAGTCTTTAATCTATCTTGAATTAATTTTTGTAAAGTATTGTTTTAAGTTAGGATAAAGATAAATGTTTAAACAATTTGTGGAAGGTTTGTGAAAAATTGATTCTATAAAAGAAATTCTGTGTCTCCTATAATTCTGATATGTCTTAGTATGTGTTATCAATAATAATTACAATTGCCATGTTAAATTATTGCGTGCCATAGAGGTAACAAATTTCATTTTCAGTTGTGTTTTTGACTGTGGCTGATCTAAGATGTTTTGTCTTCCATGGACAATTGTCTTATTTTGATCCTCTTTAAAGGTTGTTTTATAATCAGTTATAGGACTCTAACAAGTGCCCTTAAATGCAGGTTTTTCTGATAATTTTGGATACTGTTTACTGTGGCAGAATAGAGGGAAAAACTTTCAAGACTCTCATGGAGAGCTGAAATGTTCATGAATATTAAGCAGAACAGGCATTAACTGCATGGACTGAACTAGTAAAAGACTAAAATTATCCTTTCATGCCTTTTTTATTAAAACATTGCTAATACTTTGTTTTCCAAAGCCAAGAAAATTGTTCTTTTGAACTATTTACCGCTTTTAATGATTTAGAAAAATACTCCTATAAATAAAATGTGGAGCATATTTCTCTCTACCGGATATCTCAAAAATTTGGAAACTATTTATGAATATTCCTAACTTCTGGCAATAAAGTTACTTGCAGAAGTGCAATAAGAATCTGTTTATTTTTTATTTTTTATTTTTCAACAGTACACAATTGAAGAAACTGGTTATTTTACCAAGACTTTAACTTGAATGGCATGCTCTCCTTTAAAAGATCAACTTCAACTTACAGATCTAATAAAAGCCCCTTGGGAAAACTAGCCTCATACCTTGTCTGCATAGTCCCTTTACAGGGTTTGTTCTTGTGGCAAGTAAAGATGTAACTTTCTGACAGGCCCAGGAGCCCCAAGCTATACTGGGACATTGAGAGGAGAGAAATTTACCCAACTCATACAGGTATTTGATGGCAAACTCATGGCTAGGCTTAAGGTGTTAAAAAGGTCTTATCTGAGATTTCTTTTGAAATGAAGTTTCATCAAAACCAATTAAAAATAAATGTATATGGCAAATAATTATTCTTTCTGTGGTGTATGGAAATAATCAGGCTAAATATAATAACTCTAAAACTTATTTTGCAAGCAAATTAGTCCTATCATGATTTTTTTAATAAAAATGAGGACTGGCAAGAGAAAAATTATGTCTGAAGAACTATGGTACACCTGCTATTAGACTGCATACTTATTATTTGTTTTTGAAGTTTTGTCTGCAATTTAGATTAATGTTGCTTATTCCTGTGAACCAATTAGTGATCTTTGGCTGCAGCTCAGAAGAAACAAGAGGGATGAGTAATGTAACAATCTGGATCAGTATTCTAAATCTGAGCACATATTGGAATCAGCTAGCAACCCCATGCACCCAAGTCTTAGCAGGCGTGACTATAGCCACCGTCTACCTGGGCATGTCAGCAGTCTTGGGATTTTTTTTTTTTTTGAGCTGTCCTCACCACCTTATTTCATTTTCACATCTCTACTTGTCTTAAAAACCAAGGAGCCTTCTATATTTGTAGCCAATCAGTTCCCCAATACCTCCCCACTAACTGGACTATAACTTGTACCATAGGCTATGTATCCCTGGATATTTTCATAGTCCCTGGCAATCTCTCTCTTCCAGTACCAATCCACAGGCATTCCATCTTGCTCAGGGTGAAGAGTGCTATCCTATTAATTTTCCTTTTCATGGGACTTGGTATTATAGTTTGTATGGTAACCAGGATTGTTGGAATCACAAAACCCTCCTTAGCCTGTAGCCAGCTCTCAAAGGAAATAGCCAAAAACATTGATGCCATGGCTAAAATCTTAACAATTGTGCAAGAACAAATGGACTCCTTATCTGGTGTTGTCCTCCAAAATCATTGAGGATCAGATATATTAATGGAAGTACAGAGAGGAATTTGTTTATCCCTAGATAAAAAATGTTGCCTTTGGGTAAATCAATCAGGAAAAGTGGAAGACAATGTCAGACAGCTCCCAAACCAAGCCACTTCTAGTGTATGGAAATAAGCCTCCCAGAGTTAGTTAAATTGGGAAGGAAGCTGGAAATGGTTCGGCTGGGTTCTTCCCCTTTTAGGACCAGTTGTTAGTCTTGTACGTTTGCTCCTTTTTGGTCCATGTCTTCTAAATCAAATAACCAATTTGTTTCCTATCACCTTCAGGCCATCAAGCTCTAGAGGATCCTCAGTGAGAGATATGACCTCTCAATATTCAAGAGTCACTCATCTACAGGGGACCCTAGACTGCCCAGCAGTGAGACATGGCAGGTGAAGTCCTGCCCCTGTCTCCCTTGGACCTGACTGGATACAGCTTTCATGAACCCATGGAGCCAACCCTGCCCTGACAGCTAGCAAGAGGCCAAGACCAACAGTACAACTACAATCAGGTCTCTGTCAGCAGGAGGCAGCCATTTTCCCCAAAGAAGTGGGGTCTTTGACCCTTGAGGGGGAAAATGTTATAGTATGCCTGCTTATAGTCTGGCATAAGCAGGGCAGGAGAGGGCATCCCCCACAACCACCAGAAATGTCAAGTGACCATCAGCTGATGGTCAAGCAGTTGTTACGCTGTCCCTCTAAAACAATAATTGATTGCAGCTAGTGCCAGTAAAAGGCAGTCTCCCAATAGATAGGAAAACCTGAAACTGGTGATCATTTTCCTGATAAGATCTCAGGAATTGGATGAGTGGCCTTGATCTTACACACTAAGAGAAAAAAATGGCAGAGTTTAACCGGTATATGTTCTTCCCCTAGGAATGCGACTGTTAAGAGAAGAACACCTCAAGTGAGCATGCGCAAAATTTTGGTAAGCCCAAGGTACTGTGTGTTGGCAACTTACTGAGAATGCAGACAGCCCACCCCAAGGACAGAATGGTGGGAGAAGTAACACAAGACCCTGGAAGCATGTCGGTGTATAAAACCCCAAATCAAAAGGTCAAACTGCAAACTTGATTTCTGAAGTAACTTGCTTGGCCCTCTTCCGAGTGTACTTTACTTTTTTCATTCCTGCTCTAAAGCTTTTTAATAACCTTTCACTTCTGCTCTAAAATTTGCCTTGGCCTCTCCTTCTGCCTTATGCCACTCAGTCAAATTCTTTTTTCTGAAGAGGCAATAATTGACATTGCTGCAGAACTGTATGGATTCACCACCAGTAACACACTTAACTTCATATTGCATAATATTTCACTTATTTATTTATTTCACTTATTTAATTTATTGTCAACCTCTCTCTCCCCCCATTAGAATGTAAGCTTGAGTAGACCAAAAAAATTGTCTGTGAGTACATAGTTTTGTTCCTAGCACTTTAAAAAATGCCTGGTACATAGTAGAAGTTCTATAAAATTTTTTTAATAAATATTTCTGAATGAATTTTTTGGATAACTGACAAACAATTTAGAAATAATTTTCATGGTAGTAAAGAGTTTCTCACACAGATGCTGAATGTTGGCATAACAGTTGCAATTTATGATTTTAAAAATATAATTGAACAATTAACACTTTGTGCTGGAGTAGCCTCATCCTTATTCTTGCATCTGTTGTCTACACTTCCCCATGACCAATCTCCTCAGTTTCCCTCTTGTTAACTTTTGGATAGCATCAGAAAATCCTCCCTCTACTCTGGTTTGGGTATAGACATCCTCCAGGCAAAAGGCTATTTCTGCCAGAAGTTATCACTTTAGCTGTGGAGTATAAGAAGCATGATAGGAATATCAGCTTTTTGCCAAGTTTCCCAATGTCCTAGAGGAACATGCTCACTGTTACCAAGTTATCCACAGGGTAAATAAAATGTGTGAGGGCCAAATAGAAAAGGGAAATGGAAGCAAACCTTTACTGAAGAAGTTAGCCAAGAATTTGTTTTCATTAGGTACCATTATTTCTGATATTTACCAAAACTACTTGGTATAAATAAATACGCTCACTCTAAGCACACTCTGTGTAAATTATTGTATGGATAATTTAAGTAACAATTTTTTGAAAAGAGAAAGAAAACGTCTGCTTCTCCTGTCAGTCAGAGTCCACTTTAGATTGATATAACTTTCCAAATAATTACTGCTTTGGGGTAACTAGAGCAGCATAAAATTGTCTTAGTTCTTTACTATCACTTTTTATCTTGCTCTTATTTTTAAAATAGACTCAGCAATTTTGTGCTTGATTTTCCTTGGTAGGACCTATTATTAATTACATTTTTATTATTTCACTAGAAGTCACCTCCACTTTAATCATTAAGCCTGTGATTAACAAAATTTAATCACCAGAGTGTAATGTTTGGAGTTAAAGAACTTAGATCTGTGAAGAAAATTAAGTAACACATGTCACTTCATTGTATTCATGTTACTAAGTGACTATACAATAAGTTTTGGAAGTATAATAAATTGTATACCGTCTGAAGATATGCTTTTATTGATGTTTTGCTTTAGAAATTGCATGAATCTTTGGGTATTTCTTATATTGATTTGTTAACATTATTGTGCTCAAGTAATTAAAGTCAGAGTTCAACAAGTGTTTCATCCAAATTGCATAAATTGATTCCAGGAGATAATTGGAATTCTATGGCTCCAATTGATACAGTGTTTACTTGAGTTTCTTATTCTGTGCAGAGAGATAATTGAATCATGTAGCTCTCCATGGATTTAATTTTAATTTTAATTTTTACCAAAGTATTGTTTATATGCAGTTTTAAAAGGCAGAATACTTTTGGGCTCCAAAGAAAGAAACAACAGCAACAAAAACACAATATCCTGCGCTAAAGTACACAATCATATTTCGAACTGCAGAGGAAACCGCTTTCAATTCTTTAACTGTTTTGATATGAACATAGCTTTTCATGACCTACTGTATTCTACTATTGAAGGGTTAAATTCCCTTAAATTTCTTGCTGAAAAAAGATAGTTGGAGATAAGTTTTTGAAATCTTGAGAATCTGAAAACAACTCTCAAAATATTCTGTCTTCACAGTTGATTGGTAGAGTGGCTGGATTTAGACTTTTCAGTCACAAATACATTTTTCTTAGATTTTTTTTTTAAAGGCATTACTCATTAGACTTCCAGCTACTTTTGCTGCTATGAAGAAGTCTGATGTCATTTTCCTTCTGGTCCTTCATATGCAAAAGTGAATTAGTTTTCTCTTGATTTGGAATATTTTGGGATTTTTTAAAATCCCTCTTGTTTTGCTGTCTCACACATAGTGTGTTCTTTGTGCATGTGTGTGTTTCCTCACTTATTGTTCTGAATATTTGACACATTTTTATATAAAAACTTATTTTCTTTAATTCTGGAATTCTATTTTTATGTAATTATACTCTCTAATTTTCTCTTTTTTCCCTGTCTGTAACTTATGTTGGTTGACCTAGCTGTATTATGTAATTTCTTATTATTTTTCTGTTACTCTCTAATAGTCTTTTTCTAATTTTCTTTATGTGATATTTACTCCAATTCATTTTAAAAATATTTTGATTCAATGATTTTTTTTACATTTCCAAATACTATTTATTATCTTAATTTTTAAAAAAGAATAAGCTGTTATTGTATTAGGACAAGATATATTTTTATTTTTCTGAATCTACTAACCATCGATTTTTATTGCTATTGATTTATTATCTCTTTGTCTTTTTAAATTTTTACTTTTTTCCTTTAGTATTAGAAGTTGTCAAGTATATCTTGATCTTTTGTTTACTGAGGTATCTCCAGTTTCTAAAACTGTTTGGGTCAACAAATACCTGGTGAATTAATAAATGGATGAATATTTGGCAATCTTGCTTATTTCAGAAGGAGATACTGAAAATCTAAAATAATTCCTATGAGCATGAGACAACCCTGCCAACATCTCAGTTTTGCTGTGGAGTGGTCAAAAAGAGAGAGACCTGGGCCACTTCGTTTGATGACCCTCAAACATAAGTATCTGTGCACTTTCGTTAGGGGAGCCTGTTCTCAAAAGTGATCTCTAAATCTCTGATTTGATGGGAGTGGGGGTAGGTAATGCTGTCTTCTAAAATTTATAGCCTTAGTGAGGACAATATGCTAGAGGGTCTTATTTTTCATTATTCAGACTTTTACTTCCAGTGTTTTCAGGATGGTGACTCGATCCTAATGTACTGTACAGAATGCATCTCCCTAAATACAGTGTCTCTGGTTCAGTCTCTTCAGGGGGTAAAACCCCATTGCCTGCTGGGCTGCAGTGAGGTGGTTTGCACTACGGGTTGGGTGAGAGAGGAGATCTAGTAATTACACTGCTTATTACTTCCACTTTCAACTAATCCTTACACAGATCTCAGTACCACTTCTCAACCTATCCTCAGAGTAGGTTGCAAGACTTAACATAAAAAATTTGAGGATGCTCAGTCATATGTGAATTTCAGATAGAGTGATTTTGTTTCAGCATAAGTATATCTCATGCAATATTTAGGATATAGTGTTCTAAAAAATGTTCTTTCATTTTCAAATGTAATTGTGTGTCTTTTTTTTTTTTTTTTTTCTTGAGATAGAGTCTCACTCTGTTGCCCGGGCTGGAGTGCAATGGTTCGATCTCAGCTCACTGTGACTTCCACCTCCCAGGTTCAAGACATTCTCCTGTCTCAGCCTACTGAGTAGCTGGGATTATAGGCATGAACAACCGTGCCCAGCCGTGTCTTCTCTTTTACCTGGCAACCCTACTAGAGGTACTAGTTGCCTTCAGTTTCAATCTTTTCTTGATTACTTTTGTGATGCATTGAATTAAATTTGATTAGCCATCCTTAACACAGCATCTAGATTCAGCTTTTTCCACTATGCAAATCAGGTAGTATAGTCATTCATACTCTTTCCATCTTCTAAAGTATTGTTGATGTATTTCACCTGCTTTCTTTTGCTCTCTATTCTCTATGTGTTAGAGAATATGTACCTTCTTATTTATTTACTGTCTTTTTGTTGGAATTTTTGGAGGGAGTGACAACAAAAAATGTGTTTCATATGACAACATGAACTGACAGTCATTGTAATTATTTTTTAAATGTGAGATTTTGTTTCTAAGATGTTCCTTCACATACAATTTGGCATTCTCTGGAATAGTTGTCTAATAGTAAATGAATAAAGAGAACTAACATTTTACAGTGTGAAGGTTTTTCTTTAATGCATATTGTAAAATAATTCCAGCCTATGGAAAACTTGCTTTTATATCCAATTAAACTAGTTGAAGGAAATAATTAAATACTTACAATTGATGAAGTTGTTTAAGTAAGTTTGATATGGATCACAAAATTACATGGTGTATATGTGAGGACAATAGAAATAGTCATCATGTGCCTTCTTCTTTTGATACAAATAAGGATGCAATCAACAGTTTCAAACTTAAAGTCATGATGGATTTCACATGCCAAAAAGATCTTAACAACAGAATTAGCTTCTCACATATTTGCACCTAATAAACTCAAATATACCTAAGCATTTTTAGTAAATGAAATGCAAAGATAGTTTTATTTGCCTCAAGGAGACATTACAGTACATGCTCCAAAAGATAAATGACAGGACTTGAAACACAGCGTAAGATTAAGCATTTGTCAAATCAAAATTGAAGGCAACAGACAGTAAATTGGATTTTCTTTTACAATAACAGGTAGTTCACCTTCTATTAATGTAACAAATATTATAATATATACATTATAACATCATATTTTTTATTTGTTTTGGTTGCTGGAATTTTAAAAATAAGTTGGGTCTCTATTGTTGCTGTACCACAATTCACTGTTAAGCATGCTAAGTTTGTTTCTTAAGGCTATGTTTTTCCCCACAGAAAATATTAGCCATCAACTGTCATCTCAAATGCAGAATAAATAGCACTATTGGCACTCAATTCAGGTTCAAAGGAGATTGAATTATGTGATGTTGAGCCTGCTAGAGGTACTAATCATCTCTGAGAGACCAACTGTTCTCAACTTCAAAGATGGACACAACTTAAGTATTTCATTATATCATTTTTTTTCTGCAGACAATAAAGAATAAATGTAAAAATAAGGAAAAGAATAATACTGCCATTCAAATCAAATTATAGAATGTATCTCATAAGCCAGATGATATTAAAAATTCATACAGTTAAGTTAAAATGCATTTTCCTTAGGAATTTTATAAAATTTATATATTTTTTTGTTTTTTGATAAAAAGATGCTAACTGCTCTCTGATCAGTGATGGCAAACATGTAATGATTCTCAGCCCTTCTAGGAAGAAAAAAATGCAGTTATCCAGGGATTGTGTTCTTAAGCTACTGTGAGGTATTTGATATGAAAAATTATAAAAATTGAAATAGTGCCAGTGCTAAAAGCTAGAAGCACAATCTTTATGGGGTTATTTGTGTTTTTGTTTTTATTTAGTTTCAAGTTTATAATCATGCAAAAGCAGCATTCAGAAGGAACTGTACATTGAGCACAATCATTCTGTTTTTCACTTTCAGTACAGTATTCAATAAATTACATGAGATGTTTAACACTTTATTATATAATACACTTTGTGTTAGATGATGTTGCCCAACTATAGACTAATATAAGTGTTATGAGCATGTTTAAGGTAGGCTGGGTTAACAGTAATGTTCAGTAGGTTAGGTGTGTTAAATTGACTTTTATATGTATTATTTTATATGTATTATTTTACATAACTCTCACATTCCTGAACACATGGTAGATATTTCTACTGCCATTTTACAGACCAGAACAAACAAAATTTGAGAGGTTAATTAGCATATCAATTTTTAGCCATTAATAAGTGCCACAGAAGGAGTCTGAGGTCATGACAGACTGGCTTGAAATACATGCTTGTCCACTATAATACATCAACTCACATGTAGAATATGGTTCAATCAATCATCCATTCATTTTATTTTAAAATGGACATTTATAAGTATTTAAATGTTCACCTGCTACAAAATTAATAAGGATGTTTTTGTATTTATCTGAAAGCCTTTTAGATAGTGTTTTTAATGTTTGGAATATTGAGATGTTTTAAATAATCCTGAAAAGAATAAATTTATCCATTAACTGAAGAGCTAATCTTAACATGGAAGAAACAGATAAATATTAGATACATAGATAGATAGATAGATAGATAGATAGATAGATACAAACAGAGAGAGAAATTGAAGATATTTGGAGTTACCATGATGATTCAGGAGACAAATATTATCATGAAATAAATTTGCCTCTATAGTGCCTCTTCCAGAGATGTTAAGTAAAGTTTTAAAGTACTTTACAGGATTAATTACTTTTAACATTACTTTTGAATATGACATCATTTTGTGACTAACTAGGAGGAGACACAGATTTAATTAGGGTAATATTGAGTACTTATTAGATGCCAAGCATAATCTTAGATGTTAAGAATAGAAAGATAAAACAAAAACAAAACAAATAAGCTGTTCCTTAATGAAGATTCAGTGTAGTAGGGGAGGAATACAATAAACAAATATAATTTGAAGGAAAGAAGGGAGATAATTGTATGTAACAGTAGAATCATTGAGTAGGCAGAATGACCCATTAAAAATTGATGAAGTTTATCTTAAATAATGGCAAGGCAGTTCATCTTTTTTAATTCAAGAGAGGCAGAATACATATGTGTAGTGCATATCAATAGTAGGAGGATGCAGAAGGTAACATATTGATTATTTGATCTCTTTGAATTTCTAAGCAAGGTCATTAGCTGAGTAATGGGTGCAAGCGGTACTAGAAGTTCACAGCAAGAAATAATATGAAAACCATGGTTTGGAAAAGGGGAAAGTAAATTTGCTAGTGGCATAACATGAAATTTCTATTAAAATATCAGGAATATTTTTTTCTGAGCTGACTAATTCCTATCTAAGTTTAAATTCATATTTCTAACTCTAAAACTGCCATTCCAATTTGTACCAATAGTTACATGCGGCCATTGAGCATTTAAAATGTAACTATTTTGCATTATATGCTTTTGTCTCTCTGTGTGTGTGTGTGTTTGTGTGTGTGCACATTTGCACACTTTGTGTTTTATGGACAGAGAGAATTCAGTTATCAGGCACATTGTATGCATATTGCATTATATTCAAGTTATACATGGGAGGTTATTTTGAATCAGGGTAAAATTTTAGAGACAACATGTGAGGAGATCAGTGATTTAGAAATTTGAAACACACACATCCACACACAGGCACAAGAAAGGGTGAAAAGCTGGCATTGATAAATTTATCGCGTGCTTTACAATGTGTTGGATACTTTAAGTAGCGTGTTCCATTTATAGTCACAACTCTTGAAATAAGCATTGTTATTCCCCTTTTTTTAAAAAAGAATGTAAAAACTGAAGTTAATTAAGAAGCATACTGCCAAGAAAGTAGCAAATCCAACAGTCAAAACCAGCTCTGTCTTCTTTCAAAGAGTGAACTATTTCACAAAGCAAAATTATTTTCCATAAAAACAAGAGTTAAAGGTTTTTAGAAGTGAAAGCTTTCCAGAAACAAGCCTCTCTAAAATCCCAGGGTATCTCATGAATCAAGTACATAGGTCTCACTTGGGGGCCCCAAAGTTTTTCCTGTATTACCTAGTCCCATGTTTTCCTATGACCTCTATTATAGAGGTAACATAACACAAAAACCTTAGGAATAATATCAGCAAGTTGTAGGAATAAAAGGTTACCCACTTGTATCCCTCCAACAACAGTATTTTGGCAGCAAACCATAGACACATGTGGCTTTGTGAGAGCTTTGGTATCGAGATAAGAGGCTGCAAAACACTGATGAAGCCCAAGACCAAATAAAATTGTTTTGAGAAGTAAGGCCAGTGCCTAGGTGCCAGGCTTACTGGCTGTGGTCCCAACTACAGACCCAGAAACAGCCATGTCCCCCTGTGGACTTGGTTACAGTCCCATTTGGCCTTGGTCCTGCCACCAACACCATCTATCCAGGGATCAAGAAGGAGCCACACCTACCCATGCCTCAGGCCTACTGACCTCAGTACGAGCTGTGGACCCTGATGCAGCCTGTAACCTGGCTCAGGCTCTGATAGCTGCAGTCCAGGAACAGTCTTGGCCACCCAGGGACTGGTGAAACACATGCCTACCTTTTCCCAGGAAGACAGGCAAACTGACTTTGGTCTAGCTACAGATCCTAAAATGAACCTGTTACTGAGGTCCAGCCCCTCTCAGACATGGTCAAGGGTCAGTCCTGCCTGCCCAGCAACTTAGTGGGAGACATGCCTGTTTGTGCTATCAAAGGTAGGCTACCAGCCTCAATATGACTGTGGATCCTGAAGTGGCCATATGACTTAGTTTTAGCCTCAAGCATCTGTAGCACAGGAGTAGTCTCACGTGCCCAGTAATCCACCCATTGACCCAGTGGGAGATTTCCAGGGACCTATTGGAAGCTACACTTGCCCACAGACTTGGTAATAGACCCCATCATCTGTGAACCTAATTGCAGATCATGAGGTGAACCCTTGCCCAGTGCCAGAGCCACTGACCAAGATTAATGAGACACTCCTGTCTGTCTAAAGACCAAGCAGAATCCACACTCACCGAAGCACCTGGTAACAACATATGAATCATGGACCCCATTGCAAACGTAGGAGCAGCTATATGACTTGGTTTCAATGCTGATTGACTGCAATCCCTAGGGACTCAACAGGAGGTCATTGCCTGCTGAAACCAGACTGTAAAGACTGGAAGAGGTGAATGTTCCTTTTAATGCATAGACATCAGTACAAGGCTACACAGATGATAAAGAACTGGTCAAACAAGGCATCACCAAAGGAAATTAATAAGGCATCAATGAACAATCCCAAAGAAATGGAGATCTATAAGTTGCTTGAGAAATAATTAAAAATAATCATCCAAAGGAAGCTCAAGAAGATGTAAGAGAACACATATAGACAACTAAATAAAACCTCAAAAATAATATATGGGCTAAATAATAAGCTTAATAAAGATTTAGAAACCGTAAAAATGATTAATCAGATATCCTGAAGCTGAAGAATATAATAACAAAACTGAAAAATTCAGTAAACAGCTTTGACAGAAGACTCAATCATGCAGAGGAAGAACTGGCAAACTTGAAAACAGGCCACTGGGAATTACCAAGTTAGAAGAAAAAAATATTAAAGAGTAAAGAAATCATATAGTACCAATGGTATACCGTCATACAAACAAGTATATATGTTATTAGAGTTCCACAGAAGAAGAGAGAAAGAGAAAAAAAAAAAAAGACTAAAACTTTCCAAATTTGGGGAGGCATATAACATCCAGACTCACAAAGCTCAAGGGGTCTCTGGCAAGATCAATACAAACATTACCAGGGGATAAATTATTAACAAATTGCTAAAAGTGAAAGACAAACTTTAAAGCAGCAAGAGAAAAGAGTGTGGTCGCACACAAGTTAACTACTGTCACATAAGTCTACTAGTGGACTTCTTAGCAGAAATCTTGCCAGCCAGGAGGGAGTGGAATTACATATTCAATGTACTTAAAGGAAAAAAAAATGGTTGACTAAGATTACTATACCCAGTAAATCTTTCTTTTGGAAATTAGGAAGAGATAAAAAAAATTCCCAGTCAAACAAAATCTGAGGAAGCTAATTACAGCTAGGTCAGCTTTACCAAAAAACGCTAAAGGGAGTTCTTCAAGTTAAAATAAAAGAGTAGTAAGTATCAACATGAACATGTAAGAAAATATAAAGCTTGCTGTTAAAGATAAATATAGAGTTAAATTCAGATTACTCAACTATTATAGTGGTAGAAAGTGAATTACTTTTAACTCTAGTATAAAAGTTAAAAGACAAATTTATTAAAAATAACTATAGCTACAACAATTTGTTAATGGATACATAATTTTAAAAGATACAAAGGGTAACAATACTAGCATATATGTGGTGGCAGAGAAGTGCAAGTGAGGTTTTTGTATGTGATTAAACTTAAGTTGTTATCAGCTTAAAATAGACTATTACTATAAGATATTTTTAATGTAAGCTTCATATGTAAGCTTATATGTAAGCTTCATATATACACAGAAGATAAATAGAAAAGAACTTAAATATGCCAACAAAAATGCAAGCAAATACCAGAGAAAGCAAGAGCAAAAGAAAGGAACAAAGAACTACAAAATGGTTAGAAAAAATTAAAATGTAAATTGAATAAATTTTTAATCAAAAGGTACAGAGTTTCTGAATAGGTAAAAATCAAAATAAACATGATAGAATAATATACTCCACACAAGAGGCTTCTTTTAGCATTAAAGACACACATCAGGCTGAAAGTGAAGAAAATAAAAAATATATTTTATGCAAATAGAAACAAATAGAGAGCAGGGATAGTTATGCTAAGACAAAATAAACTTAACTCAAAAACTGTAAAAACAGACAAAAGAAAGTCATTTTGCAATAATTAGGGTTCAATTCATCAAAAGGATTTAACACTTGTAAATCTGCAAGAACCTAATATTGGAGAACTTAAATATATAAAGTAAATATTAGTAGAGTACAAGGGAGAGATATATAAGAATAAAATAACAGCAGATGACAGCAATACCCCACTTTTAGCTATGGACAGATCATGGAGATAGAAAACCAAGAAGGAAACATTGGAGAAGAACTACATTTTAGATGAATAGACCTTATAGACATATATACAATATTACATATGACAGCAACAGAATACACATTCTTCTCTAGCTCACATAGAACATTCTCAAGGATAGATCACATGTTAGGCCACAAAACAAGTCAGCATAAATTTTAAAAGATTGAAGTCTTTTAAAAAGAAACGTTAAGTTTCTTTTTTGATCATACTGTTATAAAAGTAGAAATAAATACCACGACGAAAACTGGAAAATTCACAAATATATGAAATTTACACAGCATTATCCTGAACATGAATATACAAGAAAATATAAAACTCACTGTTAAGGTAAATATGGAGTCAAAGAAATCCAATATGCCAAAGAAAAATTAGAAAACAAATTAAATATATCTTGAAACAAACAGAAATAGAAAGAAAGCATAGTAAAACTTATGGGATGGAGCAAAAGCAGTTCCAAGAGGGAAGATTTTAGCAATAAATGCCTATATTGAGAAATAAAAAAGACCTCAAATAAACAACCTAACTGTATACCTCAAGGAATTGAAAAAAAAATCAGTACAAAGTAGGAGAAAGAAAGTAATGACTATAGAAGAATACAGAAGAAAATAATAATATTATAGCAGAATAAATGAAATACAGGCCTACAAATACAATTTTTAAAAATCAATAAAACTAAGAGTTGTTTTTTTGAAAAGATACAAAAAAATAAATTTTTATGTGGACATACTCAAATAAAATCTTAAGTGAAAGAGGAGACATTATCATTGATGTAAAAGAAATACAAATGATCATAAAAACTACTATGTATAACTATATGCCAAAAATTCAATATACTAGAAGAAATAAATTCTTAGAAACATACAGCTTACCAAGATGAAATCACAAAGAAACAGAAAACCGCAGAGCGAATAAACAGTAAGGCAATTGAAGCAGTAATCAAAAGCCTCATAACAAAGACAAGTCAAGCACCAACCAGCTTAGCAGGTGAATTTTACCAAGCGTTTAAAGAAGAATGAATGCTAGTTCTTCTCAAATTCTTCAAAAAAATGGAATAAAAGGAAATACTTCCAAACTCATTAGATGAGACTAGAACTACCCTGATACAAACACCAGAAAATGGTACTACAAAAAAAGAAAATTGCAGGCCAATATCCATGATGAACATAAATGCATAAATTCTCAACTAAATATTAGCAAATGAAATTCAATCCCATGGTAAAAGGACTATACATCGTGGTCAAGTAGAATTTGATGCAATTTCCATGTCTTTCCATGCAAGAATGACTCAGCATATGCAAATCGACACATGTGACCCACCACATTAACAGAGTAAAGGATAAAAATAATATGATTTATATTAAGAGATGCAATACAAGCATTTGATAAAATGTATCACCCCTTTTTTATAAAAAACTCTCAACAAATCAGTTATAGAAGGAATTAACTTTAACTTAATAAAGGCTATATGACAAGCCCATAGCTAACGTCATACTTACTGGTGAAAAGATGATCTATTTTCCTCCAAAACCAAAAATAATACATGGATGCCCACACTTAACACTTTTGTTCGACATACTACTAGAGGTCACAGCCAAATTCAATTAGACAAGAAAAAGAAAGGAAAGATATCCAAATTATAAAGGAAGAAGTAATTTTTTTCTGTGTTTAGGGATGACATAATTGAATATATTTTAAACCCTAAAGCTCCCACAAAATAACTATTAGAACAAATAGGCCAGGCACGGTGGCTCACGCCTGTAATCCCAGCACTTTGGGAGGCCAAGGCGGGTGGATGACAAGGTCAGGAGATTGAGACCATCCTGGCTAACATGGTGAAACCTCGTCTCTACTAAAAATACAAAAAAAAAAAAAAAAAAAATAGCCAGGCTGGGTGTGGTGGCATGTGCCTATAGTCCCAGCTACTTGAGAGGCTGAGGCAGGAGAATGGCATGAACCCAGGAGGCAGAGCTTGCAGTGAGTCAAGATCAGGCCACTGCACTCTAGCCTGGGCAACAGAGCAAGACTGTCAAAAAAAAAAAAAAGAACAAATAAATTCAGTAAAGTTGCAAGACACGAAATCAACAAGCAAGATTCAGTAGTATTTCTATATACTAATAACAAAGTATCAGAAAAGGAAATTAGAAAAACAAATTTATTTTCAAAAGCATCTAAAGAATAAAATATTTGGGAATAAATTTAACCAAGGAAGTTAAAGATCTGTATGCTAAAAACTATAAGACTTACTGAAAGAAACTGAAGAAGACACAAAAACAAAAAGATATGTTCTTTACATGAACTGGAATAATTAATACTATTAAAATGTCCATGCTGCCTAAAGTGATCCACAGATTCAGTGCAATCCCTATCAAAATTTCAATATTTTTTAACAAAAAGAAAAAAAAAATCTTAAAATCCATATGGAACTACAAAAGACCCTGAGTAAGCAAAGCAATCTTTAGCCAGAAGACTTCATACTTCCTGATGTCAAACTACATTACAAAACTCTAGTATTCAAAACAGCATGATACCAGCACAAAAAACAGCATATAGAACAATGGGCCAGAATTGCTAGCCCAGAAATAAGTCTATGCACATATGGTTAACTAATCTTTGACAAAGGTGCCAAGAATGCACAATGAAGAAATGATAGTCTCTTCAATAAATGGTAGAGGGAAAACTTGATATCCACATGCAAAAGAATAAAATTGGACTTTTATCTTTCACTGTACACACACATTAAATGAATTATAAATTTAAATGGAAGCCTTAAAGCCATAAAACTACTAGAAAAAAGTAGGGGAAAACTCCTTGAGATTGGTCTTTAAAATGATGTATTAGATATGACACCAAAAGCACAGGCAGCAAGTGCAAAAATAAAATGGGGTTATTTCAAACTAATAAGCTTCTGCACAGTAAATGAAACAACCCACATAGTGAAAATACAACCTATGGAATGGGAGAAAATATTTGAAAACCATGTGTCTAATAAAGGCTAAAACTCAATTCAGAATTCAACTCAGAAGCAAAAATCCCCAAAAATAACACAATTTTCAAAAAGGCAAAGGATCTTAATAGACATTTTTTAGAAGAAGATGTACAAATGGCCAAAAGGTATATGAAAAAGTGTTCAGTATTACTAATAATCAGGTAAATGCACATTAAAACCACAATCAGATATCACTTCTGATATATTAGGATGATTAGTATTAGAAAAGCAAGAGATAAGAAATGTTAGTGAGGATAGGCTGGGCTCAGTGGCCCACGCCTGTAATCCCAGCACTTTGGGAGGCCAAGGCGGGCGGATCACAAGGTCAGGAGTTCAAGACGAGCCGGGCCAACCCATGTGGTGAAACCGCATCTCTACTAAAAATACAAAAATTAGCCAGGTGTGGTGGTGAACGCCTGTAGTTCCAGCTACTCAGGAGCTGAGGCAGGAGAATTGCTTGAACCTGGGAGGCAGAGGTTGCAGTGAGCCAAGATTGCTGCCACTGCACTCCAGCCCAGGTGACAGAGCGAGACTCCATCTCAAAAAAAAAAAAAAAAAAAAGACAACAGTAGCTGTGAAGGTTTATTATATAGGTAAAATTCATGACACAGGGGTTTGCTATACAGATGAGAAATTTTATATACTTTTGATGAGAATGTAAATTTGTGTAGATATTATAAAAACTAGTATGAAGTTACCTTAAAAAATTAGTAAACTTCATATGATCCAGCAATCTCACTTCTGAGTATACATTCAAAGGTATTGATATAAGTATCTCAAAGAGATATTGGCACTCTCATCTTCGTAGCACGATTATTAGCAATTGTCAGGATATGAAAGCAATCTAAGTGTCTGTCATTGGAACAATGGATAAGGAAAATGTGAGATATATATATATAATTAAATGTTTGTTATTCACCCTTAAAAAAGGAAATTCTATCATTTGCGACATGAATATACCTAGAAGACATGTTCTACATAAAATAAACCAGACATAGAAAGATAAATATTGTATGATCTCATATGTGGAGTCTAAAAAAGTCAAACTCATAGAAACAGTAAGTAAAATATCAGTTTCTAGGGATGGGAAGTGGTTGTAGGAGGGATGACAAAGTTGGGCAGGGGAGATAATGATCAAAGGGTACAAAGCTTCAGTTACAACATAAATAAGTTCTGGGGATCTAATATACAGTATAGTGACTATAGTTCATAATATTATATTGCATATTTCAAATTTGCATCGAGAGTAGATATCAAGTGTTCTCACCACACACAAAAAGATAACTATGTGAGGTGATGGATGCGTTAATTAGTTCCATTGCTATAATAATTTAAGTGTTTACATATATAAGGTCATCACATCTTACACCTTTAATATATACAATTTCTATTCATCAATTGTACCTCAATGAAGATAGAAAAGAAAACACACGATTTCTGAATTGTCTTCAGAGACATTTGCAAAACAAATAGCATTCAGGGCATAGGAGCAAGTTCTTGTTAGAGCAATTGTAATCCCTTGGGCATGGGCTTTTTTGGATGACTGAGTCATGAACTTGGCCAAGCCCTCACACAGAGTTCAAAACAACTGTTCTTTGAAGTGGTGGATTTTCAAGAACATTTCTTCCTTCATTTATAGGCTTTCAGAGATAAAAATCTGTTGGATGACGTGCAGCTTACCCTTTCAAAGTTCCTTAAGGACCCTGGGGAATGCAGCCATCTGGAATTTGCTGTCATGCTGTGATTTCTGCAGGTTTGTTTAACTTTTAATCTCTCTAGTCACATCTTTTATTATTCACTCTGTGCATAATTTTTGCATTATATAGTACTTTTTTAAGCAGTGAGCTAAAATTGCTCAATTTAATCACAAATGTGGCTCTGAAAGACTTAATGTCTTAAAAGTTATTTCCCTCTTTTCTCATGTTGAAAAAAAAATATGGCTGTACCAGATTTGCTGCTCACAAATCAATCCCATCCTTCTAAAGAATGCAGCATAAAGCAGAATTTAATGAGAGCTAGGTACTTTTAGAATTAATTACTAGCATTTAAGATAGCTTTGATTTCTCTATTTATTTGCTATCTGTATTTTTGTGGGTGTTAAAGCCCATTTATTTTAGCTGTTTCTCATATTTCTAAACCACAGAATATTAAGACCAGAAAAAGTTTTCAGTTTACATAATTATGGACAGGATATCTACTCTAAACATGAGTTTCCTAAAGATTAATTCACTACCAGGTAACCTGTTTGCCTAAAACTCAATCCTTTTACAAAATTTTGGCACATTTTGTTTCTCTTTTCTTTATAGTAGCTTTTGTCAGGCCTCTGAGCCCAAGCTAAGCCATCATATCCCCTGTGACCTGCACGTACACATCCAAATGGCCGGTTCCTGCCTTAACTGATGACATTCCACCACAAAAGAAGAGAAAATGGCCTGTTCCTGCCTTAACTGATGACATTGTCTTGTGAAATTCCTTCTCCTGGCTCATCCTGGCTCAAAAGCTCCCCTACTGAGCACCTTGTGACCCCCACTCTGCTTGCCAGAGAACAACCCCCCTTTGACTGTAATTTTCCTTTACCTACCCAAATCCTATAAAACGGCCCCAACCCATCTCCCTTCGCTGACTCTCTTTTCAGACTCAGCCTGCCTGCACCCAGGTGAAATAAACAGCCATGGTGCTCACACAAAGTCTGTTTGGTGGTCTCTTCCCACAGATGCTCATGAAATTTGGTGCCATGACTCAGATCGGGGGACCTCCCTTGGAAGATCAATCCCCTGTCCTCCTGCTCTTTGCTCCATGAGAAAGGTCCGCCTACGACCTCAGGTCCTCAGACCACCCAGCCCAAGAAACATCTCACCATTTTCAAATCCAGTAAGCAGCCTCTTTTTATTCTCTTCTCCAACCTCCCTCACTATCCCTCAATCTCTTTCTCCTTTCAATCTTGGCGCCACACTTCAATCTCTCCCTTCTCTTAATTTCAATTCCTTTCATTTTCTGGTAGAGACAAAGGAGACACATTTTATCCGTGGACCCAAAACTCCAGCACTGGTCACAGACTAGGGAAGGCAGCCTTCCCTTGGTGTTTAATCATTGCAGGGGTGCCTCTCTGATTATTCATCAACATTTCAGAGGTGTCAGACCATGCAGGGACGCCTTCCTTGGTCCTTCACCCTTAGCGGCAAGTCCCGCTTTTCTGGGGAAGGGGCAAGTACCCCAACCCCTTCTCTCCATGTCTCTACCCCTTCTTCACCTTTCTGGGGGGCAAGAAACCCCCAACCCCTTCTCCTTCACCCTTAGTGGCAAGTCCTGCTTTTCTAGGGGAGGGGCAAGTACCCCAACCACTTATATCTCTGCACCCCGATCCCTTATTTCCGCACCCCAACCCCTTACATCTCTGTAACCCAATCCCTTATTTCCGCACCCCAACCTCTTATATCTCTGTGCCCCAATCCCTTATTTCCATGCCCCAACTTCATATCTCTGTGCCCCAACCCCTTTCCTGCTTTTCTGGAGGGTAAGAACCCCCGAACCCCTTCCCTCCATTTCTCTACTCTCTCTTTTCTCTGGACTTGCCTCTTTCACTATGGGCAACCTTCCACCCTCCATTCCTCCATCTTCTCCCTTAGCCTGTGTTCTTAAGAACTTAAAACCTCTTCAATTCTCACCTGACCTAAAATCTAAGCATCTTATTTTCTTCTGCAATGCCACTTGACCCCAATACAAACTCGACAGTTGTTCCAAATAGCCAGAAAATGGCACTTTCAATTTTTCCATCCTACAAGATCTAAATAATTCTTGTTGCAAAATGGGCAAACGGTCTGAGGTGCCTGATGTCCAGGCATTCTTTTACACATCGGTCCCTCCCTAGTCTCTGTGCCCGGTGCAACTCATCCCAAATCTTCCTTCTTTCCCTCCCGCCTGTCCCCTCAGTCGCAACCCCAAGGGTCCCTGAGTCTTTCTAATCTTCCTTTTCTACAGACCCATCTGACCTCTCCCCTCCTCCCCAGCCTGATCCTCGCCAGGCTGAGCTAGGTCCCAATTCTTCCTCAGCCTTCACTCCTCCACCCTATAATCCTTTTATCACCTCCCCTCCTCACACCCGGTCCCGCTTACAGTTTCGTTCCCTGACTAGCCCTCCCCCACCTGCCCAGCAATTTACTCTTAAAAAGGTGGCTGGAGCTAAAGGCATAGTCAAGGTTAATGCTCCTTTTTCTTTATCCTAAATCAGATAGCATTTAGGCTCTTTTTCATCAATATAAAAATCCAGCCCAGTTCATGACTTGTTTGGCAGCAACCCTGAGACACTTTACAGCCCTAGACCCTAAAAGGTCAAAAGCCCATCTTATTCTCAAAACACATTTTATTAACCAATCTGCTCCTGACATTAAATAAAACTCCAAAAATTAAATTCCAGCCCTCAAACCCCACAACAGGATTTAATTAACCTCGCCTTCAAGGTGTACAATAATAGAAAAAAGTTGCAATTCCTTGCCTCCACTGTGAGACAAACCCCAGCCACACCTCCAGCACACAAGAACTTCCAAACGTCTGAACCGCAGTGGCCAGGCATTCCTCCAGAACCTCCTCCCCCAGGAGCTTGCTACAAGTGCCAGAAATCTGACCACCAGGCCAATGAATGCCTGCAGCCCAGGATTCCTCCTAAGCCGTGTCCCATCTGTGCGAGACCCCACTGGAAATCGGACTGTTCAACTCACCTGGTAGCCACTCCCAGAGCCCCTGGAACTGTGTCCCAAGGCTCTCTGACTGACTCCTTCTCGGCTTAGCAGCTGAAGACTGACGCTACCCGATCACCTCGGAAGCCCCGTAGACCATCACGGATGCCGAGCTTCAGGTAACTCTCACAGTGGAAGGTAAGTCCGTCCCCTTAGTCAATACAGAGACTACCCACTCCACATTACCTTCTTTTCAAGGGCCTGTTTCCCTTACCTCCATAATTGTTGTAGGTATTGACGGCCAGGCTTCTAAACCCCTGAAAACTCCCCAACTCTGGTGCCAACTTGGACAACACTCTTTTATGCACTCTTTTTTCTTTATCCCCACCTGCCCAGTTCCCTTATTAGGCTGAGATATTTTAACCAAATTATCTGCTTCCCTGACTATTCCTGGACTACAGCCGCATCTCATTGCCACCCTTCTCCCCAACCCAAAGCCTCCTTCTCATCTTCCTCTCGTATCCCCCCAACTTAACCCACAAGTATGGGACATCTTACTCCTTCCCTGGCAACCGATCACATGCCCATTACCATCCCATTAAAACCTAATCATGCTTACCCCACTCAATGCCAATATCCCATCCCACAGCACACTTTAAAAGGATTAAAGCCTGTTATCACTCACCTGCTACAGCATGGGCTTCTAAAACCTATAAACTCTCCTTACAATTCCCCCATTTTACCTGTCCAAAAACTGGACAAGTCTTACAGATTAGTTCAGGATCTGTGCCTTATCAACCAAATTGTTTTGCCTATCCATCCTGTGGTGCCCAACTCATACACTCTTTTGTCCTCAATACCTTCCTCCACAACTCACTATTCCGTTCTTGATCTTAAAGATGCTTTTTTCACTATTCCCCTGCACCCCTCGTCCCAGCCTCTCTTTGCTTTCACTTGGACTGACCCTGACACCCATTAGGCTCAGCAAATTACCTGGGTTGTACTGCCGCAAGGCTTCACAGACAGCCCCCATTACTTCAGTCAAGCCCAAATTTCATCCTCATCTGTTACCTATCTCAGCATAATTCTCATAAAAACACACATGCTTTCCCTGCTGATCGTGTCCGATTAATCTCCCAAACCTCAATCCCTTACAAAACAACAACTCCTTTCCTTCCTAGGCATGGTTAGTGTGGTCAGAATTCTTACACAAGAGCCAGGACCACACCCTGTAGCCTTTCTGTCCAAACAACTTGACCTTACTGTTTTAGCCTAGCCCTCATGTCTCCGTGCAGCGGCTGCTGCCGCCCTTTTAGAGGCCCTCAAAATCACAAACTATGCTCAACTTACTTTCTACAGTTCTCATAACTTCCAAAATCTATTTTCTTCCTCATACCTGATGCATATACATTCCGCTCCCTGGCTCCTTCAGCTGTACTCACTTTTTGTTAAGTCCCACAAGTACTATTGTTCCTGGCCCGGACTTCAATCTGGCCTCCCACATTATTCTGGATACCACACCTGACCCTCATGACTGTATCTCTCTGATCCACCTGACATTCACCCAATTTCCCCATATTTCCTTCTTTCCTGTTCCTCACCCTGATCACGCTTGATTTATTAATGGCGGTTCCACCAGGCCTAATCGCCACACACCAGCAAAGGCAGGCTATGCTATAGTACAAGTCACTAGCCTGCCTCTCAAAACCTCTCATTTACTTTCCATTGTGGAAATCTATCCTCAAGGAAATAACTTCTCAGTGTTCCATCTGCTATTCTACTACTCCTCAAAGATTATTCAGGCCCCCTCCCTTCCCTACACGTCAAGCTCGAGGATTTGCCCCACCCAGAACTGGCAAATTAGCTTTACTCAACATGCCCCGAGTCAGATAACTAAAATACCTCTTAGTCTAGGTAGACACTTTCACTGGATAAGTAGAGTCCTTTCCTAAAGGGTCTGAGAAGGCCACTGCAGTCATTTCTTCCCTTCTGTCAGACATAATTCCTCAGTTTAGCCTTCTCACCTCTATACAGTCTGATAACAGACCAGCCTTTATTAGTCAAATCAGCCAAGCAGTTTTTCAGGCTCTTAGTATTCAGTGAAACCTTTATATCCCTTACAGTCCTCAGTCTTCAGGAAAAGTAGAACAGACTAGTGGTCTTTTAAAAACACACCTCACCAAGTTCAGCCACCAACTTAAAAAGGACTGGACAATACTTTTACCACTTTCCCTTCTCAGAAGTCAGACCTGTCCTCAGAATGCTACAGGGTACAGCCCATTTGAGCTCCTGTATAGACGCTCCTTTTTATTAGGCCTCAGTCTCATTCCAGACACCAGACTAACTTAGACTGTGCCTCAAAAAACTTGTCATCCCTACTATCTTCTTTCTAGTCATACTCCTATTCACTGTTCTGAACTACTCATACATACCCTGCTCTTGTTTACATTGCTGGTTTACACTGTTTCTCCAAGCCATCACAGCTGATATCTCCTGGTGCTATCCCCAAACTGCCACTCTTAACTCTTGAAGTAAATAAATAATCTTTGCTGACAGGACTATGCTGAATTTCCTTAGGCACTCTAATTAGATGTCCTAAGTCCTCCCAATTCTTAGACCTTTAATATCTGTTTTTCTCCTTCTCTTATTCCGTTTAGTTTTTCAATTCATACAAAACTGTATCCAGGCCATCACCAATAATTCTAAATGACAATTGTTTCTTCTAACAATATCACCTCTTACCACAAAATCTTCCTTCAGCTTAATCTCTCCCACTCTAGGTTCCCACGCCGCCCCTAATCCCGCTGGAAGCAGCCCTGAGAAGCATTGCCCATTATCTCTCCATACCAACCCCCAAAATTTTCGCCACCCCAACACTTTACCACTATTTTGTTTATTTTTCTTATTAATATAAGAAGACAGGAATGTCAGCCTCTGAGCCCAAGCTAAGCCATCATATCCCCTGTGACCTGCACGTACACATCCAGATGGCCGGTTCCTGCCTTAACTGATGACATTCCACCACAAAAGAAGTGAAAATGGCCTGTTCCTGCCTTAACTGATGACATTGTCTTGTGAAATTCCTTCTCCTGGCTCATCCTGGCTCAAAAGCTCCCCTACTGAGCACCTTGTGACCCCAACTCTGCCCGCCAGAGAACAACCCCCCTTTGACTGTAATTTTCCTTTACCTACCCAAATCCTATAAAACGGTCCCACCCCATCTCCCTTCGCTGACTCTCTTTTCGGACTCAGCCCACCTGCACCCAGGTGGAATAAACAGCCATGTTGCTCACACAAAGCCTGTTTGGTGGTCTCTTCACACGGACGCCCATGAAAGCTTTCTTTTCAATAATTTTAATTCTAAGGTCACTTTCTAGTCTCTGCAAAAAAAGATTCTATCAGTTTCTTAATGTTGCCACCACCATTCGGGGGCCTGCAGTTAGTATTTCTGCTTTACCCCTCACACATGTAGATTTGCCTAACCCCATGTAAGTACTTGCATATTAAGTCATGGTCTTTTCTGTTTCTACTTCTTTATTTGTCAAAGTCATGTATTCAATTATCTCACTATTTCATTCCTTGTATACTAGTTCTCCCATATTTCTACTCATATCATCACAATTTTATTCGTAAGGATGGATACTATGATGTAACACAAGCCATGAGCAGAATCCTACTTCAAGCTGAACAGAATGCTCAAGGTTACCACTATGCTGTATCTGACTCAAAGCATTTCTCCTGTCATTCCTCAACTGCAAGATGTTGCCAGCTTTGACTTCTTTTAACATCCCACTCCTTCCCAGTTACTTTGATTGATATTTTTATCACCCACAGGCAACTGAAAAAAGAAAAAAAACAACTTCTAGGCAAACATACTCTAAAACAACCAAAACAAGCCAGACTGTGAAGACTGGAATAAATCATCCTTCATTTGAAGCCATATATGGATATCCAACAGAAACAATAGCAATCAGGGAAACATGACCTTTCCAAATGAAAAAAGCAAGAGCCAGTGACGGAATGCATAAGCTTTCAAATAAAAATTTAAAAATAGCAATTCTAATAAAACTCAGCAAACTCCAAGGAAACACAGAAAATCAATTAAAAAACTTAGAAAAATTTAACAAAGGAACTGAAATACTTTTGAAAACCAAACATAAATTTGGGAAAGGAGAAAGATATTTGTTGAGCTAAAAAATGTATTGGAGGCTCTGAACAGCATAATGGATCAAGTAGAAGAAACAATCAGTGAGCTCAAAGGCTTCTGGAAAACAATCAGATAAATAAATTTAAAAACATGTGGAAAGAAACAAAATCATCTGCAAGATATACAGAATAACCTTAAAAGAGAAAATCTAGAAGTTATTGGCATTCAAGAGGGATTTGAGCAAGATCAAGAAAATATTCAAAGAAATATTAACAGAAAGCTTTCCAAACCTAGAGAAATATATAAATATCCAGGTACAAGAGATTAGAGATCACCAAACAGATTTAACCCAAATAAGACTACTCCAAGGCATATAACAATCAAAGTCTCAAAGAGGAAGGGTAAAGAGAGGATCCAAAAAGTAGCAAGGGGAAAAAAAAAGCTAAATGAGGAGAGTAAAGATCACCTGAAGACCATGAAGTGGAGCACCCAGAGGAGAAACTCCTTAATCTGAGGAATTTAGAAGTAATTGGACTTAGCTATTATCTAAAGCAGGCATCTGGTTCCAGGTTTCTTTCCCAAAATTTTTAAGTAACTAGAATTTTTTTTTTTTTTTTTTTTGTGAGATGGAATCTCACTCTGTCGCCCAGGCTGGAGTGCAGTGACGTGATCTTGGCTCACTGCAAGCTCCGCCTCCCAGGTTCATGCCATTCTCCTGCTTCAGCCTCCCAAGTAGCTGGGACTACAGGTGCCCGCCACCACGCCCGGCTAATTTTTTGTATTTTTTAGTAGAGACGGGGTTTCACCGTGTTAGCCAGGATGGTCTCGATCTCCTGACCTCGTGATCTGCCCGCCTCGGCCTCCCAAAGTGCTGGGATTACAGGCATGAGCCACCACGCCCAGTCTAAAATTTTTATATACCTCTGGAATACATGCTTATCAAAACTCATTGTGCAACCCTTGCTGACATTAAGGCATGAAAATTTCTACAAATGTAATCTTTTATATTGACCTATGTGGCTAATATGGATCAAATTACCCTTAAGCTCCTGCTTTAAGGTCCTTAAATACCCCTAAGGAAAAATTCACCCTGGCACACTCAGTTCTTTCTTGCTGAGATAGCCCAATGCACACTTCTGCAGTGTTCTTTCTTTCTAATAGAACTATCCTTTTTCAAACCTACACTGTTAGTTTACCAACCCATGAATTGACCACTTTCTGATGCCCGGGGTCTGACACATCAGCCAATACAAATAACACATAAAGGGGCTTTGATTTGTCGGGCAAAATACTTCTCAATGGAAACTATATAGACCAGGAGAGAGTGTGGCAACATATTCAAAATGCTGAAGGAAGAAAACCTGCCAACCAAGGTTACTGTATCAAGCAGATCATTCTTCAAATATGAAGGAGAGGTAAAGTCTCTTTCCCAGAATAATAAAAATAGAGGGTTTTTAATCACCACTAGACTTGTCTACATAAAAACTGAAGAGTGTTCTTTAATCTGAAAGAAAAAAAATTCCTAACGTTCAAAAAGAAAACATTTGAGGCTTTAAAACTCAATGAAAAAGGTGAATATAACAACAAACTCTCAATACTTTAATACTGTAATTGTGGTGTGTAATCCCCTCATATCACTAGTATCAAGACTAAAAAACAAATCTAACAAAAATAACAGTAAACTACAACAATCTGTTAAGAAATAAACAACATAAGAAGATGGTCATCTGTTCAAAATAACTTGTTGTAGCTATATGACTCTTTTTTCTAATATCATTGTAACCACAGAGCAAAATCATGTAATACACACAGTAAAATTAAAAAAGCAACAAATTAAACATACTGCCAGAGAAAAATCACTTAACCACAAAGGAAGACAGAAATAAGAGAAGAATGGAACAAAAGGGTTACAAAACAACCAAAGAACGAGCAACAAATGGTGGTAGTAAATTGTTTCCTATCAATAATATTATCAAATGTAAGTGAACTAATAGCTCCAATTAGAAGACGGAGTGGCCAAATGGATGGAATAACAAGACCTAACTGTATGTGTCTACTAGATATCCACTTCAGCTATAAAGACACATGTAGACTAAAAGTAAAGGAATGGGGAAAAAAATCACATGCAAATGGAAATCAAGAAAGATTAAAAGTGGTTGTACTTGTAACAGATAATATAGCCTTGTGAAAAGAGAATAAAAGGTCACTATATAATGATAAAGCAATCAATTCAGCAAGAGGATATAACAGTTATGAATATATATGCATCCAACACCAGTCATATTAAATATATAAAACAAACATTAATACTAAAAAAGACATAGACTAACATACCTTAATATTAGGGGACTTCAATATCCCACTGTAATTAATGAAAATATCATCCCAATAGAAATTTGTCAAAGAAACATGGAGTTATACTCTAGATCAAATGGACCTAACTGATAATTATAGAACATTTTATTCAACTGCTGCAGAACACATGTTCTTCTAATCAGTACATGAAACATTCTCTAGGATAGACCATATGTTAGGTTGCAAAATAAGTTTCAGCAACTTCAGAAGTGTCAAAAGCATATGAAGTATGTTTTCTGACTAATAGAATAAAACTATAAATCAATAACAAGAAAAGCTGTGAACACTATGCAAACACATGGAAATTAAACAACATGGTCCTGAGCAATAAATAGCTCATGAAGAAATTAAGAAGAACGTCAAAAAATTTCTTGAAACAAATGAAATAGATCATACAAAAATACAGAGAAAACATAAAAATCAGTACAAAAGGTAAGTTGATAGCAATAAATCCTATATCAAAAAAGTAGAAATATTTTAAATAAGCAACCTAATGATGTGGCTCAATAAACTAGAAAGTCAAGAACAAACAAAACCCAAATTAATACAAGGAAAAAAATAATAAATATCAGGGCAAAAATAAATAAAATTGAAACTAAAATATAATTTTAAAAAGCCAATAAAATAAAGTTGGTTTTCTAAAAAAAAGTAATATTAACAAAGCTTTAGCTAGACTAAGAAGAGAGAAGACCCAAATTAGTAAAATCAGAAACAAAAAAGGAGGCATAATGACTAATGTCACAGAAATACAAAACATCATTAGAAAGTATTATGAGCAAATATACACCAACACATTGTAAAACTTAGAAAAAACTGATAAATTTCTGGACATATACAACCAACCAAGACTGAACCATGTGGAAATAGTAAACCTGAGCAAACCACTGACAAGTAACAAGATGAAAGTAGTAATAAAAGTTTTTCCATCAAAGGAAATCCCAGGACCTGATGGCTTTGATGTGGAATTATACCAAATATTTTAAAAAGAACTAATATTAATTTTGCTCAAACTATTCTGAAAATTTTAGAGGAAGAAACACTTTTAAATTCATTCTGTGAGGCCAGCATTATCCTAATAACCAAACAAAAACTAAAGCAGCAAAATCACAACAAAAAAGAAAATCACATGTCGATATCTGTGATGAGTATAAAAACAAAATTCCTCAAGAAAAGAGTAGCAAACCAAATATAACACATTAAAAGATTATTCCCCATGTTCAAGTGGGATTCATCTCAGGAATGCAAGGATGAATCAACATATGCAAATCAATAAATGTGAAACATCCCATCTGGAACAGGAATTAAAAGAAATTAAAGACTGCATAAGCAAAAACTCAGTTGTATGTAAGAAAACCCAATTCCCCTTGAGGAAGAGAAAGGGCTGGAGTCCTTTAAAATTAACTGCCTGTTTTTCTGTCTGTGGCTAGTGAGCCTTATCTCTCCCTTTCCCAGGCATTGTGAAGACTGTTTCTCTAGCTGTGCAGCTGCAAAGTCACTAGAAAGATAATCTCAAGTTGTAAAACATGTTGTTCCTTGAAAAGTAAGAAATAATGTAATGCATGTCTTAACTGAATAACTGCCTTTGTTTCTCACTTCTGTAATACACTTCCTCCTGCACAGATCTCCCCCCACCCCACAAAATGCTTAAAAGGCAGCTTGACTCTTTGTTCAGGGCTCAGTCATTTGGATGTTAATCTGACTGGGTCGGTGCACCTAAATAATTAAATAATTCCTCCTCAACCCCTCAGTCTCTCTGATTCCTTAATTATCACACTGCACATCAACAGAATCAAACACACAAACCATATGATCATTTGAATAGATGCTGAAAACTCATTTGACAAAATACAACATCTCTTTATGATAAAACTCAACAAACTCTGTATAGATGAAACATATCTCAAAACAATAAAAGCCATATGTGACAAACCCACATTTCACATTATACACTGAATGGGAACGAATTACAAACATTTTCTTTTAGATTTGAAATGGAACAAGGATGTCCACTTTTACCACTTTTTAGTAGTAACTAAAAAGTAACACTTTAGTAGCAATTCCATGTTAGTGGAAGATTTAGCCAGAGCAATTAAGAGAAAAAAAAATGAAGGGCATCCAAATTAGGAAGAAAAAAAGTCAAATTATTCCTGTTTACTGATAACATGATAATGCTAAAAAGAGTTCTAATTCTTGAAACAAAACTCAACATGCACCGAAATAGAACCTATTGAAAGCATAAACTTCTCAGGGTCTATAAAATCATAACACAATGAAAAAAACCAAGTAGGCTACAACATGGTGAATGGAACAGTACCTCACATCTCAGCATTAACACTGAATGTAAATGGCCTAAATGCTTCACATAAAAGACACAGATTGACAGAATGGATAAAAAATCACAAACCAAATATCTGCTTTCTTCAAGAGACTCACCTAACATGTAAGGATTCACATCAATTCAAGGTGAAGAGGCGGAAGAAGATATTCTACAGAAATGGAAACCAAAAGTGAGCAGAAGTAGCTGTTTTATATCAAATAAAACAGACTTTAAAGCAACAACAGTTAAAATAAAAAGACAAAGAAGGACATTATATAATGATAAAAGAATCAATCCACCAAGAAGATATTATCATCCTAAATGTATATTCACCTAACACTTTAGGTCCCAGATTCATAAAACAATTACTACTAGAATAAGAAATGAGATAGACAGCAACACATTACTAGTAGGGCACTTCAATACTCCATTGACAGCACTAGACAGATCATCAAGACAAAAAATCAACAAAGAAACAAAGGATTAATCTACATTCTAGAACAAATGAACTTAACAGGTATTTACAAAATATTCTACCCAAAACTGCAGAGTATACATTCTTCTAATCAACATGTGTAACATTCTCCAACACATACTGTGTGAAAGGCCACAAAATAAGTCTCAATAAATTTAAGAATATAGAAATCATATCAAATACCTTCTCAGATCACAGTGGAATCAATCTAGAAATCAACTCCAAAGGAATACCCAAAACTATACAAATACATAGAAATTAAACAATCTGCTCCAGAATGACTTTTGGGTTAAAAATGAAATCAAGGTAAAAATTTAAAAATGTCTTGAAATGAATAATAATATTGAAACAAGTTATAAAAACCTCTGAGAGACAGCAAAAGCAATGCTAAGAGGAGAGTATAGCACTAAATCCCTATATCCAAAAGTCTGAAAAATCAAAAATTGACAAACTAATGTCACACCTCATGGAATTAAAGAAACAAAAACAACTAAACCCAAAGTTAGGGGAAGAAAAGAAATAACAAATATCACAGCAGAACTAAATAAAATTGAAACAAACAAAAAATATTTGAAATATCAATGAAAAAGAAAGCTTTGAAAACATAAATGAATTGATCAATCATTAGCTAGGTTAGCCAAGCAAAGAAGAAAGAAGACTCAAAGCTCAATTAGAAATAAAACTGGAGACATTACCACTGACACCATAGAAATACAAAAGATAATTTCAGACTACTATGATCACCTCTATGCACACAAACTAGAAAACCTAGAGGAAATGGATAAATTCCTGGAAACATACAATGCTCCTAGATTAAATCAGAAAGAAATAGGAACCCTGAAGAGACCAATAATAAGCAGCAAAATTGAATAAGTAATAATAAAAAAACAAACAAAAAAGAAGCCCAGGGCCAGATGGTTACATAGCTGAATTCTACCAGACATTCAAAGATGAATTGGTACCAATCCTACTGAAACTATTCCAAAAGATCGAGAAAGAAGGAATTCTCATTAAGTTATCCTATGAAGCCAGTATTACTCTAATACCATAAGCAGGAAAGGACATAACAGAAAGAAAAAGAAAGAAAACTACAGACCAATATCCCTGATGAACAACTGATGCAAAAATGTTCAACAAAATAACAGCTAACCAAATACAACAAGACAATAATACATCATGATCAAGTGGGTTTTATCTCAGGGATTCAGAGATGGTGTATTAGTCTGTTCTCACATTGCTATAAAGAAATACCTGAGACTGGGTGATTTATAAAGAAAAGATGTTTAATTGGGGTACTGTACTTCCAGTACAGTACAGACTGTACTGGAAACATAGTGGCGTTGGTTTCTTGGAGGCCTCAGGGAACTTACAATCATGATGGAAGGTGAAGGGCGAGCCATCACTTCACATGGTTCAGAGCAGGAGAAAGAAAGAGAGGTGGGAGGTGCTACACACTTTTAAACAACTGGATCTTGTGAGAACTGTATCATGAGAATAGCACTAGAAAGATGGTGTTAAACCATTCATGAGAAATGGCCCCCATGATCGAATCCCATCCCACCATGTTCTACCTCCAGCTTGGAGACTAAATTTCCACAGGAGATTTGGATGGAGACAGGGATCCAAACCATATCAGATGATTTACTATATACAAGTCAATAAATGTAATACATCACATACATATAATTAAAAACAAAAACTATATATTTATCTCAACAGATGCACAAGAAGCATTCAATAAAATCCAGCTTCCCTTTCTGAAAAAAAAAAAAAAACCCTCAACCAAGTAGGCATAAAAGGGACTTACCTCGAACTAATAGAAGCCATATATGACAAACCCATAGTCAACATCATACTGAATAGGGAAAAGTTGAAAGCATTTCCCCTAAGAAGTGGAATAAGACAAGTGTCCTCACTTTCACCACTTCTATTCCACATAGTAATGTAAGTACTAGCTAGAGTAATCAGGCAAGAGAAAGAAATGGTATCCAAATTGGAAAAGAGATATTCAAATTATTGCTGTTCACCAAAGATAGGATCATATACCTAGAAAATCCTAAGAACTCTGCCAAAAGATTTCTAGATTTAATAAATGAATTCAGTTAAGTCTCAGGTTACAAAATCAGTGTATACAAATCAGTAGCACTGCTATACATCGACAATGACCAAGCTGAGAATCAAATAAAAAACTCAATTCCTTTAAAAACAGCTGCAGAAAAAACAAAACAAAACAAAAAACAACCTAGGAATATACTTGACAATGGAAGTGAAGGATCTGTAAAAGGAGAAGTACAAAACACTGCTGAATGAAATTATAAATGACACAAACAAATGGAAATACATCCCACACTCATGGATTGGAAGAATCATTCTTGTGGAAGGTATACTCCCCAAAGCAATCTATAGATACAATGTACTTCCTATCAAAATAACAACATCACTTTTCACAGAACTAGAAAAACAATTCTAAAATCCATATGGGACCAAAAAGGAGCCCACATAGCCAAAACAATTCTAAGCAAAAAGAACAAACCTGGAGGCACACTACCTTACTGGACTTCAAGTTATACTACAAGGCAATAGTTATTAAAACAGTTTGGTACTGTCATAAAAGTAGTCACATAGACCAGTAAAACAGAACAGAAAACTTGGAAGTAAAGACAAATACAACCAATTGGTCTTCGATCAAGCACACAAAAATGTAAACTGGGGAAGGACACCCCATTTAATAAATGATGCTAGCAAAACTGGCTAGCCACATGTAGAAGAATGAAACTGGATCCCTTAAGCAAAAATTAACTCAAAATGATCCAAGACTTAAACCTAAGACCTAAAACCATAAAAAATTCTGGAAGATAACCTTGGAAAAACTCTTTTGGACATTGGCCGAGGCAAGGAATTCATGACTAAGACTCCAAAAGCAAATGGAACAAAAATGAAAATAAATAAATGAAACCTGGTTAAATTTAAAAAGCTCCTGTACAGTAAAAGATAATTATCAGAGTAAACAAACAACCCATGGAAAGGGAGAAAATGTTTGCAAACTAGGCATCTGACAAAGAACTTGTATTCAGAATCTACAAGGAACTCAAACAACTCAGCAAGAAAAAAACAAACAATACTATCGAAAAGTGGGCAAATAACATAAACAGACATTTCTCAAAAGAACATATAAAAATGGCCAGCTGGGCATGGTGGCTCACGCACGCTTGTAATCCCAGCACTTTGAGAGGCCAAGGCAGGCAGATTACCTGACGTCAGGAGATCAAGACCATCCTGGCTAACACGGTGAAACCCCGTCTCTACTAAAAATACAAAAAAATTAGCCGGGTGTGGTGGTGGGCACCTGTAGTCCCAGCTACTCGGGAGGCTGAGGCAGGAGAATGGTGTGAACCTAGGAGGCGGAGCTTGCAGTGAGCCGAGATCGGGCCAATGCACTCCAGCCGGGGGACAGAGTAAGACTCTGTCTTAAAAAAAAAAAAAAAAAAAAAAAAAAAGGCCAACAAACATATGAAAAAAAATGCTCAACAGCACTAATTATCAGAAATACGAATTAAAACTACAGTGAGATGCCACCTTACTCCTGCAAAAATGGCCATTATTAAAAAGTTAAAAAACAATACATTTCAGCATGGATGTGGAGAAAAGGGAACCCTTGTATACTCTTGGTGGGAATGTAAATTAGTATAACCTCTATGGAAAATGGTATGGAGATTCCTTAAATAACTAAAAGTAGATCTACCATTTGATCCAGCAATCTCACTACTGGGTATCTATCCAAAGGAAAAGAAATCATTATATGAAAAAGACACATGCACACATATGTTTATTTTAGCCCAATTCACAATTGCAAAGAAATGGAATCAACCTAAGTGCCTATCAACCAACGAATGGATAAGGAAAATGTCATATATGTGTACACCATGGAATACCACTCAGCCACAAAGAGGAACACAAAACAATGTCTTTTGCAGCAACTTGGGTGGAGCTGGAGGCCACTATTCTAAGTGATGTAACTCAGGAATTTAAAGCCAAATTCTGTCTATTCTCCCTGATAAGTGGGAGCTAAGCTATAAGTACACAAAGGCATACAGAGTGATATATCGGACTTCAGAAACTCAGAAGGGGGATGATGGGAGGGGGCTTGATATAAAACTACACACTGGGTACAATGTACATTACTCAGGTGACAGGTGCACTAAAATCTCAGAATTCACCACTATATAATTCATCTACATAACTAAAAACTACTTGTACCCCAAGCTCTATTTAAAAATTTTTTTATGGATTTTAAAAATTAAAAGCCTAAAACCTCAACCAGAAAAAAAACTATTAGAACCAATAAATTCAGTAAAGTTTTAGGATGCAATATAAACAAACATTTATATACTGCAATAGAGAACAAACTGAAAAAGAAATCGCTTCCATTTACAATAGGTGCAAAAATGTAAAATACCTAGGAATAAATTTAACCAAAGGAATTAAATATCTCTACAATAAAAACTACAGAACACTGATGAAAAAAATTTAATATGATAGACAAAAAATGGAAAGACATCTCAAGTTCATGGATTGAAAGAATTAATATTGTTAAAATGTCAATACCACCTAAAGTGACCCACAAATTCAATTCAATTTCTATCAAAAGACCAACACAATGACATTCTTCACATAAACAAAAAAAAATCTAAAATTTGTATAGACCCACAAAAGACCCTAAATAGCCAAAGCATTCCTGAATAAAAAGAATCAAGCTGATAGCATCATACTATCTGACTTCAAAATATACTACAAAGCCATAGTAAACAAAACAACATGGTACTGGCATATAAACAGACACATAGATATATAAGCATATAAATAGAACCCATAGAATTGGGTTCTCTATATTGGGACATTTTAAGGAGGGAACAGAAGAGAAGATCAGAGTAATGCAATGTGATAAGAACAAACTAGAGAACCCAGAAATAAATCTAGACATTTACAGTCAATTTACTTTTCACAAAGACAATAAGAACATATTTTACATTGCAGAAAGGTCTGGTCAGTGGATTCATCTGAATACACACATTTGTTGAATAAGTTTGCCATCCTATATAGTAACAGCTTGTGTCATCCCAAAATAATTACAATAGTAATATCGAAGGTCACTAATCAGAAAGCACTGTGGATATATTAATAATGTATGTGGATATATTAATATAATAATGTATGTGGACACATTAATTAATAATGTGGATATATTAATAATGTAAAGTTTGAAATATTGCAGCAATTGCAAAATGTGGCACAGACACAAGGTGAGCACCTGCTTTTGGAAAATGTTCCTAATACAGTTGCTGAATGCAGGATCACTATAAATGATCAATTTGTGAAAAATGCATTATCTGCAAAGTGTGAAAAAGCAAAGTGCAATAAAACAAAGTATGTTTGTATATCTTCAACTTATTAAATAATGGCTGTTTTTTTCTAAAAGCTTGTACCGGTTACATGCTGGTGCAAGTATCCCTGACAGACACTCCCCAAATCGGTGCTTAAATTTCTCATGCTTCATGTCGTCACCAGTATTTGAAACTGTCAAACATTAAAAATTTTAGCCAGGGTATGCTGGGCATGGTGGCTCACACCTGTGATCCCAGCACTTTGGGAGGTGTAGGTGACCCTAGGCCTAGGTGGGCTGGAAGTTCAAGACCAGCATGGCCAACATAATGAAACCCCATCTCTGCTAAAAATACCAAAACAAATTAGCCAGGCATGGTGCTGCACATCTGTAATCCCAGCTACTTAACAGGCTGAGTCACCAGAATAACTTGAACCTGGTAGGTGGAGGTTGCAGTGAACCAGGACTGTGCCACTGCACTCTAGCCTGGGCAATAGAGTGAGATTCTGTCTCAAAAAAAAAAAAAAAAAATCAATCAATCAATCAATAATAAAAATAAAAAATCCCAGCACTTTGGGAGGCCTAGGTAGTCCGGAAGTTGGAGACCAGCATGACCAACATAATGAAACCCCATCTCTACTAAAAATACCAAAACAAATTAGCCAGGCATGGTGTTGCACACCTGTAATCCCAGCTACTCAACAGGCTGAGTCACCAGAACCACTTGAACTTGGCAGGTGGAGGTTGCAGTGAA
This sequence comes from Homo sapiens, assembly GCF_000001405.40. Taxonomy (NCBI): domain Eukaryota; kingdom Metazoa; phylum Chordata; class Mammalia; order Primates; family Hominidae; genus Homo; species Homo sapiens. The sequence continues at coordinate 145,539,134 of NC_000003.12, read as the reverse complement.
TCAGGACTGTGCCACCACACTCTAGCCTGGGCAACAGAGTGAGACTCTGTCTCAAAAAAAAAAAAAAAAATTAGCCAGGCATATTATTTTAATTTTATTTGTTTATTTATCTATCCAATTAGTAAGGAAGTTGAATACCATTTTGTATGTTTGTTGGCTATTTGAATAATCCTGTTTGTGGTAGTGCTTATTCTACTTTCTTTTTATCAAACTGAATTGAAAGCAAAATGTGAAAAACAACATTATTAAATTTTGAAAAGAAAACATAGAAGCATATCCTCATGACCTAAGAGTAGAGAAGGACTTGTTAAGCGATATGCAAAAATATTCAATGTAAAGAAAAAGATTGAGACAATAAGCTTTAAATTAGACATTTTACCAAAAGAGACATTGAGGATTGTAAAAAGGTAAGACAGTTAGGAGATGATATTTGTAACTAATATAGCTGAAATAAATTAAGAATTTTTACCTTTAGTATTTTGATGGGTTAGTGCCAACCAATTTTAAAATGTCAAGATTCAAGGCATGTTAGATTTCCTGGGATAGGAGAAGGAGAGGGACTGTGACTCTACCTGATGACTCTGATTGAAAGGAGACCAGAGGAATGTAAGTTATTTTCTAACATTTCCTTTATTTTTATTTTATTTTTATTTTGTGTGTGTATTTTGCTTTTGCTAATTAGATTTAGCCTTTACTTCTCTAATTATCCAGGAAAGTCATTGCCCCTGGAGGAAATTAGCAATCTATAAGGAAAGCCCTGCTCTCACTTTTGTAAGGCTAGTTCACAAAAATTTCTTTTACCTTAATTTTTATAAGTTACCAATATATTTTCTCTGTGTGCATTTTACATCATGGCTAGAAAGTCTGCCCCACATCTATCTTTTTCTTTAATATGCTATGATTTATATTTTACTTATAAATTTTGAAAATTTTTCCTGGCATATGGTAAAGAATGAATCTAATTTTATCTCGTTCCTTATGGACAAAATCCAAATGTCCTAGCACTACTCATTGTATTATTTTATTACAGATATTTTATAATGTGTCCAATAGAATAGCATAACACCTAATATAATATATCTCAAAAGCCAGATTCCCTGATTGCCACTGCCTTCATGCCCATATTAACCTTGCTTATCCTTTGTTCCACTGCTATTACACAGAAGCGTCTATTTTGGAAGACAAAATAGCACCCTTCCCCCAAGATGTCTAAATCTTAATCCCTAGAACTTGCTGATATGTTATAATACATGTCAAGGGGGAGTTAGAGTTGCCAATCAGCTGACTTTACAATAAGGAAGTTATGCTGCCTCTTCTGGGTGGGGCCCATGTAATTCTAAGAATCCTAAAAGTGTAAGAAGGAAGAGAAGAGAAGATCAAATTGATGTGTTGTGAAAAGGACTGCACTCACTGTTGCTGGATTTGAAGATAGAAGAGGTGATTATGAGCCAAGAAATACAGCCAGCCTCTAGAAATTGGAAAAGGCTCAGAAATGGATTATTCCCTAGAATATCCAGAAAGACATATAGCCCTCCTGCCACCTTGATTTTTAATCCAGTGAGACTTGTGTTGGATTTTTAAACCTACAGAAATTAATGCAATAAGTTTGTGTTGTTTTAAGAAATTAAGTTAGTACTAATAGGTTAATCTACTGCTGATGGCAGTATAAACTATTACAGAGGAGTATATCATTTTTGATCTGGATATCTTCTTGTTTTATCATTTTGTATTTCATATACCATGGCCATGTTTTTGGGAGAAAGAACAGTCTTGAAACAAGTTACTTGCTCATCTTCACTAGAAGTATGCTAATCATTCTTCCACTATATCCTCTGCAGTTGTGAGATATGTAACTTGGGTGTTATTTTCCTCTGATGTATTCCTTTTGAGAAGGCAATCATCTGCATTTTTTCCATGTAACCTGGTTACGTTGGCCTCTTGCTTGGGTACCAGCACTTCCTGCTCTCCTTTAACTTAGCTTTTGCTTTCAGGCTCAAACGTCTATTTGATGGCATATTCTTTACATTTTTTTTCTTATGAGTGAACTCAGTAATAAGTATGAATTCATTTGCTTGCAAGTGAACAATTATCTGCTGTTTAAAGATAATCTTGCCTTTCTTTACTTCTCTGAGCTGCACAATAGCATACAGGGGGCATTTTTCAATTAGACTAATAACTAATCTAATACAGCATTCAATGTATCATAGTACTGCCAAGATCAATTTCAGCATATTTTATGTCCTGTATTTAGTACATATCACATCCTTTAAATTTCTATTTTCAAAATTTATATTGTGCATTTCCTCAGGACACAGGCAGTATCTGTATTAACAACCACAGTTACTGTGTCATGTGAAACACTTCAAAAAATATTTTAACACTTGTTCTGATATTCCCATTTGTTTGCCTCTTAAATCAGTCTGTCTTTTATGTAACCACTTTGCAAGGCTGTCTCAGTCTTCAAGAGCTTGTTCACCAATAGCTCTCACTGTACACACCTTAACAATATGACTCCACATGCTTTTTTGGATCTGGGATACCTCTAAAAGAATCACTTCAGCCTGACTTTTTACATTTTTCTTTGGGTAATAATTACACTCTTGGCTCTAGTAATACCTAGGACATCTTTTTTTTTAATATTTTCAAAAGCAACTAGACCCAGGTTCATTTATTTTTCTCTTTCATGTCTACCTACTCTGTTCTCTAAGATCTTAAATGTTGTGCTAAGGAATTCTCTCTCTTCCTCGGTTTAACCAGCATATTTTGCTTTACAATTGTTTTATGCCCATGCTGCTTCACACTGCTCCTATTTTGAAGGTAAAACTAAATAAACATGTTTTTAAATCAAATTCCATTATTATTTGACTTCATAAGAAAATCCAATTTCTAGAAAGAGACTCTACTGTGCACACATGTTTCAAATTCCTATTTTAGTCTTTGGTTTGTAATAACTTCAATACATTTTTTTCTTTACTGAATCCAAAGAGAAGGCATGCCCCTTTCATAATTAAGACTCCTGTTACTTTCTCATGTTTTTTTTATTAAACTCTACCTCTATGAATGGTAGTGACAGTCTAGCAATCTGAAATTTAAATCCAAGGATGATGCTTATGTGATTAAGGCATCCAGAATAAATAGAGGCCCATGTTGTAGATGGCAGATATTTAGCATGGGCTAGCTACATGAATCCACAACTTAGTTTGTACAGTTTAGTTTGACACTGGAAGTAAAAACAACAGAAATTACAAATTTAGATAGTGAACTTAATGTCTCTTAACAATCAGCGAAAATAGCTGTGAAAGAGAAAAAGAAATAAACCTAGGTTTAGTTGCTTTTGAAGAGATTTCAAAAGAAAGATATCTTGGATATTGCTAGAGCCAGAAACGTAATTATTATCCAATAAAATAAAAAAAAGTAAGGCTGGGGTATTTCTTTCAGAGGGATCCCACATCCAAGCACTTTTTATTTAAAGGCATGGACATTAATTATTAATTCATAGGACTTTCTATTTAAAGACATAAATCTATGCAGAATTTAGCTTATGTATGATCCTGGACTCCAACCTGGCTGAAAAATACAGTAAACACAATGAAACACTATTCTTCCCACGAGTGCATGAAAATTCTGAGGCCAAAGAAAAGAGAAGTTAACTAGAAGTTGGGGAAGCTGATTATGGGAAGTGTGTTTCAATCAGAGAAATGGTATGTGCATTGTTGCTAAGTATGAAACATAATTCGTCCAAAACAATGCAGCATGGCTAGACTGTAGATTACGTATTACAACTAGGGGGCAGGAAATAAGGTGAGGATAAAGAGATAGGACAGTAGAAGAAATGTCCCATGGGTCTAGCAAATCATGTAAAAAAATTAGTTCCTCACTTCAGTATTAACGGGATGACCACAAGGAAATATTTTAAGGAAGGAGTAAAAGATGCTTCTATTAAATAGATTATTCTGGCAGCTCCATGAGAAATGGATTGAACACATATCTATAAGTCAAGAAGGTTCACTGAGGAACTGTCAGAATCATCCAGGTAAAAGATGGCTGTGATTTTTTAAAAACATATAGTAAAGAGAGAAAATTGGTGGATGCATTTGGGAGGTATTAAGTAAATAAAAACCACAAGACCTGAGAAAATGCTGGCTTATCACAGCACTGAATCATATTGTAATAGAATTGTTTATTATTCAATGTCTCTCAATAGACTGAAAGCTATGTGACAGCAATGGAGCAGATATCTATAAATGGTTTTGTCTAGATTAGATTAACAATGGGTAAAATGTAAGTAAAATCATTGAGAAAATTAAAAGGAAAGAGCTTCTGGTTAGAGGTTGCAATATTTGTGTTTTCAGAAATTGAATCTTTTTTGTGATAAATTCTTGGATTACCAAAAATGGTTAGAGACAGTCACAGTAAGGAAGCATGAAAGTGTTTAGGAGAGAGGAGATGTAATGATGGACGATAGAAAAAGTGTTTTATATATGCAGGGAATATTTCCTCCTGGATTTTTCTAAAAGTGTTTTCGTAGAAACTCTCAGTTGAAGCACCGATAAGCGCAACAAAATTCACATAGTATTTGCCTTAGAGAATGTGTATGAGAAACAGTAGACTAAAATATTCCAGCTTCTTTTGTCTCCACATAAACAGAAACCACCAGAAACAGGGAAGGATGCACACAAACACAGTAAAAACAAATGATATACCAATACCTCAGAATGAGGAAAGCCATTTTCTTCTTATAGAGGGTCTTTGAATTACTTCCAGGACACTTAAGTAAATGAGGGACACAGGCTTTGTTTCAACTTTTTCATCAGGCATTTAGTTCTTATGGTGATATAAGTGGTCATTTGAATATAGTTTATTACGTTAATAGAAAAAAACAGTCCTCTCAATGGCCTAGGAATGCACTTATTCATTTTTATTTTTATACTATTTCTGATGACAGCCAAAGTCAAGCTAGCTTTAGTTTAGAAAGGACCCAAGATACAGTCTATTTTAGCAAGCAAATGAACTGGCTTCATTGGTATGTGTCAAACTGTGTCTCTTCTAAATGATTTTCAAAAACTGGTTCATTAACTTGTTTTTGGAAATTGTGTGCTGAATAATGTGATATCAATGACTTAGAACTGCTTACTTGGTTCATTAGCATGTCATCTGGGAAAGCAGAATTGTCTTAAATGAAATGGCTTTAGTTCAACTATCCTTAGGGCTCATTATCTGCATATAAATGTGTGTGTGTATGTATGTGTGTGTGTGTGTGCGTGTGAACAAACTGAAATTTTTCCTATAGTTGGAGCCAATAGTATTGACTTTCTTCTCATTTATGATTTTGATACAATATTTTTGTTTGACTGTAGTGGTTCTAAAGGTCAGGAAAGATATAAATAGCAGCAATTCCAGCAATTCCTGGAGTGTAAACCATGGCAGAAAGATGAAGTAACTATGAAGGGAATGATTAGGAATGTTTAATAACATTCTTATGAGGGGGCTCAAAATATTAAGGCCAGAATTAGATTATTTTTATATAAATCTTTGGATTTATTCATTATACTTTAAATAAGAAACCTCATCATGCCCTATGCAGTCTGGAGACCATTATCCTAAGTAAACTAATGCAAGAACAGAAAACCAAATATAGCATATTCTCACTTAAAGTGGGAGCTAAACCCTGTATACACATTAATGTAAAGATGAAAGCAATAGACCCTGGGGACCACTAGATAAGAGAGGATGGGAAGGGAGTGTGGGCTGAGAACAGCCTATTGGGTACTGTGCTTACTGTCCGGGTGATGGGATCGTTGGGACCCCAAGCATAGACACTGGGGACCAATAGATAAGAGAGGATGGGAAGGCAGTGTGGGCTGAGAACACCTGTTGGGTACGGTGTTTACTGCCTGGTGGCCCAAGCTTCAGCATCATGCAGTATACCCATGTAACAAACCTGTTTGTGTACCCTTTAATCTATGATAAAAGCTGAAATTGTAAAAACAATTAGCATTTTTACTTTTAACTAAGTTTTAAATTACTCAAACACCTACAAATAACTTAGGGAAGTTTGGTTAAGTAACATAATTAGTTTTATAGAATTTTTCGTGCAATAGGACATCAGTAGTGTTTCTAAAATAAATGTCTTGCTGTTGTAATTTTTAAAAAATTCAACATGGATAATATACATAAAATTATAAAATAAAAATTAAACAATGCAAAAAATGCACCAAGACAAAATGTTGATGCAAATAACAAAACTGCCTAATTAACTGATGCAAATAACAAAAGCAGTCTAATTTGTTGAGATGGTAGGACTTTCAAACTTTCAGAGAAGTAACAATTCATCATCAAACAAGATCAATAACTTTCTAATGAAGTAACTCAAAGGATAGGATTTTCCTAATGATTTAATACTCCAGAAACATTCTCAGGACCATAGAGTTGATGAGACTAATGATGCTATCTGAACTTAATAGAAACTGAAAGACTGGCGTGTGTAAACCAAAGTACCAAGATATTGATTTAGATCAATAATGTAAGTTACACGAAAGTTTTAAGTTGACATGAACATTCTTTGCTCAAGGAAAAGTATTTGGAAAGTCAAATTATTAAATGATTGCATGGCCTGCAGAAATTCACAACAATCAATTATATAATTCAAAACTGTAATGGCATTAAACTGATTGGACTGCCTTAACAATATGATTTATGCCCATCAAACTGAACAGATGTTTTCCTTGCAATATAGGGCATCATTGCTCTAGGGCAGAATTTCAACTAGCAAGGATAGTGTTTCCCTCTGTAGTTGACTACTGTTATTTGTAACAGTCCCAAAAGTTTTGACTACCATTTCTATATTCTGATCATGTTCCACAGTGTGGAGATACCACATTTTCAACATGCTTTCACGCAAACTCACTCCAAAGTCACACTTTGACAAAGCCTTTCTGTGTCCTGGCAGCATAAGAATTCTGGAAAGTGTGAGTTTGGAGTTGCCCAAACTGACACTTCTCAGAATTCTTATGCTGCCAGGACACAGAAACAGACAGGTTTTGTCAATAAAAAGACACATCCATATGCAGCTGAAAATGGATGGCTCCATTTTTTGGGAAAGGTAAAGGGTAGATTTTGTGTCAGTGGTAGCAATTGCTGCTTTTCCGGTTAGTTCTGCAATAATTCTGAGAATATTCCTAAGAAGTTCCAGTTATAATCTTGTACCACCCTTTACAAACATATGTTACTAATACCTGGAAATAAGTTCCTGCTACTTAATCTAGCTAGGGTTATTTATGTTTTCTACACTGAAGAACTCTGCATGCCACAGTCTATCACCTTCATAAAGTGTTCTATTTCTGACTACACCGGTTTGGTACCATGGTATTTTTGGGTGTATGTTAGCTCATTATATTTAGAAAACTATCACAACAGTATTCAATGCCATTTGCACCATGTACTAAGCAAAAGACCAGGATAGAAACTTTACTTCTATGAGTGTAGAAAATGAGTCTCTTATTTTGAAACCACATTTCAAATGTGGTTTGTTATGAGATAACTAAGATTTAAACCAGGGTTATTTTTCACCATAAAGTCCTTACCTCATAACATATTATATTGGAATAATTTGTATAATTATTATCTTACAATTCTATATTATTTTCATAAAAATATATAAGATATTTTGATCCAATGCATCAATTAATCTCACAATATTTGTCATATTACTGCTACTAGATTTTTTATTTAATGATTACTCTTATTTTGTTGTCTCATACATAAGTGTGTAGAAGTAACTGAGAATATTTTTAAATATACTAATGTGCATCAAAACCAATTGTCTTGATAAGCAATAAAAGAAGATGATTTATTAAAAATTGATTTATAAAGGAAGCTATTGTTTCCAAGGTACCTACTAAAAGATGAGCTTCAAGCAATCAAAAGGTGACTGAAAGAACAATATAAATAGATGGATGGGTAAGTATTTTATATATTAATTATAGAGTTATTAAACAATTATTAATATTGTATTATTAAATATGATAGTTTACTTTTTAATTATAATCTTTTTATTGTGATAATTGAATATTGTTCATAATATTTCTGTTCTGTGAAAACTCATATTTTCCTTGTGTCTAGTACATGATCCATTTTCATGAAAGTTCCATGAGTGCTTGGAAGCAGGTACATTCTGTATTATCAGAGCATAGTGTTCTATATATATTCAAAACATATACTTTATGTCTTTTAAAGATTTTACATCCCAAATTAGTTTTGTTCACTTGCCTGTCTCATGTGAGAATGAAGTGTTGTCTTCTGTTATCAGCATGTTCTTAATTATTATTGCATCTTCCCTAGTTTTTGTTTAATATAGATATTTATTTATTATTTGTTTGCCAAATGATAGGCTCAACAGCTATCTGCATTTTAGAAGGTGGCTTTTAACATTATAAAGTATGACTTTTCTGTTTCATTTAGTGCTCTTTAGGTTGAAGTCTACTTTGATATCAGAATTGCAAATTCTGTTTTCTTTTTGTTTCATTTTTCTGGTAAATCTTTATGGATTTTCTTATTTTTCATCTATACGAATCAATGTATTTTAATGTGTCTCTTGAAAACAGCATAGAATTAGATGTCGTTTTAAGAGCCAATTTTAAAACCTTTTCTTTTAAATAGGCCCATTTCTATTTGTTATTATTCTCATGTTTGATCTCAACTCTGCTATATTATGTTCTAATTACTGTTTATATTATTTTATATTTACTGTGTTTCTTTTTCTTTGATTATCTTTGTTTTTATGCCTCTAATTTCTCTGGGTTTTTAGGAAAGTTTGCCTTTCGATTCTGGTAGTTTTTGTGTATTAATGCTTTTTGGAGACCTTTAAACTCCCTTTTTCTTATTTAACATTTTACTTTCCATCAATTTTAAATCGTATCCTTTGAATCCAGTCTGTTCTCCTATACTATAGTCAATTTATATTTTTCTACTTCCTCTTTTTTTCCTGCTTCCATCTTATTAGGTGCATTATTTCTTCATCAAAACAATGTTGACTATTTTTCAATATATGGACCTACCCTTGTTTTACTCTTAGCTTTAGAAATAAATATATAAAATACTTACCCATTAGTCTGTTTACATTGTATTGTCGTCATTTTTTGGTTGGTTGAAGCTAATCCTTTAGAAGATTCCTTGGAAAGATTTTACAAGTATTATCTGAGTTCCAATACATTAAAAACTGTTTTGCTTTAATCTTGAAACTTCAAGGACAAGTTGGTTTGCATTTCTTAAGTTTTTTGGTTTTTATTTTAATTTCCTGTTTCTTGAAAATTATCCATGATGTTACCTTCTTTTTTGTATTTTTAAAGTAAATTGATGTATTCAGATTCTCTTACATTTGTAGTACATTTTATGTCTTTGCCTGTGGTCCTGAAAACTTTCTTTTTTTTTTTGGTTAATTTTGTGACTACATAGTAGGTATATATACATATTTGTGGTATACGTGAAATATTTTGATGTAGGCATACAACGTATAATAATCACATCAGGGTAACTTGAGTACACATCACCTCAGCATTTATTCATTTTATGTTACAAACAATCCAATTGTACTCATATAGATATTTTAAACATACAATAAATTATTGTTGAGTGTAATCACCCTATTGTGCTGTCAAATAGTAATTCATATTCATTCTATTTACATTTTTTAATCCATTAACCATGCCCGCTTCCCTGAAACCACTGCCTTTCCTAGCCTCTGGTATCCATCATTCTACTCTCCGTCTCTATGTGTTCAACTGTTTTAATTTTTACCATTCACAAATAAGTGAGAACATGCAAAGTTTGCCTTTGTGTATCTGGCTTATTTCACTTAACAGAATGTCTCCAGTTCCATCTATGTTGTTGCAAATGACAAGATCTCATTCTTTTTTATGGCTCAATAGTACTGCATTGTGTATATGTACTTCATTTTTATAATCTATTCATCTGTCAATGGACATTTAGGTTGCTTCCAAATCTTGGCTATTGTGAATAGCGCTCCAATAAACATGTGAGTGCCAATATATCTTTGACATACTGATTTCCTTTTTTAGGTACATACTTAATCTTTGTGATTGCTGAATCATATGGTATTTCAATAGTTAGTTTTTTGAGAATTTCCAGTGTTTTCCATAATAGTTATTCTAATTTCCATTCCCCCTACCAGTGTAAGGGGGTCCCCTTTTCTCCACATCCTTGATGGCATTTGTTATTGCCTGTTTTTTGGGCAACAGCCATTTAACTGGGATGAGATGATAACTCATTGTTGTTTTGATTTGCATTTCTCTGATCATCAACGATGTTGAGCACTACTTCAAACACTCTTTGCCATTTGTATGTCATATTTTGAGATATGTCTATTGCTATCTTTAGATAAATTTTAAAATAAGATTATTAAATTTTTTTCCTATTGGATTGTTTAAGCTCCTAATGTGTTCTGGGTATTAATCCCTTGTCAGAGGGGTAGTGTGCAAATATTTTTCTCCCATTCTCTGGGTTATCTTTCCCCTTGCTGATTGTTTTCTTCATTGTGCAGAAGCTTTTTAATTTGATGTGATCCCATTTGTCCATTTTTGCATAGGGTATTACTCAAGAAATCATTGCTCAACATGTGTCATAGAGAATTTCCCCAGTGTTTTCTTTTAGTTTTTTAATAGCTTGAGGTCTCAAATTTAAGTCTTACCCGTTATTTGATTTTTGTAAATGGGGAGAGATAGAGTTTAAATTTTATCCTCCTATATATGGATATCCAGATTTCCCAGCACTATTTATTGAAGAAACTGTCCTTTCCTCAGTCTACATTCTTTGCACCTTTGTAAAAAATGAGTTCACTGTAGATACATGGATTTATTTCAGGGTTCTCCTTTCTGTCCCATTGGTCTATGTGTCTGTTTCTATGGTAGTACCATGCTATTTTGGTTACTAAAGCTTTGTAGTGTAATGTGAAGTTATCTAATGAACCCTCCAGTTATGTACATATATATATATATATATTTTTTTTTTTTTTTTTGAGACAGGATCTTGCTCTGTTGCCTGCGGTGCAGTGGAATGATATGATTATGGCTCATGGTAATCCTCAAAGTCCTGAGCTCAAGAAATCCTCCCACCTTAGCTTCACAAGTAGCTGGCATTACAGGCATGCACCCCTGCCACTAATTTTTTATTTTGTAGCGATGGGTTATCACTTTGTTGCCTAGGCTGCTCTTGAACTCCTAGCCTCAAGCAATCCTCCTGCCTTTGACTCCCAAAGGACTGGGATTACAGGCATTAGCCACTGTGCCTGGCCCCAGTTTTGTACTTTTTGCTCAGGATAGTATTGACTATTCCAGGTCTTTTCTGGTTCTTTAAAAATTTCAGGATTAATTTTTCTATTTCTGCGAAGAATGTCATTGTTATTTTGCTAGGGATTGTCTTGACTCGTAACCTGCTTTGGGTAGTATGAATATTTTAGCAATATTGATTCTTCTAGCCCATTGACATAGAATATCTTTCCTTTTTTTTTGTCCTGTTCCATTTCTTCCATCATTATAGTTTTTATTATAGAGATTGTTCACTTATTTGATTAAGTTAAATGCAAGGTTATTTAACTTTATTTGTAGCTATTGTAAATGAGATTACTTTCTTGATTTTTTTCAGATTATTTTCTTTTAGCATATAGAAATGATACTGATTTTTGTATGTTGACTTTGTGTTCTGCAACTTTACTGAATTGTTTATCAGTTATAATAGTTTTCAGGTGGAGTAGTTAGGTTTTCCCGAATATAAGTTCATATCATCTGCAAACAGGATCATTTGACTTCTTCCTTTCCATTCAGCATGGCCTAAATATCTTTCTCTTATCCAAATGCTCTAGTGAGGACTTTCAGTACCGTGTTGAATAACAGTGGTGAAAGGGGACATTATTGTCTTGTTCCAGATCTTAGAGGAAAGGCTTTCACTTTTTCCCTATTCAATATGATACCAGCTGTGGGTCTGTCATAAATGGTTTTCATTGTGTTGAGATATGTTCACTCTATACCTAGTTCTTTTAGGGTTCTTATTATGAAAGAAGTCGAATTTTATCAATTACTGTTTTAGCATCAATTAAAATGATCATATGGATTTTGTCCTGTATTCTGTGGATGTGATGTATGATACTGATGGATTTGCATACACTGGACCATCCTTGCATCCCTGAGATAAATCCTACTTGTTCATGATGAATGATCTTTTCTTTCTAATGTGTTGTTGAATTCAGTTTGCTAGTTATTTGTTGAGGATTTTTGCACCAATGTTCATCAGGGATAGTGACCTGTGGTTTTCTTTTTTTGATGTGTCTTTGTCTGGTTTTGGTATCAGGATAATGGTGGCCTCATAGAATGAGTTTAGAAGTATTGCCTCCTCTTCTATTTTTCAGAATAACTTGAGTAAGATTGGTATTATTTCTTCTTTAAATCTTCAATAGAATCCAACAGCAAAGCCATCAGGTCATGGACTTTTCTTTGTTGGGATACTTTTTATTATAGCTTCAATCTCATTATTGTTATTGTTCTATGCAACACTCTAATTAAAAGTAAAATATCGCAATAAAAAAGCACGAACTAACCATATGCTATTTAGAAGAGAAGAACTATATATATATATTTTATATATGTATGTATATATATACACATATATAAATGCAAATATTAATCATAACAAAGCTGCAATAACTACATTAATATCATACAAAACAGACATAAATAGAGTAGTACCATAGATAAAGAGAAACATTTCATAATGATAAAAGAGTCAATTCATCAAATACAGAAACAAATTTAACAGTAGAACTTCAAAGCATATGACTCAAAAATTAATCAAAATAATGGGAGATATATATAGACCTACCCTCATAATTGGAAACTTTAACAACTTCTTTTAGTACCTTACTTAAGACAACTAGGCTTAGTAGACATTTCAAAGCACCCAATCCAACAAGTATAGAAAACAAATTCTTTTGAGTGTACATGAATAGACAATATCCTTAAGAGAAAAAACACAATTCTCAAGACATTTTAAGGAGTAACACTATACAGAATATATTTGTGACTATCATAAAGTTAAATATTGCCCTAAATATTTGAAATCAAGCAAGATATTTAAAAAATTACACTAAAAAGAACGAGAAATTTAGAAAATTTTGAAACAAACATTAATAATACAACATATTGATTGTGCTTAGATACTCATAGTGTTAAAGGCTTACATTAGAAAATTAAAGCATGTTAAACTTAATAATCTAAGTTTTCATATCAAGAAGATAGAAAAGTAAGAGTAATAAACTTAAATAAGTACGAGAAAAGACAATAAAGAAAAGATCAGAAATCACTGAACTAGAAAATGTAAAAACAACGAAAATCAATGAAGAAAAAAATGAGTTTTTTTGAAAATATTAAGATATTTTATGCATGCATGGCAAGACTGAAAATGAAAAATAGGTGAATTATCAATTAACAATAATAGGAATGAAATAAAATAGTACAAAGATCTTACAGACACTAAAAAGGTAAGTGAATATTATGAATAATTTTATGCCATTAGACGCAATAGATGAAATGGACAAGTTCTTTAGGTAACACAAATTGCAAAAACTGACCCAAGAATAAAGACAACCTGAATACCCCATATCTACTAAAAAAATAAAATCCTAAAGGAAAACCCTTCCACAAAAATCTCTTGGCCTAGATGGCTTCACTGATGAAGTCTATCAAATGTTTAAAAAAGAAATACTGATATTAAACAAACAAAACTCTTTTAGAAAACAACACAGAAAAAAATATCCAATTGCTTTTGTGAGGCCAGGAAGACCCTGATCCAAAAATCTCACAAGAATTTTAAAATGAAATTACAAAGTCAAATGTTTTATAAATAAAACAAAACAAAATTTTAGAAAATCAAATTCACCAAAATATAAAAAGGAAAATACCAGTGAAAAATTAGATTTATGCCAGTATTACACAGTTGGTTTAATATTTAAAAATCCATTATTCTAACTCACACAATGACATCAAAAATTTTAAAAAGTGGTCTCTTTAGTCATAAGACTATTTCAATCAATGCAAAAAGAACAATTGACAATCTATAAACTTGTTTAAGAAAAAACTCAATGAATTATAAATAGAATGGGGCTTCTAATTTATAAAGAACATTTATGAAAAATCTTCATCTAACAACATATTTAATAGTGAAAATATTAAGCATATTTCTCCAAAGAGAATGTAAGTCCACTTTCACAATTCATTACACATCATACTGGAAGTCCAAGCCAGTTGAATAACATAAGTAGATTGAGCGCAGTGGCTCACTTCTTTAATCCCAGCACTGTGGGAGGCTGAGGTGGGAGGATCACCTGAGGCAGGAGTTGCAGACCAGTCTGGGCAAACTAATGAGACCTTATTCCTACAAAAAATAATAATAATTAAAAAAGAACACAAAAAGTAACGAAAGGCATAGAGTTTAAACAAAAAGAAGACAAATGACTTAATTCTATAAACCTGACTTTTTACATAGAAAAAAATCCACAAAATATTCTACAGTTAATCAATTTACCAAAAAAATTCCAATCTACAAAAATCATTTGTTTTTATATGTAAATTACAAACAATGGGAACATGAAACAAAAATATAACAATTATATGGAGTGTAATATCAATTGCCAATGGCAATAGAATTTTTACCATATACTTATTTTGATAGTACTCTTAATGGATAACCTTTCCCATATTATATTTCTTTTTATGTTTTTTTTAATGCTTCCTTATTTTAAAGAGAGCGTCATCTTTTATATCTTCAGTATCCTTTTCCTCTTCAGTAGAGATTTCTAAATCTTGAGCAATTAAAAACCCAGTTAAGACATTTGTGGCTATGAAATGGGTAAAACATAACCTTGTTTATCTAATTATAATCTTAAAGTTGCTATACCTCTGTTTTCTTTGTAAACTTTTAAAGATTTTAAAATGTGTGTTTTGAGACATTTTATTTGCTTTTGGTTTGGAAGCCAGGAATTCTGCATTTTCAGAGCTATTTCTCTTTTTCCCTGTTCTGACTTCAGGAAAGCTGAATATTTCAGGTTTTTCTCAATTTTTCTTTACCTTTAAAGGTTGCTTTTGAGGTTTAGTAGTATCTATTTCAGAGCCTCCAGATGTAGTTCTCAATTTTTTCCTTTTGCAGATGCTTGTATTGCCTGTGTCAATATTAACTTTTTAGCCTGGCCATTGTCTTCCGTCATTCAGCCTTTCTTCTTATTTTTCCTTTCCTTTTCTTCTGTAACAATGCTATCATTAATTTCAGTTTCCTTCAACTACAGTTATTAAAGAGCAAAATAGGTTTAGTTTTCACTCTTAGAGAACATGCCAGTTTTCTTTGGTGCTGCTTCTGGTGGGTTGATAAAAAACCGAAATGATTGCAAAAAAAGCTTTACTATTTATAATACTTGTTAAATTTTTTGCATTTTTTTTCTTTTTAGGATCTGAACTACTTCAGTAGATTTTGCTTCTTTTGTTTTTGCTTCAAACTCCACAAAGGCAAATCCTTTGGATCTCAAGTAGACTTACAGTGTATACTTATATACTTTTAGGGCTTGGGAAGGCCGCCCCTGCCCTTGCAGGTTTAGAAGTGCCTGCTTCTGCTGCATGGCTTCTCCCTGCTGTCAGTGACTGCCCCAACCTCAGAGCAGAGTTAGAACTGAGCCCAGTCACCATGAGCAGCAACAGGAGGCACACAGGTTCCTGGGTGGAAAGGGTCGGGTCCCTGCTGGGGCTCTACCTTCAGGCCAGGAGAGCCTGAAGGCTGGGGGCCAGGCTGCCAGTCCCACTTGGGAACTTGTGTTGCCTTTTCCAGACCCACCCATGGCTGCCGTGGACTAATCAGCACACACTTCCTCCCCTCTGAAGCCCATAAAAGTCCTGGGCTCAGGCAGAGCAGAGCAGAGGAGAGAGACACGATGGGACAACCATCTGCAGAGATGGTCTGCCCTCTCTGCCAATAGCTGCAGACAATGGGATGGCCTGCCTGCAGAGAGGAGCCATCCTCTCTAGGGCTTCCTGTCTGCCAAGAGGTGCAGACAATGTGATGACAAGCTGCAGAGAGGAGCTACCCTCTCTGATGATAGCTGAACACTTGTCAGAATGACCAGTTGCAGAGAGGAGCTACCCTCTCTCCTGAGAAAAGAACACTTGTTGGGATGACCTGCCTGCAGAGAGGAGCCACCCTCTCTGCTAGGAGCTGAACACTTGTAAGGACACCCTGGCTATGGAGAAAAGCTGCCCAATGTAGGTATTCTCTGAGCTGTTCTATTGCTCAATAAAGTTCATCTCCATCTGCTCACCCTCCACTTGTCTACATACCTCATTCTTCCTGGTTGCAGGAGAAGAACTTGGAACCTGCTGAATGGCAAAGCTAAAAGAGTTGCTGTAACACACACAGGGCTTAAACATGCTCCTTGCTCACCCTGTTGCCGGTAAAGGAAAGGATAGATGAGCTATGGCCCTTCAGGGGTCTCAGACCTGGGAGCTCCCCAAGCCAGGGCTGTGACTCCCTCTTTGGAGCCCTGTGGTTCCTGGTGTCTCCAAGCTTCCAAGCACTGCAGCATTCCTTGCTCCCAGCTGGTGAAGCTGCTTGTGGTGTGCCTGGTCTAGCTGCAACATCTCATAGAGCTGGTGGCCATGCCAGTACCTGGAGCTGCCTGCCCTGTGGCAACAGCTGGTGTGTTTGACTGTGCAGTGGCCAGGAGCTCACACACCCCTTGCTGCTCCATGCCTGTCTCCAGTCTCCCTTGGAGGCATGGGACCCAGGCTGGTAGCATGAGCTTAGCACAGACTGCCAGGCCAAGTTGGCACAATCAGCCCAGTGGGCCTGAGCAAAACTTGGGCAAAGGCAACACCAGCCACAGGTTTCTGGCTTGAAAACTGACACCCCAAAGATCCCATAGCAATTTCGTTGCAAGTTGGAAAGTTGGTGATAATATTTAACTTTTGTTAACCAAAACGAGTTTAAAGTTTCCCCAGCCATATGAATGGACCCCCTACTCTTGGCCAAGGGCATTCCAAAGTTGACCTGAAAAACTAATTCAGGCATGATAGGAAGAGTGAGCTGGACATGCTTCTCATTATATCTTCCTCGCTTTTGAAATTACTGATGGAACAGACTCTTTCAGTCTGATAAGAAACATGTACAATCTATTCTCTCTGAAGCCTCCGACTTGGAAGCTTCATGTGCATGATAAAATTTTGTTCTCCACAACCCCTTATCATAACCAGACATTCCTTTCTGTTAATAATAACACTTTCAACCAATTGAAAATCAGAAAATCTTTAACTTGATCTGTGACCTGGATGCCTCCCACCCCCCTTCTAGTTGCCCTGACTTTCTGGAGTGAACTCATGTATACCTTACAAGTACTGATGGATGTTTCATGTCTCTCTAAAATGTCTAAAACCAAGCTGGAACCTGACCACCTTGGGCACGTGTCTTCAGGATCTCCTTCAGCTGTTTACCAGCATGTCCTTAACCGTGGCAAAACAAACTCCCTAAATTGATTGAGATCGATCTCAGATACTTTTGATATACAATTTGAATTAATACATTTAAAATTATTGGTGGTCTGGGCTCTGTGGCTCATGCCTGTAATCCCAGCAGTTTGGGAAGCCAAGGCAGGTGGATCACTGAGGTCAGGAATTCAAGATCAGCCTGGCCAAACATGGTGAAACTCCATCTCTAATAAAAACACAAAATTAGCTGGGCTTGGTGGCATGTGCCTGTAATCCCAGCTACTTGGGAGGCTGAGGCAGGAGAATCACTTAAACCCGGGAGGCAGAGATTGCAGTGAACTGATATCACGCCATTGCACTCCAGCCTGGATGACAGAGTGAGATTCCGTCTCAAAAAAAAAAAAAAAAATATTGGAAGTGAAGATTTATCTTCAATTGCCATAAAGTTCATATTTATTTCACTTTATATCATTTAAAATTTAAATATGTAGATCAATACTAGAACTGATCACTTCACACCCATATTCAGCTCTCCACAAACATGTACATTTCTTTGCAGTGTATAAATGGTGTATAATTGGTCTCATTTTAGTTTGATTGCAGAAGGAACAAAACAAAACACGCAACATTTAAAAGTAAATGTGATCTAATCCATAAAGCCACATACGTGTATTATTCTGATTAATTTAAAACTGACATTCTATATTATGGCTGTTTTTCTGCCTTTTTGTTTTCTTTCAAGCAAGTTCATTATCACCATGTAGTATCTGTGTACAGATACTGTGTACAGAAAGCTTATACAATTGTTTCTACTTTTAGTCCCAACATACACATACACACAAATCGACAAACTGGATTACACTGAAAAACTGATGCAGTTTACCAAATGGAATTTCCTAGACATTATATTATGGAGATTGAACATGTGAAGGCTGACAAATGCTACAGGATAAGGTCGTCTTACCCAGTAGTAATGGTAGTTGGCACATAGAATAATATAAACTGGATATATATTATTTTATATTCAGATTTAATAACTTTGCAGAAGTAAAGAGACAAAAGGATAAGTTTTAACATTATTATACATTTAATTTTATAAAATAACTCAATGGCTAATTAGCTCTTCAGAAAAAACACCTGCTTTTGAAATACTTTTGTTGTTGACTTTGTTATCAATTAATTAAATTTATGTTAATGTTCAAAAATTTTCTTTAATAACCATGTACCTTGTGACTCCCATGTTTCCAAACAAAAATAATTGTTATACATTTAAGTCAGTTTCTCAAAATTACATGTGAATGCAATTAATTGTGAAAAAGTAAACTAAATATCTATCTTTATTATCTGTCTGTAATGCCTGTCAATCATCTGTCTTATATCCATCCAGACATACACCCACACCTACATCTCAACACACACATGAAAATGTATCCATACACATATTCTCTTTTTCCTGTTTTGAAAATTCTTATTATATTAGTTGTTGAAAACAGTTCAGTTTGATAGCTGAGGAGGAGATTACAATGTGAATTTCTTGTATTGTCTGAGAATATCCAATTCTAGCAAAAAAAAACCCAGAAACTCACAATTTGTGTTAAGTACAGACAAGAAGTTAGTAATTAGAGCATGTGTAGGTTAAACATAGAGAAGGATGGAAGGACCAAGAGTGCAGTTTATTCATGAGGCATTAAATATTCATGAGGCCCACAGGCAGGCATTGAGCAATAGGATATGGTAAATATACATGAGGCATATGAAGCACTCATTATTTATGAGGTCTTAATTCAGGCACCCATTGTTGACAGCCATGTTTGCCTCGAAAGTTCTATGCCCAATAAACTCACATAAGACCTATGGCTGCTCAACAAGTTAATTGGCTGCTATATCTGTTTGCCAAACATATTTATACGTGTGTTTCTCTGTTGTTTGTTACGGTGTCATTTGCCCAGAGTACTTTCTGACACCGGGCCCCCCTGATTGAACCTCAGCTCTCACTGTGGTAACCAAATCATCATTGGGAAGGCAGAGAGGGAGGACAATTGAACATTGTGTAACATGAATTCAGATAGCATGGTCTTTCCAATGCACTGACACTCTATTTTAAATGGTTTAACGTACTTCATCTCTTTCAACTTGCTTCATGCTGTGTGGAGTATGTATATTTAATAAACCACGTGATTTGAGCATTTTAATTTGGCCTGTGAACCTGTCTGGTCCATGCCCACTATTTCATCTAGGTAATATTCCACACAACAAGGATACCAAGTCCTGCTTCTTTAATCAAGTACTGTCTTTATAACTATTTCATTGGCAGAAAATCAACATTACTTTCAAGTAAATATATACTGCAGTTATTAGCTCTTTTAATCCTTACAGAAATGTGTGTGTGTGTGTGTGTGTGTGTGTGTGTGTGACATATAAGTAAAAGCAACTCATTCTAGAGAGGTAAACACACACAAAGAAACAATAACTGGCACAGTTGTTCGTTGTGACAAATGAGTAAATTTGTGTGTGTAGATGATCATAGCTAGCAATTATTTACTGACATAAATTAATTATGATTACTCTTTTCAAATGATCCCTTGATGTTCAGTCAAATTGCAAGTGTTAGCTTGTGGGGTCTGGACTAGAAAGATATTACAGTCTGTGTCAGAACATCACCATTCTATGTATTTTTCTCTCCATTGGTGATGAGTTCCTGCTGTGACATTAGCATTTTCACTGAGGGCCACTTGTGAGAGGCCTTTGGACTCTTCACCAGGAAGTCGACGGTTTTTAGGTTAAACCAACAAGCCAGCCGATATGTCAAACCTATGACCTCGGCCTCTGGAGCAATGTGAAAACACTGGTTATTGTAACTGCCTTTGAAAACTCTAAATTAAACTAAGACTAAAAAGTCAAGGTTCAACTTATCAAAAATTAATATTTTTGAACTATCTGAAAAACCCATTAAAATGCTATGTGGATTAAGCCTGCATTTCTTGAAATGCTAGTTTGCAGATTATTTTTTATCCTCCTTATGGCACTTGTTTTATAACTATTTTGTGGTATTGTCTAAGTATTACATACTGCCTGAGGCAAGACTATCTATATCTACATTTTATCTTCAGAATCCTCTTTTGAAATGTAAACATTTCCCACAAGTAATACAAACTGAAAATAAATATTAATATTAAAAGAAATCAAATAAACTGTTGAATAACAACTGTTATTTAGTGACAATTTAGGAAATACAATAATATGTTTCTTAAATTCACAATTTAGACTTGATTTAGCCATAAACATATGTATTAGGGTTCTCTAGAGGGACAAAACTAATAAGATATATATATATATGTGTGTGTGTGTGTGTATATATGTGTGTGTATAGATATATACACACACATATATATACACATATATACACATATATGTGTATATATGTGTGTGTATATATATATATACATATATACACATATATACACACACACACACACACACATATATATATATATATATATATATATATATATATATATATATATATATATATATATATATATGTTGAGGGCAGGAAGCATCTAGCAAGGGAGAAAGATGTAGGCTGGGAGGCTAAGCCAGTCTAGCCTTTCTACATTTTCCTGCCTGCTTTATATCCTGGCCTCACTGACAGCTGAAGCCTAAAGTGTCCAGGTGACTATCTTAACTTCCAGTTTAATGGAATCATCGTTGTGTCTCCTGGTGGAAGTGTTTCCCCCTCTGGAGCTAAGACTTCTAGGCCAGCAGAACGTAAAGTCGCAGGAAAAGGCAGCGAAAATTTTGCTAGTGGATCACTAGGGGTGATGGTGAGTGGTGCCACTTCCACTTCTACCCCTTGATTCCTGGATCCATGAATCCTGGCTATGGGAGAAACAGTACCATATATACCTTTAAGTCAACAGGCTAAGAAGACAGTTACAGTGTTGACTGGGGTGATTGACCCAGACTATCAAGATGAAATCAGTCCTACTCCACAACGGAGGTAAGGAAGAGTACACATGGAACACAAAAGATCCATTATAGCGTCTCTTAGTATTACCATGCCCTATGATTAAGGTCAATGGGAAACTACAACAGCCCAATCCAGGCAGGACCGCAAATGGCCCAGACTCTTCAAGGAATGAAGGTTTGGGTCACTCCACCAGGAATAAAACCACGACCTGCTGAAATGCTTGCTGAAGGCAAAGGGAATACAGAATGGGTAGTAGAAGAAGGTAGTCATCAATACCAGCTATCGCCACATGACCAGTTGCAGATAAGAGGACTGTAATTGTCATGAGTATTTCCTCCTACTTTTGTTAAAAACATGTTTGTGCATGTATACACTTGTACTAAGAAAATATTTGCATTTTATTTCCTTTTTCCTTTATCATGTGACATAAGATTTGTTGATTTTATATGAGCATTTAAGTATTGTTAACTTTATGTAATAGCATTTGGGTTGGGGATTGGTGTGTTTCCAGTTGTACAAAGGGTAGTTGTATTATGTTAGGCATAATTATGACCTTATTATTTTCTTTATTTGAAGATTATGTATAATCTCAGGGGATGTATATGGGTTCACGTTGATAAGGGGTGAACTCATGATGATTAATACTGAGTGTCAGCTTGATTGGATTGAAGGATGCAAAGTATTGATCCTGAGTTTATATGCAAGGGTGTTGCCAAAGGAGATTAAACTCCAGTTTTTAAAGCCATCAGATATCATGAGGCTTATTAACTATCATGAGAACAGCACCGGAAAGATCCACCTCCCTGATTCAATTATATCCCCCCAGCTCCCTCTCACAAAATGTGGGAATTATGGGAGCTACAAGATGATATTTGGTTGGGGACACAGAGCTAAACCATATCAATTACCCATAGTCAGACGTTCAATTTCCACCAAAGCCCAGTAACAGGCCAAGAGCTGTCTCTCAAAAGAATACTATTTATCTGCAGAGGATGGCCCAACTTTGCTCCAAAACCCTAAAGGTCTTTGCTGTGATTTACCTGTTGGGGCCTGCCAAAGGCTCCAAACAGCATCCTTCTCTGCCAGGGACACCTCAAGCACCATTGGATTGGATCTGTTGGGTCATATGGTCCAAGTGGTAGAGCAACTTGCACAGCAGCCTGGGCCTTTTGCAGAGCCTTCTCCTGTTCTGGACCCTTCTCAAAACCTGCAGTCTTTCAGGTTACTCAATAAATGGGTCGGAGTAACACACCCGGTATATTGATATATTGCTGGCCTTCTCAGCTGAAGGTAAATTGCTTCTGGTGGGCCTTATGGACAGGAATGAAGAAAAAGGCATTTGCCAAATCAATGGCTGCATACCAGGTACAATTGGAGTCACTACTTGGTTAAACTTATGATAATTCACTGTCATTCTCCAAGATCCATCTGTCTTCTGCACAGGAAAATAGGAGAGTTGAATGGGGATGTGGTGGGAATCACCACCCCTGCGTCTTTCAAGTCTTTGATGGTGGCGCTAATCTCCACAATCTCTCCAGGTATGCAATATTGTTTTTGATTTAATATTTTTCTAGGGAGAGGCAGCTCTAATGGCTTCTATTTGGCCTTTCCCACTATAATAGCCCTCACCTTAGCAGTCAGGGAACCAATATGGAGGGTTCTGCCAGCTGCTAAGTACGTCTGTGCAAATTATGCATTCTGGCACTGGAGAAATGACCACAGGATGAGTCCGGGGACCAACTGGACACACTGTAAGTCAGACCTGAGCTAAAATTCCATTAATTACCTGCCCTCCATAAGCCCATAATTTAACTGGAAGACCACAACGATGTTTTGGGTTCCCTGGAATCAATATCAGCTCACAGCCACTGTCCAATAGTCCCTGAAAAGTCTTATCATTTCCCTTTCTTTGGTGCACAGTTACCTTGATAAAAGGCCAGAGGTCTCCTTGGGAAAGGATGGGAGAAAGATTAAAACCATAAATTGTTGGTAGTGTAGTGGGATCCTTTCTCCTTGAGACCTGGCCTCCCCTTCATTCAAGGGGTTCTGGGACTGGCTCTAGTCTGGAAATTGACTGAGGGGCCATGATTCTCATTTTTTATAATTCAAATTAATCTTTTGTCCATTCGAGCTGGAAATTTTCTGTTTATGTAAATTCAGTAGGAATGCAGTAGGCTTCCTATCAATTTCACTTATAAGAACACTGTAACTAATTAGCCAATGCCAAAGCTCTACGCAAGTCAGACTATTCTGATTGCTTCTTTGCCTCTGCTGTCCATTATGGTAGCTATGTCCACCTTGCCTTTGATGGTTGAGTGCTGCCACTTGGCCCCTTCCACTTCGGGATCCAATTATTCTCATTGTATTTAAATTTTGTAGTTGTGTAACTGTGGTTCTCATTGTTATATCTGACATACAGAAAAGAGCAATTACAGGCCTCTTCAAAGATGCAGGTGCTACCCTCACAAATCTATTTTGCAAGGCATTGGTGAAGTTTATATCTTCCGGATTCTCCCAGCTGTGATGAGCAGGTCTAAAGCTACAAATGCACTCCACCATCCCAGTCCTCCTAAGCCTTTGGATCCCTTCTTCTGTGTTAAACCAAAGGAGATCAGGCATTTTCAGCTTGCTCACAACAGGACATCTTTTAATCCATATTTCTGCTAACCAAGCAAATAAACCATTAGATCCTTCCTTTTAACTCCCCAAACTGCAATATTAAATGCAGAATCCTTACTTAGTGGGCCCAAATCAATAAATTCAGCCTATCTAACCCTATGTTTCTTCCACCATTATCCCACATCCTTAATATCCATTCCCATGCCTGTTCTCCAGATTTCTGCTTATATAAATTAGAAAACTTAAGTGGTTCTTTTTGAGCATACCATACCTCCTCATAGGTCACACGCTCAACCTCACCTCTAGGGGCCCACTGGGACTTTAGTTATAGGTCTAGAATAAACAGGGGTGATGGGGTTAATTACATGCTCACACATGAGAGTCGTACAAAAATGTGAAACTCAAAGAAGGACCAGATGATTGAAGCTTATATAACATATTGAGTTACATAAAGGAATAAGAGATTAGGGGTCCTGGTGGAGACAAATTATGGAAGGATGAAGGGCAGAAATATATGGTGAATAAAGGTTGCCTTGTTATGCAGATAAAAGTATTTCAGAAGATAAAAGTTGTCTGTGAGCAGCTCTCTTTCTGATACAGATCCCTTTTACTAATGAAAATTTGCTTCATAGATATAAATTTCCTTTACAAAAAGGTTTTTAGAGGTACTCCTGTGGCTGCGATTTCTTAATATAACCTGCTCAAAATATGCCAAAGAATTATATTTTGTGGTGCTATATTCTGGTTTTCTACAGTCATATTTTGGGATGATGTGTTCTGACACCAGCTAGGGCTCAGAACATGATATTCCAAATTACGGCACTTTGGCATGCAGGTGCTTTGAGCTGAAGAACATTGAAGGAGTCTCAGAAGTAACATCTCTCTGAGCTTTAGTACTTCCGTCTCCTGTCCCAGTTTCTCCTCTACAGTAAGTCATAGAAGTCAGAATTCTTTTTTTCTAAGGCAGGTCATAGAAACTAGCACTCCTCTCCTTAAAAAAGAAGCCATAAAATCTAGAAAAATACTGCTTCCCCTCCTCCCTTCTCCCTTTAAAACTCTCATTCCAGAGAAGTCCTGCCCCATGCTAGGGGGAAGGAATGCTCCACAAAGAGGCCAAGAAGAATACAAACAGACAGACTTTGTTGGGTTCCCCCTTCAGTCTACCACTGGTTTATAATTTTGTGCATTTGCATTTCTATATGGCTGTACATTTTTCATCTAATGCCAGCAAAACAACAGTTTTTCCTGTGTCTTTAGGGTTTCATTTCTGAAGACTGCCTTGTTGTTTAAAATTTTGATTAAACAAATTTGTTATGCTTTTCTCCTGCTGATCTGTCTCTTGTAAGAAGTGTAGACTGTGATCCTTATGATGGATGAGGAAAAGTATCATGCATTTATGCTCATTCAGCCCCAATACTACCAATTTACTTATTATAAGAACAGTATTGATCATAGCCTGTGCCTTACTGCCAGTTGATGAATAAAATACAATATTTCTATGACAGTTTCTCACTATGAAACTATATTATTTAGAAATTATTGGAAAAATTTTCTGCAGCTGTCGAGTGATGAAATTCAAGTAAATTTAAGACAAAAACTGAATGCATATGATAGCTCCTTAAAATTGATACTTTAATTATTATCCACTACAATCTTATCATTCTAAACTCCTTTTATTAAAAATAAAGGTACATTTCAATAAATTCAGGAAAAAAAGATAAAAATTTGTGCTCTAAAAGAGCAAAAAATGTAATGTTTGTATATATTTATTTTTCAAAATTTTAAATTTCATTCTTTTCTATTGTTGGCTCAAAGCAAAGATGCAATGAATGCAAAATTATGCTGATAAAATCTGATTCTGGATACATCTGCACATTTAAATTTGTTCTTTTTTACTATCATTCTCCCTAGTTTCATGTGACTCTTCAGAGTATTTATGTCTCCAGTGACCTTAATCTATAAGTAAAATTTACTTTCCTCTTATCTCAAAATTCTCCAGCTATGTGAGCAGGGTGGAGATGCTATGTTTAGTTATCAGATCTTGTACTCAGTACTGTAACTTGTTCTTTTACTAATTTCTAGAAGAAGAACCACAATATTATCATATTACATTTTAGTTGAATGTGGAAAGTTAATTTTACAACTTTTAAATGTACCAACTTTCCAAACTCAATAGGGCAAAGCAAATCCTGAGAAAACAAAATCAAAACTGCTTTCGATGCTGCATGAAAGTACAATTGTCATTATATCTAATGAAATGAAATAAAATCTTTCTAATCTAAGTAGTATTCAGTGTTTTGTTTCCATTGTGGCAGTGATATACGTAGTAATAAAATCATTTTACCTATCATGTAGACCTCAAAATTATATTTTCATATAAACTTAAAAAAATAGCTGTTGAGGAGTATAAACAAACAAGAAACAACATAAATATGAGACATATAGCAAGATGTCAGTTTATACAAAATCTTATCTATATTTAAATTGTATATAATTTGTGTAAACCATCTCATTAAATGGGTTTATCTTATGATCGTAATTTTTTTTATTTAAATTGCCTTTATTTGCAAATATACTAGTAGGAACTGTGAAAATCAAATGACATTTAAAATATAAGTGGGAAGGCATTTACCTGAGAAAAAAGGGAAGCTAAAATGCAATTATACTAATTTAAGTAGTACTAAAATGGATGAGCTTCAAATGACTTAATCCTCTGAAAATAGAAATTATATTAGCGTGTTTGCCAATTATGTGTTTTATGCATTTACGTCCTACCTAATTTTAGAATACATTAGTTATAAATGTTCATTTTTTCATTTATCTATTTACTCAACAAATATTTTTAACATATATTATGTGCCTGACACTATATATATAACTACCATTGAAAAAGTTAAATATATAAATAAATACAAACACAAAGATAGAATAGTGTAAGGAAGATCAAGAATAGGTGGAAAGGAGGCAGTGACCTTGCCATAATTTGGACTACATAGTCCTCAATGTGGTGGTGACATTTGAGCAAACTTGAAAAGGTGAGGGAATTAGTAAGGCAAATATCTGAGAAGAGAGCTTTTCAGCCAATGTAAATGTTCTAAGATGGGGGTGTATGTAATCTGATCAAGAAGCAGAAAAATGACCATTGTGGATTGGACAGAATGAGAAACAAAAAACATTTCTGGCTTTTATTCTCAGGAAAATGAGAAGCTACTGCAGAGTTTTGAAACAAAATTGTGATTTGGCATACATGTTTAAAAAATACTGCTTAGCAGGGATGAAAATAAAAATGAGTTGGGAGAATATTGTAGTGGTCCAGGCTGGAATTCATGGTGTCTTGGATGAGGATTATGGTAATGGATAGGGAAAGAAGTGGTCAGATCCTGGATGCATTTTGAAGGAATAGGCAACAGAATTTCCTGATGAACTGGATGTGGCATGTGAGAGAAAGAAAATCAAAGATGCCTCCAAAACTTTTAGTCTGAGCAAATGAAAGAATAAGTTCTTCATCAAATGTTATGTTAATGACTGTGCATGCAATAGGCTTGGGAGTTGGGCAGATCAAGAGGTTAGCTTTGCACTAGTTGAGTTTAATATCTGTGAGGGATCTGAGTAGAGATTTCAAGTAGACAACTGGATTTGCACATCTGAAGTTCAAGAAACTTCTGTGACAGGAGTATAAATTTTGAATTATCCAGGTTATAGATGATATTTAAAGCTAAATAACATTTGCAATAAGTCCAAAATGTATTCTAAGATTGAAGAGAAAGTGAAAATATTATATTAAATAAACATATTTACATTTAGTAAGAAAACAGAGTAAATGCATTTTAGCGAGTAAATGGTATGTTGACTGGTGCATTTAGTATTTATGTTAATTATCTTTGCTGAGATTCTCATAATTGCCAGTTTAGAGAATATTTTGTTGGCCCACACATAAAAGAGGAAAAAGATTTGTTGGCATCGTCTGATACATAGTCTCCCTTTTACTATTTTTTTTCTAGATAATATTTGTGACATTTTTCATTATTTATATATGCTTTTCAAGCCTACTTAGAAAATTCTGTTTTGATGTTTCTTTACAGTGAAGCATTATCGTTATTTATATGTGATTATAATTTTACCACTTAAGCAATGGATTTTTACCTAAATTTCCTTTAAAATGACTTATTTCATGTAAATTCCAACTAACTTTTCATTTCAATGTGTTCAAAATAAATTGTAAAATTGATGTAAAGTAATACTTAATCATTTCCAGTATTCCTCTGCAGTACGTGATTACATTCATCTATTTTTTTTCTTATTTATACATGCCACAGTTTATTACATTTATATTTATAAACATATGACACTTCCAAGTCATCCCCTGCCTTCCTATAGGGGTAACTAATCTGATTTTTTTCCTACTGTTATAACACAAATAAATGTTTTCTTAAACATTATATTAAATTGTATTTTGAAACTTGTACAAATGATACATAAATTGATAGGAGGTCATGCCCCATGCTCCATTTGTTAATAATCCTATTCTGTCTTTATTTTTTGTATAATTTGTTTTAGGTTTCTCAGGCCACCCCCTAGCCTTTTTTCCCCCTCTGTACTAAGTAGTAAAATTCAAGTATTAGGCATTAAAGAATTGCAGGTTGTTCTAACAGTTTTCTAAAAAAGTCATTGTCATGTGGATAGAAAATAGTTCCTCTTTCTCTTTAGCTACAAGAAAAGTAGATGGTACTCAGCATAAATCTGTCTTTATCATATTAAATACAAAGAAGCCTTACAAATTAAGACCTGTAAAAGTAATCTATAATTTTAAGGGCTTTCTAACTAGTTATCTTAGTTATAATAATATTAATGATAATAATCTTTCAATTGATGTGTAACTCAGGGTGCTATTAAAAAAATCCAGGAAGACTTAAAAGAAATCCATTAAGTAGTGTAAAGCACTCCTGGTCTAACAACAGTGGAAAGCTGTTACCAGCCAGGTCTTAAAAGAAGAAACCAGGAGAAAGAAACTGGAGAGAGAGCCGTAACTGTAAGTGGGATAGGAATTAGGACCTTTAGTAGTAGAACTCAATCTCTATCAACCTGTGTCTTCACAGGAAAGGAGCCATGGTATTAAATATAAGAATTTCCCTGCCCTCTCATCCAGTGCTCCTAAATTTTTGAACTTAATACAAGTCAGGGTGTAATATACCCTACTAATGTAGCCCACACTGTTGAGTCTCCTGCAAAGAAGGGTAGAGGCTATATCTAGAGGGGAATAGGAGTGTCAGAGAAAAAGGGTAATATTATTGATTCAACATTATAAATATTTGTGAATTTACTGTATTCAATATCTAGAAATCTTTTTGGCCAAGCTTACAAGTTTTTGGGGTACATTTTTTTGAGAGGGAGTCTTTCTCTCTGTGGCCCAGGCTGGAGTGCAGCAGTGGCACGTTCTCTGCTCACTGCAACCTCTGCCTCCCGGTTCAAGTGATTCTCCTGCTTCAGCCTCCCAAGTAGCTGAAATTACAGGCACCTGCCACCACACTCGGCTAATATTTGTATTTTAGTAGAGATGGGGTTTCACCATGTTGGTCAGGCTGGTCTCAAACTCCTGACTTCAAATGATCCACATGCCTCGGCCTCCCAAAGTGCTGAGATGACAGGTGTGAGACACTGTGCCTGGTCTTGGGTACGTTTCTATATTCTACATTACCACAAGCAGCAGTTTTAACAATTTTTCCATCAGGTTGGCATTTTCCACAGTGATGTAGTAGTATCTTTGCCACTTTTCTAAGCTCCATCATGTGTTTCCTGGCTGCTTTTCCAGACTTCAACTCTCAGACCTAAGACTAATGTGACATGTTTTAAGTTTTTCTTATAGCAGCCCCCCATTTCTAGGTAACAGTTCATGTCTCCACTAGATTTTTCTATATTAAATAAACCTAGAGCCTAAAAACTGAGAAAAAAATCTGACTTAGTAAAGTTCTTGGCTTCAAAATCTAATTATTTTACCCACTTCATAAGTTTTTTAGTAGTTCTGCTCTGAGGGGCCTCAAATAATTTCTGTTGCACTCTCTTTTTTGTCTATAGACAGCTGGGAAGCTGATGAGATGATATAAGATGGCCTTCCTCACATCTTGGGAAGTTATTAAATTATGACATCGGGAGCCTTAGCTTTTATCGAGTAGAATATCATGGGCTTATTCATCTGTTTCTTTCATTGTTTTGTTATAGCAAACAAGGGCAAAACTCAATGTACTAGTGTTTTCAAGTCTCTGTTTGTATCACATTTCCTACTATCATATTGGTAAATTGGACCAAGCTCAAATTCAAAGAGTGAAGAAATAGATCCCACTTCTTGATAGAGCAGAAACCCCCGCCAGTTCATATTATACATGACATTGGAACTAGAAATACATATGTTGTTTTAAGTCAATGATATTTTAGTGTTATTATCATAGCATAATATGTCCTGTTCTATTTTGACTAACAGGGATAGTGGTATTGTCATTGGAAGTGAGGCTGCCATCACAGAAGCCTAAAAGAGATGACATTATTTTAAGGATCAGGTGGTGGTAAGTTAAGAAACTGATTCCTGGGAAGGGAAAAATAATATCACATGTCACTCAATGGTAACATATTTAGTAAAACTCTCATCAGACTTAACTTGGAAATTAGATCACATACTTAATGCACTTTTAGCTCCTAGAGAAGATATTGGGAAATTGAATTGTAATACTATTGGTCATGATTGACTGGATTTGACCAGGTATTACATGAAAATGATGAGCTCAGAAAATAGACTGGTTTCAAGCCAAAATATATGTAATATAGAAATTCGATAAATTCAGGGTCTTTAAAGTTGAAGCAGTCAGCTCAAACTCATGCAAGAGATATAATTAAGAAAACATATGAGCAACTAAGTCCTTTGAAAATCAGCGTTGAAGCAAAGATCAGATTAAGGATGTGGCCACCTTTTCTATTACCAAAATTTCTCACCTGATAAAACTTCTTACAGAGGAAATAAGTCAATCTAATGGTAGGTCAACTAATTCTACCTGTCAGTGCATTAAAAGTTCAGGATACAAATTATATTAAAGGTGTAGGCTTTCCAGAGCACTCTGAGAAAAAGATACTTTGTAAAAAAATTAAAAAATTTAAAAAATTTTAAAAAGCAATGTAGCAGATCTAGATATTATTTTTCAAAAATAACTGGCACATGGAACTGACTAGATTTGAACAGATGAATATAGACTGCAGTGCAACTAAAGAAACTATGAGATCAAGTTTCAAAAGGCCATGACTATTTGAAAGCAAGTAGCCCTTGAATCCCCAACCTGCTGTAAATAGGAAGGGGATCCTGAAAGCTGGCCATATTTCTCAGCAACCACTAAGGATGACACCAAAGGAAATGCCTCTGTATCAGTTTGCCCTGGCTGCCAGGACAAAAATACCATACGTGGAGTGGCTTAAACAAATCACACAGTTCTGGAGGCTGGAAATCCCAGGTCAAGCTGCCCGCCAAGTTATTTTCTTATAAGGCCTCTTTTCTGGCCAGTAGAAGGCTGCCTTCTTGCTATGTCCTCATATGGATCTTCCTCAGTGTGTGGTCACTGGGAGAGAAAGCGAGACTTATCTCTCTGGTGTCTCTTCTTAGAAGGACATTAATCCTTTTGAATTAGGGCTCCATGTTTATGACCTTATGCGAATTATTTTTCTTAGAGTTGCCATCTCCAAAACAGCCACACTGGAGTTTAGGTCTTCAGCATTTGAATTTGCAGGGTGGCACATTCATTCCACAACACCTTGACTACAAAGTCTAGAGCTGTGGTGAAAAATGAACAAAGGAGTCTGCTAAGAGCCAAATCAATGCCTAATTTGAAAACATTCCTTATTTCCAGGATAAGGGCCCTCACAATGTTAACTTGTACAATTTTGGAAATATTACTATCAAATGCTTTGTCTTTCCACCAGGAAAAATGTATTGCAATTGAGTAATCCTAGCTTTACCATTGTATAAAATGTGTGTGTGTGTGTGTGTGTGTGTGTGGTGTGTGTGTGTGTGTGTGTGTATGGCCAAGATGGGGTGTGTGGGGGATGGGATAGTAACTTGTTTTACCTGTTTCTCTGAACGAAGAGGAAACATTTTCAGAATGATGCAGTGACTACCACATATCACCCAGCGACCCCAAACGTTGAATGGACAGGGTTTGGGTTTTGTTCCCTTAAGAAGAATTTGATTTAAGTTTTATTAAAGAAAAAGAGGGAGTAAAGGAGTGTGTGGGACCGGAATAATACATTAGTAAAGAGATGTACTTACCTCATATTCCATGTTTACTCACATTTGCCAGCCCTTTTACAGGGAGTTATGGCCATAGGACTAGTTCAGGCCAATTATTTCTGTGTGAAAGAAATGTATGCAGCTTCCTGCCAGGCCAACCATTGAAATGATTTTTTCTGCTGTTTTCTGAAGGTTGCATGTTACTTGTCTTGCAACTATATGTCTTGGGGATGTCAAAAGCTTAAGACCCTGAATGATTGTGTGGAACTGAGTCCTTATATCAACCCATGTGAAACAAAGGGTGAAAAAGAATTTTTTATATGCTAAGTCTCTGAGAACCTGGAGTTGTATAGTACCATAG
This sequence comes from Homo sapiens, assembly GCF_000001405.40. Classification (NCBI taxonomy): domain Eukaryota; kingdom Metazoa; phylum Chordata; class Mammalia; order Primates; family Hominidae; genus Homo; species Homo sapiens. The sequence goes on along the minus strand of NC_000003.12, from coordinate 145,506,393 downwards.
TACAAACCTACTAGGCCTAATACAATTTTACTAAAATTAAAAATAAATTTCCAAAATAAAACAAATCATACAAGCCCGTTTTTCTTACTGGGGCAAAACAAAACTGGTAATTAACAGAAATGAAGCAAAAATTTTAAATAGCAGCATTTTATAAAGTGTACCCTGGATTTATGAAGGAATTAAATTAAATATGCAGATTAATCTTGAATGGAAACAATAAGTGATAACCTGTTTTAGCTACAAAATAGCCATCAGCAAAGCAAAAGGATTTAAATGAATTTATCGAAAATAAATATAAGAGAAAACAATCCATTTAACTATAAAAAATTGAAAAATATGTATCTATAGAATAATTGTATATATAAAACAACAACTTTTAAAAAATTATGATGTTCGATTCAGTTGTAATATGCTAAATGTGAACTGACAAAACAACACCATATGTTTTCTTTATTTTATTAGCAAAATTATAAAGATTTTCAATGTTGGTAAGCCCATGAGGCTATTAATTCAATGAAATGTAATCAAACTTACCATATCCTGGCGCTTGGAATATAGCAGTAAATAAACAAAACAAAAAATCCCCGCCCTCACTAAGTTAATGTAATTATAATTAAATTTTATGGTTTGTCAAAAGGTGAAAAGTGTTACAAAATGAAGTAGTATAAGAGAACTGGAGAAAGAGCTACCAACAGTGAAATGACAAATTCTATTTTGATACATCTAGGGCTACATTTCCAATATTTAACAACTGCCTTGGTCATTCAGAAGAGTTGCTGGCTGCCCAGGGTGCTGGAGCAGTTTCTGAGGCCTATTATGCCAAGTGTTGATCTTTTGGTTGCTGGGTCTTGGAGCTCCTGAAGGAGGGGCTGAGTTGGCTGGGGAAAGTGGGAGGGTTAGGCTAAATGCTACTTACTTTAAAATTATGAAATTATTTTCATATTTTAAGAACTGATCTTGTCATGTTAGAGAATAATGGTTTTATATTAGCTTAGTGTTGAACTTTCAAGAGATCAGAGATCTTCATGTCTGAGAAATAATGCTATATGCACAGAAGTAGACACATTATAACTCCATTTATATCCTAAACTACACACATATGCACACATAGACATACACATATGATAGGTTTGGCTCTGTGTTCCCACCTAAATTTCCTCTTGAATTGTAATCCCCACGTGTCGAAGGAACGACCTGCAATACCCACGTGTTGAGAGAAGGAGGTGATTGGATCATGGCGCCAGTTTTCCCCCATGCTGATCTCTTGTTAGTGAGTGAGTTCTCTCGAGATCTGATGGTTTTGTAAGTGCCTTCTGCTTCCCCTTCCACCATGATTGTAAGTTTCCTGAGGCCTCCCCAGCCATGCAGAACTGTGAGTCAATTAAACCTCTCTCCTGTATAAATTACCCAGTCTCGGGTATTTCTCTATAGCAGTGTGAGAATGGACTAATACAACATATTTACACTCACACACTTTAACTTTATGTACAGATGGGCATATAAACATACATAATTGCCTATGAAGATATGTGGAAAACTGAAAAGAGTAACTGAATCCTTGAGGAAAAGGGAAATATGAAAGACAATTTTACTTTTTAACTAATTTATCATTACAAATCTTGTATTTTTATGAGGAAAATACAATTATTATGTATTACTTGTATCATTGAAAATAAAAATCTATGTTGCATACATTATAAGATACTGTCTCTCATCTTGCGGGAAAATGACTTAAGGAAACCCATAATTTAAAATGAAGCAAAATGAATTTTTTTGTTATAAAAACTATTTGTAAGATTCACAGAATACTCACTGGGGGTTAAAACAGCTGAACATCAATTTACTGTAAAGTGGGACTGCTTTTGCCACACGTCAATGTCACTTCATTCTTAGTCGTTGTTTTCAATACAGGCAGTGGTTCTGTAGCTCATCAAATACAATGAACATCTGGTCTTTCAAGTGCAGAGAATCCTGTAGAGATTAAAGAGCATTTTACTGACAAATCTTTTATGCAATACATCTTAGATACTGTCTTGACTATGATGTGACATATTTTTTCAGGGCACTTTTACATTTATTTCATATTTTAAAAATTCTATAACCATAATTAACCGTTATAAACTTGGCAGGTGATAGGTAAATGGAGATTTGAAAAAGAAAATAGATAATTTGGGCTTCTTAAAACAGATTCTGTTTTGTGGCTGTGGTTATTATTGCTATATTTTGCTTTTGTTTTGAGAAATTTGCTGTGTGTGTGTGTATGTGCGTATGTCTGTTTGACATAAAATACATGAAATGTTAGATTCATAAATGATACAATCAATTTCAAGTTGATCACTAAATATACTATGATGGTCTTTAACTCACATATCTTTTCTGTGCATAAAATTTCTTATTTTCTTGTCTGTAAAGTAAAAGAAAATGTCAATAAAGAAGAGAAAATCACTTTAAGAACATTTAAGATTTTATTAGTATGAAAATTGAGGATCTTAGAAATTCACTGTATACCTGAGGAAATGAAAGTTGTTAGAGATAGAGTGATTTGCCTATAATTACTCAAGGAGACATAAAGGCTACATTGTCTTTGACAGTGGAGAAGAATCCAGGCCCAAACCTGTGTGTGTAAGTACATTAATAACTGCTTTTTTATAGAAATAAATTTCTCCATTATTTGTCAAAAATAATGTTGTGATAAGATAAAATTAGGTCATAATTCTCACAAAATATGATAGTCATAAATGCTATCAAATATTGTGATACTTTTGTTTGATGCAGGATTATAATTTACTACCCCAGAAGTTAGTTGTGCTTCAATGAATAAAACATGGATGAAAACATGTTCTTTGTACACTTTTGGCTGACAGCATTGACCCTGGGCATAGTTTACCACGTGTATTTCTTCTGACTTCAGCAAGTACCCAAGCCGAGAGATTGCATCTGTTTCCCCTGGGCCCTTGGGTGAATGGCAGAGTAGAATCCCCAGCTAAATCTATGATAGGCATTTACCACAAGTGAAATATTAATGTTTTTCTTAGCCACTGAGGATGTGGGCTTGTTTTAGCATATCACAGCCTCTCCTGAGTGATAGATGTAGGTTTGCTTGCTTCCCATATCTGCCCTGGAAGATGGAATATAAGATTTGAGGCATAGGTCTTATCAATTATGCAGTGAAACTGTATGGGACCATGTCAGTTCACAGAATCTAAGAGTTCTCACCATTTGGACCTGTAGATTCTTTGGCCTGCTGCCTGGATCTAACACACATTTGTCAATTCCATTCCTTGATTAGATTTAGATAATATCTTTTAGATTCAGATAATAATCTTTTACTTTTTCTTGTACATTTCATTGGGTTACTTTTGTTTTTGTAGCTGATAGTTTTTTGTTAGTTGTGTTAGCAAAATGTCAGGCAGAAATGGCCTGTTTGAAATCATCTAGGATTTTATTAAGAAATTAAGACTCTTAAAGACTCATTTTACAGATAAGGAAATTGAAGTTTTTTTTAGGAAGACTATGAATAAAATAGGCTTTGGGGGTTCTTCTATATGTAAAAATATTTTTATTTTACTGTCACAATTGAGCGTTTTTGTCACATATAATTATAGGATCCACGATAGTTAACATTTTGAAGGAAAAAAATTCCTTATTTTGTCATTTAATTGGCATCAAATGTTATTGATGAGATATCTTAGGTCAATTTTATTCTGATGGATAAAAAAATTCCTTATTTTGTCATTTAATTGGCATCAAATGTTATTGATGAGATATCTTAGGTCAATTTTATTCTGATGGATCTGGAAGTAAGGTTTTTATTCTTTGTGAAATATACATTTGTGTCTAGATATGTATTTTTAAAAATGATTTCCTTCTTTGGCATTTGGTGGGCCATCTAAATGTGAAGACTAGTTCAAGTCAGGGATATTTTCATTTATTTATTGCCCTAAATTCTCTTTACTTTGTCCTGTTAGAACTCCTATTATATGGATGTTAGAATATTCAGCTTTGTGCTCTGTATCTCTGAACTGCTCTATTACATTTTTATATCTTTTACTTGTTGCTGAACCTTCTGGGAGAAATTTTGAATTTTAAATTACTGGTCACTTATATGTGTGTCCTCTTTTCCAGACATTCTATTGAAGTTTTACTTATAGGAATTACATTTTAATTTACAATAACTTCGTCTTCTCTGATTCCCTCCCTTTTAGAGAAGTTCATAAAATTTTCTAAACAGAAGATGCTCTAGATTCTATTCTATTGATTACATAGTATTGCGGTTTTGTCCTCAGATCTATAGATCCAGTTTTGTCACTGGACCAATTGTTGTCAATGTTCATAGTAAAGATTTTCTTTAATGTAATCTATAGTTAAGAATTTTTGTCTGTTGTTGTGCTTTTATGTTTGAGGGCAGCACTATGATAATTAGTATATTTTCCTTACAGTTGTAGTAGTCTATTTATTCCTCTGAACGGGAGAGCTGTCGCTGAGACTTCCTTTAAGTAGGCATGGTTTGTCGTCAGCAGACTGAAATAAGGATGAAGCCTAAATTGGAATGCATTAGGGTAATGTTACATTATTGAATAGAAAAACAGATCATTTAGACTTTTTTCATTTTTATATGTGTTTGTTATACAGGTCTGTAGTGACACTTGGCTATATTCTGCTTTTCAACCATATGATCTTCTCATGCAAATATTTTTCTGTGTTTAGGAAGTAATTCTCAAAGCTTGAAACAAAGCTGCTTTCTATACTTCTGGGAAGGAGAGGTTCCAGGCCCAATCTTGAGAGTGGTTCAGTATTTATTTAACCATGCTAGCAATTCTCAAACTTCCCTATCTTAGGACTCATTTCTACGCTTTTATTTGGGTGAGTTATCTCTTCAGATGCTTGCCACAGCAATAGTTAAAACCCCAAAATGTTTAAAACCCAAAAATATAAAAACACACATTCCATTAGCCATTAAGCAATGATGTCATCACATGTAGTGTAGTCTCTGAGATGTATCCTACTATACATTGTGAGAGAATGAGAATGACAAGATTATGTAATACTAAGTGTTTCTATTATTATAAAAACAGTTTTGAACTCATAGACTGCCTGAAAAGATCTTAGGGTTTCTTAGGAGTCCCCTAAACCTCAGCTGGTTCTCAAATGAGCAACACTGAACTATGTTATTTAGTGGGTAAGCTGGGGTAAAGAATGCCTACAGGTAACACAACCTGTTCCTGGCACATTTTCTTTGCTCACTGCTTTTGATGGAATTTAGTCTGGAGATTTACAAGTTACCACTGAGTGGTACCTACAGACACATGTCCCTTCTCTCTATGCTGCTTTGCTTTATCCATGACCTGTGAGTTGATAGATACACTGCTCATTCCTGCACTTGTATTGGTTGACTCTAAGCTTTGATTCTACTGGGAAAATGACAGTTAACTCTGCAAGACTCTACTTTGTTTGTGTTTGATTTTTCATTTCTCTATATCTTCCCACAGTTTTACCCCACCTGCTTTCTGTGTTCCTTTCTGGTCAATCTCCTTTTCTCACTCTCAGTCCCTGGCAACCACATATCTGCCATCACTATTGTTTTGCCATTTTTAGAACTTAAAAATGTAATTCTACAGTGTGCAGTCATGTATATCTTGCTTCTTTTACTTAGCATAATGCTTTTGGGATTCCTTCATGGTGTATATATCAGTAGCTCATTGCCTGTTATTATTCAATAGTTGGATTCATTTTATTGCTTTTACATGGACATTTAGATTGTTTATCAATTTTTGCTTTTATGAATAAAGCCGTAATGAATATTTTGTACCAGCCTTAACATGGACAGGTTTTCATTTAACTAATGTGTTTTTAATTATATTACTTCATTATTATTTTGATCTTGAAGTGATTTGCCATCTGCCACAAACCTAAGTCATTTTTTTATTTTAATAAGGGAACAGAAAATGAAATAGGCATCTCAGTTACATTGATTTCAAAAAGAAAATTTTGGTATATGGTCAGTTACAATGGAGAAATTATAATTCAGGGGATTTTAGAACATTTCAAAAGTATATTAAAAATTTTTATTATCATATGAAATTATAACAGCAAACAGAATGAATTAAATGAATTGATTTGTTATAAGTACTTGTGACCCCAAATTGATGTTAGACTACAATAACCAGACTTCATGACTTTTTAAAAAGCCTTAAGTCTTAGAGAATATTTTTCCAGTTCACTACATAGTATAGAATGATTCCAAAATGTTTTGGGGAATACTGGGCTCTATTCAGACTGGTAAATGTCTTAGTCTTTAAAACATACATTTTTTTTAGTTTCATGGCCTTTCTCATCTTACAAACCATTTTATTTTAATCATTCAATAAATATTTACTGAAATTCAATATGTGTTAGAGACTATCACAAATTCAGAGAGAAGAGATGAAAATATGCACAGAACATTTCATAGCCAGTTCAAGACAAGGCTTGAGCTTTGTCCCTGAAACCATAGCTATAAAGACACATACACACACACACAGACACACACACAAAACAATAGTAATGTTACATTGTTGAATGGAAAAATTGATCAATCTCTTGATGAAAGAATCCTTAATTCTAGTCATTCTGCTTCCTAGACATTTTTTTTGAGTTCTTCACTCTCCACTTGCCTCACCAGTGAAATTTCTTACATGTAATTCTACTCTCTGAATGAAATATCCCATTGTTCTTATGATTGGCTGACAAAAGTTTCCACTAGTGCTGAAGACCCAGAACTCTGAAAGAGATTCTTCAGTCATCCAGAACTCTGAAAGAGATTCTTCAGTCATAACCTCTCTTTTCCAAGTAGAGATGTTTTAACAACTCCTGAGTTATTAAAACAATCTATCTACAAATTAAAATACTGATCCATATTATAATCAGAGAAAGTTCTTTATTTTTGTACCCAATATACTAACCATAAATCTCTGAAAAATAGAAAGTGATTAGCAAATGTGGACTGAGTTCATGCATAAACGAAAATACAAATGAATGAATAAAAGTAAATTTTGTACATTATGAGACAAATTACTCTGTCCATTAATCCTAAAGGTTTCTGTTTCCCCATTTAAAATGTTTTAATTATGTAAATGGAAAAAAAACTTAAAAGGAAATAGAATGAAAGAAAAATTCAGAAAGCAATTTTAGTAGCAGACTAGTAAAAAATTCACGAAACATTTTAGTAAGAGATTCACTACCAAGATAATGATAGAATACTGTAAACATCCAAGAAAGCTGATATTACTGGGTGGATAACAGGGAAGATTATTATTTGCTTAATAATTCAGAATCAACAAGTAAATAAATTTGAAAATTTCACTGAAAAATATGTACTCTGTTGTTATATCTACATGAATTTATTCTACGGATATTTAAAAGCTTTTATGTACATGGAAACTGAGGCTATTTTTCCAATTTTATTCAATAATGTGTTATTAAACAAAAATGTCTATTTGTACTCTACATATTGCTACCGAAGACTACTGGAATTGCCGTATTATATATAAAAAACATTTATTGAATGTACTAACTAGAAATCTATATAATACTTTAAAAACTCTAGAAAAATAAATGTAAAGTCTAAAAGTTTTCCCTTTCCTCCTACCATATACAGATATGAAAATTACATACACAACATATATATATACCATATACATACAAATACATATATCATATACAGAGATGAAAATTGCATCAAATATATACTAACATCTCCCACATCCTGTGTTTTGATATGAATATTGTTTTATTGGAAGTCATTTGGGCAGAAAATTTAGCAGTACTATTTAATTAAAATATTGCATTGAAAATAAAATTAATCAATCAAGAAAAAAACCTCTTTATTTGATTTTCACATTTTTACCACCCGTTCCCCCAATTCATTGTATGCGCTTTTGAAACAAAAGTATGTCACTATTTTCAGTTTGCAATAAGTTGATAAAAAGCAATATTGACTATTGAAATGAGAACATTCTTCCTTGTTAGACTGAATGAGAAACCAGTGTGTGTGTGTGTGTGTGTGTGTGTGTGTGTGTGTCTGACTTCTAAGGTTAGAACTTTTTACTTCAAGGCTATAGTGTTGCACCAATAATGCCATAAATACTTTCTAGTTTGTGTAAAAAATAAGTCATCTGTAATAGAAAATTAGCAAGCTGAGGTGAATTCAGATACTTAGGAGTTGCTTTTGTGGTATTAGGAGAGACGTCATGAAGCAAAAGTTTAGACATATAAGGACAAACATAATAATCAACATATCAGCTTCCCTCATCCAGAAAACCCTTTTCTAACCATGGTTTCAAGCCTCAAGATGAGAACAGATAAATATTTGAAAATATCTTTTATTTTTTACGTGTTTTGTCTGATTTGAAGTAGATATATTTCCAAATAGTAACACTCTTAAAACTAATTACTTTCTTCCATGTGTTTAAATTATTTGAAAATTTTTATCAAAATCTAAGTGAATTAACAAATCAGTTATTTTTTCTCTTTCACCTTCCAACCCATGCCAGGTTTTTTCAATACATTTATGATACTTTTAACTTTTCTTCTGGGATAATTATATTTCTTCCTGAAGTGCATCCTTTGAACTTAATTTTATTAAGTTTTCTTGATTTTAAATCTCAGCATTTGTCTGAGTTGGTAAGTTATTCCTATGTAATAATTTTTTTAATATAATATTTCACTGTATGCTGGCTGCAAATCCTCTTCCTCTATGTTCACTACCTCCTAGTCTCTGGCAGAGAGTTTCTAGACTCAGAGGTCATTATCACTCCTCTTCTTCCTCAGGCAGAAAGCGGAAGACATGCAGAAATACTTTCTTTTGTGTAAATTAGGTGGTTTCATAGGAAAACCAAGTACCAAGTAGCTTGCTTCCTTCCTTCAATCCCTCCCTCATACATTCTTTCCTTCCTTCCCTCCCTCCCGTCTTCCCTCTCCTTTTTTCTTTCTTTTCTATATTTAATAATATTCTGTTTTATTGTGCTTTATTATTATTTGTAATTAAGTACATAAGATATGCATAAAACCCATTTCTTATTTTTGGCCTGGACTAAGGTAGTATGACCTATTCCTTGGTATTTTTGCTAGCGCAATTACAATGACAAAAAAAGGTATGCAAGCAAAATTAGGGAAAACATTCTAGTAAATATTGCTCCAGGTTACATGTGGTTAAAAACTTCTGCACCAGTTCATTCTTAGGAAATGTGTCCTTTGATTTGGAAAAATTAATTTTAATTAAAAACATTTCTCAGATCATTTAGGGAGAAATATGAACTGCTTAGACACACGATGGAGACAATTTCTCTGGACATACTCCAGAGCCTGTGTAGAGTTACCGAGTGAGAAGCAATCTAGCAGGAATGCAGTATGTGTGTATGTATTTACATATATATATATATATATACACACACACTCATTAATATATTTTTGGCTAATTGAATATATAATGCTTCTCCTGTCAAGTGTCTGTATGATATGACTGGGAGTTTCTTCCACAGCCACAGACTATGTTTTACTCAAGCAGAGATAGGAATGGGGGGAAAATGCAGAGTGGACCTTTTCTTTCCTATTCTCTTTTGAGGATTAAAAAAAAAGTAAAGCAAATCTCTGTGTTGTGTATGGCAAACACTCAGCATGTGACAAGTCATTTCATACAAATGTTTCAAAATTTGATATTACATTTTGCAAACTGACTTGCTTTGGCAGTAACAGTTTTCAAATGTCACCTAACTGGCTGTGTTCTAGTAACTAGAACACAGAATGCTGTATGTGTACTTTCCTGTTCTGCACAAAAAAACACACAATGAAATGTGTCTTTAGTGCTGTCATTAGCCAAGCCAAAAGTAAAACCAATGATGGCATGAGAGCCTTTCCTATTTCTTCCTATATAATAAATTGAAAATGGACTCTTTATTATATTAATTTATATGATAAATACAATTTATAATCTCATTGACGTTTTCTTCCATACTTGAAACTATAATTTCTATTGAACGAATAAAACACAGCCCAATTTAGATGTCAGTATCTCTATTAAATTATTACATTGTTAGCCACATTAAGTTGTCATTTTTATTTTGTTTTCTTGAGAAAGAGTCAATAATTAACCTCAATGATTGAAGTATAATGTTTCAAAAACAACATAGAGCCAGGGTAGTTAATATTATACTTGTTATATTTTGAGAGCATGACTTTTTCATCATATGTATGGGAAATAGTTGTGCTTGAAAAAAAAAAGCATTATTTAGGGAAGAATCAGTCATTCGCAACTTAGAAAACAGACACGAGTTATACAAGTGATGGCTTCTAATATTCATAGCATGTAATGCATAATTATTTCCAACAAATGGTAGCAAAAGGAACAATAAAATGGCCAACTGAAGAAATACATTTCTGATGCTAGTCCTAGAATTTGGTCTCAATAACAATAAAACATACAATAAGTGAAAGAATGTTTTATTTATGAAAGTAAAATGAAAAGGATCATAGGAAATAAATTATTTGCTGTAGTAAATATCAAAAGGGCAATAATTACAATTTGATATGTCTCCCAAGGAGTGCAAAGCTCAGATAAAGAATGTGAGTCTAAAATTGGAGAGTGCATACTTAATAGAAGTCTCTACTCTGTATCTAGACTTTGAAGTGATATTCATCTTCCATACTGTGCCTTAGGATGGCTATTTCATTTATTAGAAACAACCACTACCTATCTTAATAAAGTTTGTCTTGATTATAGCCGGAATACAAAATGTGTAACGATATTGTGAAACAATAACAAGTAGAAATGAAAGGAACTTTGAGAAATATTTCATGAGAAAAAAATAACAGTTTTATTAAGTATCATATTTTGTAAAAAAAAAAAAAAGCCTGAAATATTAGAATCTGGGAAAATGTGATTTGCTGTATATTCAACCTTAAGCCATTAGCCTTTCCACAAAAATTAATTTTGATAGAGGTTGGGTGTTTACTATGTGCCAGGTATATTTTCAATCACTTATGTATGTTATTTCATGTAAATTGCATAAGCCTTAACCATGTGATTACCATTATTATTCCACTTTGCAGATTGGAGAAATGGGGCATATGAAAATGAACAACTTGCTCAAATTTACAAAGTGGCAAATTCAAGTGCTGTGTCCAAAGACAGTACTTTTAAAGAAAAAGCAATACAGCAGTCAAGTAAAATTTAAGACATAAAATGTTTGTTTATAGTTTTTTTATTATTATACTTTAAGTTTTAGGATACATGTGCGCAACGTGCAGGTTAGTTACATATGTATACATGTGCCACGTTGGTGTGCTGTACCCATTAACTCATCATTTAACATTAGGTATATCTACTAATGCTACGCCTCCCCGCTCCCCCCACCCCACAACAGGCCCCTGTGTGTGATGTTCCCCTTCCTGTGTCCATGTGTTCTCATTGTTCAATTCCCACCTGTGAATGAGAATATGCGGTGTTTGGTTTTTTGTCCTTGCGATAGTTTGCTGAGAATGGTGGTTTCCAGCTTCATCCATGTCCCTACAAAGGACATGAACTCATCATTTTTTATGGCAGCATAGTATTCCATGGTGTATATGTGCCACATTTTCTTAATCCAGTCTATCATTGTTGGACATTTGGGTTGGTTCCAAGTCTTTGCTATTGTGAATAGTGCCACAATAAACATACGTGTGCATGTGTCTTTATAGCAGCATGATTTATAATCCTTTGGGTATATACCCAGTAATGGGATGGCTGGGTCAAATGGTATTTCTAGTTCTAGATCCCTGAGGAATCGCCACACTGACTTCCACAATGGTTGAACTAGTTTACAGTCCCACCAACAGTGTAAAAGTGTTCCTATTTCTCCACATCCTCTCCAGCACCTGTTGTTTCCTGACTTTTTAATGATCGCCATCCTAACTGGTGTGAGATGGTATCTCATAGTGGTTTTGATTTGCATTTCTCTGATGGCCAGTGATTATGAGCATTTTTCCATGTGTCTTTTTGGCTGCATAAATGTCTTGTTTTGAGAAGGGTCTGTTCATATCTTTCGCCCACTTGTTGATGGGGTTGTTTGCTTTTTTCTTGTAAATTTGTTTGAGTTCATTGTAGATTCTGGATATTAGCCCTTCGTCAGATGAGTAGATTGCAAAAATTTTCTCCCATTCTGTAGGTTGCCTGTTCACTCTGATAGTAGTTTCTTTTGCTGTGCAGAAGCTCTTTTGTTTAATTAGGTCCCATTTGTCAATTTTAGCTTTTGTTGTCATTGCTTTTGGTGTTTTAGACATAAAGCCCTTGCCCATGCCTATGTCCTGAATGGTATTACCTAGGTTTTCTTCTAGGGTTTGTTTATAGTTTTATTAGTTATTTATTGCTGGATTAGTAATTGCCTGAAAATATAGTTAAAATAACAAGAAACATTTTTTTTTCTCACAGTATGTACAGACCAGAAATTGGGGAACCATTTAGCTGAGAAGTTCTGGTTTGGGGTCTCTCATGAGATTTCAATCAAAACATTAGCCAGGGATAGAGTTATCTAAAGATTTCACTGGGGCTGAAGGAGCCACTTCCAAAGTGACTCACTAGCATGGTCAGCTGGTTGGTGACAGGGGGCCTCAGTCCTCCATCCAATCCATGGAATTCTTTCCCCAGCGCTGCTTAAGGGTTCTCACAACATAGCAGCGTTTCCCCAGTGTGAATGATCCAAAAGACAGAAGCTTAAGTGACAGTGCCTTTTATTATCTAGCCCCAGAAATTACATACTGCCACCTCCATGTTTTCCTAATGATCATATAAATTTACTGTATTCAGTGTGTGAGGGCATTGGACAAGCTGATGAAAAATGGGAGGTGAGAACTACTGGGGGCCATCTTGGAGACTGGGTTCCACAAAGCTTGTTTTAAACAAGAATACCTTTATAAGTGCCAAAACATAACTTCCTACCTCCAGCGAAGGTTAATTTTATTCTATTTTTACTGAGGCAGAAATAATTATGTTTCATTACCAACAAGATGTGGGGTATGGGTTTTTTTTTAATAAGAAAAGAGAATGGAAACATTGAAGGCCTTCCCCTTAACGAAAGGTATATAGATGATCTTTCTGATTTTATCAGAACATGCTTTGCATAATTACTGAAATGCACACATGCTAAAAGAAATCAAATTTGCAACCAATTATGCCCAAATTATAGGCTGTGTTGGTAGGCAGTCTACCTTCTGAAGTATTTCAGGTGACAGTTTAACGGATGTTTTGCCATAGAATTGCATGTGTCATTACCTTTCAAACCTCCTCTATTGTTACCCTTGCTGTATTATAAAACTGCTATGAATGTAGGTCATTTTTATGACATTCCTTCACTCTCTTGTACCACTTTTCTGTAATAGTTAGGATGTAATCTAACATGGTTGTGTCAGCAAAGTTTTGCTTCATAGCAAACTGCTCTGAAACTCAGCAACTTAAAATGCACTTATTCTATTTAGTTCATTGTTTACAGTTCTTGCAGTCTGGACTGGTTCTGCCCATCTCAATTTCAGTTCTCTCATTTGGATGCATTATTTTCAAGTTCTGATTATCGCTCCACATTCCATTGTTCTCCTTGAATATTGTCTTGCTTTGTGTTCTTGACACCACCCTTTGTGATATCCCTTCTTTTTCATAAGAAATGGCCTAGATTTGCAAGACACTAGGCTTTTCTACCTTCTTCATTCTCATTGTATTTGGGGGACTCCAAAGTCTCTTTTTATTTTTTATCATTGTATCAAAAACTTTGTGGGTTTTCTATGAATTTCACTAGCGTTTACTCCATTTGACATATTCATATGCTGTTTTTTTGAGACATGCTTTTTGTCATGGTAGGTGGCATATGAGACTGCTGGAACAGAAAATCCTTAGGATTCTTAGAGAAACTATAATTTAAAAGAGCAAGGCTACAAAGACATACATTTTAGCTCCTTAAAAGCCCTTGAAATGGCTGAAAAGAACAATGGACTGAGAAACGTATTGTTTGTTTTGAAGTGCATGTGCACGAGCGCATGTGTGTGTGTGTGTGTGTGTGTGCACGCATGCTTGTGTTAACAGGATATCCTGGCTGCTTTTATATTTCCTGTAAATTCTACTAAAAACTTATTTTCTTCTTTAATGCACCTATCTCTTATTTTATCATAATTTTTAAAAAGTAATTTTTATACTTTGTATCAAAGATTCAACAACCAGACAGACAAATTTATTAAGTACCTTGCTAGTTTCTCCATTATGTCATGGACAATGTTGCCAAACTTTCTGCAATTAGATAACGAGTATCCAGAGTGTCCATTTTTCTCTTGCCTCCAATAATGTTTTTCTTTTTACCATTGAGGTGTCCATGTACTGTCTTAAAAGTCTTCCAGCATCCACTAAAATTCTTCTTAAGATCTTTTCAGATTCCGACCATTATCTAGTTTCAAAACCAAAACTATTTTTGCTTTTATCATGGTGGAACTTCACTATCGGTTTCCAAATTCTGTTAGGGCTATCTATTGCTGCCTAGCAAGCTACCTCAAAACTTGATGCCTTTAAACAACAACAATATAATTATATTTAATAATGTAGGAGTCAGAGATTCAGACAAGACTTGGCTGGTGGATTCCTCTGCTCAATGTAGCAACAATGCTGTCACTTGGCAGTATTCAGTTGACAGCCTTTTGGTCTCGTGACTTGGTGAAGGTGGCTAGAAGAAAGCTTCCATTTGTACACCTTCCTCTCTATGCATTCTAGAGTCTTCCACACATGATGCTGCCAGCAGCATAATTAGATTTAATACACGGCATCTTAGAGCTCCCCAAGAGTGATAAAAAGCTGAAGAAGCTATGCCCAGTATGGGCCTATTCTTCTGGTTCAAGAAGTCATAGGACAGCTCAGATTCAAAGGGATAAATAAACAGACCTTGCCTTTTAATAAAAGGAGGGTTAAAGTTTCTTCAGCCATCATGAATCTGTCAAGATCTGCAATGAGATTAGATTACATGCAGTACTTGAAACTCCCCTGATTCAATAATCTTTGTTTAGACTCCTTGCCTTCTTATTATCTTGGCAAGTATGTCCCTATAGTCAAACTGGGGGAAAACACTTTTCTTTGTATTGGAAGTAAGGTAAAACACATTTGTATAGATTCCACAAATTATGCCCCAAGGAAAGAAATCATAGGCTAGTTGCCTAGAAGGTTGGAGGAAGGTTGTGAGAAAAATTTCTCTGTTTGACTTTTATAATTATAAAAATAAAAATAACTAGTTGCTAATGCTTAGTGAGCCTGTCAGGTCATAGGACAAGAACTTTTATATTGAATAATTCAACTTTTTTAGCTCCAAAACCAGAGTGGATAGTGCTTAGAACTTTATATCATAGTGAAGCAGGACATTTCCGTGACACCCTCGCAGGACCCCTGACAGGTGTGCCTCATTGACTCAGCCCACTGCTCTCAACTCCTCTCAGGAGGGAGTGCATGAGCAAATGGAATGCATGAGCACTGGAAATGGCCGGCTGCTTCAGTGCCAGTGGGATCAAACTCCACTCACTTGGACCCAGTGTGTTTCACCCCTCATGGCAGGGAGTACACAGGTGAGTGGGTGTGGGAGCCAGCATGTGTGCTTTGGGCAAGAGGGAACTCCGTGCACGTCCAGTGGCAGCATCCAGGCAGGGGTGGCTGCTACTCCTGAAGCCCCAGAGGGCATGTTGCAGTGCTTTTTTAGCTCTGCTGTCCACAGACGGCTTAAGTGTTAACTTTGCCTTTCTGCATGAGGGAGCTGCCCTCCACCAGTAAGGGCAAAGTGCCAGTATGATAGCCTTTCATATCCAAACTCGTGGCTCCCGAGCTCTTGTCTGGCATCCAGGAAAAATGGCATCACACAAATGAATTGAAGGATGGCAAATGTGGGGGGATTTTTATTGCTGATGAAAGTGGCCGTCAGCAGGAAGGGGAGCTGAAAAGAGGATGGGGCAGGCAGTTCATCTTCCTCTGAATTACAGCAATTGCTAGCCAGATTCTTCTCTGAAGTTATGCCATTAAGCTGTCCCCCTGAAGTCAAGCCACTTCTCTCGGATATCCAGTCACAGTCCCGTCTACCAGCTGAGTCTGGGATTTTTATAGGCACAGGGTAGGGTGGGGCAGGGCTATGAGTGGTTTAGGAAAAGGCAACATTTGAGTGAGAAAACAGGGATAGAAATTCTCACTTTGGGCAAGTTTTAGGCTTTTCAGCTTGAGGGTGGAGTTTTGCCTGGGACTCACCCTTTTCTGCTTAGAATTTCTCTTCATGCTGCTTTAATTCACCTGATTTTTATTATCCTTAATTGATATCAGAATGATTATAGTGAGGACCATGCCAAAGAGAGAAGGAATTGCTACTTTTGCAAGACCCTCAACTGAGACACTCTTGACATTTAGAGGCAGGAGCAAGCAAAGGAGACCAAGCAAAGGAGACCAAAAAGGCCTGTCTGATTAAAAGAACGGCTAGATAATTTGGTGCAATAGCAAGCATGCAAAAAAATGTTATTTAATGAGATTATAAGTGGTTATTGAAATTTACATGTTGGGAATTTTTCTGATGTTTCAAAGTGGAGTATTGGTTTAAAGGGGGAAACCAGAAGACTTGCTTTTTCAGCCCACACGTTCATTGTCTATGTCAAACAATGCTGAAAAAGGTAAAATAGATTTTTGGCCCATGAAGTACAGAAATTTACTCCAAAAGAAATTTTAAAAAATAGTTTAAGTAGTGACCACTGATATAAAAAAATGGTATTATTTTTGGCTTTATAAATGTTAATAATTTATCCCTTGTGTCTTACACAACAAAAGATTTTCAAATAAGCTTATACTCTCAGTTAAATTGTAGCATTGTTTTGAAATGAATTGCTTAGCTTTTAAAGGAAACAGATCTAAATATTTCAAATATAGACAATAAGATATTTTGGAGTTCTAATTTTATTTTATAATTTTCCAAACTGCAAATGAAAAAGCCACTGAAGTGTCTTAACAGGGTAAATCATCACACTGTATTACCTTGGTTAGAGAAAGGCACTCAATAGCTAGATGATTAATAAAGCTTTATGCAGTTGACATTGCTGAATGCCTGCTTGATGAGAAGTAACAGAAATCACAGAACTGTTCTTTTACAATGAGAAGGTAACTTGTCAAATGAAATGCTTAGCTGTATGCATAAAGATTGATTGACACCATGTGTTATCAGTAGAATTATGCCTATGTCTTACAAGTGAATGAATCTACAGATAATATGTGGACTTGCAGTTTTGCTTTTTTTAATTGGGTATCAGTACCAGCTAATCATCAAAGAAAATCTTCTTCTATGGAAATGCTTGGAAATGAACACAAATTGTGCTATTATATTGAAAGAGTTTAATGATAGATTTTAATATCAGGGTATATCAGGAACAACTGTATTGTCATTTACTTTGACGGTTATTACTTCTGTTACCTTAGCATGAATTCAATGGCACTACCCTGTACCGATAGTCATGTTATTTTTTTCCATCACGTATTCCTAGGGGAAAAAAAGTTTCACTGAAGCTTGTCTTTCAGGAATCGGTACAATTTATTAATTTTATGAAAGCTTGATTGTTACTACGTGTTTTAAAAATATTCTGTATGATGAAACCAGAAGTATGTAAAACGTCTTTCAGCTGTATATGAACATACGATGATTATCCAAAAGCACATGTGCTATCATTTTGAGTAGAGGGTTGAAGTAATCTTTTTTTCCATGGAATAGCATTTTTACTTGAAGAAACAACTGACAGCTTAGATAGTATCAGGGGAGGCTTTAAGGTGCTCTGCTGGTGAATTCCAAAATAATCATCTATACAAATAAACCAAGTACAGTAAGAGATCAAATATTATAGTTGATTACCTTTTCTGGAGAAAAGATCAGATTAAGGATGTGGCCACCTTTTCTATTACCAAAACTTCTCACCTGATAAAACTTTCTACAGAGGAAATAAGTCAATCTAATGGTAGGTCAACTAATTCTACCTGTCAGTGCATTAAAAGTTCAGGATACAAATTATATTAAAAGTGTAGGCTTTCCAGAGCAATCTAAGAAAAAGGTACTTTGTAAAAAAATAAATAAATAAAAAAAATTTTAAAAAGCAATGTAGCAGATCTAGATATTATTTTTCAAAAATAACTGGCACATGGAACTGACTAGATTTGAACAGATATGAATATAGACTGCAGTGCAACTAAAGAAACTATGAGACTAAGTCTCTAGTTTGAATTGTGTCGAATTTGGTATGTACTGGTTATATAACGACAATTATTATCATCTGCTATAGTTAGAAATCCAGGGACATACTGAATACCCAAGGGTAACAGACAGTTTTCTTCTCATTTTTTATTTAAATATGACTTTCATATTAGAGGATAGGGAATTATTATATTCGAAAATGGCTTCAAGGTGAATTCCAGACAGAAGCAATTTACTTATGTTAATGTCAGCTAACATATACATAAGCAATTTCAAAAAACTGTCAACACTTCATTACCATAAATCTTTCCTTAGGCATTGATGCTGCTTAGGAATATTTAAACTTAATATGTTAACTTCATTTAGTTAGTAAGAGATTAAGATATAAATATTCAATGCAGCTTTTATTTGTATTTATTGTTTTAAGTAACAATCTTTTATATTACTCTCAACTTCTCAAATTTCTTTTCCAATTCTTATATCTTCATTGTCACCACGTACACACACTCTTGAAATAAAGGTGATGTCAGATGTTTATTTTCCCCAAACTGAAAAAAAAAAAAAGTAAAAACATTGCTGTTACGGCATTTTATGTATCTGTCTTAATTCAAGTGCTATTTTGGTTCTTCCACTGAATAGATGTTTAATATGGTTAATCACCTGTTTTCTATAATCTCTGGTTTTATTATAGTAAAATAGGAATTAGCAAATGGAGTAGGTTAAAATAAAACTATGTATTCAGTACATAAATATCCATGAATTCTGTACATGACTCCTTTCTAATATTTGCTTACTTTAGTGCAAACACATGCATATACCTTCAATATAAATAAACAGAGAGAAGAATTAAAAGCACATGGCAGGATTAGAGTCAGAGGTATGGGTATGAATTTATGTGTAGCCTAATATATATTCAGATGTTTAGACACAAAAGCAATCATAAATGTGTTTATGTGTAGGTTAATATGCATAAATATATTGCCTCACTCTGCCCAAAAAGAAGGCTCAGAAGCAGTGACACCTCAGGAGCCATAAGTACACCCAACCATCAAGATCTTGGTTTCCGAATATCTAAGAAAAGGGCCAAGTGTTTCTTGGAGAAATCACTGATTTTATCCTCAGGAAAGGGAAAACATAAGATGAGCATGAAGCACTTTGAAGTACCAGAAAGTAAAGATGTACTCAAAAAACACCAGAATGGGAACATGGAAAAAAACATAGTGGCCAACCTGAAAGAGCTCCCCACGAGCAAAGCAGAAAAAATGCAACACAATAAGTCATGTATCACTGGTTAATAACACAAAATATGGAAGAAATATCCATGAGTTCATACCGATATAAATACAACACTGTTTGCATAAATAAATTTGGGAAAGGAAATAAACCTTCCTTGCAAATAACTGACAAAGTATTTTCATTGCCAGAATGTCTACATCTACATTTTCCAACTCCCATGACATGTTGTAGTGAAAAATAACTCATAAAGCTTAGAACTTTTGGAGAATTCGTGAGTTAAAGGGTAAATAGGTATAATGACTATGAAAAGCAATTTTTCTATGACTTGTAAACTAAAAATGTTATGACAGTTTGATTCAGAAGTGATACTTTCGAGAGTCTTTTTTTTTTTTTTTTTTTGAGACAGAGTCTTGCTCTGTCACCCAGACTGGAGTGCAGTGGCATGATCTTGGCTCACTGTAACCTCCGCCTCCCGGGTTCAAGCGATTCTCTTTCCTCAGTCTCCTGAGTAGCTGGGATTACAGGTCCATACCATCATGCCCAGCTAATTTTTCTATTTTTAGTAGAGACAGGGTTTCACCATGTTGGTCAGGCTGGTCTTGATCTCCTGACCTCATGATCTGCCTGCCTCGGCCTCCCAAAGTGCTAGGATTACAGGCATGAGCCACCTTGCCGGGCTGAGAGTCTATTTTTAAGAAAACATATATGTATGTAGAAGGGGAAATTTATAATCTATAAAATGATGCTTGGTTGCATGATTTTCAATTATGAGAAAGAAAATGCCTCTCAATAGGGGAATTGTTAAATAAAACATATGTTGACACCAACATAAATTTAAAATATTTCCTAGATAGGATTTAGCACACACTAACTTTAGCAATAACTTTGTTGGAATTTGAGCTTGTATTTGTTTTTAAAAGTTATCAAAAATTTAAAAAAAGCAAAGAAAGGTGAGGTTCTTATGATAAAGGAAAACCAAATGATTTTTAAAAATTGAATTTTAAATACAGAAAATTTAAATCTGATCTTCAGCTATTCGGGTAGGCAGGTAAAAAGAGCTTTTTTACAAAAATAATTACATTATGATAAGTTTATTTCTTTAGCTCTTACAACAAAACCGTATAAAGTAAGTTTTATTGCTTGGTGTCACGCCTAACAAGTTTTAGAGCCACAGAAGAAATCTCTGACTCACTATTGCCTCAACCTCAAGAGAAGGTGGCATTGGTTGGAGACAGTGAGCACTTTGATAAAAATCAATATAAGTATTAGTGCAGAAAAAATATTGGAAATATGGGCACTGTTGAAATAGGAGTATGTGTAATCCTCTTCAATTAAACACACAAATACATGCACATTTCTGATAGGAAGAAGATAGTCATATTTTTGGAAGTCAGGTAAAATGTATTCATTTTTTTTGTTTTTGTTTTTTGTTTTTGAGACAGGGTCTCACTATGCTGCCCAGACTGGAGTGCAGTGGTACAATCACAGCTCACTGCAGTTTCTCTCTACTGCCCAGGCTCAAGCCATCTTCCCACGTAAGGCTCCCAAGTAGCTGGGACCACAGGCACATGCCACCACACCTGGCTAAGTTTTTTATTTTTTGGAGAGACGGAGTCTCACTGTGTTGCTCAGGCTGGTCTGGAACTCCTGGGCTCAAGTGTTCCTCCCACTTTGGCCTTCCTCATTAGTGTTGGGATTACAGGCATGAGCCACAACTCCCCAGGTAAAATTTATTTCATAAACATTTCAACTCATAAATTTTCAGTATCTAAGAATATGATTAGCACTTTTAAAAACTAGAACTGCATAATTTTTGAAAGCCCTAAGATTAATGGAAAATATATAATTGTAATGAATTTTATTGTATGTGATTCTATATTACATTTTACAAATGCAACTGTAGTTGCATAGATTTATTGTATATGAAGAAAATATTCTAATAATATCTTATTGAATTAAATGGAAAATGATTTAATATAATATGGATGCTTATTTCTTATTTATGAAGTTTAGATGTATCTTATACATTCTATGACCGTTTTCTCAAACATTTCAAAGATAATTATATTGTTTTATCTTCTGCTCAAAAAAATGAATTTTTTTCACACATCAGCCTTTCTCCAGCCATTTATAACTGACATTTGTAAAACCATGCTTTGTCTTTGAATCCATGCTCTCTGTTGATTAAAGTTTAAGGCAAAAACTAAAACTTCATGAGACTGAATTTCTTTCATCATTCTTTCCCCCCTCAAAATATTTGCTGCTATGCTATGTTAGATGTTTATATCTGGAGGATTTTACTTTGCATTTTGGATTTAAATAAAGGATTAGGCAAATTTTATAAGAAATAACTTGATGTCAAAGTAATATGTCTCATGGGTCCCATGAAGAGTAGATTAGAGATTTTAAAGTACTTACTGAAAAAAAAATCAATAAATTCAGTTTTGAATTAAATATGAAGCTTTCAAAAATTCATTGTCTTCTCGCCTTTAATTCTTTTCATTTACAATTGACTAGGGGATACCAACCTCCCTCTTTCCTCTTTCAGTTATCAGGTGATAACCTGGAGCTTAAGGACTGGGATTACTTTTTTTGTGATACTGTTGCTCAAATTGTTGATTTACTCTTGCAGCTCTCAAGGAACTTGCAAGTCCCTTTTAAATCTCTCTGAACAACTAGTCTCATTGATTTCCCACATGGCTGTAAGCTCTAAAGATTTATAATACTGTGCTCATTTATACACTCTATTTCCTTTTAGGAGTTTTAAATTTCCTATAAGTCGTTAGCATTATGTGTCCCTTTGCTCTTGTATTATGAAGCCGGATGAAGAGATGTGATCGGTGGTATTTTAATGACCTATTCATTATTTATCATGCTGCTGAAATGCAACATTTGCTATTGCTCCAAGTTCTGGTTTATTTAGTTGTTCCAAAGCTATAGAAAAGTCTTTGAGTTGCTCTTAAAATAGCATAGTAGATTACAAATATTTTTATAAGAAGAAACTGAGGTAGCATCCGATAAAACAAATGCAAATGGTTAATATCTATCTGTTATTCATGTTTCTTAGTCCTGAAATAACAGAGTAACTAGAGCTACTGATGGGGTAATTTTACCCCCACAGGGAAGACATCTGGTATTCCTGCTATCCATGTCAAGGAAGATGTAAATCTGGTCATAAAATTTTCTTCTCTGAGATGTAATTATTCATATTTTTCAAAATTTTGCTAATTGCATGAATTGTTTTAGTCTGTCTTCATCTTGGCAGACAACTTTTCTGAGCCAAATAAACTCTCCAATATCTGTCTTTTGCTTGTGTACTACAGAGGAAGCTGCTGAAATAAAGTTCTTTGTCTGTCTTGAAATCTGTAAGGGCAGTTCATTGTTATTCTCCACTGTCACATAATTAGTAGAATTAGAAAATAAACTTTTTAAACACAGGCTTCTCTTTCCCTAAGTAAAATGAATTGGAAAGCTAATGTGTCTCTTAGATATTTTTCAAGTCATTCCTGCAATATCTTGAGGCATCCTCTTGGAGAAGTTTGAATCAATCCACCATATTACAGAAATTCAAGATAATGGACAATATTTTCCTTACACTGTTACAGAAGTTAGAAAAATTAAAATAGGTCAGTTGTCTAATATTTCATGATTGCTTTACAAAGAAAGCACTCCAAAAATATGAAAATTGGGGTATTTCATAGTAAGATACATAAAGATTTTAGTTATACATAGCTAAGGCTGGAGAAAATGTATGACCATCTCTATTCACTATTTATGTATCACCAACAATCATGATGCCTGTGTTTCTTATTATACCTTGTTAATTTACTGATTTTTCGGGCGGGGGGCTGACCCCCCCCACCTCCCTCCTGGACCGGGCGGCTGGCCGGGCAGAGGGGCTCCTCACTTCCCTGTAGGGGCGGCTGGGCAGAGGCGCCCCTCACCTCCCGGACGGGGTGGCTGGCCGGGCGGGGGGCTGAGGGAAGTGGGGGGGTCAGCCCCCTGGCTGGCCGGGCGGGGGGCTGAGGGAGGTGGCGGTCAGCCCCCCGCCCGCCAGCCGCCCCGTCCGGGAGGTGAGGGGCGCCTCTGCCCGGCCGCCCCTACTGGGAAGTGAGGAGCCCCTCTGCCCGGCCACCACCCCGTCTGGGAGGTGTACCCAACAGCTCATTGAGAACGGGCCATGATGACAATGGCGGTTTTGTGGAATAGAAAGGGGGGAAAGGTGGGGAAAAGACTGAGAAATCGGATGGTTGCCGTGTCTGTGTAGAAAGAGGTAGACATGGGAGACTTTTCATTTTGTTCTGTACTAAGAAAAATTCTTCTGCCTTGGGATCCTGTTGATCTGCGACCTTACCCCCAACCCTGTGCTCTCTGAAACATGTGCTGTATCCACTCAGGGTTGAATGGATTAAGGGCGGTGCAAGATGTGCTTTGTTAAACAGATGCTTGAAGGCAGCATGCTCCTTAAGAGTCATCACCACTCCCTAATCTCAAGTACCCAGGGACACAAACACTGCGGAAGGCCGCAGGGTCCTCTGCCTAGGAAAACCAGAGACCTTTGTTCACTTGTTTATCTGCAGACCTTCCCTCCACTATTGTCCTGTGACCCTGCCAAATCCCCCTCTGCGAGAAACACCCAAGAATGATCAATAAAAAAAAAAAAAAAAAAAAATTTACTGATTTTTCTCTTGACTTCAGAGCCAGGAATGTATCAACTCCTCTTTTCTGATAGTAGTAATGGCCATTCCATGACTTCACACCAACACTTCTTTCTAGTGTGCCACATGGCACAAATAAGGTGCTTAAAGTTACATCCACGTCATTCTGAATTAGGCAGAAACTAATCAATAAATGCCTAAAGGTTCAAATTTTACAGCATTCTATAAAATGAGAAAGTTGAGGATTAAATTAGAGCCAACTAAGAATTTCACCATCCCATCATATTTATTATTGAATCACTAATTCATTTTGAATTACTAATAATTAGTAAGCTTACAGTAGGCTTAGTTTATATTTTTCTAAAATATAAACTTATATAATATGTCATCATTATTCTTGGCCAGTAAAATGAGGCAGGAGGGAATTCCCAGAAAATCAACCACAAACAACCAGAATATTATGATCTTAGTAAGATAAGAATAATTTAAGACCTATGCTATGAAAAATTATTCTTTTTTCATTAAATACATAGATTTTATTTGCATAATTCAATGTGTTTTGGTAAATACATAAACACATAATCACTATCCCAATTAAGATATAAAATATTCCCAGGACCCCTGAAAGTTCCCCTGTCTGCCAATCACGTTAATCCCCAAATCCCACTCCCAACCTGAGGCAGTCACTGTTATGAATACCTGTCTTTGTAGATTAGTTCGGTCTGTTCTTGAACTTCATATAAGTGAAATTACAGAGCATGTATTCTTTTGCATCTGGCTTCTTTTTTTATTGTGTTTTAAGTTCTGGGGTATATGTGCAAAACGTGGAAGTTTGTTATATAGGTATACATGTGCCATGGTGGTTTGCTGCACCCATCAGCCAGTCATCTACCATAGGTATTTCTTCTAATGCTATCCCTCCCCTAGCCCCCAGCTCCCTGACAGGCCCTGGTGTGTGATGTTTCCTGCCGTGTGTCCATGTGTTCTCATTGTTCAACTCCCACTTATGAGTGAGAACGTGCAGTGTTTGATTTTCTGTTCTTGTGTTAATTTGCTGAGAATGATGGTTTCCAGCTTTATCCATGTCCCTGCAAAGGACATGAACTCATCCTTTTTTATGGCTGCATAGTATTCCATGGTGTATATGTGCCACATTTTCTTAATCCAGTCTATCATTGATGGACATTTGGGTTGGTTCCAAGTCTTTGCTATTGTGAACAGTGCCACATTAAACATATGTGTGCATGGGTCTTTATAGTAGAATGAATTATAATCCTTTGGGTATATACCCAGTAATGGGATTGCTGGATCAAATGGTATTTCTGGTTCTAGATCCTTGAGGAATCCCCACACTGTCTTCCACAATGCTTGAACTAATTTACACTCCCACCAAAAGTGTAAAAGCATTCCTATTTTTCCACATCCTCTCCATCATCTGTTGTTTCCTGACTTTTTAATGATCTCCATTCTAACTGGTGTGAGATGGTATCTGATAGTGGTTTTGATTTGCATTTCTCTGACAGCCAGTGATGATGAGCATTTTTCCATGTGTCTTTTTGGCTGCATAAATGTCTTGTTTTGAGAAGTGTCTGTTCATATCCTTTGCCCACTTGTTGATGGGGTTGTTTGTTTTTTTCTTGTAAATTTGTTTGAGTTCATTGTAGATTCTGGATATTAGCTCTTTGTCAGATGAGTAGATTGCAAAAATTTTCTCCCATTCTGTAGGTTGCCTGTTCACTCTCTGATAGTTTCTTTTGCTGTGCAGAAGCTCTTTAGTTTAATTAGATCCCACTTGTCAATTTTGGCTTTTGTTGCCATTGCTTTTGGTGTTTTAGTCATGAAGTTTGCCCATGCCTGTGTCCTGAATGATATTGCCCTGGATTTCTTCCAGGGTTTTTATGGTTTTAGGTCTTACATTTAAGTCTTTAATACATCTTGAGTTAATTTTTGTTTAAGGTGTAAGGAAGGGGTCCAGTTTCAATTTTCTGCATATGGCTAGCCAGTTTTCTCAACACCATTTATTAAATAGGGAATCCTTTCCCCATTGCTTGTTTTTGTCAGGATTGTGAAAGATCAGATGGTTGTAGATGTGTGGTGTTATTTCTGAGGCCTCTGTTCTCTGCCATTGATCTATATATCTGTTTTGGTACCAGTACCATGCTATTTTGGTTACTGTAGCCTTGTAGTATAGCTTGAAGTCAGTTAGTGTGATGCCTCCAGCTTTGTTCTTTTTGCTTAGGATTGTTTTGGCTATGCAGGCTCTTTTTTGGTAGAGACACGAAAAAAACCTTCAAAAAAATCAATGAATCCAGGAGATAGTTTTTTGAAAAGACTAACACAAAAGATAGACCACTAGCCAGAACAACAAAGAAGAAAAGAGATAAGAATCAAAAAGACACAATAAAAAATGATAAAGGGGCTATCACCCCTGATCCCACAGAAATACAAACTACCATCAGAGAATACTATAAACACCTCTACACAAATAAACTAGAAAATCTAGAAGAAATGGACAAATTCCTGGACATATACACCCTCCCAAGTCTAAACCAGGAAGAAGTTGAATCCCTGAGTAGACCAATAACAAGGTCTGAAATTGAGGCAGTAATTAATAGCCTACCAACCAAAAACAGTCCAGGATCATATGAATTCACAGCAAAATTCTACCAGAGGTACAAAGAGGAGCTGGTACCATCCCTTCTGAACTATTTCAAACAATAGAACAAGAGGGAATCCTCCCTAACTCATTTTATGAGGCCATCATCATCCTGATACCAAAACCTGGCAGAGACAAAACAAAATAAAGAAAATTTCAGGCCAATATGCCTGACTGAACATCGATGCAAAAATCATCAATAAAATATGGGCACACCAAATCCAGCAGCACTTCAAAAAGCTAATCGACCACGATCAAGTCAGCTTCATCCCTGGGATGAAAGGCTAGATCAACATACACAAGTAAATAAACCATTACATAAACAGAACCAATGACAAAAACCACATGATTATCTCAATAGATGCAGAAAAGGCCTTCGATAAAATTCAACGCCACATCATGCTAAAAACTCTCAATAAACTTGGTATTGATGGAACGTATCTCAAAATAATAAGAGCTATTTATGAGAAACCCGCAGCCAATATCATACTGAATGGGCAAAAACTGCAAGCATTCCCTTGAAAACTAGCACAAGACAAGGAGGCCCTCTCTCACCATTCCTATTCAACATATTATTGGAAGTTCTGCCCTCAGAGCAGAGGGCAATCAGGCAAGAGGAAGAAATAAAGGGTATTCAAATAGGAAGGGAGGAAGTCAAATTGTCTCTGCAGATGACGTGATTGTATATTTAGAAAACTCCATCATCTCAGTCCAAAATCTCCTTCAGCTGATATACAACTTCAGCAAAGTCTCAGGATACAAAATCAATGTGCCAAAATCACAGCATTCCTATACACCAATAATAGAGAGCCAAATCATGAGTGAAATCCCATTCACAATTACTACAAAGAGAATAAAATACCTAGGACTACAACTTACAAGGGATGTGAAGGAGTTCTTCAAGGAGAACTACAAAACACTGCTCAAGGAAATAAGAGAGGACACAAACTAATGGAAAAACATTCTACGCTCATGTATAGGAAGAATCAATATCATGAAAATGGCCACACTGCCCAAAGTAATTTATAGATTCAATGCTATCCCCATCAAGCTACCATTGACTTTCTTCACAGAATTAGAAAAAAACTACTTTGAATTTCATATGGAACCGTCTTTTGTGCAAAGCACATAGGCTCAAAATAAAAGGATGGAAGAATATTTACCAAGCAAATGGAAAGCAAAAAAAAAAAGAAAAAAAAAGCAGGGATTGCAATTCTAGTCTCTGATAAAACAGACTTTAAACCAGCAAAGATCAAAAGAGACAAAGAAGGGCATCACATAATGGTAAAGTGATCAATGCAACAAGAAGAGCTAACTATTCTAAATATATATGCACTCAATACCGGAGCACCCAGATTCACAAAGCAAGTTCTTAGAGACATACAAAGAGACTTAGACTTACACACAATAATAGGGGGAGACTTTAACACCCCACTGTCAATATTAAACATATCAAAGATACAGAATATTAACAGCGATATTCAGTACTTGAACTCAGCTCTGAACCAAGGGGACCCAAGAGACATCAAGAGAACCCTACACCCCAAATCAACAGAGTATACATTATTCTCAGCACCAAGTCACACTTATTCTAAGATCGACCACATAATTGGAAGTAAAACGCTCCTCAGCAAAACATGGAAATCATAACAAACAGTCTCTCATACCACAGTGCAATCAAACTGTGACTCAGGATTAAGAAACTCACTGAAAACTGCACAACTACATGGAAACTGAACAACCTGCTCCTGAATGACTATTGGGTAAATAACGAAATGAAGGCAGAAATAAATAAGTTCTTTGAAACCAGTGAGAGCAAAGACACAATGTACCAGAATCTCTGGGACACATTTAAAGCAGTGTTTAGAGGGAAATTTATAGCACTAAATGCCCACAAGAGAAAGCAGGAAATATCTAAAATTGACACCCTAACATCACAGATAAAAGAACTGGAGAAGCAAGAGCAAACAAATTCAAAAGCTAGCAGAAGACAAGAAATAACTAAGATCAAAGCAAAACTGAAGGATATAGAGACACAAAAAACCCTTCAAAAAAATCAGTGCATCCAGGAGCTGGTTTTTTGAAAGGATCAACAAAATAGATAGATCACTAGTCAGACGAATAAAGAAGAAAAGAGAGAAGAATCAAACAGACACAAGAGAAATTATTCTTAGAAAGCAGTTTTCATGTGTTGATATCTCATGTTAAAAATTTCACTTGAATACTGATTTCAGTTTATTTTTATATCACTATAAGAAGATTTGAAACATAATAAATCAATGTAGTAGTTTATAATTATGTTCTGTCAAAATACAGCCATTCTCATATGTGGCAAATAAATTTGAATATTTGAGAAAAATGAACAGAAAAACTGAGAATCCTCAAAATTAAAATTAAATAAGATTTGATTCTGCCATGATTTAGGGGTTGATACTATTTTGATAGAGGTATTTAATATGAAGAATGAAATCCCATTATAAATAAAATTATAATATTTTAAGGCATTTTACAAACTAGTAAAGTTATGTATTTTTGCCTTTTAACTTTAGCTATAATTATTTGAATTTTTCTATTTTTACTGCCCTAATTCAATATTGAATGTCATACTACTTGTACCTACAGCATAAAATATGATAATATAGCTAATGCAACAAAATAAATTTTAAAATAGTGAAATCATTATACACTGATTCCTACTTTTCAGTACTAAATATAAACTAAAAAGTTTTGAATTACTGTGTTAAGCTATATCATTTTGTATGAATGAAATAAATGCAAAGTCAAGATTAATAAACAATAAAAACTATTTTAAATATATGTGACTGAGAAAACACAGAAGTATAGTAATTCACTATGGAGGATACAAGGCTGAAAGTAAGAACTGAAAACAACTCAGGGTAGAATTCTTAGTGACACTTAGTATATGGACTAAAAACTAATTTGAAAAGGAAAGGCACATGATTCCCACTTTGCTTGATTTTAATCTGTACTATGAAATACTACACAGCTATTAAATACAAAATGGAGCAGCACAGATTTATAGGTAGTAAGCAAAACATATCATAGACTTTTAGAGATATATATATACACACAAACATGATTTTGTAAGTACAAACACACAAATGAAAACAAAATCACAATATAAGTGAATATGGACATCTATGAATAACAAAATTTACCTATATTTATTTCTGTATATATGTCTAGCTAGGTAGCTCTCCATCTATGTGAATGAAAAGAAGACTGCAGGGGAAGCAGAGTAGGCAGTGAAATACCAAGCTTTGTTTAGATATGCATGATTTAGGAATTACACAAGGATATATTCAAACACTAATTTTAATCATTTGATGTAAAAACGGTGAATATTGAAACTATTCTAAAAATTATTTTCATCTACTTAGTAAGATAGTCAAATAATTCACTACAGATATTTTCTACATTTTAAAATTATAGTTCTAGAAAATAATTGTTTTAAGTCTAAATTAATTTAATTTTAAAATGAACTTTTCATTTTAAAACAAATTATGAGAAACTCTTTTAACTCTATTGGATTCCTAAGCTTTTCTTTTTTTTTTCTCAGACGGAGTCTTGCTCTGTTGCCCAGCACTGGAGTGCAATGGCACGGTCTCGGCTCACTGCAACCTCCGCCTCCCGGATTCAAGCAATTCTCCTGCCTCAGCCTCCGGAGTAGCTGGGATTACAGGCGCCCACCACGTTTGGCTAATTTTTGTATTTATAGTAGAGACAGGGTTTCACCATGTTGGTCAGGCTGGTCTCGAACTCCTGACCTCGTGATACTCCCACCTCAGCCTCTCGAAGTGCTGGGATTACAGGCATGAGCCACCACACCCAGCCAGCTTTTCTTTTAATGTACACTTTTTTTTTTAATAGACTTTATTTTTTAAAGCAGTTTTTGGGTTCACAGTAATATTTAGAGGAGGAAGCCCATATACCTCCTGTCCCCAAACATGCATAGACTCCCCAGTTATCAAGGTCTCCCACAAGAGTGATACATTTGTTACAACTGATAAATGTACACTCACACATCAATATCACTTAAAGTCCATAGTTTAATATTTAAATCATTAAATGTGTACATTAAACTTTAAAGGTGTACATTAAAGCTTAGGGTACACATTTCTTCCCTGCATACCCAACTGGCAATTCTATTTCTCAGCATCTAATAAGTTTGTGAAAGAAATTGTGTTCCATGTGTTTAATTAAATGTAAACACTGTCACTGATGTACACTTAGATCAAATGACAATTACTTGGTCTTATTTGTGTTTCCTTCAATAAAACAACATACTTTACCATTTTCAGAGAAGTTTATTACATAAAATGTGCCCTGCAGTTGTTCGTTACGTTTATTTTTCTTCTTTTTCGTTTTGCTTTCAGGTCACAGCATAGATAACGAAATCTTTCATATGATTAACTTTCAAACAAACATGCAATAAATTAATGTTTCTGCAGCATTATGGATTAGTAATCCAAACAATGAAAGGGAATTAGCAATTTACACAAAATAGTCATTTGGATAACTGCTTTTCAAAATTTTCTTTTATGTCTGAAAGTGGTATAAAATGTCAGATTCAAAGTTCAATTCATGCATTTAGGAAAACACTTAGACAACCCAGTATGCAAGATAGACAAATGAGAAACTTAAGAACCTTGGAACCTCATCATTCAACCTTAATTGTGAGACATACAGATAGAATCTTAGAAGGCATTTCTCAGTTTTATGAATGAAAAACCTGCTGCCGAATGTTCAGAATTTTTTTTTTTTTTTTTTTGAGATGGAGTCTCACTCTGTCACCCAGGCTGGAGTGCAGTGGAGCAATTTCGGCTCACTTCAACCTCTGCCTTCTGGGTTCATGCCATTCTCCTGCCTCAGCCTCCTGAGTAGCTGGGACTACAGTCGCCTGCCACCACGCCCGGCTAATTTTTTGTATTTTTAGTAGAGACGGGGGTTTCACCATATTAGCCGGGATGGTCTCGATCTCCTGACCTCATGATCTGCCCACCTCAGCCTCCCAAAGTGCTGGGATTACAGGCGTGAGCCACCACGCCTGGCCCAGAATTTCTTATTGAAAATTCACAGACCTCTTACTAGAACTATTTAGTCAAAATGTTAGGCATGGTTAAATGAGTTCTAGAAATTCACCTTTTTAACAAGCTCTCCAAGTCATGCTTATATACAGTCAAATCAGTTGTGCATTTGCTTCAAGGAGTTGAATTTGGAAACTCAGATTTAAATTAACTGCTATTTAGTAGTTAAAAAGTATGGGGAAAACTAAAGTCATTAAATGCCAAATGTAAGTTCTTCAAAGGTAACACTTAGTCACTTGTGGAGATGGTATTATAAAACGTATGTCTCCCACCTCCTTCCCATCCCTCTCCTATCTTACCATGCTCACTCTAAAAGTATTCCGTTAGATTCCTTTAGAAATCATATACAAGCTTGCCAAATTAAACTTGTAATAGATGTACCGATGTCACATGAGTTTCTTGTGGAAAGAATGATCTAATTTAAAGTGAATTTTCTATGTAGTATTCCATACTTGATCTGACAACTCTGGAAACCACAAGTCCATGACTATCCAAGGGTGTACATCTAGTTCGTACATTGGTCTATAGTGAGCAACCTCTGAGAACTCCATGCAGGTCACACAATTTTGCAAAATGAGAACTACCATAGTTTTACATACAGTTACCCTGGTGAATATTTTTTTCCTTTGCCTTTCAGACTTTTTCATAATTTCTCTGTTCAACTATTTTTGAGAAGATTGTTAATAGTGTAATCCCACTGATGATAAGGTAGTTTTCATGTTGGAGTGCAAAAAGTTGCAAAAGTTGGTTTGAATGTGAATTTTTAAAATCGTGAATATTAATCTGAGGCCTTTTGACTTTTCTTCAGAAAGCAGTGTGCAATTTTTAAAGCTGATATTATCTCTCTCCCACCTAAGATTTCTCTCTCTCAGATATTATTGTTTTATTTTGGTAGCAATATATAGAATGAATTAGGAAACATACATTGTAAAAATTTAAGCATTTTAGCAGAAATGAGAAAGTATATATAATTGATTTTATTGTCACATTCCCATAAAAATTATATTCAAAATTCCCTATAAGGAAATAAAGTTAAAACATAGAGATGGTAAAGACTATGAAGAAAGTTAATTAGCAAACTTATTTCTATAGGTTACAGAAAGTCACAGCAAAATATTTAATTGTTCACATGTTTCTTCAACTGGAGTCTGTGCCATTCAACAATATTTGAAACAAATATGTGGTTGCCATAAGTAGTTAATCTGACTATACATGAACATTTCAAAATGAAACAGAAATGAAATAGAAATGGACTCACTATAATTATATTCATATTTTATATTTAGTATTTGATTTATTAATCAAATTTCTGATAAAATGTATTTATAATTTTTCTTTTGAGATGGAGTCTCGCTCTGTTGCCCAGGCTGGAGTGCAGTGGCATGATCTTGGCTCACTGCAACCTCTCCATCACAGGTTCAAGCAATATCCCTGCCTCAGCCTCCTGAGCAGCTATCTATAATTTATTTTTTAAAACACAGAATTTGTTTTCCTGAAAATGTATTTCCTCCTACCCAAACTCACTTTATTCTCACGTCTTGGCTGTCTTTGGCTTATGTTGGAACATTATTACCATATTACATGTAAGTTATAAAGTATGTAAACATGTCTGACAAAATAAAAACATTAATATTGAATCTAACGTTCAAAATTGACTATTATAGAACACTTTAAATATCAGGCAATTCTCTGAACAGTTTACCTGCATTGCTTTATTCATATTATTAACAAAGTAGAACAGATATTTTAATTTCAAACACTAAGCATGAAAATGTGTGTCATTACATGAAATCAACTTTGTTACATTTTGTGACAGTTGAGTAAGATGTTTAAAATTTACCATGATGGTATTGTCGAAAGTTCAATTCTTTCTAAAAATAAAACAGGCTATTTTATAGGCCTCATCATCCATTAAGTAATGACCAACAATACTTCCATATTACACATATTACATTTATATATTGGCTTAAATA
Organism: Homo sapiens; assembly: GCF_000001405.40. Classification (NCBI taxonomy): domain Eukaryota; kingdom Metazoa; phylum Chordata; class Mammalia; order Primates; family Hominidae; genus Homo; species Homo sapiens. Next base: position 145,472,526 of record NC_000003.12, on the reverse strand, counting down.
AGTGCCATTTTATTTGTATATCAGAGGGAGAGGCATTCATGAATAAAAGGTAAGTGTGAATACACATTTACTTTAATAATAATAATAAGTGTTTCTTCACATACTACACTTCTCCAGAATGGAGAGTTAACTCCACTAATATTTTCTTGAAACAAGCAGATATTCTAGTGCAATGGTGCCTCAATTATTAATATTTCTGCCCTGAATTTATCTGGTTCAGTTTCCTTTTATCCCAGAGGATTGGGAAATGACTACCAGAAAGTTTAATTAACATACACAAAGACAAAATAAATGTGAGAAGGTGCCAGAATTTCCACATTAGACTCCATAGGCAGACGGAGCAAGAATAATAAAAGGCTGCTAATGAATGTTTTGTATTTGCAGCCAACTCTTTAATTACCTCTGCTAATGAATGGGAACAGAGTGGTAATAAGCATATTGGAAATCATTCGTATTTGGCTTTGGAACAGCATTTCTTGTAAAAAGTTAGGTTTCCTAATGTTTTGCGAAGTATGACTTAAGACCTAATTTGTAATCAGTAAACACTAAGTTTATGGTGTCAGGAGGAGGAGGCTGAGAAATATCCTGAAGGACAAGTGAATAACCTAAACTCAATGTTTTGTTGTTAGTGATCCACATAATATTGTCTAAATGTTATCTCTGGGCAATGCAAATTTTCATGATGGTCAATAATAGGGAGCATTAACATTTGAGATTTAATTTATCCACAAACATATTCTGCACAATTATTGTTAAATGTATTGCTAAGTGTTCTAGATTTTATGCTGCTAATATAAATGGGGCATCTTTCATTACATGTTTTTTACTATTTAGTTTTTATGCAGAAAAGCTTTTAATAATTATGTGCTAATTTTTTCTTTAGCCTCATTATTGCACGATTTTTATTGTTACCAATAGTTTTTCCAGTGAATTTTCTGTTTTCTTGGCATAACTTCACATCAAATACAGTGATCCTTGTTTTCTTCTCCATTCACTAACATAAAACATTGCATTTTATGTTATTGATATTTTTCTCTAATTGCCTGGTGTCTATTTTCAGAAAATCACAATACAATATGGATGAAATAAGTCATTTTTTATTGCTCTATATTAATGCGATTATTTTATTATCAAACATTAATTTAAGAAAACATTTTATTTAAGTGTAGCCCAGATACAGAAAAGTGATGAAATCAAAAGTGCATAGCAGGGTTAATTTTCATTAAGTGAACCTGCTCAAATTCAGTATACACAAGAAAGTATAACACAAATATTCCAGATATCCACTCTATGCCCCTACCCAGACACTGAATATGGCAAGTGTAATCACTGTCCTAACTTTATTGTCAAAAAGTAGTTTGTTTTTTAGCTTTATGTAAATGAAATCAGACAACATGTAGCTTATTGTATCTGTCTCTTTTTGCAAAACATTTTGATTGTAAAATTTATCTTTTTTTGCGCAATTGTAGTTTTTAAAAGTTCTCATTATTGTATAACATTCCATTATGTGAATATACCTTAAATTTGTTGGGCTATTATGACTAAGGCAGTTATGGACATTCTTGGACATATCTTTTTGATGCATATATTTACATGTATAAGATCATATAATCTGTGAATAGTGATAATGTTTTTCTTTATTTTTATTTCTTTATCCCTTCTATATTTAAAAAATTCTCTTTTCTTGCCTTATTTTTGTGACTAGCACTTCCATTATAATATTATATATTATTGTGTGATATTGGCATGCTTGAGTCATCCATGTTCTAAGGGGGAACTTTCAGTAATTATCCATGCATAATGTTTGATGAAGGACTTTTATAGGTACTTTTTGTCAGAGTAAAGAAATTGTCTCTCATTTCTAATTTGCTATTGGTTTTATCATGACATGTTATGAAGAGTTATGAGAGTTAAAATACTTAATCCATATATCAAGATGATGATCTGATTTTTAAACCCTTTCTGCTAATGCTGTGAGTTAAACAACTTTTGCGTTTCTAGAAAAAAACTGTGTTTTTTACTTTTTTATAAATATTGCTAAATTCCATTCACTAGTATTTGGTTGAAGATTTTTGAAGCTTTATTAATGAGATTAGTATCATATTTCTTTCTTGTAATATCCTCTTTTTTGTAATATCTCTCATCCCACTCCCACCCTTCCCTCCAGGTCCCCAAAGTCCATTATATCGTTCTTCTGCCTTTGCATCCTCATAGCTTAGCTCTTGCTTATAAGTGAGAACATACAATGTTTGGTTTTTTTCATTCCTGAGTTACTTCACTTACAAAATGGTCTCCAACACCATCCAGGTTGCTGTGAATGCCATTATTTCATTCCTTTTTATGGCTGAGTAGTATTCCATGGGATGTATTAATATATGCCACATTTTCTTTATCCGCTCGTTGGTTGATGGGCATTTAGGCTGGTTCCATATTTTTGCAATTGGGAATTGTGCTGCTATAAACATACACGTGCAAGTCTCTTTTTCATATAATGGCTTCTTTTCCTTGCTAGATACCCAGTAGTGGCATTGCAATGGTTATAATGAAAATATTAAAACAAAAACAAACAGATGTTGGGGTGGCTGTGGTGCAAAGGGACACTTTTACACTGCTGTTAGGAACGTAAACTGGTGCAACCACTGTGGAAAATAGTATGGTGATTCCTCAAAGAACTAAAAGTAGAACTACCATTTGATCCATTTTATACTTCTTGATGTCTCCACTCCCAATTTTGTTACATATATCATTGTATTTAGATGTGTTAGGAATTGATGTCATAACTTTCAGCAAACTTTCAAATCTAGATTTAGCATTTATAGCCTTTGCTATTATCAGCCTTTAAAAGATGAGTAAATTAAGTCATAAACATTTTCTACCATGCTCCCTTACCCACAATATTATAACATTTGGGTAATGTCTTTATTTTTGTGATTATCTCACTACAGTATTTCTTAGTAAATGTTTCAAAAAAAACTCCTTTGACTTTATCTGAGTAAATTCCTCTGCATTTAGCCAGCTATAGTTATTTTCTTTCCTTCGAGGTAATCTTTTCTCCTGGCTTTTGAATTTATACTTTCTCAAGGTTTTTCTGTTATCTATCTGTTTTTTTATCCTTCCCTCTTGCTGTCTTCTCCTTTAAATCAAGCTCTCCTCATTTTCTCTCTTTAACATTCTTTCTCTTGTTCTCAAACTAACACATGCGTTTCAGTATCATTTTATGCTAATGATTCAAAACTTATATCTTTATCCTAAACCTTGAATTCAAACAGACTGACATAGGCAGCTGTCTCTGTGGTATCTTTTGAGTATCTATAGTTAACTCCGTATCTTAAATTTCCAAACTAAACTCTGAGACTCCTCACCTCAAAATTGTCTTCTATTGCATTTTTCCTCATTAAAGTAAACAGGAATTTCCTCAGTGCAAGACACCACTCAAGCCACAAACCCATCACTTTCAGGACCTCCTTTTCTCTCATTACATACATCACATCCTTCAGCTTTCTTGACTATTTGGTGTCAAAAATATAACAGAAGTATAACTTCTCTTAATGAATTTTAACATCAGCAAAGTGAAGCAAAGTGAAGTGGCATTGTCATACGAACTACGCCAATGTAACCTAACTGTTCTCAATTCTACTCTAGATTCTTCTGTTTCAATCAACACACAATACAAAAAATGTTACCACCTTAAAACAGAAAAGGATCATGCCACTTGCTTCTTAAAACATTTGATGATTTTCAGTAGCAAATTGAAAACCATATATAAAGAACCTTAAGGATTTACTCACTCAATCATTCGAACCTGTTTTGGCCAAGCTTTCTCCTATGCAATATTAGTATATGGATCCTCAAAAAGCCACTCTTTTTCTGCTTAAGGAGCTTTACACCCGTTGTGTATTTTCCAGAAACATTTGCTCTTCCCATAGTTGGCTCTTTCTCGTAGTTTAATAATTATTTTAACTTTTAACTCTCTTTAAGGCTTTCTGTAATTTTATTATCCAAGCAGCTTATATTTTCTTACTTTCAGTTTAACAAAATATATAGTTATTTCAGTTACTTCTCTGACTGATTAGTTTTCAGTGATGAACCAGATTGAAATGTAAGTTTGATCAGACCAGAATCCATATCTTTCTTCTGCAGTGTATCCCAGTGTCATGGAGAAGGAACTGCATAATTATTTATTGAATTAATACATTGATAAGCAAATGACTAAATTTTAATTTTACCTAGAATATGATTTATACTTTTATGACTATTTACTTCATTTCTGCAATATTTTGCTTCAAGGGTATTTGAATATACTTGCTTTAATATTTATTAGATATTATACTTCATGCACGTCAGTTTTCCTGAAATGCATCCTGTTTTCATCTCACTACTTTTTAATCCATTTGTTCATTCTCCTGCAATTATTTGTAGCCTTTTTGTTAAAAAATTGTCAACAGCTATGTCTATTTGTTCATTGTTGTTCATAGCTAAAATATATTTATGTCTTCATTTTGTTTCACTCCATCATGTTTTTCATTTCATGTTTTTTTTGCTTTCTTCAACCAATTTTGGCTTCATTGTATTGAATTTATGTAAATTTTTTTATTTTCTCATAGCTTGAAATACTTGCAAAATATTTTCTACATCTCATATAAAAATGTGTCTTGAACTCCCTTTTTTTTTTTACTGTGCTCTTCTCTTTTGACATGTTATATTTTGTGTAGGTGTTTTTTGACTTCTTTAATTTACCTACATTTAATATGGGTAACAATTGCTTTTCCATATAATGTGCATGTACCTTCCTATTGTTTTCCTTTTGACAGCATGAAAAATGTATTTGTTTTTATTAAATTTATTTTATTTTTGGATTACATATTTTATGTTTTATTTGCTTTTATCTATCTTGAGGGAGGTATGGTTGTATATGGGGATGTTTGAAAGGCAATATTAGATTGTATTCTAGTTAATTTTGGCTGTCAAAAAGGATTCTTTTCTTCTATTCTTTTATGAAGTCCTTTTGAGTGTTCAGGAGCTCTTTAGGGCTGTGGAATACTTGTTCAACTCTGGAAAGTAGCATTTGATACCAAAATTCCTCAAATACCCAGATATTTATTCTAATTCCCTGAATATTCACAGATATATTTTCCATTTTTCTCCACAGTTGCAGAAAAAGCACTGTTAGAGAAACTTATGAGTGTTGTCTTTGTTGTTATCAGTCAGCATCGTGGTTTTCTATTCTTATTTTACAGATTTGCTTTCACTTACATTATAAAATCTATAAGACTAGACTGAGACAAGGGAGATAAGAGGCAAACTAATATAGTTAAGTAAATCAAATATGTCAGAACCAGCATGTCTGACTTTACATTTCAATTCTACCAATTATTAAATATTCAAATAAGTTAACTGCCCTCTGCTTCAGTTTTTTTGTATGTTAATAAGGTATAGTCAGAGAACCTATCTCACAAATAATTTTAAGCATTTTATGAGTTACTATGTGTAAAGTGAAAAGTAAACTTAAATTTGTAAGAGTATCATACCCCTAAAAGCATGTCAAAATGATCATTTAATTACAACAGTTGCTATTTATAGTAATAATTTAAAAAGGAGACACCAAAACTATTCCAAGGAAGCCAATTATATAACTCAAAATCGTGGAGGAGGTGGTTCTAAGGGAGAAGCTTTTCTGTTATCTAGACCATGCCTCTTAACACTTAACTAATGTTGCAGTAATGAGGGAAGAGTAGAGAGCTAGGTGAACTCAAAGGCTTCAATGCTAAAGGAAATGTTCACCAAGGAAAAATAATAAAAACTTACTGAAAGGTTTCTGGAAAGCTTCTAATAATTGTTCAATGTCTCAGCATGCTTTCCATTATGCACTAAGATACATAAATAAGAAATTTTAGTGGATTCCTTCCAAAAAAATGAACAATAACCAGACATAAACATAAGTGGACCTTACATTAAACAAAGCAAAAAGTAAACATGAAAAAATTAAAGTGAAATTAAGGAAGAGAGGACCACACAATAAAAGTGATAGCTAGAAGATAGAAGAACTAAAACAAGAACTGACAGAATGAGGGGGAAAAAAGGGCCTTTCAGGAAACAGAAAGCCTAAATTAGGAGGAAAACAATGAAGAAAAATCAATGCAAAAAGCTATAGCACACAAACATAAATAAAGAGATAAAAGGTATTTGGGATAAAATGACAGGCATAGACTACAAAAAATATCCATCAAATAATAACTTTTTTAAATTATTTCTATTTATTTTACTGTTTAACTTTTAAGTTCACAAGTACATGTGCAAACTGTGTGGATTTGTTACATAAGTAAATGTGTGTCATGGGGGTTTGTTGTAGATTATTTTATCACCCAGGTATTAAGCCTAGTACCCAACAGTTATTTTTTCTGATTCTCTTCTACCTTCCAACCTCCACCCTCTAATAGGTCCCATTTGTGTGTTGTTCCCCTCTATGTGTTCATGTGTTCTCATCATTTAGCTCCCACTTATAAATAAGAACATGTGGTATTTGCTTTTCTGCATTAGTTTGCTAAGGATAATGGCCTCCAGCTTCATCTATGTCCCTGCCAAGGAAATGATATAGTATTCCATGGTGTATATGTACCACATTTTCTTTAATCTATCATTGATTAGCATTTGGGTTGATTCTATGTCTTTGCTATTGTGAATAGTGCTGCAATGAACACATGCATGCATGTGTCTTTATAATAGAACAATGTATATTATTTTGACCCGGTAATAGGATTCCTGGGTGAAATGATATTTCTGGTTCTGGATCTTTGAGGAATTGCCACACTGTCTTCCACCATGCTTGAATTAATTTACACTCCCACCAACAGTGTATAAACATTACTTTTTCTCCACAACCTCGCCAGCATCTGTTATTTTTTGACTTTTTAATCACAGCCATTCTGACTGGTGTGAGATGGTGTCTCATTGTGGTTTTGATTTGCATTTCTCTAATAATCAGTTATGTTGAGTTTCTTTTTTATGTGCTTTTTGGCCAAATGTATATGTCTTCTTTTGAGAAGGATCTGTTAATGTCCTTTGCTCACTTTTTAATGGGTTTTTTTTTCTTGTAAATTTGTTTAAGTTTCTTATAGATGCTGGATATTAGACCTTTGTCAGGTGCATAGATTGCAAAAATATTTTCTCATTCTGTAGGTTGTCTGTTTACCCTGTTGATAGTTTATTTTGCTGTGCAGCGGTTCTTTAGTTTAGGTAGACCCCATTTGTCAGTTTTTGCTTTTGTTGCAATTGGTTTTGGCATCTTTGCCATAAAATCTTTGCTTGTGCCTATGTCCAGAATGGTACTGCCTAAATAGTCTTCCAGGGTTTTCATAGTTTTAGGTTTTATATTTAAGCCTTTAATCCATCTTGAGTTAATTTTTGTATATGGTATAAAGAAGGGATCACTTTAGTTTTCTGCATATGGGTAGCCAGTTATCCCCTCACCATTTATTAAAAAGGGAATCCTTTCCCTATTGCTTGTTTTTGTCATGTTTGTTGAAGATCAGATAGCTGTAAGTGTACAGCCTTATTTCTGGGTTCTCTATTCTGTTCCATGGTCTATGTGTCTATTCTTGTACAAATAACCATGCTGTTTTTGTTACTGTAGCCCTGCAGTATAGTCTGAAGTTCAATAGCATAATGCCTCCAGCTTTGTTCTTTTTGCTTAGGATTTTCTTAGTTATTCAGATTCCTTTTTGGTTTCACATTGATTCTAAAATATTTCTTTCCTGTTTTGTGAAGAATGTCAATGATAGTTTAATTTGAATAACGTTGAATCTAAAAATTGCTCTGGATAGTGTGACCATTTTAATGATATTGATTATTCTTATCCATGCAAACAATTATTTGATGTACCCAGAGAGGAAAACTAAGACAAAGGACATAATAGTGTATTTTAAGATACAATTCAAACAAAATATTCTGAAAAAAAAATTTATACTACATATTTCAGTCACAGACCTGTTCCAGAAAAATTACATTTTAATAGTTAAGAATAATACAAGATTAATAACATTACATTTTAAACATGAAAAATAGAATAATTTTGGGGGCAAAATTTTTAATTATTTTTATTTTTTGTGGTTACATAGTAGGTATATATATTTATGGGTTAACTGAGATATTTTGATACGGGCATGCAATGCGAAATAATCACATCAGGGTAAATGGGTGTATCCATCACCTCAAGTGTTTATTCCTTGTGTTACAAACAATCCAATTTATTCATTTAGTTTTTTCAAAATATTCAATTAATTATTTTTGACTGTAGCCAAATACTAGGTCTTATTCATCATTTCTGTTTTTTGTACTCAGCAATTTTTTTTAAAAGGAAGTCCCTCTTAAAAGGAGGATAACCAGGTTGACATTATTTGTTCTATACTAAAATTCAGTGCAAGACAATAGAGGCAAACCCAGCAGACACTCAAGGAAGAGAAGTCTGAAACAGATTTATATCAGAGCAGGTACAATTGAAGTAAGTATATTTAACTTCAGATTTTTAGAACATTTGTTTTAGAATGCAGGGTTAGTGTAAATGCAACAATAAAAATGTAAATTAGACCAGTCACAGTGGCTCACGCCTGTAATCCCAGGACTTTGGGAGACCCAGGTGGGCAGATCACTTGAGGTCAGGAGTTCCAGACCAGCCTGGCCAACATGGTAAAACCTCATCTCTACTAAAAACAAAAATAAAAAAATTAGCCTGGCATGGTGGCAGTCACCTGTAATCCCAGCTACTCGGGAGGCTAAGGGAGGAAAATCACTTGAACCCAGGAGGCAGAGGTTGCAGTGAGCTGAGATTGTGCTACTACATTCCAACCTGGGTGACAGAGTGAGACTCCATCTCAAAAAAAAAAAAAAAAAGTAAATTAAAGGAGGAGGAGAAGAGGGAAAAGTGGAATAAGCTCACTGTTGTTTAAGAGATTTAATTTAAAGGATTCTGTTAAGGTGCACACTAAAAAAATGTAAGTAATGGGGTGAAAGGGAGAAAGAAGATTAATAAAACTCTTTATATTATCATTCATACTATGTATCTTAAGAATACTATCTAAAATACAGAAATTATAAAATAATAATAAAAGAATCGAGGAAGATCTACCAAGCAAATGGAAAACAAAAAAAAGGCAGGGGTTGCAATCCTAGTCTCTGATAAAACACACTTTAAACCAACAAAGATCAAAAGAGACAAAGAAGGCCATTACATAATGGTAAAGGGATCAATTCAACAAGAAGAGCTAACTATCCTAAATATATATGCACCCAATACAGGAGCACCCAGATTCATAAAGCAAGTCCTGAGTGACCTACAAAGAGACTTAGACTCCCACACAATAATAGTGGGAGACTTTAACACCCCACTGTCAACATTAGACAGATCAATGAGACAGAAAGTTAACAAGGTTACCCAGGAATTGAACTCAGCTCTGCACCAAGCAGACCTAATAGACATCTACAGAACTCTCCACCCCAAATCAACAGAATATACATTTTTTTCAGCACCACACCACACCTATTCCAAAATTGACCACATACTTGGAAGTAAAGCTCTCCTCAGCAAATGTAAAAGAACAGAAATTATAACAATCTGTCTCTTAGACCACAGTGCAATCAAACTAGAACTCAGGATTAAGAAACTCACTCGAAACCGCTCAAATACATGGAAACTGAACAATCTGCTCCTGAATGACTACTGGGTACATAACGAAATGAAGGCAGAAATAAAGATGTTCTTTGAAACCAACGAGAACAAAAACACAACATACCAGAATCTCTGGGACACATTCAAAGCAGTGTGTAGAGGGAAATTTATAGCACTAAATGCCCACAAGAGAAAGCAGGAAAGATCCAAAATCGACACCCTAACATCACAATTAAAAGAACTAGAAAAGCAAGAGCAAACACATTCAAAAGCTAGCAGAAGGCAAGAAATAACTAAAATCAGAGCAGAACTGAAGGAAATAGAGACACAAAAAAAACCTTCAAAAAATTAATGAATCCAGGAGCTGGTTTTTTGAAAGGATCAACAAAATTGATAGACCGCTAGCAAGACTAATAAAGAAGAAAAGAGAGAAGAATCAAATAGATGCAATAAAAAATGATAAAGGGGATATCACCACCGATCCCACAGAAATACAAACTACCATCAGAGAATACCACAAACACGTCTGCGCAAATAAACTAGAAAATCTAGAAGAAATGGATAAATTCCTCGACACATACACCCTCCCAAGACTAAACCAGGAAGAAGTTGAATCTCTGCATAGACCAATGACAGGCTCTGAAATTGTGGCAATAATCAATAGCTTACCAACCAAAAAGAGTTCAGGACCAGATGGATTCACAGCCAAATTCTACCAGAGGTACAAGGAGGAACTGGTACCATTCCTTCTGAAACTATTCCAATCAATAGAAAAAGAGGGAATCCTCCCTAACTCATTTAATGAGGCCAGCATCATCCTGATACCAAAGCCGGGCAGAGACACAACCAAAAAAGAGAATTTTAGACCAATATCCTTGATGAACATTGATGCAAAAATCCTCAATAAAATACTGGCAAACCGAATCCAGCAGCACATCAAAAAGCTTATCCACCATGATCAAGTGGGCTTCATCCCTGGGATGCAAGGCTGGTTCAATATGCGCAAATCAATAAATGTAATCCAGCATATAAACAGAACCAAAGACAAAAACCACATGATTATCTCAATAGATGCAGAAAAGGCCTTTGACAAAATTCAATAACCCTTCATCCTAAAAACTCTCAATAAATTAGGTATTGATGGGACGTATTTCAAAATAATAAGAGCTATCTATGACAAACCCACAGCCAATATCATACTGAATGGGCAAAAACTGGAAGCATTCCCTTTGAAAACTGGCACAAGACAGGGATGCCCTCTCTCACCACTCCTATTCAACATAGTGTTGGAAGTTCTGGCCAGGGCAATTAGGCAGGAGAAGGAAATAAACGGTATTCAATTAGGAAAAGAGGAAGTCAAATTGTCCCTGTTTGCAGATGACATGATTGTATATCTAGAAAACCCCATTGTCTCAGCCCAAAATCTCCTTAAGCTCATAAGCAACTTCAGCAAAGTCTCAGGATACAAAATCAATGTACAAAAATCACAAGCATTCTTATACACCAATAACAGACAAACAGAGAGCCAAATCATGAGTGAACTCCCATTCACAATTGCTTCAAAGAGAATAAAATACCTAGGAATCCAACTTACAAGGGACGTGAAGGACCTCTTCAAGGAGAACTACAAACCACTGCTCAGTGAAATAAAAGAGGAAACAAACAAATGGAAGAACATTCCATGCTCATGGGTAGGAAGAATCAATATCGTGAAAATGGTCATACTGCCCAAGGTAATTTATAGATTCAATGCCATCCCCATCAAGCTACCAATGACTTTCTTCACAGAATTGGAAAAAACTACTTTAAAGTTCATATGGAACCAAAAAAGAGCCCGCATCGCCAAGTCAATCCTAAGCCAAAAGAACAAAGCTGGAGGCATCACGCTACCTGACTTCAAACTATATTACAAGGCTACAGTAACCAAAACAGTATGGTACTGGTACCAAAACAGAGATATAGATCAATGGAACAGAACAGAGCCCTCAGAAATAATGCCGCATATCTGCAACTATCTGATCTTTGACAAACTGGAGAAAAATAAGCAATGGGGAAAGGATTCCCTATTTAATAAATGGTGCTGGGAAAACTGGCTAGCCATATGTAGAAAGCTGAAACTGGATCCCTTCCTTACACCTTATACAAAAATTAATTCAAGATGGATTAAAGACTTAAACATTCGACCTAAAACCATAAAAACCCTAGAAGAAAACCTAGGCATTACCATTCTGGACATAAGCATGGGCAAGTACTTCATGTCTAAAACACCAAAAGCAATGGCAACAAAAGACAAAATTGACAAATGGGATCTCATTAAACTAAAGAGCTTCTGCACAGCAAAACAAACTACCATCAGAGTGAACAGGCAACCTACAAAATGGGAGAAAATTTTTGCAACCTACTCATCTGACAAAGGGCTAATATCCAGAATCTACAATGAACTCAAACAAATTTACAAGAAAAAAACAAACAACCCCATCAAAAAGTGGGTGAAGGACATGAACAGACACTTCTCAAAAGAAGACATTTATGCTGCCAAAAAACACATGAAAAAATGCTCACCATCACTGGCCATCAGAGAAATGCAAATCAAAACCACAATGAGATACCATCTCACACCAGTTAGAATGGCAATCATTAAAAAGTCAGGAAACAACAGGTGCTGGAGAGGATGTGGAGAAATAGGAACACTTTTACACTGTTGGTGGGACTGTAAACTAGTTCAACCATTGTGGAAGTCAGTGTGGCGATTCCTCAGCGATCTAGAACTAGAAATACCATTTGACCCAGCCATCCCATTACTGGGTATATACCCAAAGGATTATAAGTCATGCTGCTATAAAGACACATGCACATGTATGTTTATTGTGGCACTATTCACAACAGCAAAGACTTGGAACCAACCCAGATGTCCAACAATGATAGACTGGATTAAGAAAATGTGGCACATATACACCATGGAATACTATGCAGCCATGAAAAAGGATGAGTTCATGTCCTTTGTAGGCACATGGATGAAATTGGAAATCATCATTCTCAGTAAACTATCGCAAGGACAAAAAACCAAACACTGCATGTTCTCACTCATAGGTGGGAATTGAACAATGAGAACACATGGACACAGGAAGGGGAACATCACACTCTGGGGACTGTTGTGGGATGGGGGGAGGGGGGAGGGATAGCATTGGGAGATATACCTAATGCTAAATGACGAGTTAATGGGTGCAGCACACCAGCATGGCACATGTATACATATGTAACTAACCTGCACATTGTGCACATGTACCCTAAAACTTAAAGTATAATAATAATAAAATAAAATAAAAAATAATAATAGTAATTATAAAGATACATTTCAGAACACATAAACATTTCCAAATATCAGAAAATAACACAATCAAATGAAGAGAAAATGAGTCACACAGTAAAAGACTGAAGAAGTGATAATATAAAATGACTGTTAATTGGAGCACTAAGAAAACATTCTATTCATATAACAAATATTTTTTTTACTAAAAATAGAAATCTAAATAATTTGTTATGTTAAACTTAGTTTCTGGTTAACATACAAATACACATTGATAATTAATTCTACTATCTCATACTCAATTTATGTAGCACTATGATTAACTGATCATGTGTCTGATTTTCAGAAGAAAAATATATTCAACTATTTTATTGGCCCTTTAATTTAAACGGCAGGTATCCAGTTAGTATGACCTGTTTCCTCAATGATTTTTGCACTACCATAAAAATATTTTAAAAATACTTGGTGAAAAAAGAATACTTAATTTGGGGCCATAAAATGAATAGGCCCATTATTATAAATATGATAAGTTTGACATAAATTATGAGCAAAACTTACTCATTTTAGAAAGTAAAAACAAGCTGCATGATATATTGAAGGCTCTATGTTATTTTGAATTCTAATTATATCATAGCTAGGTATATAAATAGACAAACAGATATATTTGGAGGAATTCTTGACGTGTAGATAAAACTAAAATTTAAATAGTTTACATATTTTCAATTTCACCACATACTGTCTGTTGGGCCAGGGACTACCTATTGGACCAATCTAAATCTCAGGTTTCTCATCTTTAAAATGGAAATAATAATATTTACAATAAGTGGCAGTGCTATTTTAATAAAAAATCATTAATCACTGTATGAAATATATTTGAATATAAACACATATCTCATGTATTCAGTTGTTCCTGAAAGCTGTGAGAAACTAAAATTTAATGGATTCTACACTGCATTGCACTTTCACTTGTTACTACAGTTTTACAAATTCCTCTAGTAGCGGAAGATTACTAGTAATATTAATAATAGTTTACTGAGTGCGCACTGTGTGGTATATTTAAGGTTTTTCCAGGTAGTCTATTTAATTTGAATAGTGAGGAACTATTATCATTCTTAATACTGATGAAAAAACAGAGGGGAAAGAATGCTGAGAAATTTTCCCAAGGTTATGCAACGAGTGACTGATAAGCTAGCTTTTGACAACATAAGTGGATCTACCACAAAGCTCTCACCCTTAACCACTCTGCTATATTGGGAGATGTGTAGAAATACTGAACTTGTGAATCTAATGTGTTTTTGCAGCAAGTTGTACAATTAGCTGGTGGAGAAAAGAAAGTGTAGAATAATGAAGCTGATTTAAGCATCTAAAGTGAGGTACATCAAAATTATATAGTTTGTCAAAAAATTTATGTCAGGAAACGTATGTATCTTTGAGAGCTCTTTTTCCTTTCATCACAGACTTAGATTATTTTAGCTTCACAGGAAATGGTACAGGAGAAAGTGGGCTTAAACTAAAAATAGTTATCTAAGTACTAGACTAGACGCTCAGTCTCGTTCACTTAGGAGGTGTATGTCTTTGAGATTATTTTACATAAATTCTCAGTTTTAGTATTTTCATTTCTGAAATGAAAATGAGCTCATTTCTAACAGAAAGTCTGTTTGTCTTTAAATCTTATAACGTAAACATATGATTTATTAAATATACATATGGTATTTATATAAGCTTCACTATGCTAATAACATCCATATAAAATCAGTATTTGAACAAATATGGAAATTTAAAATGCAACAGTTAATACACAAGGAAAGCAAATTAGTTATGTAGTCATGTTCCCCCAGTTTCTTGTAGTTTATTCTCTAAAACTCAACTCTTATATATGGAAGTTTCTCTAGGCTATGTGAACCTCAACCTTCCTTTACAGAACACTCTACTTATATGATTTGCTTAGTATCTATGTATAATAATTATTTATGTAATAAAACTTAAAACTGTAAATTTCTCTTGCAAATTAAAAAGTTGACTATGGGCCGGGCGTGATGGCTTACGCCTGTAATCCCAGCACTTTGGGAGCCTAAGGCAGGTGGATCACCTGAGGTCAGGAGTTCAAGACAAGTCTGGGCAACATGGTGAAACCCCATCTCTACTAAACATACAAAAATTAGCTGGGCGTGGTGGTGCGTGCCTGTAATCCCAGCTACTTGGGAGGCAGAGGCAGGAGAATGGCTTGAGTCCAGGAGGCAGAGGTTGCAGTGACCCAAGATTGCACCTTTGCACTCCAGCCTGGGCAACAGAGTGAGACTCCATCTCAAAAAAAAAAAAAAAAAGTTGACTATGCAGGAAATTATTCATTGCCCTGTAAACGCCTCCCAAGCATTTGATACCTCTGAGATCAGACACTGCATTGGGCCCTGAATACACAAGCCACAACAGTTATCTTCACAAAGATAATTTAATACCCCAAATTTTAAACAGATATTGGAAGACTGAAAAGGCATAAATAGAATACTGAGGTAACAGATAATAAATACAGGACGCAGCTACCATTTTTAGGGGAGTGTCTAATAATAGCTTATGTGCAAATTAATGACAAAAGAAATAAAAATAAGTTTAAAATGTTTAAGAGGCAGAATAGAAGAGAACTTGGTATTTGACTGGATATGGGGAAGAGGGAAAGATAAGATAAAGAAAACAATGTTTAAGTTTTGCCTTAAGCAAGTCTTGGATGGGAATTAGTGAAAAGTGAGAAGGTTATTGTATCTGCTTCTACATGTGAAGGATTTCAGATTTTCAGTTTTGTCTGTGTCCACTCATATGTTCCTATTCCAAATCCCACAATTTCCATCCTAAATTTCACCTTGACCTTAAACAAGGCAATGAAGTTAACATAATGTCATTATGTAACCCCCACAATTAAAATTTGGGTCGGATTTTCAGTGAAGTTGACTCTGTGTTTACAAGATAGAAAGGGTTATGTTAGGGCCACCAAATGAGCTCTCTGGTCCTCTGACATTGACTTAAGCTAAGAGTTTAAAGCTCTGAGCTATTTATGTTGTTTCTATTATTATTTTATGAAATAAGAAATAAGCATCCCCCCTCCAGTCTTCTAGATTCTAGACAGCATAAAAGGACCTCCTTGTCTTCAATAATAAAAAGTAAGTAGTCAGAAGAGAGTGGAGAATTAGGGGAATGTGGCTACAATTAAGGTATGTAATCATCAACAGAAAATTATTTTTATGAATAAATACGTATTCATGTATTATCAATGCAATTACAATAGTATTGGTATTTTAAAGAAGTATATTAAAGTACAAGAAAATTTGAACAAATTATTTTCTTTTTTTTCCCTTATGTTATTTCTTGACCACAGTGGCATAAAAGTCAGCACCCTATCAAAGAGGCGTAAGATGATGGAATAGTTCAGTTGAAAAAATGTGCCATATTTTTTCTATTACTGAAAAGAGTATCAGGAAAGTAATTTGTTCTTTCCTATTATCAAAATGATAACTATTTCTCATTTATTTTGTACTGAATTGTACATTTTTCTTTAACCATACTTATGTTTTCAGTTTTCTCAAATTATCTTCAGAAGCACGTGGAGTAAAAATTTTATCTACATAAATGTCTGTATATCTATATACCTCTTTCTTCATTTTCTGTTACGTATAACTTATCCAGATGAAGTGTACACACATCACTTCCTTTCAAATGATTGTAATAAACTAAGATTAGTTAGAGATACTGGAGTTTAAAATAGTATCAGAATAGATTAGATACCAATTAGAATAAAGTAGAATTTCAGTAGTTAACGTAAACGTCACTTAAAAAGAATCACTGAGTTGAAAGAAAAGATTCCTTAATAAAAGCAATGTAGTAAAGGATTCTTTTAGAACCTCTTTTAGAAGAGAAATGGTAGCTCTGAAATATTACTTAATTACGTAGCATTTTCTCTAGCAATTCTCAGCTGTTAGACTACCATTTCTGCTCTTTACCCAGGTTACTTAACTAAACATGATAGCACGGTTTTCTGTAGGTTTCAGGTATTATTACTCGATTGTATAGAAAGGGAAATTGAAAGATAGAGGATTATTTAACTTTAGCAAGCTCCAGCCATTTCCGTGGCAGGGCTGAAAATGAAACAATTCTCATTACTTCAGTTTTCCTCACAAATCTAGAAGAAACAGCCACTTTTAATATAATTTGAATGACATGAACTTGATGAAGCTTAAAACAAAATTATAAGAATGTAACTTTCTAATTATAACAAGTGAAAATGAAGCAATATTGTTGGAAATGTTATAAAAAAGAAAGATGTGAACATTAAAAAATAAAACATTTATTAAATTTCATTCATTCCAGCATGTTATTCTTATTTAAGGTGAACAATGAGTAAATCAGTATAACATTGGGAATAAAACTTCTATTATTCCTTAACCTATATAAAGGGTTGAAATTAATTATGTGCCCCATATTTGCCAAGAGTTGCCACATATAGCTTTATCCTAGGGGATTCTATTTCTGCTTGGATTTAAGATGGCCCAAACAAAATAAGTCTTGGACTCAAAATATGGTTCCTTGTAGCAAGGAAGTAGTTTTCAAGCTTCAGTCTACATCAGAATCACCTGGAGAGCTTATTAAGTAACAGATTGCTAAGCTTCATTCCCAGGCTTTCTGATTCTGTAGGTCTGGAATGGGGCCAGAAAATTTGTATTTCTAACAAGATTCTAGGTGATTCTAATGCTGGTGGTATAGGCTGGAATTTGAATACTACTACACTAAAAAGTAACAAAGTTCACCCCAATCCTTAATCAATGGTCATACCCACTGACCCACTCAGTCTGTTGAAAGCAGAAGACTAAATCAAAGAACAAGGCACCTCTCATCACATTATATAATGGAAAACATTATTCCCATTGTGAGTAGGAGTGACTCAGGAGGTTTAATTTTATATTTTGAAAACACTTATATTTCCTAACATGGATCTAGTTTGGGAAATATTGTCTTTTCTGTTCTAGTGAAGTATGTGGGGATATACGTGTTTTGGAAAGAAACATTCAGCATTACTGCCAGGATGGCCAGGAATTAAGGAAAGACATATTGAATCCTTACACTGCCAGAAATAAGTATTCATGTGCCTGAAACCACCCTGGGATATTTATCAGAATTCATCCCTGGCTGCCTTTAAATTTTATTCAGTTTGGGCACATTAAAAACCTCTTCATCATGAGGATGATTGGGAGCCAATACTGAGCCCATGCTCTGCTCGCCAAGCCATGCACAGTGGCTCAGCTGTGTTTAGTAAAGGAAAGATGGGCATTTTACTCGTTTATGTGAACAGGAACTTTATTTTCTAGCTGTAGCACTAAATTCATCATTCTCTCCTCACACCCATAACCCTGCACTCTTCTTGTACACTGGTTGCCTAAATGAGGAATGGATGGACCCCAGAACAAAGCCAACCTGTCCACTGAAAAAATGTTCCTAATAAAATGGAGGTGATCACTGTGCAGCTGTGAAGAAGGGAGACTATAAGTCTAGATCTGTAGGGCTTAACATTGAGGGAAATGCTAGGAACTTGGACATGCCTAGGAGGTAAATTCAGTTAAAGGTATGATTTTAGTGACATTATTTTCTGTTGTAATATGAGGACAGGCATCTCTAGAGTGAATTGAAATAATGTTAATTTAACAGAACGCATGAGAATAGTGGAGGAAAATGAGAGAGTGTCTCTGTGTCGAACAGTGATGAATCCATAATTCCCTGATTATCAGTGTGCATTTGACACTCACGCTATGAGCACAGTAGTATCCTGTGTTTCTAGTGTTTGAAGATTGACTCTTATATCTTACATCAGCCCCAAAATTGGAAACATGACACTTATCTTTTGTTTCACAAAGCAAAACAAACCCATTCTAACACTGGAGGAAAACTGACTAGTCTGCCCTTACTGAGAGAAAGTACACAGTTTCTTGGCTTCTTGAAGGTGTTGTTCAAGGGAAATTTTTGCCATATTCAATTTTGTGTTATATGCTGGCTGAAAACCCAAACCTTGTTTATAATGAAACCCTATTTATGGTACTATTTACACCAATTACAATTTGCCTCAGCTACCTGGAACTGTTCAAGAAACTCTTATATAAAGCCTCTGTGTTGATTTTTTTTAATGCAGTGAGTAGATGCCAAGTAGAGAAGAAAAAAGCAAGTTAAGATAAACTCCCAGGTTTCCAAATATAAATTAAAAATATATCAGTTAAATTAGGAAATCTGGCATGTCAGTAACATATTTAAAATTCCAGCATTCATATTGAGAAGAAAGGTTGTATAGACATGAAAGACACAGACCTTGGAATCAGGTTGAATCAGTGTGATCTGTGATTCTTTTGTCTTCTTTCAATGATTCTTACCATCTGTTGATAATTGTTGTGAACTGATAATTTTTCTAAATAGATGATTAAGATATTTTCAGATATTTTCTTATTCTTTATTAAAAAAACTTGAATTTTACCCTATAAAATGTCCAAAAGATTTTAAAATTATAAAATGATAATTATTACTAATATTAAAAATAATGAATGATGTCAGGCACAGTGGCATGTGCTGTAATCCTAGCTACTCTGGGAGGCTGAACTTCGGAGATCACTTGAGCTCAGGAGTTCAAGGCTGCAGGGAGCTATGATTGTGCCACTGCCTTCTAGCCTGTGCAACAGAGCAATAGCCTATCTTTAAAAAAATCACCATAATAAATAAAAGTAAATAGAAAATAAATAAATGGATAGTATATAACCTTATTTTGTGTATCTTTGAAAAAATTTATAATATATATTAAGTAGTCTTAATGTGAATCCACTAAAGATTTATAAACAGCATAAAGTGAACATTTGGCTTGTTTCTAATTTTTCGTAGTGAATATGCAGAATTAAGTATATATTATTTCTTACTTTTGGAGAGGAATCTGCAAAGTTGAGTCTCAGAACTTTGACTAATAGGTAAAAAGTAATTATAATACATTTACTTAATGTATTATATTACACATTTATCTATAGTTTTATATGTAGACAGATATAGTTATTTACTACACACACACACACACACACACACACACACACACACACATATAGGGAGGTGATCTCTGTGCAGACGTGAAGAAGGAAGACAATAAGTCTAGATCTCTAGAGCTCAACATTGAGGGAAATGCCAGGAACTTTGGCATGCCTAGGAGGTAAACTCCTAGTTAAAGGTATGATTTGGTAGGATGTGTGTGTGTGTGTGTGTGTGTGTGTGTGTGTGTGTGTATACATTTTTTCCCTTAATTTGACCTTCCAGTGCTAATTAGGGAAATAATCAGGATGGGGACTTTTTTTCTGGGAGTGAATTTATTATCAGCACGTCTCCACTATGAGGACCTCATGACAATGACACTCTTCTCTCTTTGCAGAGACCTTGCTTTATTTCTTTTGCCATGATGTGTTGTCCGTACCATCTCTATGGTGTCAGTGATTTACTTCCTCACATTCCTGTAAATGAAAGTATAGAGGCCGGGCGGGCGCGGTGGCTCATGCCTGTAATCCCAGCACTTTGGGAGGCCGAGGAGGGCGGATCATGAGGTCAGAATATTGAGACCATCCTGGCTAACAGGATGAAACCCCGTCTTTACTAAAAATACAAAAAATTAGCAAGGTGTGGTGGTGGGCGCCTATAGTCCCAGCTACTTGGAGGCTGAGGCAGGAGAATGGCATGAAACCAGGGAGGTGGAGTTTGCAGTGAGCTGAGATCGCACGACTGCACTCCATCCTGGGCGACAGAACGAGACTTCATCTCAAAAAAAAAAAAGAAAAAAATATTAAAGTATATAGTATACTTTCTCTGAGACGTAATATTGGTGTGGTCTTCAGGTGATTTTATATGCTTTCTATGTTGATCTATATCGTTTCATGGAACAATTTAAAGTGTCAATTTCATTAACCTGGAAGTTTCCCTCATTTTAATAATTAATGTTATTACACACAATTGTGAATTCAAGTCTTTACTTGGTATATTGTTCATAACTTGCATCTCATCATCATGAGTTCATCACAGTTCATGATCCAACTGTGCTTTTTCTTTATCAATAATCCCTCATGTAGTTCTAGTTCCTTGACTCAGTGTTGGGGGTATGTATTTTGAAAATTTAAAAATAATAGAATGAATTAAATTTCCCTTCAAATATATTTGCAGCTGACTCAATTTTCTAGCATTATTCTAGGTAATAGTTTGTAATAAAATGGTAGATAGGATCTGCTGGTCTATAGTTTCTACATATTAGCTTATTAGGCCAATGAATATACGTGTGTGTGTGTGTGTGTGTGTGTGTGTATAAACACACACATACTTTTTTTCTGTTATATCCTCTTATGTAATGCACCAAGGTCAGGCACATGTAATATTGCCCATGGACAGGGATTAATAGATAAGATACATAGGATTTTAGAATGGTAAGCCTACCCTGTCTGTTAGAAGTTAGAGAATGAAAGATTGTGGAATGAAAAGATTATTTTCTATCCAATACTACTACACATAATAATATTTTGAATGTCTGTAGAGAGGAAAAATACAAAAATTATTATATAATATGGAAAATTATGACAAATTTACTTAAAATAATACAAAACTTTTATAGAATCCAGTGTTATGAAAAATACAGTGTCAAGTGTACTTGGGAAACTCTTTAAAATCAAATAAAAATTAAGGAAATAGATAAAAGAAAGTACAAAAATATTTTTAAGTTAAATAGTTAAATATCTATGTTACTCTCATATTTAGACAGTTATGCTTCCTCTTACTTGATTTACCATAGAGTAAATGTGAATCAAATAAATATCAATAGCTATTTGGTAAGTGCTGAATTTCAAAAATAATATAAACTTCACAACTTTTGATTTTATCAGAGTGGTAAATAGCATTCAAACAGTTTGTCTTATAAGTTTAATATTCTTAAACAATTTAAATAAAGACAAGGTAGAGGCATGAATCATTTGTTCTAGCAAGTGACAAATACACATATATGAATCACATAACAGCTTTCCCTAGTGACTTATTTCTGTTAAGTTTGTTGCAAGGAGATTTTTATATTTATTTATACTGTAGAATACTCTGTCTGCTAATATTGCATAAAATGAATCAGAAGATTTATGTCATGTGTAAAACACAGGATTAAATTTTACTATTAAACAGAAGACTGCCATTTAACATATTTCCAGCATATAAATATTACAAACTTCTAATGATTATGAGTTATATAGATATGATTATGCATACCATTATAGCTTGCTCATATGTATATTAAGAAAAATATTTTAATCTCAAATTTCAAGCAGTGTGTGAATAGGTAGATGATTCACTCTGAGAACAAAATTATTTATAGGTGAGTTATTACTTAAATGCTATGCACTGTCATGAAGCTAATTCTGAATAGCACAAATTGAACTTTCAAAATATTTTAAGAATTTTTTAACAGCTACTGCTCAGAGCAGATTTTACAATATATTAGAATAGTTATGACAGTACCTTCTAGTTCTTGATTCCTAACAGGAGAGTCTTTATTTTTTACTACTTGTATGTCTAGGTTTTTTGTTTGTTACACTTTTTAGAAACTCTGTTTTTTTTTTTTGTTTGTTTGTCTGTTACAGTTTTTAGAAGCTTCTGCCTCTAGCTAACTGTGTGTTAGAGAAACTCATCATGTAGTCCTGAGCCTGTCAACAGCTACTGGCTCTTGAAAGGTAATTGAAGTCAACGCATGGATAGGAACTTTTCAAGAGCCAATAACACACAAATGTTTATCCTACCATTATGGATTTTTGTTGTGGTTTTCTCTTCTCCTCTAGTCTATATTTTAAAACCCTAACTCCCAATGTGGCTATATGTGAAGATGAGGCCTCTATGAAAATAATTAAGGTTTAATGAGGCCATTAAGGATGGGATCCTGATCCAATAACACTAGTGACCTTACAAGAAGCAACACCAGAGAAATTACTCTTTCTCTCTCTTCCTATATGCATGCACCAAGGAATGGCCATGTATGGATATTGTGAGACAGTGGCCACCTGAAGCCAGAAAGAAAGGCTTCGCCAGAAAACAAATGGACTAGAACCTTAATCTTGGACTTCTACCCTCCACAACTGCAAGAAAATAAATTTCCGTTGTTTAAGCTACTCTGTCTATGGTAGTTCTTTATGGCAGCCCAAATTGACTAATAAACCAATCATGATCTCTCTTCTAAATATTTTTACATTTGTACCCTTGCTCTCCAAATTTCATTTATACTAGTCTTCTATCATCCTCTTTCCCTCCATAGACCATGGTGCACGCGTGCACACACACACACACACACACTCACAGAATGTATCCATTCATTGATGCAGAGGGTATATCTGTCTTACTCTCTTTTCTATCCCATATATAATAGAATGTTAACACATAGTAATGGTTCATAGTATGTGTTTCTTTACTGTCAGATATCCTAGGCAAAGTTGGAATGTATGCCAATATATTTGTGGTTTTACCTAAACATGGAGTTTGAGGTGGCTGCATAGGTTAAATTTCTATGGCATTCTAAGCCACATAGCCATGCAATGTGACTTGGGAGTCTAAGTAATAAAAGGGCATGCAGCTACTGTCTTGTTCATTGGAACACCCACTCTTGGAGTGCTGAGACACCATGTGAGAAGTCTGACTATCCTAATGCTGCCATGTAGAGAGGCCACATAGAAATTCTTCTGTTGAGAGTTTCACCTGAACTCTTTATCTCAAACCCATTCTTTATTCTAAACCAAGTGTCAGGCATATAGGTAAAGAAACCATTTTGGAAATGGTACCTCCAGTAGCTGCTGTTCTGGCCTGCTGTTTTTCTAGGCACACAAATGAGTCATTTCATGAAGTAGCGAAGAAACACTCACCCTTTGCCCCATATCCCTGACTCGCATGGTAGGTAAGCATAATGAAGTGATTGTTTTATTCCCTTGTGTTATGGAAAGTTTGTTCTACAGCAACAGGTAGTCGGAATGAAACCTTTGAAAAATCAGTGACAGTTTTAACAAAAGAGAAATATTTGCTTTTCTTGCAAAATGATTTAAATGTTCTGAGACACATAATCAATTATAAAAATAGAATTTAAAATGTATAAAGTTGTGTAAGTGGTAATACAACTATGCCACAATGTAATCAATTCAGATTTCCAGTATTTAAAACCATTAGCATTACAATAAATGTGTAAAATCAATCTTTTTGGGATAAGCAAGTTGAAGACATATGCTCTAGTTGTTAAATTTATTTACAATTTATTTAGGCTAATTTTAATCAATAAGACCAGATTATGATTTTTAATTTTAATGGTCATTATCCTTCTGGTTTAGGAAAATTGCAAAGTCACTCCATTTCAGGAAAGAATTCATTCAATTTGATGTAAAAAATTGTATAATTCTCCTATAATTACTGTAAAATATTGGCCAAGGCCATGCAGCATGTAACCAAAAATAGAAAAAAAGGGCTCAAGGAATGAAGATATTTGCGTTTGGAATCTTATGATGTGCTGAAATGAGGAGGCCAAATACATAATTTTAAGTCTTGAATATTGTATAATAAAAATTACAGAAAAAATTGCTGAAATTTCTACATTTCATAGATAACCACTTTAATGTTGTTCCTTTAGTTCAAATACTTTCCCTAAAATTGAGTACCAGATATTAAATACATAATGCGAAATGATATGGACACTTTTAAAACTTCTATCTGTTGTCAAGCTATTTTCTAGAGTGGGCTATGCTATATTTTACTCCCTATAGCAGTATAGTTGTATTAATTTCTTATGAGTCTCAACCAGTCTTAAGAAGTAAAGGTTTTAAAATTTTATTGCCATGTTAAAATATAAAAGAAACATATTAATTAATTTATTCAATCATTAGTTATTTGAATGAACACCAAGCTACATACCAGGCAATGGTGTAGAAGAGTCCTGGAAAATAATAATATGATTTATTAAATCAATTTAAAACATATAATGATAAGCAGGGGAAAATAGAAGTAGATACACATAATTAGGAAAGGGTGCAATGATAGAAGAATGCCATAATTTCTGAAATAGACAATGCCCAATATTTTTAGACTTTGCCTTACTCTCGCTACTTTGACCTTTCCTGATGAAGTTGTGGTTTTGTGGATCAGCGTAGAGGTTTGAACAAGGGTGCTCAGAAAACAGAAGGCGCCTGGAACCAAAATGTTTTGTTATATTAGACAACATGGGGAGCAGCATGCCTTGCCAATAACTGTAGTTCGCCCATAGCCTTATGAGCGAATGTAAATTTTATTTGCATTTCTTAGAATACTCATGGGATCATAATGGCTACTGCCATGTGATAATCAATTTATCATCTTATAAATTTTGAGTGACTGATCTATAGTAAGTATATGAATATTAGGGGCTTTTTGGTCATTTCATCTCTTTTACAACTTTGTTCAGCAACGATATTATCTACTTAATTTATCTTGGTTTAATCATGTCTCAATTACCCATTTACTTTAATTAATACCTAACATCTCTTACTGTGTACTAATTTACATTGTCTATGCATAACATGTCTTACAGTTTACTAACTTATCTGTGCTTACATGTTCAATGATTCTGCCCAATCAGTTAATTTACCAGTTTATTTTTTACATGTATGTAATACCTCTTTAAAGTTTTATTTTTTCGTTTATTTTCTTATTTTTATGGCAAAATTGAACATTCTCACACAATGCAACAAATAGACTTTACAATCCATACCGAGAATATTCAAACTTTAAATGCATCTTACAGATAATTTAAGAATTGTAACTCACCATTATTGTAGTAGGCAATAGAAAGTCTGCATCTCAAAAGAGAACAGCCATATTACTGTGACTCTGATCAGTCCAGTCGTTATAAAAGTTCCATTCAAGGTTGATACCCTTGGTTCCATCCAGGGTTTTGGTGATGGCTATAGTTTTCTTATTTGTCTTTGGTGATTAGTTGTCAGAAATTCATGATATTTCTGTAAATATCCACTTATTTAGACTAGATTTGTCATTTCCTCAATTAAGTCTGGGCTATCAGTACATACGGCATTAATATCCAAAAGCACATTTTAGTATGTGGATGAGTTAGTAATGGTTAACAGTATGAATTTTTAGACAAGTGGAAGCTTTCCTTTTGTGAAAATATTAGAAAATCGAGGATTTTTATCAAACATGGCCAGGCCCTTTGACAGTGATTTTTGCATTTAGTAAAACATTAAACCACTGTTTTGAATAAGTTTATTGGGAAAGCGAATCTATATGTATCTATGAATGTTTTTCTCTAGGCTTTATAAAAAGTGTTTAGCTTTATATACATATTTAGACCTTTTCAGGGATGTCATTTTTTCTGAGTTTTAAGGTGTCTGTTGAAGTTGGAAACCAATTTTAACTATGTTAATTTAAGACATTAAAAAGTTATAATTAAATTAGTTCATTATTTTTGGGAATTGATCTTGTTTTTTGGATTTTAAGTTATATAGTCTTTTTCTACATAGTTATTGGCTACTGGACTGAGAGTGTGCTGAAAAACCTGACCCCTTGATGAAGTCAACTTGTTAGCTGTTTGCAGAAATGACGTATAGACATTTATTGTAGCTCTTTTGCTATTCTTTCCAGAAAACTCCATTCTCATCTGCACTTTGTACCAGGGTTTTTGTTAGTAGGTAAAATAAAAGCAAAAAAATGATTCATTTCTGTTTCATTGGTCTATATGTCTGTTTTTATGACAGTTTTGGTTACTGTAGCTCTGTAGCATAATTTAAAGCCAGGTCACATGATTCCTCTAGTTTTGTTCTTTTTGCTTAGGATAACTTTGACTATCCTGGGTCTTTTGCATTTCCATATAAATTTTAGGATTGTATTTGTATTTCTGTGAAGCATGTCATAGGTATTTTGAATAGAGATTGAATCTCTAGACTATTTTGGGGTATTATGGACATTTTAACCATATTAATTTTTCCAATCTATGAACATGGAATATCTTTCCATTCTTTGGTGTCCTCTTCAGTTTCTTTTGCCAGTGCTTAAAAATTTTCATTATAGAGAACTTTTACTTCTTTGGTTAATTCCTAGATATTTAATTTTATTTATGCCTATTGTAAATGGAATTGTTTTTTAATTTCTTTTTCACATTGTTTACTGTTGGCATATAAAAATGCTACTGATTTTTGTATGTTAAATTGGTATCCTGCAGCTTTACTATTTTTGTGTCAGTTCTAATAATTTTCTTATGGAGTCTTTAGGTTTTTTAAGATCATATCATCAGCAAACGAGGATAATTTGATTTCTTTCTTTCCAATTTGGATGCCCTTTGCATCTTTCTTTTGTCTAATTGCTCTAGCTAAGACATAATTACCATGTTGAATAACAGTGGTGACAATAGATATCCTTGTCATGTTCCAGATCTTAGAGGAAAGGCTTTCAGTTTTTCCCTATTTAGTACAATACTATCTTTGGGTATGTCATGTATGGCTTTTATTATGTTGAGATATTTTCTTTCTATACCCAATTTTTTGAGGTTTTATTATGAAGGGATGTCAAATTTTATTAAAGGCTTTTGCAGGGTCAGTTGAAATGATCATATAGTTTTTATCCTTCATTCTGTTGATAGGAACAAGATGGACAAGAACAGCTCCTGTAACTTGATAATGACATTTTAACTTGGACTTTGAACCCTCTAGGAAGGAGGGTTTGTTCCAATTCAACAGACAAGCAATCAGAATTGGCAGAGAAGTTAGCTAAGTGGAAGAGAAAACCAGAATAAGCAGTAGAAGAGAAAGGTAATGACTGTCTGTTAAGGAATTTGGACCAACTTGAGCACCGAGACTCTAGAGTTATTTTCACTAATCTTTGTCCTGTAACTATACCCAGAAGTTGTGAATAACTAGAACCTTGTGGAAGCTGTAATAAAATGCAGTGAATCTAATATAAAAAGTATTGTGTTGAGGTATGTTCTTTTTTATACCCAGTTTTTAGAGGGTTTTTATTATGAAGAGATGCTGAATTTTATCAAATGCTTTTTCAGCATCAAATGAAATCGTATGGGTTTTGTCCTACATTCTGTTAATATAATGTATCATATTGATTGATTTGTGTATGTTAAATCATCCTTGAAATCCTGGGATAAGTCCCACGTGGTCATGAGAAATGATCTTTTTCATGTGTTGTTAAATTCAGTTTGCTAGCAATTTGTTGAGGATTTTTTCAATATTCATCAGAGATATTGATCTGTAGGATTCTTTTTTTGATGTGACTGTCAGGTTTTGATATCAGGAAAATACTTGCCTGTGGAATGAGTTTGGAAGTATTTCCTCCTCCTCTCTTTTTTGGAATACTTTAAGTAGGATGGATATTAGTTCTTCCTTCAATGTTTGGTAGAATTCAGCAGTGAAGCCATCAGGTCCCAGTCTCTTCTTTACTGAAAAAATTTATTGAAGCTTCATTACTTACTATTGATCTGTTCAGGTTTTGGATCTCTTCATGATTCAATCTTAGAAAGTTATATGTCTAGGAATTTGTCCATTTCTTCTTTACTTTTGTGGCTCGTTAGTGGCTAATGTAATCAACTATATGCCAATTTATTGGATTTATTAGACTTTCCAATTTATTGGCATATAGTTGCTCATGGCAGCCACTAATGAGCCTTTGAATTTCTACAGTATAAGTTGGAATGTCTCCTTTTTCATTTCTGATTTTATTTATTTTCATCTTCTCTCTTTCCTTGTTAGTTAGTCTTGTTAAAACTTTGCTGATGTTGTTTAATGTTAAAAAAAATTTGTTTCATTCATCTTTATATTTATTTATTTAATTTGAAACAGAGTCTCGCTCTGTCTCCCAGACTGGAGAGCAGTGCAGTGGTGTGATCTCGGCTCACTGCAATCTCTACCTCCTGGGTTCAAGCAATTCTCCTGCCTCAGCCTCCCAAGTTTCATTCATCTTTTGTATTTTTTCCTTTCAATTTCATTTATTTCTGCTCTGATCTTTTTGTGACCCAGTATATGGTCTATCCTTGAGAGTAATTCATATATTGCGGAAAAGAATGTGTATTCTGCATCTCTTGGATGAAACATTTTGTAAATATCTATTAGATCCATTTGATCAATAGTGCAAATTAAATCTGATGCTTCTTTGTTGATGCTTCTGTCCAATGCTGAAGGTGTGGTGAAGGTCTCCATCTATTATTGTATTGGGGCCTATCTCTCTCTTTAGCTCTAATAATATTTCCTCTCTTTAGCTCTAATAATATTTCCTTTATATAGCTGGGTGCTCCTGTTTTGTGTGTATGTGTATTTAAAATTATTATGTCCTCTTGCTGAATTGACCCCTTTATCATTATATAGTGATTTTTTTTGTATCTTTTTATTTCTTTCTTTTTTTTTTTTTTTTTTTTTTTAGACAGAGTCTCACTGTGTCACCAGGCTGGAGTGCAGTGGTGTGATCTTGGCTGACTGCAACCTCTGCCTCCCAAGTTCAAGCGATTCTCCTGCCTCAGCCTCCCGAGTAGCCAGGACTACAGGCACGCACCAGCATGTATATTTTTAGTAGAGATGGGGTTTCACCATGTTGGCCAGGATGGTCTCCATCTCTTGACCTCCTGATCCACCCACCTCGGCCTCCCCAAGTGTTGGGATTACAGGCGTGAGCCACCGTACCTGGCCTTTTTTGAATCTTCGTATAGTTTTGGTCTTAAAATCAATTTTGTCTGGTATAAGTTTAGCAATTCCTGCTTTTTTTGGTTTCCATTGGCATGTAATATCTTCTTCCATCCTTTTATTTTAGTTCTATGTATGTCTTTATAGGTGTAGTGTGTTTTTTGTAGGCAACAGGTAAAGGGATCTTGCTTTTGCATTCATTCAGCCACTCATTGTCTTTTGGTTGGAGAGTTTAGTTCGTTTGCATTCAATGTTACTATTGATAAGTAAGGATTTACCCTTGCTATTTTGTCATTTGTTTTCTGGTTATTTTATGGTATAATATTTCTTCTTTTTTGCATTCCTGTTTTCTTTGAGTGAAGATGATTTTGTCTGGTGATATAATTTAGTTTCTTTTTAATTTTTTTTGTTTTTATTGTGTGTTTTTTGGTTTGAGGGTAGCATGAGGCTTGCAAATACTATCTTATAACCCATTATTTTAACCTGATAACAACTGAACACTATTTGTGTAAACATACAAGCAGAAAGAAAACTAATAAAAACTCACCTTAACTTTGTCCCACTGCTTTTTAACTTTTTTTGTTTCTATTTCTATTTTATTATGCTGACTACAGCTTGAAAAGTTTTTGTAGTCATTATTTTTGATTCGATCATTGTTTAGTCTTTCTTAGGATAAGAGTAGTTTACAACCACAGTTACAGTGTTACAATATTTTGTGTTTTTCTGTGAACTTACTATTACTGGTAAGTTTTGTACCTTCAGGTGATTATTTATTGTTCACTAATGCCCTTTTCTTTCTAATTGAAGTACTCTATTTAGCATTTCTTGTAGAAGAGGTTTGGTATTGATGAAATCGCTCAGCTTTTGTTTGTATGGAAAAGTCTTTATTTCTCCTTCATGTCTAAAGAATATTTTTGCCAGATATATTATAGTAACCTTTTACTAAGGTAAAACTCTTTTTTTGTTTGTTTTTTTCCTTCAGCACGTTAAATATGCCATGCCACTCTCTCCTGGCCCATAAGGTTTCCACTAAAAAGTCTGCTGCCAAACACACTGGAGCTCTGTTGTATGTTATTTGTTTCTTTTCTCTTGTTGCATTTAGGATCATTTCTCTATTCTTGCCTTTTGGAGTTTGACTTTTTAAATACCTTGAGGAAGTTTTCTTTGAGTTAAATCTGCTTGGTGTTCTACAACTTTCTTGTACTTTTATATTATAATAATATCTTCCTCTAGGTTTGGGAAGTTCTCTGTTATCACTTGAATAAATATTCTACCCCTATCTCTCTACCTTCTCTTTAAGGTCAATGACTCTTAGATTTGCCTTTTTGAGGCTATTTTCCAGATCCTGTAGGCATGCTTCATTGTTTTTTAACCTTTTTTTTTTTCCTTTGTCTCCTCTGACTGTGTATTTTCAAATTGCCTGTCCTGAAGCTCACTAATTCTTTTGCTTCATCCATTCTGCTATTAAAGGACTCTAATGCAGTTTTCAGTATGCCAGTTGCATTTTTCTACTCCAGAATTTCTGCATCTTTTTAATTTTGTCAGTCTCTTTGTTAAATATATCTGACTGAATTCTGAATTCTTTCTTTGTGTTATCTTGAATTTCTTTCAATTTTCTCAACACAGCTATTTTGAATTCTTTTGTCTGGAAGGTCACATATCTCTGTTTCTTCAGGATTTGTTCCTGGTGCCTTATTTAGTTCACTTGATTAGATCATGTTTTCCTGGTTGGTGTTTATGCTACTAGATGTTCTTCAGTATCTGGGCATTGAAGGGTTAGGTGTTTATTGTAGTCTTCATTGCCTGGGCTTATTTGTGGCTGTCCTTCTTGGGAAGCCTTTCCAGATATTTGAAAAGACTTGGGTGTTGTGATCAATGCTGTTTCTGCTTTAAGGGGCATCCCAAGGCCAGTAACACTGTGATTCTTGCAGTCCACAATGATGGTATTGGACAATGTCCAGGAGAATTCTCTGGATTACCAGGTAGAAACTCTTGTTATTTTCCCTTCCTTTCTCCAAAACATACAGAATCTCTGCCTCTGTTATGGGCCATCTAAAGCTGGGGTTGGAGTGACACAAGCACTCCTATGGCCACCACCACTGTGACTGCACTGAGTCAGATCTAAAGCCATCACAGGGCTGGGTCTCACTCAAGTCCTGCTGTAACCACTCCCTGACCACTGCCTGTGTTTGCATAAGGCCCTGGCCCTCTATAATCGGAAGGTGGCAAAGCCAACCAGGCCTGTTTCCTTCACTTCAGGGCAGCAAGTTCCCCCCAGGCCCCAGGTGGGTCCAGAAGTACCATCTAGGTGTCAAGAATGAGAGTAAAAAACCTTAGAAGTCTATCTGGTATTCTATTATATTGTGGCTGAGCTGGCACTCAAACTGCAAGACACAGTTCTTCCTACTCTTCCCTCCCCTTTCCAAAGGCAGAGAAACCTCACGCCTTAGCCATCACCATCCATGGCCATGGGGAGTACTGCCAGACTACCACCAATGTTCCCTTAAGATCCAAGGTCTCTTAAGTCAGCTTGTCATGAATGCTGCCTGGCCTGGGACTCACCCTTTAGGGCAGTGGACTACCCTCTGGCCCATGGCATGTCCAGAAATGCTGTCCAAGAGTGAAGTTTTAGAACTGAAGAACCCAAGATCTTGCTTGGTTCTCAACCTCCCTGTGGCACTGTTGGTACCTAAGGGGCAAGACAAACTCCCCTTTACTTTTCCCTCTGCTTTTCATATGCAGAAGGAGTTTTGCTCTGTAGCCACCACAGCTGGTAATGTGATGAGTCTCACTTGAAGCCAGCAAGTCTCAGAGGCTCACTCAAGGCCATCTATGTAGTACCTGAGTATAGCCGCTGGTTATTCAGGGCCCAAGGGCTCTTCAGTTAGCATGCGATGAATAGCTGGTAGGCCTCGGTCCTTTGCTTCAAGGAAGCGGATTTTCTTCTGGACCAAAGTTTGTCTAGAAATGTCATCTGTGGGCTAGGTCCTGGCACAGGGGCTTCTTGACTCTGACTGCTGCCTTATCCTGTAGTGGCCCAGCTGGTATCCAACATGCAGGACAAAGTTCTTCCCATTCTTCCCTCTCTTCTCCCCTCTCTTCTCCTCAGGCAGAAGGAAGGAGTCTCCTTTGGAGCCCTGAGCTGTGCAGCCTGGGGTTAGAGGAAGGGTGATGGCAGAACTCCCTTGCCTGCCCCAGCTGGTGTCTCAGCATGTCACGTGTGCCCCCTAGTCTACCATCTCTCGACCTAGTTCAGTCCTAGGACTTGCCTACGAGTTGCAGTCCTTATGGCTTAGGCTGCCTTTCAATTTACTTAGAGACTAAGAGCACTTTGGTCCTTGGTGGTGAGGTTGGCAAGCACTCAAGTTCAGAATGCTAGGTTTTGCAATTCCCTTCTGGCTAGGGCTTGTTTAAATGCTCCCTCCATGGGCATACATCAGCTGAGCTTGGTCCGGCTTGCCTTTCTGCTCTAACAGAACAGCACTGAGCTTAATACCTCACAACTGGTGTGTTCTCTCTTCCCTAGCACACAGAGAAGCTCTCCGCACCATGCCTCTGTTGCTGGGGGTAACACGGTGGTGGTGTTGGTGATTCAGGGCTGTTTTTTCTATCTCTTTAATGCCTCTTTCAGCAATATTAGTTAAAATCAGGTACTGTGAGTACTCACCTCATTTTTGTTCTTATGAAGATGTTTTTTCAGTGCAGATAGTTGTTAACTTGGTGTCCTTGTTGGGAGGGGGCATGATTGATGGAGCTTTCTATTCCACCGTCTTGCTCTGCCACCTTATTTATTTATTTTTATTAACAAATGGGGAGAATAGTCTTTCCCAAATTGACAGAAGGGTAGTTTTTTTCAACTGAAGTGCAAGTTTGCCACATGAGATTACTCGAGGAAACAAAAAAACTAAGTGTCTGTGTTTTCACAGTCTTGGAGATGCACATTCTAAGCAATACAGCTTAATTGGCTATAGCAGGTAAATTCACCTAAGCACAGCTGTAGAAATTCATCTGGATCTGAGTTGAGATCAAAGGCTCCTTCACGCAGGCCAAAGACAGTTTTTAGTCTCCAATTAAACTAATACTTTTCTTCTTACTAGCAAAAATGTATTTTCTGTCTTTCTGAGCATTTTCAAACATCATTAGAACCTTAATAACTCCAGATAGGCCTGTGCTTCATTTAAAATACTAATTAAACAAGTTTTAAATTCTACAGGAATGGCTTTGAGCAGAATTTTTATTTTGCTTGTTAATATCTCAGTTACTCCTAGTGTTTGAATAAATTACTTCATATTATTTTTGGGAGTCTCACTGTGGTAAAGAGAAAATTGAGTTCAGATCCTGTATGAAGGAGCCCTGGTGAACTCAGCAAATTATCACATACAAATATTTAGAGGGCTATGTCTTACAAAAAATCTCAAGCCCAAGCTGGACTGTGGCTACATTAACTCAAACCCAGATAGAATTCAGTTCAATAGCTAATTAGATTAAGGCAATCAGCCCCAATTCTAGCTGCCCAGCAAAGGCCAGTAATTCACTCTGTTAGAAGATAGCCACATCTGGAACCTATATAATTTTTATTTAACAGTTGTCATTCAGGTTCTTTACATGATGGAGTACCTAGTATCAGATTTCACTCTCATAACAAACATAAAAATGGTCAATACATATAAAACAAGTATTTTAAGTCTTCAGCAGTGAAAAACAAGACTGTGCTCATTGAGGGAAGATAAACACATGAGTTGGGTCCACTTTCACCAATTTTACCCTGGAGACACTTGTGTAAGTGTATCACAGAGAAGTAGAGTCAAAGTAGAAAGTAGCAACTTTGATATTGGAAGAAAAACAGATTGCAGTTTAAAGGTGTCAAGGTTTATAGAAGGAGAGCAACACAGAAAGAAAGCCCTAAACTCTTGTAGGGTTTTTTCCTTAGGTCCCTTTCCAGTTCCTAAGGTGCACATGCAGACGGTGAGGCTTTTGGAGGCTTGGTGTAAAACAGCTTCTGCGTTCACACACTGCTAGGAAACATTGAATTTCTGACTTAGTCAAGATTCAAGGACCATGGTAAATACCAGGCATTCATTTGAGACCACATAACACCCATAGTCTAAGACTATGGGCCAACTGTCAGAAAAGTGCTAAACCTTAAGACTAACTGGAAAGCTGAAATAGACCTAATTTTAAAAAGGCTAAAACCAAACCTTGACAAGAATAAGATTATTCACCTGAAATTTCACTGCCTGTCGTAACAGAAGTCAACATGATTTAGAGCATGGATTGGGCCAGTTGCCTATTTTGGTAATTAAGTTTTACACAAACATAGTCATGGCCAAGTGTTTACATATTTCTTTGACTACTTCCATGCAACAACAAATGAGGTAAGTAGATGTGACACAGTACGGTCCCCAAACCTAAAATATGTACTGTCTGATTCTTTAAGAAAAAGGTGGCCAACCTCTCCTTTAGGGGAGGATAATATAACTCTTCTAGAATACTAGTACAAAATACATTAAAAAATTACCAGGCATAGTCAGGAAATTTGGCTGATAAACAAGAGATAAAATAGTAAATATTAGCAAACAGAGAGATAACCCAGATATTTAACAGACACACGTTTTTTGGTTGTTGTTGTTGTTGTTTTTAGTTGTTTGTTTTTGAGATGGAGTCTCGCTGTGTCACCCAGGCTGGAGTGCAGTGGCGCCATCTCGGCTCACTAAAACCTCTGCCTCCCAGGTTCAAGCGATTCCCCTGCCTCAGCCTCCCGAGTAGCTGGGATTACAGGCGCACACTATGCATGCCCAGCTAATTTTTTGTATTTTAGTAGAGACGGTGTTTCACCATGTTGGCCAGGATGGTCTCAATCTCCCAACCTCGTGATCCGCCTACCTAAGCCTCCCAAAATGCTGGGATCACAGGTGTGAGCCACCACGCCCGGCCAACAGACACACGTTTTAAAATAACTGTAATTAATAAATTAATGAAAATAGAGAAAATACAGACAAAATGGAAAACAAGTAATTAGTTAAAACGTTAAAAAAGAAATCAAATGGATATTATGGGATTAACAAGAAATATATATCATAGGTCATTATAGCTACTTAGATGCAGAAAGGTGCTGAATTAGTGAATTCGGTGATAAGTATGAATGCATGAATAGTCTACTAAAATACAAACTTTGTTAAATTAAAAAATTAAGTAAAAGTAATGAGCATCTGGCTGAATGTTAAAGAATCATATCTAGTACAATTGCGGTAGACTGAGATAGTATTTTCTTCTACTCCCCTGCAATGTTTTCATTTATATTTAATAGCTGTGAAATAACATAATTTTAAATGTCTGATTTGATATTAGGTCAATATTTATTTTAATGAAAAAATTTCTTTCTTTTTCAAAAAAGTCTTCAGAGGAATTTTTGGATGATATTTGGAGAGGAAGCAGATGAGCATACACTTTAATTAAACAAATCAATTTTGTCTCAACAGGATGGCATATGATTTGATTTTTTATGATAATAAATATATTTAGTCTTAATCTTGGCATATTCAGTGCTTTCTATTTTGCATTTCACAGATATTTTCTTTGAGTTCTTCCTAAAATATAGGGAAAAGTATTTGATATTATCTTCTGTACTAATTTGAAAGGTATGTTATTTTAATTTTGGTTAACACTCAAAATAGAAAGTTTAACATTTCTCCAAATTAAACTTTTGTATTTTAAAGTATTTAAATCTTTTGTTACCTCTTTAGGTATACTCATTAGTTGCTTGCTCATATTCAGGCAGTATAATATAGTTAGTACACCTAGAAGATGTGTTCTTTCACAGGATCCAGTGGTTCATATTCATAAATACACCGTTTACTCACACCATCCTCAAGTATGGCTAATCAACTTGCCAGAGAGTCCTAACTCTTTAATCAGCATTAACCAGTTGACAATAAAGCATTATTGCATTTTAGACTCAAGTACTTAATGGATTATCAAGCAATAAGCTCTGTCCTTAGATATTCTGTAAGAGGAAAAAATAAACTCAGCTAAGAGAAGCAATGCACATTTATCACGTCTTCCTGCTTTACCCCAGGATTCTCTCATACTCATCCCTTCAAAAAAAATTAGAAAAACATGATGTCAATTTTTAGGCAGAAAAAACTGGGAGGGGAACTTTGTAGACCTTTGGTGTCCATGTATTTGTAATAATCAATTCGAAGATTGATAGCAAAATGTTAACCTTATTGCGTTTTTAGAATTCAAATTGTATAATTCTTAAGCTGAAAACACAGTTTGCAATGTAGAGCCAAAGCCTGTGACCTCTCCAGTGGATAAGGAAGGCACATTTTTCCAACACTTTGCAGAGCTGATAGTGGAGGATAGGCATAAGGAAAGCCGAAGCATTAATAGTCACTATCTGTAAAGAAGTTAACTCAGAAGAACTATGTGGTGAGTGCAGAAAGTGCAAGCAACTTTTAGAGGAGACATAGTTGCTGACATAATGATGCTGTGATATTCCAATATAAATAGCCATCGATAACTCTTGCTTTTATGCACATACAACTTGCATGCTTCTTCTATTCCTTAGTTACCTCTTTTATGTCTGGAGATTTTTTTAAAATGTAATGGAAACATATAGCTTGGACATAGAAAATGATTAAAGGCATAGATATCAGTGATGAACTGAGTTTGGTCAAATTGTGATTTCACTACTTCTTAGCTGTATAAACGTGTGACAATGGCTTCATTGGAAAAGTAGTGATATCTACTTAATTGCCTTACTGGAGTTGTAAGAATTAGGTTAGTTAATACATGTAAACCATGTAGAATTTTGTAACAGAATGCAAGTTTTAAGAGACAAATGAGAATGGAAGCAGGAAGTTCTCATATGAAGCAGCTATAAGAGGATTTCTTTGTTGTTAGTGTTGCTGCAGAACATAAGATAAAAAATGAGGCAATCCAAGTGATAACACAAGAAAAAGAGTGATTTTAGAAAGCATTTTAAAGAATCATTAAAGCTTAATGGCTGAGAAAAAAATGAAATATATGCTTTGTAAGGCTAATTAGAGGGGAGAATTGACCAAACAATTGAAGTTTAACATCCTTAATTAAAATCATGTTATGGTCTGTGAGGAAAACTATGAATCTCTCTCCTTTACTGCAAGATCAAGCACTATGTCTATCATAATGTATGTGATTAAATAAATTAATTGATTCATCAAGATTAAGAAATTCAGTAGATGATGCTTTTGGGGGTGAGATGCAGTATAAGTGCTATTTGTAGACATTTTTCATTTGGAGTTGCTTTGGAAATGTGCATCAAACTAGCAGAAATGGATTTGCAATTTAGAAGAGAGGCGGATGGAGCAGTAAGTCACTCAAAGTGTGAAATGGGAAGTTGGGAATGTTTTGTGCCTTGGAATAAGGGACAAAGTATGCCAAAACTTCCATGTTTAAAGCACCATGAAATTTTGGATATCTTGATAGTAATTTAACTGGCTACCCTATCCTAAAATAACACCCTCCCCCACCCCCACACACATCTATCACACTATATCTTTTGTGGTCACTTTTCCTTAGCAGATATCACTGACTGAAGCTAGGATAAATACCTCATGAAATCATTTTTTTTTTTTTTTACTGTTTGTCTCTTGTGTATGGCATGTAACAAGTTTTCAATAAAATATTTTGAATAAATTAATGTTCTAATCAATCAATTGCAGAACAATTAAAGCGATAAAGTTTGAGAAAGAGGACTCCAAAAGTCATTTGTATGTTAAAATAAAAACTAATATAAAAGGAATACACCTCAGGGGAAGAGAGTTGGCCAGGGTGAAAACAGATAATTAGAGTCACCCATATTTAGGAAGAGGTGACACTGAATGAAATCGATGCACCCTTTAACTATGGTCCAAACAGTAGTTCTAGAATAAGTTAGTAAAATGCCATATAAGCCATAAAAAGAAACAATATTTTATTCCAAAGTGAAAAACAGTTGTTGTTTTTTTTTTTTAAAAAAGGAGTCATTTTATATAATATTTTATAGCTTGTGTTTCGGAGGCCAACTGTGGCTTTCAAAACTCTGGTTAAGATACGTATTAGGAGGCAACACTTGAGTATATAAGATTAAGTTATAAGTAGATGGAAGAGAGAGTGAATTGGAGAGAGAGAGAGGAATTGGAGAGAGTGGACAGATAACTTATTTGAAGACAAGTTTCTTTGAAAATTTTATATTAAGATTTTTTACAATTAATCATTTATTTTAATGCTGTCAATCAAAATTCTTAAACAGTCAAGCTATAATAAAAGACCTTTTGATAATTAATAATTTTGTGAATGTGTGAGTTTTATCATTTGGAATTACTGAGTTTTGTTAGAGTAGATTTCTGTTTCTATATACAAGCAGTGTAAATTGCTTCCTTGCATTGCATTTCATGTGATATTATGGTTAAAAATGCATGTCATTTCATTCTGATCAAGATAAAAACATTATAGAAAGCTAGATATAATTCTTATGTCAATATAAGAAAATTATGCAACTGCCAACTCGCCCTGCTTAAAGTGATCTTTGAAGATTTTATTTATGTACTATTCATGTCCACAGGCTATAGAAAATTTTTCAGCCTATCAGTGCTATCTCAGGCAGGTCTGGTTTTAATTTTTTAATCATGATTGAAATGTGCTACCTAAATGAGCACTGTGTCTACCAAGGAATAATTACAGGTAAAAAAAAGAGATGTAAATAACTATAATTGTGAACCAAATAATCCGAAATATTTATTAACATCTGAAGTCTACACATTGTCAATGTAGTTGAATCCATACGACATTTAAAAAGCCAGTTGTTTAATTGATAAAGGTACATGTAAGAAGCTAGAGAAATTATTTATGGTATCTAATTTAAATATAGGTATTCCACAATTATGTGCAGTGTTCATTACTCTATTTTACATAAATAAGAGGACTGTGGCTTGGTCATGGTTGTATAGGTATTAAGTGGTAGAAGTGGGATTCAGTCATTCACCAGTATCACTATAAAAAATTGTTTTTTTCTCGATACCCAATTGGTTATTGACACACCTGAAAACTACCATCAACCTCAATGTTTAACCTAAAATTTTTAAGCTTTACTACTTGCAAGGTGTGAAGGTTTTATGCACTCTTTTATATTATTGCTATGAAAAAACAAATTGATTTATGTTGCTCTGCGTTATATTGTTTAACAAATCAATAACAATGATTTATCATAGATTTGTTTCTAAATGCCATTGTTTTTATTTAGTTCTATTATTTTACCACAAACTGTCTATTCCTGAATAATTTTCGTTGTTTCATCACTTGGTTGACGGATTTTGTTAACTTTCAGTTATGTTCAAGAAGGGGTCTTGATTACTATATTTCTTATTACTGTACATGCAAGTTTAATAAATATACTATTGCATTTAGGTTTTCAAATGTTTTGTGTTATAAAAATACTACATTCAAATGGAAAGCATTCAGACAGTACAAATAAATTAAAAAGTGAATAATGATAATTGTTCCAACTCACTCCATATAAGCTCATGCCACAGATTTAACCAGGGTAAAACATTTTTTTCTCTCTCTAAAGTAAAATGTTAATATAAAACTTTGTATATGTATAGATTTAACATGTGGATGATTCTATTTATTACATACATGAATATATTATGTGTACATATACAATTACATATCTGTACATTATATATGAGTACTTATATGCAGTTCATCTTTTATCTGACAGTGTAAGAGAAGACCTATTTCCTATTTCCCCATATCCTGGCTTACACTGTGTGTTAATTAACACATTTAAATCCCTGCCAGTCTAATATTGTAAATATAATAACATAATTATATCAAATTCATAATTACAATTACATGTCATTATATGTATAACATTTAATCACACATGATTGATTAGTGTTTTCTATATCATCCTTAACTACTCTACACTTTCTGTGAACTGTTTGGTCTATTTCTTTTCATCTCCTGTTTTAAAGAAATTAATACACAAGCATGATACTGGAGGTCAAATTGAACAAATAACTTATAATGAATTGCAATAATATAGTGTGCTCACTGTATTTCTCCTAGCAAGTTGTAATCATTTATATTTTAAAATAATTTTGTGGTTAACTTCTTTTAAGAAAAAAATGAAGGCTACTATGCTTTAGGCATAAATTAGACATTATTTAGCCACTTTTAACAAATTAATGATATGACGGGAGACGGTTGAATTTACTTTGCAATCTTTTTCTCTCATTCTCTTATATAGAACTATTCTTATTTGCTATTGTTTTAGCACAGTGGGATGATGAATAAATTACTCTTCATGTTGTTAGATATAATTCTTCTCCCCCTAATTTACTGGCATTAATCTTATTCCTAACCCTAGCTATCTGTGTCTTTGTATACATTGCCCAT
The DNA here is from genome assembly GCF_000001405.40 of Homo sapiens. Lineage (NCBI taxonomy): Eukaryota > Metazoa > Chordata > Mammalia > Primates > Hominidae > Homo > Homo sapiens. The sequence goes on along the minus strand of NC_000003.12, from coordinate 145,431,419 downwards.
GCGTAGAATAATGCTATTATATGACTATAGCATATGTCAGTGATTTGTCTATAAATTCTCATGGAAGAACCAACTGAAATTCTCTTTAGTTCTTTTTAAACTTCATAATTCCAAACTGGTCAAAGGAGAATTTGCTAGAGTTATTTTTGAATGATGCTCTACTTTTATATTCCACTAATGGCTGAAAATATGCAGTATTTTAATTTGCTTTACGGTTGCATAAACTTTCTTGTTTTTTTAATTTAAATTTTGCCCTTCCTTTTTGCTTACCATATAATCATTTATTATTATCTTCTAGCTTCACAACATCTCACATATTTCCTATATTATATCGTCATTTTTCCTTGGCATTCGCTCTCTATCATAAAGTTCTAATCTGTGCGGTTTTATGACTATAGAATGTCTCAGAGATTTGTCTGTGAATTAATTTCTCATGGAAGAACTAACTGAAATTCCCTTTAGTTCTTTTCAAACTTCACAATTCCCAAACTGCTCAAAGGAGAATTGGCTGGAGTTATTTTTGAATGATGCCCTATTTTCATATTCCACTAATGGCTGAAAATATGCGGTGTTTTACTTTGCTTTATGGTTGCATAACTTTTCTTGTTTTATTTTTATTTAAATTTTGCCCCTCCTTTGTGTTTACCATCTAATCATTTATTATATTTTCTATTTTCTTAACATCTCACTTATTTGGTGTATTATATCCTTGTTTTTCATTGGCCTTCTCTCATGTAAAGCTCTCTATTATAAGGTTCTAATCTCTACTGACTATTTTCTAAGAATTTTACCAGTTGCAATCCTAGAAACCTCTTCAAAGAAATGTTTGGACTTCATGTTTTCTTTTGTTTGGTTTTGCTCTCTGCTTTTATTTTCAGAGTAGATTATCGAATAAAATTCCTAAGAATTTTACCAGATGAATGCATAAGAAAGAATGCATACATATAAATTTCTGAGTATTTTTGTGCCTAAAAAGATAAAATCTTTGTTTTTGTTATCAAAATTGATTTATTACTTAGTTATAATTAGTTTTTACTAAGAACTGTGAAGATTCATTGCTATTTTTTTCTAACATACAATGTTTTTGAAGAGAATACATTATTTATCCATGGATGCAAGTAGGATATTCTCTTATTTATGGATTTGTAAAATTCAATAAAAATGTGTGCAGATGAAAGATTTTTATCCTTTCTGCTGAAATTTGTTTTATGTTTACTTTTAGCTAATTTTCTCCCTATTTTCAATTTTATCTTTATGTAATTTTTATTGTATTTTTGATGGTCATGTTATCAGTCAAAGTTTTTGGTTTGAACTAAGTAAAGTAAATCTGACAATCTTAACTAATATAAAAACTTAATGAAAAAATACTGGATATATTATTGGGAAGCTTATAAAATTGAAGAAAGGTTGAAGAACAGGCTCCAAAATCATATGAAACAGCACACCTTCTGATTATGTCCAGTTACCAGCACTGGAATTATTAAAAATAAAAAAGAAACAAATCAACAAAAACTCTAACCACTTTAGTTTATTGTCACTTCATACACGATTCTAATTATGTGGGGAAGTATTTAAATTAACTTTGTATGGAGCAGCTGTGCACCAGTTTCTAGACAAAGGCAGAAATTATTTAACAATCCCACCAGACTGTATGCAGCAACAAAAAAACAAGTGATGTCACAGAGGTCAGTTGGAGTGCTATTATCAGGAAAAGGTGGAACAGATGCTGATATCCAACAACTGCAAAAATCCGGAAGACTACTACAAAAATTACAGCCTGACCTTCATTGCCTCTCCTACATTTTACTCAAATTGTTAATCTCCTTGTCATTTTGTACAGCATTTTAGAAAATTTCTTTCTCTTTTACTTCTAGCATTTATATTGTTTTGTCTTGTTTTATTTCAACTAACATTTTAATTTAAAATAGTTTTTTTAGACTAGTTAATATTTTTAATTAAAAATGCAACACGATAATGTAATCTTTTTTTAAACATGTAAAGAATAAAAGACAAAGCTAAAGATTCTTTTTACTACTGCTCCCAATATTAATCCACTACCTTAATCCCATCATCAGAGCTGTTCAATATTTATAGTTTACAGTTCCTTCTACACATTTGTCTATGTATTCCTAGAAATTATGGAATAGGATTCCATATATATATATATATATATGAGACAGGATTTCATATTGTATATATCATACTACACAAATATATAGTATGGAATATAGTGTGTGTATATATATATATATTTGGGATATATATATATAAATACACATATGCTATATGTATATATGTAACAGGATTCCATACTGTATATATCATTTGCCACATTATTTCTTCATGTTAAATTGGGTTTAGGAAATCATACCAGCATATATATGATTTTTAATATTTGAACAATAAAAAAATCCTACATACTGTAGAGGACACAGATCTTATGTGTAAAACTCCTTAAACTTATAATCACTTCAAATCAAAATATTCAATATTTCCATCATTCCAAGGTACCCCATTTTACTCCTTATAATACACATGGGCCGCCCTTTGAGGTAGCGATATTCTGATTCCTATTCTCACAGATTTACTTTGCCTTTTTTGAACATAGTATAAGTGGCATCATATATGTAGTGTGTAGTATTTTGTGTTTAGATTATTTCAGTAATCAATTTTAATCTAAGATGAATCGTTGTTTTTTTAAAAAAATCACTGTTTATATATTATATTGGCACACATGCCACAATTTATGTATCCATTGTATGGCTGAATATTTGAACATTTGGATTGTATCCAGTTTGGCCTATTTGTAGTAAACCTGCTAATAACAATTTTCTGTATGTCTTTTGGTGGACATATATACTAATTATTTTTGCTATGTACTTAGGAGTAAAATTGATAGTGATAGCAACAGGAGACAGACGAACTCCTAGGCAGACAGGCACAGGTCTGTGGTGAAGCCTGACCCTTCAAGCCAAAGACAGTTAAAAGCCTGAAAAGCAAGCTGCTGGTTCCAGATAGTGTACACACATGAAGTGAGAACTTCTATCCCCATCTTACCCTCTCTCTCAATTGGTTCCTTCTGGATGATGCTTTTTAACCAACTGAATGGTGCTTTTTCCAAAGACCATTCATGGACCAATCAGCATGCATTACCTCATTGTTTTGTTTGTTTGTTTGTTTTTTAGAGGGAATCTCGCTCTGTCGCCCAGGCTGGAGTGCAGTGGCATGATCTCCGCTCACTGCAAGGTCCGCCTCCTGGGTTCACGCCATTCTCCTGCCTCAACCTCCCGAGTAGCTGGTACTACAGGTGCCCGCCAGCATTACCTCATTCTAAGCCCATAAAAACTATGGACTCAGCCGCACAGTTGGCTACTAGTTCTGGAGTCCTCTCTCCACTGAGAGCTTTCTTTCTGTCACTCGGTAAAATTCTTTTCTGCCTTACTCACTCTCTGGTGTCCACGCACCTTATTCCTCTTGGTTGAAGGTTACAAACCCAGAACCCAGCAAGCTGCTGGTGGCAGAAGTAAAAATGCTGTACCACGCTCTTGCTTGCTAAACTGTGAGAGTCAAAAAAGCCTCTTAGTGCCACACACTTCTGCTCGCCAAGCTGCGAGTGGTGGGAATAAAAGGGCTTGTAACACACTCCCACTAACTGAGCTTTAGGAGTGAAGAGCTGTGACATTTTTGGGGAGCTCAGACCTCGAGAATCCCCAAGCAAGAGCTGTAACACCCCTTGGGGCTCCGCAATTGCTGGCCTTTCTGAGTTTTTGGGTGCCACAGCGTTCCCCTCATCTGGACGTCAGCGCCCGATGCTGAAGCCGCTCACAGCATGCCAGGTCCAACAATGGGCTGAGCGTGGAGCCACAGTGGGTATGGGATCCAGACCAGGGCACAAGCCAAGCACAGCCTGCTGGGTCAAGTGGGCAGAGCAAGTCCAGTGGGCCCAAGTGAGGCCCAGACAGAGGTGACGGCCACAGAGATTTCTGGCTGGTCAAACGGTACTGAAGGAATCCTGTAACAAGGGGCCATGATGTATATGTATGCATAGGTTTTGTGAGTAAACCTAAATAATTTTCAAGAAGCTTGTTCAGCCTGTACCAATTTACATGTGAAATGACAATGGATGAAAGTTAAATTTTTCATATTATTGCCATTTCTTGGTATTTATTTTTTGTTTTGTTTTGTTTTCATGGACACATATTGTGATGCCATTATGGTTACAATTTGTATTTCTCTGATTAACAATATTAAACATTTTTCCAAACGTTCATTGGCCATGTTTTCTATCCTTTTAATGCCCATTCAGCTATTTTCTCCCCTTTTAAAAGACTATTTAGCCTTAAAAAAAAAAAAAAAAAAAAAAAGTACATCCTGCTATTTTCCACAACATGAATTAACCAGGAAGATATTAGGTTAAATGAAAAAAAAAAAAAAAAAAAAAAAAAAAACAGACACAGAAAGACAAATGTGACATGGTATCACTTACATGTGGAATCTAAAATATTCGAACTTATAGAAGCAGAGAGTAGAATGGTGCTTGCCAGGAGCAATGGGGGTGAGTAGTGGTATAAGGGTATGTTGGTCAAAGGAAACAAAGTTTCAGCTGTAGAGTTTGAATGAATTCTGGAAAGCTGTTGTACAGCATGGTGACTATAGTTAATAATACTGTATCCCATCTTTGAAAATTACCCAGGAAATAGAACTTAAATATTCTTACTACACATAGGTATATACACATAAAAGTAACTATGTGAGGGAGGTAGCGAATATGTTAACTAGTTTGATACTTGATTGTGAGTATCATTTCACAATATATACATGTATCAAAACATTTTTACTAAAAATATGATTTTTATTAGTCAATTATACCATAATAAAGAAAAAAATACACTAAAGCTAATCCAGAAAAAATAATAGTGCTTCTTTAACATTGTAGAATAGTTTTTTCATATCTACTCTAATATTTGGTTATGTATGTAAAAGTAATTTGTAATATTCCATAAGTCACAAAACCTCTGATATTTTAATCTGTTTGCTTTTGAAAAATGCTTTGCATTTGAAGATGTAATACAAAAACATTTGTTTGCTAAAAATAAAATAATCAATGTATGTTAATTTTAAATATAACCATTCCAGCTCTGCAGGCAATAGCGGGAATAAAGAACAAAATCTATTTCAGTAAGATTTATTTCCCAATTTTCCAATGTAAATTTTCATCATTAATTTACCTTTTTCTCGGATTCCTCCTATTATAATAAGGGGTGCTTCAGAAACTAGGAGTTTTATAAGTACATTTATATGTTAAAAAGTATTTCATGTATTATAACATGAAGATTCCTTAACAAAATAAAACAAAACAAAACAAGCATTAATTAATTGATTTTAAAGGTTAGTAGAGGAAAGAATCCAGAATATTTTATAGAAACAACAAGGCAAATGTTCAGATATTGGAGGCAAACAAAACTGTAAAGTGAATAAATGGGAGTTTATTTTCACACAAAGGATGAGGATTTTTTTTAGAGCCATTATAGATTTCTATTTGGTTGATTAGCACTGAAGAACAAAACCTAGTTTTGCGCTTGGTTTGTGATACAGCTTATCCTAGCCACTGGACCAGAGATGTCAGAAGGCATAACAAAAATTAAAAGAATGGAAAATATGACAATGAAAAGAATAAGGGCGTATCTCACAACTATTTCTAATATAAGTTCCTACAAAAACACATACATCATCAAAAGTCCCCCAAATGGAAAATGAATATTTACCGATGCACATAGTAAAATTTTTGAGATGGCCAGGCGTGGTGTCTCAAGCCTGTAATCCCAACACTTTGGGAGGCTGAGGCGGGCGGATCACGAGGTCAGGAGATCGAGACCATCCTAGCTAACACGCTGAAACCCCGTCTCTACTAAAAAAAAAATACAAAAAATCAGCGGGGCATAGTGGCAGGCGCCTGTAGTCCCAGCTACTTAGGAGGATGAGGCAGGAGAATGGCGTGGACCCGGGAGGCGGAGCTTGCAGTGAGCTGAGATTGCGCCACTGCACTCCAGCCTGGGCGACAGAACGAGACTCCACGTCAAAAAAAAAAAAAAAAAAAAAAAAAAAATTGAGACAAATTTTATAGAATATAAAATCATGTAGTGTTTACACAAAAGTTAAAAAAAATTAGAGATACTACAGACTGCTCTTAAATGGATTGGGAAAGTTGTTGAACAAAACTGAGGAAAGGCAAAACTTGTACACAGGTTTTAATTGGTGTTTCCCTGTTTTAAATCCTTTTAGCATGAGAAGATATTAGTAAGTGACAGTGAAATTGCAATGATTTAGGACAATTAAAAATTGTAGGGTAGATATTTAAATAACATTTAATAGACTAGATGCAGAGGGTGTTTTCAGAATTAAAATCAATTAACTAAAAAGTGATGCTACTAGGATTAACTATATAGTAATTTAAGTATGTAAACTAAGGAGGATGTTGTAAGACAATAATAATTAGTTTCAATGTTAAGAATAATGAATCTCAAGAATTTCAAAGTATGGATATATGTAGCTGAGAAATATGTGGAAAACTGGCAAAGTTGAAGTATGTAACACATTTACTGAAATATGCACTCAAGAAGACACAGAATGTACACATTTTCACTTTAATATAAAGCTATCACTGTGATAGGCATGCATTGATTTTTTGGACTAACATTGTACCCCTTCTTTTGGGAAATTTTTCTTTTCCCTCTGGTTATTGATCACTGTTATAGAACCATGATCAAGTAGGTAGAAGAAGGGCAAATGCCTATAACTGAGGAATTTCTGGGTGAAATCAGGAGACAGTCCTTTTTCTTTACTTGTCCATATTAGATTTAATCTTCAAAATTACTGCCTCATGTGTTGTCTTTAAAATGGAGAAAACACTTCTGCAGTGCACAGAAATGAATACAATAAGATTAGGGAAACAGAGATGGGTTGGGAGAAGAAAAACAATTACTGATATGGTTTAAACTCCTGGTTTTATCATCCCAAAAACTAGCTTCACTATTATTTACTGTCTTCATTTGAGGCAATAATTTTCTCTTGGCTTATATTTCTTTGCAATGAGATTATGAGGTTTGTTAAAGAAAAAGTACAAATAGTGACAAAAAGTGTCATAAACATATTTAACTTCATGCCAAATAGGGTTACTTCTTTCCTTAATCTTTTTCCACATAGCATTATTAATTTATTCTTTTGTTTTCATGAACATGAGAAACATGTATGATATATACCCTTTCAATGGAATAATGGCTGGGGGTCAAATATTCACAATTAAAAAAGTTACTTTAACAAGCAGTCTGTAAGATACAGTGTACATTTCCACCCAGCATGGATGTCAGTAACCTTGAAGTCTTGAGATAGATGACTCGCACAGTGCACAAGGGATTCTGAGAGAACATCTAGTGATTACTGTCCCACCCTCTGACTTTCAGATGCTTCTATACAGGTTGTAGCGTTAATTTACAAATGTATCAATCAACACTTATTTTGGATCATAAGTATGAATCTTTTTTACAGATTTGCTTTTATGAAAAAATTCTTGAGTCTAAGATAATTTCTATTGTTTATTTAAAAACATTGCAGATAATCATTAGAAATTTGCTGCTTCAAGCACTGTCCTAAATCCTGAGATAGACCAGTTAGGCATATCTTTATGTGATGAGCTCTCAGTGTAGGAAAGGAGAGAAGAAAGATACAGAAAAACGTATTCTATAATGCTACAATTTTCCCAATATAAATATAAATTTACTTCTCTAATTCTATAGAAGAGGGAGAGAAATAACTTCTCTGAATTTTTGCACAATCCTAGCAAGCTATTTGGGCCCAGTGACTAAAGGGAATGGCAAATAGGGCACTGTCTCTGTAGATCTATCAGAGTTGCACATTCTCTTCCTTTTCAGATCAATTTTCAAATCATCCATGCTTTGAATTGAGAGATTATGGTGCACAGATTCAGAAGTGTGTGGATTTAAAGTCAGTTTTACTACTTATTATGAAAATTACTTACCTTTTCAAAAACTCAGTTTTCTCATCTCTACCTTTGGTAGAGACAGATTTACCATGAAGCTACAGAAGCTTAAGCTTCAGTGCTTCTCACTTGTACCGGATCCTTCCTGTATACAAAATTTTTTAAAAAATTGCAAAATGCATGGCCACATATATTGCATAAACTGCAAGCCCCACAAAACCTATATCTTCGGGTCTGTTACATAATTATTAAATATAATAATTGTATTTACTTAAGTATTAAATGAAAAACATAGGAAATGTCTCTAGCACAAGACCTGATGAACAATAAATAGTTAATATTAACATACTCTCATCTCTAAGATAGACGTATTGCTCAGTAGTTATAAATATCTATCAATTGCATAAATCTATAAAATTGAGATAAATATGTTTTCTGAAGTTTTCTAGACAAACAAGATAAAAAAACTAATCTGAATTTTTCAGACCCTTTGCCTCACAGAGTGATAATTTAACTCAGTCCTTTTCAGATCTTGTGTGTTATGTTTTATAACAAACACCCTTCTTGGTGCTCAGAATCACTGTAAACATTCTTAATGTCAACCGTCTCACTTACTCTTACCATCCAGTTGTAACTTGTCTTCCAAACACATTTTTCATGCTGATTATGAAATACTCTGCTGGCCTTAGAATACGTTACATTTAAACTGTGGTTTGACATAACAAATAGTGGTAACAAACTTCAGTTGTTTTGCAATTGTATACATTTAATACACATGCTTCAAAAATCAAGAGGACATGTTCAGTAGATCTAATGCTTGAAAAATAGAATTATGACGAAATTTCTTATATGCATTGTTGAACAGAAAAAGTAAATTATGCCATTCTTATACAGTGTCTTCTATATTATTTCAGAGTTTTTCCATCATAGTTTGTCTCTACATATTTCATATTTCTACAGCATCCATGTGTTAAATTGGGACAATGTCTTTGCCTTTTTAATTTGCCCCCTGAGAAAAGAAGAGCTGCAAACAACTGAATTTTGAATGCTACAGTCTGCATTCTTTTTCATATAGATTCATTTACTTTCCTAGAGTTTTTTCTATACTACTTGTTTTTTTTCCAGTTCCCAACAAACTACAGTGTTGATTCTATTCTGGAGAGGAATAAAAAACTACTAAAGTCCTGTAATGAAGTTTACTGGAAATCTATCTGAAGCAAATGTCATTATATATCACGAGTCCTCACTTAAGAGGTGGGATGCTTGAATATTGAGGCTAATAAGTTTATTAGCCCTAGTTTGCTGATACTGATTTTCATTGCTGGTACGTCACAAATTTTATGTTAAAACTTGGAAATAGTATTCCTTCAGAGATCAAAGGCAAACCATGAGCCAGATGCAGTGATTAAATAGAAGCATGGGTTTCTCCTTTAGAGAGATGTTGGAAAATGGATATTGGTGACCAAATCAACCTAGTCTAGAAAATGGCTAAATCTCCACAAGCAATTTCTCCCTCATATTCCTGGATCTCCCGGTCTCCTAAGCATTCCGCTGAATGCATAGGAGATGAAACTATGCATTCCATTGAATGCATAGGAGATGCAAGAACTCCTACTGAGTTCTTGCCAGTGGAAGTGATGTTCACTACATCGAGATCTTACCCATCAAAAGCTCCCATGTGTGATTATCCAATTTCTTCCTTTTCTGCTAGCTAGAGGGATAGAGCCCAAGAATGCCAGCAACTTTTACCCCATTGCAGGTCGCACAGAATCCATCAGCCTCATTCTGAATGACTAAGGAACATAACTTCTCCCCTGCCCACCACCAAAAATAACAACTTGGAATCTCTGTGGACTATTTATATAAGTTAAGAATAAAGCCTCCTATTGACAGCCACTTAGTTTGGTAATTATTTGCTATAGCAGCCAACATTATACTCACATGCACATTGTTTTGTTTGCTTGTTTCACTATGTCTTCATGTATTTTTCATGTTATGGCCTCAGGCTGCATGACATAAACTAAAATTTCAGCACTATCATTTATTTTCTTTTATGTATTTAAGAATTAGAATTCTGCTGTCATTTAACAAGTCATTCTATATTGGGGAAAAATCAGCCTTTGGAATAAAACAAATCTAGATATAAATTCCAAATTGAGTCATTACTGAATCATTACTGCAATAATCCTCAGTGCAACTTAACTTCTCTAAACATCTAAAATGCTGTTATAAGGATTAGAATGAAACATTTAAAGAATAAGTCAAATAAAAGTGATGAAAAATATTAATCACTTCAACTATTATTATTAATTATTATTATTTATTATTACATAGCAATGAATTTGTTAGGGACCAGTGAGGCATGTAAGCAGGAAGATCCAACATGCTTATTAAAATATAAAGGGATACATGCTGTAAGAATGTATGCACAATATGGCTCAGGAACTCTAAAAATAGAATATTAATCATCCCACAATATAAACTGAAATAATATTTCACAGAAAAGATGATGATAGAGGTATTTCTGAATGATGATTATAAGCATAGCAGGCAAGAGAGGAGAAAAACTCTTCAATGTCTTATAAAGTTTTCTAAGTAAATATTATCTCATTTGTTTTTATGTCCCTCCACTTTAAGGCATAAATAAAACCAAGACAAATCAATACAATAATTTGTCATACCTATGCACATTACAATTTTCATCTTAAGGCAAAAGTTCAGTTCTAACTGAATCCAAAACATTCCTATTATATACAGTTATTGGGTTTGCAACCTGCTGAAGGAAGCATCCCATGGGTAAATTGCCCTCCCATTGATTAGAAAATTAAATGCAACTTTTAATCTTTAATCTTCCCACACGACTGCTCATGTTAATGTTCTGTTTAGGCATTCCTGCTGAGCCATATCAGTGCACAAGCACCCTGAAAAATCCCAGGGTGACGATTAACCATTGAAAAAAAATCAGCTTTAAATGAGAAAAATGGGTAGTTTTAATAGTAGAAAATTAAGGAGTTCCTTAATCAAACAGATTTTTCTTAAATTGACTTCTTAATGTAGCATGACCTGGCTTAGCATTTTTAAAAAATAATCAAACAACCACTTATGTAGATTTGTTTATAAAATTTTGATATTTAGATGTATAAGTATAAAAGAAATACATAGAATATTTTAAAAAGATAGTTACTCTCATCAATAATCTAATAAACTAAAGAAAAATACTATGCATATTTGAAAGTATTTAATTTTAGAAATTTCATAGAGCTATTGCCATATTTAACCATGAAATCTTAAAGTTAATGGAAACAAAATTTTGGACTCATATTTGTTAGTGTAATTAAAAATACAAATAACAGCATAAAACTGTGCTATTAAAAGAGTAAAATTTATCTAAAGAATAATAAAAAAAATGAGATGACCACTTGGCAAGCAATCAAAGAATTTGAGTAAGTAGAAGGATTTAATATTTATTTTTATCCTCTAGCCATAAATTAGAGGATAGGAAACAAATTCAAATGTGTCAGAAACTCTTATTTAGATAAAGATAGAATGACAGAAAAGAAAAAAAATTAAATTATTTTATTTTATTTATTTCTCCTTAATCTAATAGATAACTATGTGTTCAAAGCCATGATAACAGCAATGTATTGAACGCTAATAGCATACAGATAAGTGACATGAAAGACAAATGGGAAGAGAGAAAAAGATTGGGTTTACTCTGTTATGCATTAATTGCATTACTCATGAGGTAATATAGTACTGTGTTATTTGAAAGTGGATTTAAATTAGTTGTAAATGAATATTTCAAACTCTATGGTAAGTACCAAAGAGTTTTTACAAAGAAAAAGAAATTGATCTGATAAGAGAGGAAATGGAATAAAATATATGCTCATTTAAAACCAGAGAAGGCAGAAAAAGAAGAAAATATTAATCTTAAGAACAAGTGCAACGAGTGGAAAAGTGTTACAGATATGGTAGGTATTAATATGACTGTATCAATAATAACTTTCAATGTGAATGGTCTAAATATAGCAAATAAGACAGAGATTGTTACAGTAAATAAGATAAACAATAAAGACCCAACTATATGTTTTCTGGAAGAAGCCCACATTAAATATAAAGCCACAAGTAGATTAAAAGCAAAAGGATGAAGAAATATATATAATACTAATACTAATCAACATAAAGCTGGAGTAGCTACATTAGTTTCACACAAAGCAGGTTTCACAGCATGTAAAATTATCAAAGACAAAGAAGTGTTTTAGATAATGATAAAGAAGTAAATTCTTAGGAACTATACAACAATGAGTATGCACCTAATAGAGCATCAAGATACATGACGGAAAAACTCTGATGGAATTCTAAGGACAAATAGAAAAGTCTAGAATTATATTTGGAGATTTTAATACCCCTTTATTAAAAATTAAAAGACCTAGGAGGCATGAAATCAATAAGAATATAGCTGATTGATAACCCCCTTCAGTCAACTGTAACTAATTGATATTTACAGATCCCTCCATTCAACAATAGCAGAACACACATTCTTTTCAAGTTTGCATAAAAATTCACTAAGATAGATGACATTCTGGGTCATAAAACATGCCATAATGAGTTAAAAAGGAGAAAGCATGCAAATTATTCTCTCAATTTTCTACAATGTCTTTTATCAAATAGAAACACAAGGAATGCTTTCTAATGCATTCTGTGAGACAAGAATTACCCTAATATCAAAATCAAATGCAGAAAGAAAACTACAGACTATTTTTTATGAACAAAAATGCAAAAATTCACAGCAAAATATTAGCAAATCAAATTCAAAGATGTGCAAAAAGAATTACGTTCCATAACCAAGTAGGATTTATTTAATGTATTCAAGGCTGATTCAACAATCATAATTCAATTAAGGTAATCCATCAGATAACCTGTTTAAAGAAGAAATATATAGTCACATCAATAAATGTAGGAAAAAAATTGATAAAACACTCATACCAATTGATTATAAAACTCTTAGCTAGCTATAGAGGTCAAATTTCTCAAGCTGATAAAGAACACCTACAAAATACTTAGAACTAACCTCACATATAATGAAAAGAAACTAGATGCTTTTTTCTCAAGATCGTAAGTAAGGCAAACTGCCTTTTTCACCACTTCTGTTAACATTGTGTTGGAAGTCCTAGTTTATGTAATATTAAGAGAAAATGAAAATAAAAGGTATACAGATTGAGAAGAATAAATGAAAGTGTTTTTGTGAATAATATGACTTAGAAAATTTCAAAAAAGTGAAACAACAAAAACATAATACTCCTGGAACCAGGGTCATAAAGGTCAAGGGCCGCTAAGATTTAGTGCAAATAAGTCTGCCCTGAGACATATTGTAATCAGGCCCTCAAATTTCAAAGACAAAGAGAGGATTCTGAAATCAGCAAGGGAAAATAAGCAAATTCTACATATGAGAATTCTAATTCACCTGGCAATATACTGCTCACAGAAAACACACAGACCAGAGGGGGTGGAATGATATATTCAAAATGCTGAAGGAAAAATATTGCCAACTAAGCATTCTGTATCCAAAAAAGTTATCTTTCAGAAATGAAGATAGTTTCCCAGACCAAAAAGTAAAAATAAAAGCTGAGATAACTCATCACCATCAGACCTGTCTTACAAAAAATGCTAAAGTGAGATCTTCAAACTGAAAGAAAGAGATGCTAATGTGCGACAAGAAAACATCTGAAGGTATACAGCTCACTGGTAAGAGCAAATTTACAGGGAAACTAAGAATACTCTGATACATAAGTCCTATCTTAAAATAGTTGTAAGGTCTTGGTAGCTGCAACTTCAAGTAAAACAAGTTACAGTGAAAGTAATTTTTATCATATTAAAGATATAAGCAGTTTACACACCACATTTGCAGTATAGAAAGTCTAGAGATAGCATTAATTTCTTTAATGTCATTTTGTTATAACATAGATGAGAAAAAATTGATTCCTAGCCAGGACTGCTATCTCCCTACATCACCTTGTGTTTTATCCAGGTGTTCTAGTTTCTTCCCACATCCCAAAGATGTGCATGTTAGGTTCATTGGCATGTCTAAATTGTGCCAGCACAGTAAGAGTGAGTGTGGATGTAATATTAAGACTTAAGAAACAAATTACTAAAAAATAACGACTATTTTAATTTGAAAAAAATGTAGGAACTATAATATTATGTAATGTGGGATGTGAAAAGTTCCAAATGTGGGGGGAAATAAAGTTAAATTGTAGATTCATTTATTTATTTGGTTTCCTTTTTTAAATTTCCTATTTTTACAATTAAAGTTAGGTTGCTCTCATCCTATAATAACTTGTTTTAACTGCAAGATATTTTTGGAACACTTCATGTTAACCACAAAACAAAAATCTATAGTGGATACACTAAAAATTAAAAGCACGGAATCAAAACGTACTATTAGAGAGAAGCACCTAACCACAAAAGAAAACAGCAAGAGAGAGGAAGGAAAGAAGAAAAAAATCTACAAAAAACAAAACAAAACAAAACCTAATGAAACAAAATGGCAATATTATCCTTGCTTATTGATAATTATCTTAAATGTGAATTAAGTTCTCAGAGAGTGATTGGTTTCATTGAAAAACAAGACTCAACTGCATGCTGCTTAGAAAGAAACCTAATTCTCTTGTAAGGACACTGAATGATAGTGAAGTGATGGAAAAAAGAGACACTCCTTGCAAATGGAAACCAAAGGATAGCAGGAGTAGCTAGACTTATGTCAGATAAAATAGACTTTAAATCTACAGCTCTAAAAAGAGGCACATAAGGCTATTATATAATCATAACAAGGTCAATTAAACAAGAGGACGTAACAATTGTAAATACATATGCAGCCAATATCAGAACACCTAAATATATAAAGCAAATATTAACAAGCCATAAAGGTGAGATAAACTCCAATACAATAAGAACAGGGAACTTTAACATCCCACTTTCAGCAAAAGATATCGTCTAGACAAAAAAAAAATCAACTAAGAAACGGTGAAGTTAGTCTACAACCTAGACCAAAGGGACCTATCAGACATGTACAGAACATTCTACGCAACAACTGCACAGTACATATTCTTCTCAGTGGCACATAAAACATTCTCCAAGGTAGATCATATAATAGGCCACAAAACAACTCCAAAATTTTTTTAAAAATTTAAAATCATATCAAGTGTTTTTTCTGACTACATTGCATTAAAACTGGAATTCAATACCAGGAAAACTTGGAAATTATACAAATACATGGACATTAAACAACATGCTCTCAAACAGCCAAAAAATCAATGAAAAAATATTTTAAAATTAAAAAATTACTTGAAACATATTAAAATAAAAAGCATCATATCAAAATCTATGAAATATCACAAAAGCAGTACTAAGAGGAAAGTTCATAGCAGTTAATCTATAAATCAAAAGATGGAAATCTAATGTTGTAACTCAAGGAACTAGAAAAACAAGAATAATTCCAAACGGATAAAACAAAAGAAACAGGCCAGTCACGGTGGCTCATGCCTGTAATCCCAGCACTTTGGGAGGTCGAGGCAGACGTATCGCGAGGTCAGGAGATCGAGACAATCCTGGCCAACATGGTGAAACCCCATCTCTACTAAAATAAAAAATCAGCTGAATGTGGTGGCACACATGTAGTCCCAGCTACCCAGGAGGCTGAGGCAGGAGAATTAGGTGAACCCGGGAGACGGAGGTTGCAGTGAACTGAGATCACGCCACTGCACTCCAGTCTGGTGACAGAGCTAGACTCCGTCCAAAAAAAAATAGATAATAATAATAATAATAATGACAAAATCAGAGCAGAAATATACAAAATAGCACCTAAAAATACAAAAGAATAAGGCAACATATAGCTGATTTTTTGAAAAGATAAATAAAATGGACAAATCTAGCTAGACTAAAGAGAAGACTCAAATAAAATTAGAGACAAAAAGGTCATTAAAATTAAAATTAAAGTTATTAAAACTAGAAACAAAAAAGTGATTAGCACTGACATCACAGAAATACAGAAGATTATTCGAGATTATTGTGAACATTTTATGTGCCAGAAAATTGAAAAACCTAAAAGAAATGGATGAAATTCTGGACACACACAACTTACCAAGATGAAACTATGAAGAAACAGAAAATCCAAACAGACAAGGAGTAATAAGATTGAGTCAGAAATAAGAAGTCTTCCATCAAAGAAAAGTTCAGGGCTGGATGGTTTTAATGTGAATTCTACCAAGCCAAACTAATGCCAATTCTTCTAAAATTATTTCAAAAAATAAAAGAGGGATTATCCTTATAAACTAATTCTACAAGGCTAGAATTACTTTAAAATCAAAAGCAGACAAGGACAAAACAAAAAAACCCCAAGAAACTATAGTTATACACCAATATCCCAGTAAACATGCATGTAAAAATTCTCAACAAAATACTAGCAAACTAAATTCAACAAGAAATCAAGAAGATTACCTTTAATTATCCAGTGGGATTCATTTCAAGTGATTCAATGATGTTTTGACATATGCAAATCAATAAACATCATACATTTCATTAACAGAATGGACAAAAGCCATACAATCATCTCAATAGACACAGAACAAGCACTTGATAAAATTCAACATCCATTTATCCTTCTTTTTTTTCTTTCCTTGAAACAGGGTCTCACTCTGTCACTCAGGCTGGAGTGGAGTCATGAAATCTCTGCTCACTGCAACATCCCCCTTCCAGGTTCAAGCGATCCCCTGACCTCAGCCTCCTGAGCAGCTAGGAACACAGGGACATGCCACCACACCAGGCTAATTTTCTGAATTTTTGATAGAGACAGGGATTTGCCATGCTGCCCAGGCTGGTCTCAAACTCCTGAGCTCAGGTGGTCCACCTCCCTTGCTCTCCCAAAGTGCTGAGATTACAGGCATGAGCCACCATGCCCAGCCCTTAACAACCATTTACAATAAAAACTCAACAAGTTACCTATAGAAGGAATATACCACAACATAATAAAGGCTATATATAACAAATGTATAGCTAACATTATGTTGAATTGGGGAAAGCTGTAAGCTTTTTTTATAAGATCTAGAACAAGACAAGGATACTACTTTCATCACATTATTTAACATAGTACTGGAAGTTCTAGCCTGAGCAATTCGGCAAGTGAAAGAAATAAAAGGTATCCAAACTGGAAATGAGAAAGTCAAATTGTCCCTGTTTGTAGCTAACATAATCTTATATAGAGAAAATCCCAAATAATCCACCAATTAACTAGTAGAATTAATAAATAAATTCAGTATTGTTGCACAGTATAAAAACAACTTACAAATATAAGTAGCATTTCTATGTATCAATAGGAAATTATTTGAAAAAGAAACAAAGAAGTAATCCTTTTTGCAATAGCTTCAAAAATATGTAAAATGCCTTGGAATATATTGAACCAATTACAAAATTTCCAGAAGGAAAACTACAAAATATTAACGAAAAACATAGGAAGACATAAAAATGGAAAGATATCCAATGCTTATGGATTGGAAGAATTAATGTTGATAAAATGAAAGTACTACCAAAAGCAATCTATAAGCTCAATGCAATCCCTATCAAAATACTAGTGTCGTTCTTTGCAGAGATAGAAAAAAATTTGTAAAATGGGTATGGAACCACAAAAGACTGAATAGCCAAAGCAATCTTTAGCAAAAAGAATAAAGCTAAGGCATCATACTACCTGACTTCAAAACATACTACAAAGCTGCAGTTATTAAACAGTGTGGTACAGACATAAAAACAAATACATACTCAATGAAACAAAATAGAAATCCCAGAAATAAACCTGTGCATCTAAAGCCAAATGATTTTAAGCAAAGGTGTCAAGTATACGCAATGGGAAACAAACAGTCTTTTCAATGAATAGTACTGGGAAAACTGGATATCCACATGCTGAAGAATGACCTCTATCTCTTACCATTTGCAAAAATTAACTCAAAATGGATTAAATACATAAATGTAAGACCCAAAACTATGAAGCTACCAGAAGAAAACATAGGAGAAAAGCCATGACATTGGTGCAGAACGGGATTTTTAGAGAAAACCGTGAAAGCATCTGCAACAAACGCAAACAGATAAACAAAACAAACAAAAAATTGGGATTATATAAAACTAAAATACTACTGCATAGCAAAGGATATAAT
The DNA here is from genome assembly GCF_000001405.40 of Homo sapiens. Taxonomy (NCBI): domain Eukaryota; kingdom Metazoa; phylum Chordata; class Mammalia; order Primates; family Hominidae; genus Homo; species Homo sapiens. Next base: position 145,413,221 of record NC_000003.12, on the reverse strand, counting down.
CAACAAGGCAAAAAGACAACCTACAAAATGGAAGACTGTGATTGCAAACTATACATCTGATAAAGGGTTAATATGCATAATATATAAGGAAATCAAACAGCTCAACAACAACAAAATAACCTATTTAAAAAGTAGGCAAAAAAACTGAATAGACCTTTCTCAAAATGAGACACAAATATGGCCAAAAGATATGTGGAAAAAAATGCTTGCCATTAGTAATCATCATGAAAATGAAGATCAAAACTACAATGAGATATCAAATCACTCCAGTCAGAATAACTACTATCAACAATTATAACATAACACGGTTGGGGAGTATGTAGAGAAAAGAGAACCCTTACACACTGTTGGTGAGACAATATGTTAGTACAGCCATTGTGAAAAATATTAGGAAGATTTCTCAAAACATTAAAGACAAAAGTACCATAAGATCTACAAACTTACTCTTGGGCATATATCCACAGCAAATAAAATCAGTATGTCAAAGCCATGTCTGCACTTCTGTGCTTATTGCAACACTATTCACAATAGCTAAGATATGAAATCAATCCAAATGCCAATCTTTAGTGGTGATTTCTGAGATTTTAGTGTGTCTGTCACCTGAGAATTGTAGATTGTACCAGATATGTGCTCTTTTATCCCTCACTTCCCTCGCAACCTTCCCCTACTTCAAAGTCCATTTTATCACACGTATGCTTTTGTGTCTTCATAGCTTAGCTCTCACTTACAAATGAGAACATAAATATTTGGTTTCTATTTCTGAGTTACTTTACTTAGAATAATGTCCTCCAGCTCCATTCAAATTGCTGCAAAAGATTAGTTGTTCCTTTTTATGGCTGAGTAATATTCCATGGTGTATTTTTACCACATTTCCTTTACCCACTTGTTGGTCAATGGGCAGTTAGTCTGGTTCCATATCTTTGCAATTGTGAATTGTGCTTCTATAAATAAGTTTGTGTATGTGTCTTTTTAATATAATGACTTATTTTCCTTTGGGTAAATACCCAGTGGTGAGATCCCTAGATCAAATGGTAGTTCTACTTTTATTTCTTTAAGGAATTGCCATACTGTTTTCCACAGTGGTTGAACTAATTTACATTCCTGATCAGCAGTACAAAAGTGTTCCCTTTTCACCACATCCATGCCAACATCTATTGTTTTTTGGCCGGGGTAAGGTGGTATCTCATTGCAGTTTTAGTTTGCATTTCCCTGATGATTCGTGATGGTGAGCATTTTTAAATATGTTTGTTGGCTGTTTGTATATCTTCTTTTGATAATAGTCTATTCATGTCCTTTGCCTACTTCTTGATGGAATTATATGTTTTTTTCTTGCTGATTTGTTTGCGTTCTTTGTTGATTCTGGATACTAGTCATTGGTCAGATGCATAGTTTGTGAGTATTTTCTCCCACTCTGTGGGTTGTCTGTTTACTCTGCTGATTATTTCTTTTGCTGTACAGAAGCTTTTTAGTTTATTTAGGTCCCATTTATCGATTTTTGTTGCATTTGCTTTTCGGGTCTTAGTCATGAATTATTTGCCTAAGCCAATGTCCAGAGATGTTTTTACGATGTTATTTTCTAGAATTTTTGTGGTTTCAGGTCTTAGATTTAAGTCTTTGATCCATCTTGAGTTGGTTTTATTATACACTGAGAAATGAGGATATAGTTTTATTCTTCAACATGTGTCTTGCCAGTTTGCTCAGCATCATGTATCGAATAGAGTGTCCTTTCCCTAATTTATGTTTCTGTATGCTTTGTCAAAGATCAGTTAGCCACAAGTACTTGGCTTTAATCTGTCTTCTCTGTTCTGTTTTACTGGTCTGTATGCCTATTTTTATACCAGTATCATGCTATTTTGGTAACTCTAACTTCATAGTATAATTTAAAGTCCAATAATGTGGTGCCTCCAGATTCGTTCATTTTGCTTAATATTGTTTTGACTGTGTGGGCTCTTTTTAGAATCCATATGAATTTTAGGATTGGATAAACTAAGTTTTATTAAAATTTAAAAAACCTTCTGCACAGCAAAATATAGTATTTTGAGCTCATAGCTCAAAAATGATATAAAATATTCCAAAATTTGCTAAAGATCTGAGCAGGCACTTCATCAAAAGAGATATGAATATGGTTAATAAGCGTATGAAACTATGCTCAATATCATACATCTCTTTGGAATTTCAAATTAATACAACAAGATACCACAACACACTTATTATAATGGCTAAAAAATGATAATAACAAAAGCTGATGAAGATGTGTAGTTAGGAACTCATTAATTGCTGGTTGGAATGCAAAATGGTACAGCTATTTTGGAAGACATTTTGGTAGTTTCTTAGAGAGCTATACTTAGCCTAGCCACAAAAGCCAACAATTTTATTTACTCAATTTAGTTGAAGGCTTATGTACACATAAAAACCTTCACATGAATGTTTATAGCAGCTATATTCATAATCACCAAAAATTACAAGCAACAAATATGTCCTTTAATAGGTGAGTAAGCTGTAGTGCAGGCATACAATGGAATATTATTTAATAATAACAATAAATAAACTATCAAGCCATGAAAAACATAGAGGGACTTTAAATGCATATTTCTAAGTAAAAGAAACCAGTCTGAAAAGGCTACATACTGTGTGATCACCAACCACATGGCATTTCAGAAAAGGGAAACTCCACAGATTGTAAAAGCATAGTGGTTGTCAGGGTCTTGAGGAGAGGGGGGAAAGATGAACTGGAGAAGCACTGGAGTATCTTTAGTATGTCTAAAACATCCTGTATGACAATGTGATGTTGCATGTATGTCATCATGCATCTTTCAAAACAAAGTGAACCATACAACACAAAAAGTGAATCTTAATGTAAACTATGAACTTTAGTTAATACTAATGTACCAACATTGGTTCATTAATTGTAACAAATGTCCCACACTGACTCAGGTTATTTAAAATTAGATCACAGTGTGTACTATGTGTAGGAGTAGGGGTGGTGTGGACATATGAAACTCTATACTGTCTATTCAATATTTTTTGTAAATCAACAAATGTACTAAAAAATTTTAATTCTTAAAAATATGTTTAAACACATTGGAAAATATTTTGGAAACATACTTTGTCAGCTTAATTAAAAAGAAAATAAATGCACAACACATTGCTATTAAAATGATAAAATTTAAGGAATGAAGTAAATCACTGAATTGCGTACTGGAGGATCAGCGAAAGAAGAGCAGATAGAGATGTTAGAGATCATTATTCTCCACCCTCATTTTAAAGGGAAGAAAATGAATCTGTCATTAAAAGAGGGCCTGTTTTAAGAAGAAAAAAAGAGAGAGAGAGAGAGAGCCCGAGCACAGTGGTGCAGGCTTGTAGTCCTGGCTACCAAGGAGGCTGGGCAGGAGGATCACTTGGGCCCAGGAGAGTTGAGGAGTTTGAAACTAGCCTGGGCAACGTACCAAGACCAAAAAAAAAAAAAAAAAAAGGATTAAATTGAAGGTGACTTCAATCCCAGAGTTTAATACAATTCTGAATTGTATTAAAACCCCTGATATTTATTCCCCTTGTCTTCACTCTTGTCAGAAAATACAGTTCTCAAAAGTTTTCTCCAACAAAGAAGATATCTCAGGATTGAAAGGTGAATACTGGTATTTCATATAGGGTTGACATCTTGTACTTTGTATTGATATAGTATCTCTTATGAACTTTAAATTGAACAGGACTTCAATACCTACTGCTTACTCTTATTGTAAAACACTTCAACTTTAAGTTATGCTGAAGGACATGTTGTAGTTACCATTGGTGGTTGCAAATAAATTTCTACAGCTCTAAATTAGAAATTACATATCGAATAGTTGTTTTGAGGGTCCACTAAGATAATATGTGTAGACTATCAAGCTTAAGGATGTGCCACATTCCTATTATTTATTGATGACATACTTTGTACTTGAACCTATACATTTAACCTCACAATTGCCCTATAATATAGGTATTATTTGTATTACTATTTGACATATGAGAAATTGAGGCTAAGGGAGATTAAGCAACTGGGTCAAGACTATTTTGATGGTGGAGAAGCTGAGACCCAAAACTAGTTCTGGCTAAATCCTAAGTATATGTATATGCTCTATTTTCCCATGTGTACCATCAATAAATATTCCTACCCTTCAAATTATGTTATTTGGATTCTGAGCTTCTCAATCATATGAAAATAATAATACCTGATCTCTCTCTCTTCTCATGTGATGACAGGACATGTCATTGAGAATATGTATGCAATTGCGTTTTAAGAGTAAAACTCATGAGGACAATTGCTATTATTAATTAGTAATATGTCAATATGTATTTCATATGTCTTTATTTTATATAATAAGTAATCAGATAATATTAATATTACAGAGTTGTTACTTCAAATTGCACAACCTTAACTTGATCTTAATGGATCTTCATTCCAAATTCAAATAAAAGCAATAATTTGTTTCAAAGAAAATTAAAAATCATATTTCTTAAATTCAAAATCCTTAAACACACGTGAACCTGGGAGGCAGAAATGTAATGAGCAGAGATCATATATATATGTATATAAAACCTTATATAATCACCATATATATAAAAAATACCTTATATATATAATACTGTGTGTATATAATACCTTATATAATCACCATGTATGTGTGTGTGTGTATATATATACATATATATATACAGGTTCCAGATTAGGTCCCCTTTTGTGGCCATTATTCATTCTAATGCATTTACCTATTTAAGAGATTAAGGTTAGGGTGAAGTTAAGTAAGCTGCTTTTTAAAACTCGAATTTTAAAAGAAAAGAAATCTAAATTTAAAAATTTAAAACGTGAAAAGTTGAATTTGGTTTTGAAAAATCTTTACCTAATATAAGGCAAATTTTTAGAGCTTAAAATTATACACATAACAAAGAAACATCATAAAGACAGTGTTAAAATATGCATTGTATATAATAGATATTTCTATTAAAAATAAAAAATAAATTTTGCACTTTCAAACACATTTTATCTTGTTATTGAGAATTAATATATTTAACACATAAAAAGTATGAGTATAAGTTCTCATGTGTTGGAGTTTGAAAATAATGTATTTTGGACATATTATAAATAAGAAAAGGTCAATAAAAGAATATATGTCACACATTCTAGTATGATTACAATAACCTTTTTGTTTTTTTTAATTTTGTTTTACTTTATTTTTATAGGATTTTGGGGAATGGGTGGCGTTTGGTTGCATGAGTACGTTCTTTAGTGGTGATTTGTGAAATTTTGTTGCAACCATCACCAGGACAGTATACACTATACCCAATTTGTAGTCTTTTATTCCTCACCCCCTCCCACCGTTTCCCCCAAGTCCCCAAATTTCATTGAATCATTCTTATGCCTTTGCTCCTCAATCTTATGAGTGAGAACATATGATGTTTGGTTTTCCTTTTTCTTTTTCTTTTCTTTTTTTTTTTTTTTTTGAGATGAAGTTTCACTCTTGGCCAGGCTGGAGTTCAGAGGGCAATGGCGTGATCTCTGCTCACTGCATTTCTGCCTCCCAGATTCAAGCGATTCTCCTGCCTCAGCCTCACAAGTAGCTGGGATTACGGCACCTGCCACCACGCCCAGCTAATTTTTGTATTTTTAGTAGAGACAGGGTTTCACCATGTTGGCCCGGCTCAAACTCCTGACCTCAGGTGATCTGTTTGCCTTGGCCTCCCAAAGTGCTGGGACTACAGGCGTGAGCCACCATGCCTGGGCAGTTTTCCATTTCTGAGTTACTCTTTAAAAAAAAAAAAAAAAAAATATATATATATATATATATATATATATATATATATATATATATATGGTAATCTTCAAATTTTATGTTGTTGAATTTCTAAAGTAGAATGCATAGGAGACTGAAATATATATCTAAGTAAATTAAAACTAACAGAAGCAGTGAGATTTGTAAAGTATACAGACCCTATGCCTCTGGCCTGACAAAATAAGTACAGCCAAGTAATTTGTGTTTCTCTGAATCACCGGGGGTTGATGAACTGAGGAAATTGGAAGTGGGTCTAAAATTAATCCCTCATTCATTCTATGGTCTGCTCTGATGGTCAAAATGAGAAAGAAGATAGATTGTGCAAATGGCAATATGAATAATTTCACATTTTCTGAGCAATTAGAGAAACAAAAAATAAAATTGTTATTTGGTCGTACATAGTAGAAAGAAAAACAAGCACTTAGGCCCAGGATAGAAATGGAAATTAGTGCCTTTGGAACAGAACATGGCTAGATTTATCTTAACTTGAAGAGAATTTTCTAATTGTACACAGTAGTATACTCTTCCTAAAATATCCATCAGCTAACAGGTGCTGGTCTGTATAAAAATCACTTTATACACTCCTTAAAAAATTGAAATTTCCAAAATACACAAATATATGGAAAGAGAAATCACATTAGTTTCCACTGGCTGCAGAAAATAGGAATAGGAAATGAGGGCTTAATGGGAATAAGGTTTCCCTTTGGGGTAATAAAATGTCCTGGAACTAAACAGTAATGGTAGTTGTACAACACTGTGAATGTACTTAATACCACTGAATTGCCTGGGTGCGGTGGCTCACGCCTGTAATCCCAACACTTTGGGAGGTCGAGGCAGGCGGAACACTTGAAGTTGGGAGTTTGAGATCAGCCTGGCCAACATGGTGAAACTCCATCTCTACTAAAAATACAAAAAAAAAAAAAAAAATTAGGTGGGCGTAGTGGTGCATGCCTGTAATCCCAGATGCTTGGGAGGCTGAGGCAGTAGAATCGCTCTAACCTGGGAGGTGGAGGCTGCAGTGAGCCAGTATTGCACCACTGCACTCCAGTATAGGTGACAGAGCAAGACTCCGTCTCAAGCACACAAACAAACCAACAAACAAATAAAACACTGAAATGTACACTATATAATGATTAAAATGGTAAATTTCATGTTAGTATTTTACCACACACATACAAACTGTTAAAAAGATACAGTTGTCTGGCCACACATCTGAAAAGTGGGTAAATATAAATGCCCAGGAATAAGCACTTTAAAATTGAAAATCAGATTTTGAAATGCAGCTACTTTTGTGAATCACTACTTCTACATCTTATTCTTCAGGTTTATCAAGAGTTTGGATAAAATTACAGAGGTTGTTCTGGTTATCTATTGCTATATAACAAATCACTTCAAAACGATGACTTAAAACTAGAGCAAACTTGTGCTTTGATGGTGGTTCTGGAGGTTGGACCCATTTGGAAGTTCATGCTTGTTCTCTCTCTTGACTTTGTAGTCAGAAGGTGGTCAGGGCAGGGGTCGTCTTGCAGTAGTCACATAGCACCATTTCCCCCTTATCCTGTTAGTTGACACAGCCACAAAGGCACTCCAGAGTTCAGAAGGAACTCTTTACAAAAGAACTACTGGGATGGACAATGTCATTGCATCCATATTTGAAAAATACAACCTGCTAGAGGGCATACTTTTCAAACTTGTAGTGAATATGCACTCGAAACTCCAGAATATCTACAAACCTGAGTTCAAGATCACAAGATGAATCTGACTTACAGGTATATGCTGTTTCTTACACAATCTAATCACCTACATATAGAGAATGAGAAAGCATAGCAGCAGCATGGAACACAATGGCTTGAGTTAAAGGCTGTAGCAATGTCATTCAAGGTATAATAAGATAAAAATTTAGTTTAATGTATGCTCTATTCATACCAAAAATGAAAAAAAAAGCTTCCTTTTTCTATGCCTTGGTCAGATCACACTTGTAGCTTGTACTATGGAGTTTGATAAGTGAGCATTCTTGTATTCCATTTAATCTGCTGCAAGTTCGTTATGTGTATATTGTTTTATTGAACGCTCCAAAAATTTCCTAAGCATTTTCTTAATCTTAAACTTTATTTCCTCTTCTTTGAAATAATGGTGCAAGAAATATTGCATGCTTACAGCCTTCTTTGCTCCTATCCTGCAAAATATGTAAGGTTATTTCTTAAAGATTGAATCATAGAATTAAAATTACTTTGTCAAAGGGTATCTTTTATACATCCTTTTCATTTTCTATAAGCACTTATTTCTTCTGTAACTATTTGTTTTGAGTTGCCCTGCACCTATATCACTGGCCAGTTATATTCACCTGCACTGGAAAAGTGTATTAACTATAATGCATATATAGTCATATTAGATCCTTAAAACTGCCCTGGGACATAGAGCTTATTTTGTATTATATTTGTTACAGGTAGTAGATAAGGAAAACAGGATTTAGAGAGGTCTAGAATTTTGCCTAATCTTACCTAGATCACAGAGCCGGGAGTCTGGATATGCTGACTCCAAAAGCTAATATCATTCTAGTATACTGTGCTGCAAGATATATGAATGATGAAACTGCAGCATAGAGTGGCTACACTGAATCACAAAAGTTACAGAGCACCTAAGTTTTAGGCTAGTCTGTTTGATGTTCTCTCCAGGCGTGTATGTTTTCCGTAGCACTAAAATAGGAATTTATATGTATTTCTTTCCAGAGGGGGGAAAAAGAAGTGAAGACTTTTAAATAGATGGTAGAATTACCTCTATTTTATGAAATAATTAAGAAACTTTTTTCTGAAACAAATATCTCATATTAATAAAATGTAAACGCTACAACACAACAAATAAAATATAACTCTTTCCTGAAGCCCTTTCATTTAGAGAACTTGGAGCTTAGCGTTAAGGGCTATAAGCTGCTTATTAATCTTACCAAATCAGCTTTCAATAAATATTGGTTTAACTGATTGAACATTTTGAAAATAATTCCCAAAGGTCCTTATATAGCAAATAATTTATTATTTAAACCCACACTTTATGTATAATTTGTGAATTATTGCACCTACTTTCTTATCATTTAAACCACGTAAGGGCCTGAGTTGCATGATTTAAAATCTTTGTAATTACACGGATACATAGTAGCTGTACATATGTATGGGGTACATGTGATATTGTGATACAAGCATACAGTGCATGATAAAATCAGGATAATAGAGGTATCTGTTACTTCAAACATTTATCATTTCTTTGTGTTAAAACGTTTCAATTCTACTCTTTTAATTATTTTGAAATATGTATCATTTTCATTTTGCTTGTTTGTTTGTTTTTTGCCTATTTTTTAGCTCTCAAAACCAGGAAATAAAAAATAATAAATCTCTGGGTTCCCTTTTGAATACATCATGTTTCTCTTGCAATTTCTGAGCACACCAGACCAAAAAAAAAATTTTTTTTCGAAAACCTGTCTCCATCTTTTTCGTATGTTTCATCTTTTTAAACTATGAAAGTTTAGGAATACAGGAGTACAAGTGCAGGTTTGTTACATAGGTAAACTGGTCATGAAGTTTTATTGTACAGATTATTTAATCACCCAGATATGAAGCCTAGTAACCATTAGTTATTTTTCTTAATTCTGTCCATCCTCCCAGCCTCCCCGCTCCAAAAAGCCATGTGTGTTCTTCCCTTCTATGTGTGCATGTGTTCTCATGATTTTGCTCTCACTTATAAGTGAGAACATGTAGTAGTTGGTTTCCTGTTCTTGTGCTGGTTTGCTAATTATAATTGCCTCCAGCTTCATCCATGTCCCTGCAGAGGATATGATCTCTTTATTTTTTTATGGCTGCATAGTATTCCGTGGTGTATATGTACCACATTTTCTCTGCCTAGTCTATCATGGATGGACATTTAGGTTGATTCTATATCTTGGTTATTGTGAATGGTGCTGCAGTGAACATACACATGCATGTGTCTTTATAATAGAATGATTTCTATTCCTTTGGGTATATACCCAGGAGTGAAATTGCTCGGTTGAATAGTATTTCTGTCTTTAGATCTTTGGGGAATTGCCACACTGTCTTTCACAGTGGCTGAAACAATATACATAACCAGCAACAGTGTATAAGTCTTCCTTTGTCTCTACAACCTTGCCAGCATCTGTTATTTTTGGACTTCTAAATAATAGCCATTCTGACTGGTGTTAGATGGTATCTCCTTGTTTTTTGTGACTTTCATTTCTCTAATGATCAAGGATCTTGAGCTTTTCTCATACGATTTTTGGCCACATAGATATCTTCTTTTGAAAAGAGTCCGTTTATGTCCTTTGCCCACTTTCTTCTTACAGGGTTGTTTGCTTTTTTTCTTGTAGATTTGTTTAAGTTCGGTGTTAGACCTTTGTCAGATGCATAGTTTGCAAAAATTTTCTGCCATTCTTTAGGTAGTTCATTTACTCTGTTGATAGTTTCTTTTGCAGTGCAGAAGCTGTTTAGTTTAATTAGTTCCCATTTGTCAATTTTGGGGTTTGTTGCAATTGCTGTTGGGATCTTCATCATGAAATTGTAGCCCATGCCTACATCCTGAATGGTATTGCTTAGATTGTCTTCTAGGGTTTTTAGAGTTTCAGGTTTTACAATTAAGTCTTTAATCCATATTGAGTTAATTTTTGTATATGGTGTAAGGAAAAAAAGAAAATAAATAAAAACAACAAAGACAATACGAGAAACCTCTGAAAGTACAAAGAAAAGATGATATCCAAAGTACCTGAAAATAAAATTTCCTAAATATCAACTGCAGAGCAACTGTAAAATATTTCACCAGTATGAGAAGTGAATAAAGAACTCAGAATTACATGTAGGGTGAAAAATAAATGAAGGATAAAATAATGAGATACCATTTAACTTACTAAAAATGGAAGTGCTGCTTAATTAACAGATGAGTGGAATTTATAAAATCCCAAGTTGTAAAAAATGATGTAAGTTTTCCATTTCTGATTAATAAAGGACAATTCTTCTAATGCTTTCATTAAAAAAAAAATTGTCTCCAGAAACAATCTATGTGGAATTTTTAAAATCCGATGCAGATATACTATGAAATTTTACTTAACATCTTCAAGTTTACTAAAAATATAACTATAAAATGACTCTTTCTTAAAGTGTAGCAGGATATAAGATGAAAACATAGAACAAATTGTACTATTTGCACCATTCCTTCAAACATTTTAGTTTCTTTGTTTTCTTTGTTTTTTGCTTTGGTTACTTTCCTAAATTAAAGCCAGCACAGTAGAAGGGATCTTGGATAATCAGAATAATGGCAGTGGGCAGGAAGTTGGGAATATTTTTTTCTCCCCAGAGTAGAATAAATTGTCACAACTTCTTGAGTCTTCAATAATTTTCTTCATCATTCTTTGCTTTACATGGCATCATACTCAGAAGAAATAAATCTAATACATGGCTCAAAAGGGGTGGATCAATGTCTTCAGTTAGCCTTATGTTATGGATATTATATTATGGCCCCAGAACAAAATTTGCCAATCTCTCTAGCCAGAGCAATTTCTTTGATAAATAAAGGAGGTGGTAGTTGAGCTACTGAACTCACCATTTCTATATGAGTCCCTAGTATGGACATACACATTCTAATTTTAGTGTGGACTCAGGAGATAAGGGATCCTATAATAATAAGAAAAAAATGTTTCAGGATAAAATCAAGTTGATATCAACTTGATATTATATCTTCTCATCAATATCTTTCCATCAATAGCATCTCTGTCTAAAGAAACAACAGAATATCATACAGCAGAATGAGGAAAAAGCTGATCTTCAGAAAATGAGGTTTGCATCTAACATCTGTTCGAGGGCTACTTATTTAATCTCTAAAGAATCAGTTCCCCCTTGGTAAAATGCATATAGTTTTTAGAGCTGCAATTATCTGTCACATTGATGGTACTTTTTTACTGTTCCCTTGTGTATAAATACTCAAGTGGTATTTTACATGGTTATTCTGTTATGGATTAAGCATCTAAAATTCAATGGTAACCTCAAGACACAGTGCTTCTTCAAAGAGACTGAAATTCAATTTATATTTTCTCTCAAAATAAAATTGTGAAAATATATTCTTTATTATAATTTTTAAATGAACACAACTCAGTATTTTCTTTCATCAAATGAGGACCTCAGAAAATAAAGTCAATTATCTTATATAAAATAGATGTCCAACAGTCCTCTTCTAAAATTTAATGTGTGTCTGATTTAGATGTTATAGATATAAACAAAATATCTTATATAGAATAAATGTCTTACATCCCTCTTCTAAAATGTAATATGTGTCTGAATTTAGATGTTATAGATATAAACAAAACAGATTTTCTAAACAAATGAATAAATGGAAGGTACTAAAAAAAGCTTATTAAAAACTATTTTTATTATCTCCAAGAGTCTAAGAGTAAAATAAAGAGGTAGTATTTCATCCTAGCACTTTCTACAAATACTGCTCCTGTTTGTCATAAACAAGCAGATATGATTTAGCACTGACAATTCTAATAATATGAAATCTAATGTCAAAATCACTCCTTTAATTGTTTCTACTTTGATATGGAAGATAATAAACGCTTCCCTCTCTAAACTTTCCATCTATATAAATTTTATACATTTCTAATTTGAAATTCCATTTCCATTAGAATTCCATTGAATTCCAATTCCATTAGAAATGTATAAATTAGAAATGGAATTTTATATCAAGATTTTTAAAGCATGTTTTATAGTATTCTTATGACAATACTTTTATATGAAAACATATATCAGGAAATCTATTTTCTATTTGCCATGCATTTCAAAACACAATATAGTTTTACAATGATATTCTGAACACAGACCAAATCCAAACCAGTACCCAAATTTTAAGTCATTGATTAGAACACTATTTAATCTGTACATTCATAATAAATTATTTTTTATATTTGTTACCATGAATGAAAACATAAACAAATCAAACCATTTGATGATTCTGAATACCTTTTGTTTCCATATGTTTTAGTGAATAATTATTTTAAGAAGATAGAATCTCTGTATTAGTGCTTAGCATGCTGAACAAAAATCCATCAGAAGTTAATTCCCATGAGCACAGGGTATTTTGTATTGTTTTCTTATCTCAGAGCCTTTAATAGTGCTTAGCACATGGTATGTGCTCTCTCTTTCTGTCTATCATCTGTCTGTCTATCTATCCATCTATCTAAAAGTATGACTAATTAATGGATTAAAAATAACATTTAATGAGCACTTCATTGTCTTTCCCTGACATGAACGTTAGTTGCTTAAACTCTATCACAGCTATAAAAACATATGGAAGGATACGTATATGGACACACACACACACACACACTCGACATGATCTCTAGGCCTAATTTTAGCACAGTTTGCCACTTCAGACATTTTTTTGTACCTGATATCTTTTTGCAACCTCACTCTCCTGGTTTTATCTACCTTACTGGTTGCATCTTTTGTTTTGGTTTTCATGGCTGGCTTCTCTAGCTCTGTTTGAACTTACATGTTTAAATGTTCTATCTCCCTAAATAAGTGTTACACACCCACTCCCAGAAGATGATATATACACCCTTATCATATACCTATGCCATTTTAGAACATTCTCTGAATGCTGAGCATTCTAATTAAGATCATCACTCTACTCAATTGTTGGCCAAATTAAAGAGTGGTCATGATGTTTCTAGCAAAAACCCCTACCTCTCCTCCTCTGCTAATCCTCAGAGCCTTACCAGAACTATCTCCATGAGATTCTTTATTCTAATTTAATTAGATCACCATAAAAATTGTGAGGGACTCCTAGATCATCCATACTACTTTTCACTCTAAGCCACATAGGATTTTGTGTTTTGTTTTCTGATCCTGTTTGTCTGTTGTGCCTTTGATAACTCCTAGTCAGTCATTCATTATCCCCTATATCCACTATCTTCCCTCTAAGCAATCTTTTCATTAATTGATCTGAGTGGAAGCTGACTTTTGGTAAGTTTTGCTCTTCCTACAGTCTCAAGAGCAGAGATGCTTTGTACTCCAGCTGATTCCTTTCAGCTAGCTTAGAGGAGGGGCAGATGTTCTGTTTGTACATTATTGCTGCTTTCTGACCACTCGCTCTCCAGCTTTCTGTTTCAAATCCATGCCACCAGATAGCATGACACATCATCTCTCTTTATTAAAGTTATCTGTGGAGCTGATTTCGTTACTTTTAATTTTATAAGGACTTTAGCTCAGAAAAGACAAGACTATGACACTCAAAGAAAAGTCATAATTATATACTTTTGAAAGGCCTCAAAAAGTTTGTTCATTAAATCAATGATGATGCATACATATTTTGTTGAGAATTTAACACTATTTCTATAATTACCACATGTGCACTGAATATTCATGAAAATTATCTGAAGTGTTCTTAAATTGTACTTCTGTATCAAATAGAATCATAATTTTGATAAGTTAAATAACTAAAATGGTAGTCCATAGATATTTACTATTTATTGTCTTTCTTTGGGCTCTTCTACATAAATCTCTTGCAATGGATTAAACATATGTGACACATTATAGCCTATGGATTGTGAGTAGAAGTGGCATATGTCACTCTTGGACCAAAGCATTTAAGAGCTAGTATGTCATTTCACAGTCTGTCTCTTCCTCCATTGCAATGACCTAAGGATATACATGTTCTATTGTTAAAGCATCTGTCAGTTTGTTCTATGAAGGAATATGTGAAACAAAACTCTTTATCAAAATTTTTTGAATAGGAATAATTAGACATAAACTATTTTCTTTATTAAGTAATTGAAAGTAATGGGATAATTTGTTACTAAAGTAGCTAATTCTTTCCTGATTAAGATGGCATAGTGGTCTCTAGCTCTGGATGGTTATAACTCCTGTCAATTCTTTTGATAATGTAGTTTCTGGTAAATGACACAGTTTAGTCTACATTCTGAGCTTTTGGTCTTTTTTAGACAATGTTTTCAAGCAACTCTATTGCATTTTCTTATAAGATTCATGCTCCCACTGCCCTAATAGGCTAGTATATACCTTCTCCTCTCTCCTCTCTCTCAGATATCTGCATCCCTTTATTTATTCTCAGCTGATGACCTTACTTTGTATTTTTCTGAGAAAATGGAAGCTGTCAGAAGAATCTGATCCCAATACCTCTTTGTTAAACTGCGTCTCTAGCACTCTGATGTGCTTTTCTTCCTATTACTATACATGATTTCTCCATGGGACTCTCAAAGAACATTTCCTCCGGTGTACTGGATCACATCACTTGTTCTTTATTCAAAGTTATTATTTCAAAATATCTCCAAAAATAAAATTACTTCAGATTTTCTGCATCTTCTATTTTTCCTCTCAAGCAAATTGTTTCCATAAGTATAAAAATATGTACTTATTTCTCTCATCTTAAAAAAAATCTCTTTTAACTTCAATTTTTTCTAATAATTCATTTATCTGTTTCATTTTACATTTAAAAAATTTTAAATTGTTGTTCTTAATCTTTGCCTGTCATTTATCTCCTCCCATACTATTTATAAACTCCTAAAATCACTTTTTTATACCCAATACTCTTCTAAGCTTGCTTCTTAAAGTAACAAATTATCTCCATACTCTTAAATTCAATTGTCAATGCAAACCTAAATTTTACTTGACATATGAAAAATACACGGAAGTTTGTTGGTCCTCCCTCCTGAAAATATTTTCTATATCTGGCTTTCAAAATACCACATTATTGGTTTCTCTTTTACCTCAAATATCATTTTTTCCTCAGGCTTCTTGCTGGTACTCCTTCTTTATCCTGGATTCTTTGAGTTTGTCTGGGCTCTGTCCTTATGGCCTGTGTTTTCTCTGCAGGCATTTACTCACTTTCTGATCACATTCAGTCTGAACACTTAAAGGCACCTATATGTTGATGTTTTCCAAATGTGTATCTCTATTCTGAATTCCAGATTATTGATATTCAGCTGCTTACTTGATGTATTCATTTCAATTTTTATACATACATATATATATATATATATATATAAAATGTATATTACTCAGGAAACCACTCTGGTGATTATTTTATCATATGTTAGGTGCTTCATACAAAAATACAGATATTTTTGTCACCAGTGCAAAGGAGAGAACTGGTCAGTCACACGTCGACTCTTACATAATTTGGTTTGAAAATGACACACATCATTTTCAATCACAGCCCTTCAGCAGAACCAATCACCTGGCTCTGTGTAAATACAAGAGGACTGGTAAATTGGGGGAGCACATGGATATTTGGTGAGCAGCAAATGTCTCAGCCATATCTGCATGCTAATAAATTCCATGTTTCTATTTGTGGAGCTCAACGTTTTCTAGGACCTGCTCTGGTACTTCCAACTTTAATTGTGATACGTTTACATGGATGTACTTTAGCTATCTCAAACTTACAAAATTAAAATGGATATCTTTATGTCTTGCCCCACTTACTTATATTTTTTTATTCCAGTCTTCATTATCCCAGTCAACTGCACATTTACTAGAATCAAAACATAGGAGACAGACTTGGTTACTTTCCCTCTCTGTACATTCAATCTGTCAGTATGCTTGACTTTATTTCTAAAATAAATACTTCATCAATTTTAATTAATGTTATTTCCACCCTGGACTAAGCCACCATGACCTTGTAACTAGCCATCTGTCACAGCTTCCTAAGAGGTCTTCTTTTTTCCTTTTACTTTTTCTTAAATGGATCCTTCTCAGAGCAGACAGAATCATCATAATGAAAATAAAAGCATAGGCTCTTATTTAGGTCAATATATGACCATCTTCCATAGAACCAGTGATTAAGAGTTTGACTCAAAGTTAAAACTTTGCCTTATATATAAGCATTAATTTTATGTTTATTTAGAATATCAATAATTTATTCAATATTATCTAATAAAAATAGCATTTATGTAGTTTAAAAATGGAGATTATACTGGGAATATTTGCCAACTGGATAATTTTGTAATGATAGAAATTTTTGAATATTACTTAATGTCAAATTGTTATTCATTCACTATGGAAGTATCTTTTGAGGACCAAAATGGGCTGGATACTTGACCAAATTCTGCAAGAAAAAAGGATAATAAATGTAGGTAGAAGCATGCATGATGTATTATGCACATTTCATAGACATAATGTATATTACCTATCCAGTCCTTTGGCAACTGTGATGATCTGCATGCTGTGCCTGATTTGAGAGTGACAAGAAGTGGTATGTTGAGGAAGATTCATCAGAGCAAGTATTGAAATGAGAGAAGTTCCCTTGTCCCCTCTCAGGGCGTGCAACAGGGCAGGTGGCTCCCTTCTTCAGTGCTCCGGTGCTCAAACCTCTAGAGGAGCATACAGACAGGCAGGCTGTGGAGCTCCAACCCCATGGTAGTGTCTAGGGGTAGATGGTTACAGCCCCTGTAGCCCCAGTGGGTGTGTGCTACTGTGTGCTCTTTCAGTTTTGCCGTCTATTGGTGGCTTGTGTTAACCAGCTCAATTAGACCCTCTACCTTGTCACAAGGACAGAGGGCTATCTGTATCTCGGTTTTTGCCTTGGTGTACCAGAAGAATCGGATCACACCTGGGCTTAGAGAATGATTGCAAGGTCTTATTGAGTGGAGGTAACTCTCAGCAGATGGAAGTCAGAGGGGATGTAGTGGGAAGGTTTTCCCCTGGAATCGGGCCACTCAGCGGCCTGGGCTCTCCTCAGACAGACCCAGCCAACTCCGTATTATTCTGCTTCTGCGTGTTGCAGACCTGCCAGCATGCAGGTGCCTGTCAGTGCGTTCCTCTTGACATCCAGCCGCCCTTGTGTTCCTCTGATGTGCTCCCCTCAACGTCCAGCCACCTATGTGTCTGCCTGCTAGGGTGTTGGGGTTTTTATAGGCACAGGATGGGCCATGGCAGGCCAGGGTGGTCTTGGGAAATGCAACATTTAGGCAGAAAAACAAAAGTGCCTGTCCTCGCCTAGGTCCATGGAGGTGGAGCCCTAGCCAGGGACCACACCCTCCCCTACCCAGCACTTCCTTTCCCTACTTCTGTATCATTTAAAGGGACCACCCCCTTCCCTTCTCTGCACTGCCATATTAGTATCATTTATATCATTTAACGTTGGTTAAGCACTTTTTAAGCATAGGATAAACATATTTCAAAGCATAGAGACATGTTGGAGACATGGACAGCAAGTAGGATATTTGAAGAATCTGCAAATAATGTGTTAAGTCTGGATAATAGAAGATAGGGTCAGAGAAGATGTCTCTTATAATATTACACAAGAGTTAAAAGTAGAGGAATAAATAAATCTGAAAAAGCTATCTATTTGTTTTAATAATGTGAAATATTCATAAAGACTAAGCACTTCTAGATAGAGTAACTAAATTTTAGTAGAGTAACTTCTACTAAAATTACCAAATTAGATTTTTGACTTCCTGTGTTATTACAAATAATATTTTAACAGCTTTATAAAGGTACACTTTTCATAAAATGTACAGCAATATTTAAGGTGCACAATCTGATATGTTTTAACATATGTGTACAACTACAGAACCATCACAATAATAAAGGTATTAACATATCTGTCACAGCCAACATTTTCCTTTCGTTTTTTTATAATCTCTGCCTTTGCTATGTTTTCTTCCTACCCCTTCTTATTCTGTTACTGATATAAGGAGAATAAAAAACAGTATTCCGGGAGAATGACTAGAGGAGAAAAACAGAATCCTCTTTGTGAAAGTTGAATGAACGAAAACTCTGCATGAACATTAGTTGTCTCCTAAGAAAAAAAGAGAATAAATAAATGTAAGAGACAGCCAGTATATAAAACAGCATGGTCTCAAAAAGAAAAACAAAAAACAAAACAAAACAAAAAAAAACAAACAGCATGGATTGCGTGTGTGTTAACAGGAAAATGTTGAACTTTAAATAGTTCTCCCTTCAGTTTGATAAACATGAAGTTCAAACATTCTTTAAAAAACTGTATTGTAATAATATTCCTTGATGAACTAGAGTCTACTTCTATAGACCAATACATTTTTCCAATTATATCACTGTTATTGTGTTTTGTGTAATATTGTTATTGACAAAACATTTCTGACATAGAAGTTTACTATAAGGGCATAATCCACATCAACTACAAATCATGACAATAGACCTGCCACGATAAGTATTTCAGATTTTATTTATCCTAGGTTTTTATTTATTGCCTGAGAAAGTCATAAGGGAGAAACAAACTGCTTACCTCCTTGAGTTAATTTGTGTTGACAGTGAGGACTATGACACTAAACAGAAACCAGGGTAGGTCTGTGCTATGGTTATAGGGTAGATAAGTAGGAAAAATGATAATAAAAGCTTTATCAACACAGCGTCTTTAAAATGATTATATTGTATTTTGTTGTGGTTAATATTTAAAGCTCATCTTCCATAATAAAAATACAGATTAGATGCAATCAAGCTTATGAAAACACATTGTAAAATATTTTTTGTTATACCTATTATATTTATAAGACACCAAATAAAGTAAGAATTTGGACAGTATCTGCGTTTTTCCTTAAATGAAATTAAACATAATTAAATCTATGGAATTATTAGGAAAAAAATATCATAAAATGTTCAAGTAAAGTCTGAAGCTGGGTGCGGTGGCTCATGCCTGTAATCCTAGCACTTTGGGATGCCAAGGCAGGCACATCGCTTGAGGTCAGGAGTTTGAGACCAACCTGGGCAACATGGTGAAACCTATCTCTCTCTACTAAAGATACTAAAACTTAGTAGGGCGTGGCAGCACGCCCCGATAATCCCAGTTACTTGGAGGCTAGGGCAGAACAATCTCTTAAACTCGGGAGGCAGAGGTGGCAGTGAGCTGAGATTGCACCACTGAACTCCAGCCTGGGCAACAGAGTGAGACCCTGTCTCAAAAAAAAAAAAAAAGTCTGAATAATGCACTGTAGAATAAAGTGAAATTACGCATTCAATCTCAACATCTAGAGATTTTTGGAATATGAGTTTTCCTCACTGAATAGGCAAATAAGTTTGTGAAAACAATTAGTCTAGTCTTTCCATATACAATTGTAAAATAAAAATATTTTTTAAATAACTAGGTCTTAATGTGTGGAAGAAGCAGGAAGGGCACTTTTTCTGGCCTGGAGGAGTGTTCAGTAGAGATCTCTGCATTCTCCAGGAGAATCAAGTGATTGATAGTCATAGAAGACGGCTAATGTTTTAATGAATGCATACTTTATATACCTACAATTTTTATATTCCCAATGGGCATCTTACCACTTTTGGAATATTTCTGTGATAGATTAACATATGATTCTTATACCTAGTGGTTCTGAGAATGTAGACCCCAAAAGTTAGATTGTTAGACTAGATCCTCTGATAAGTAGATATCAAGACAAAATAAAATGTGCAAAGATTTTGTTAATGAGAATACTTGAGTAAGAGAAAATAGGGAAGTAATCAGACAAAGCTGGAAGAACTGTCGGATTAATGAGAGTTTGATCCTGAGTGAAGGAAAAAGAGAAAAAGTTAGGTGGAAGAATTTTAAAGCAGTTTGACAAGACTATGAGACAGTTTTTTATTCTTAATTAGAAGTCAAATATTTTTCGTACTTATTCTTTTTCCTATTTAAAGAAGTATTTTGGAATAAAAAATGATAAAACAACAATACAGAATATTTATAAAGTAAAAACTAATTCTCACATTTCTCCTACCATAGCTACTTTTTTTGTTATATTTTTTCAGTAGTCCTTCTTATGCATATTTTAAACATATTTTTATGAGCATGCTTGAAAAATCTGTTTTCTTTGTTTTAAAAATTATAGTAAAGTACACATAACATAAAATTTACCATCTTAACCATATAAAAATCCAGAAATCGATGTTATTTAGTACATTCACAATGTTGAACAACCATTACCAACCACCCATCCCCAGAGCTCTTTGATCTCGTAAAACTGAAAGTCTATTCCCAACAAACAATAACTTCCCATTCCTCTCTGCCCGAGCACCTGACAACCACTCTTCTTTCTGTTTTTATGATTTTGACTCCTGTGAGTACCTCATAAAAATGGGATCATTTGTCTTTTTGTAACTGGCTTACTTCTTTTAGCATAATGTCTTTTTTATTTTAAATTTAATTTATTTGTTTCAATTTTTACTTTTATTTTGTAATGTTTGTGCTTACACTGTAGGTAGGGGTGTACATGACATGTTTTGATACAGGCATGCAATGTGAAATAATAACATCATAGAGAGTGGAGTATCCATCCCCTCACGCATTAATCCTTTGAGTTACAAACCATCAAATTCCATTCTTTAAGTAATTTTAAAATGTACAGTTATTAGTTTCATGCATGTTGCAGCATGTTGCAGAATTTCCTTTTTAAAGGTGAATAATATTCCATCGTATGTGTATATCACTTTTGCTGCTCCATTCATCTGATGATAGACACTTGGGTTGCTTCCATATTTTGACTATTGTATACAATGCTGCTATGAATATGGCTGTATAAACATTTCTTTTAGATGTTACATTCAATTTTGAATATATGTACAGAAGTGGAATTGCTGGATCATATAAGAACACTATGTTTAACTTTTTGAGGAACTGTCATACTGTTTCCACATTGTCTGTACCATTTCACATTCCCATAAACAGTGTACAAGGATTCCAGTTACTTTATATCCTTGCCAACATCTGTTATTTTCTGGTTTTTGTTTTTTGTTTTTTTTTTAAAATTTGACAGTAGCCTACTTAAGGGGTATAAGCTTGTATATCATTGCAGTTTTGATTTGCACTCCACTAATCATTAGTGAGACTGAGCATCTTTTTTGTTACTTATTGGCTAGGGGTATATCTTCTTTTGAAAATGTCTATTAAGATTATTTGATCGTTTTTGAATTAGATTTTTTTGTTTTTTAATTATTGAGTTTAGATTTTCTATATACATTTGGGATATTAATACCTCATTACATGCAGCCACTCCTGAGTCTCCAAGGGGAACTGATTCCAGCACCCCCACAGAAACAAAAATCCACAGATTCTCAAGATTCTCAAGTCCCTTACATAAAATGACATATTTGATTATAACCTATCCACATCCTCCATATACTTGAAACCATCTCTAGATCACTTATAATATTTAATACAATGCCTACACATCACTTCACTTGCATGAATTCAATGTAATGTTTAGTGCACAACAAATTCAAGTTTTGCTTTTTGAAACTTTGTGGATTTTTTTTGGAGTATTTTTGATTGATGTGGAGGGCCTACTGTATATATAATCACATATCAGATGGGTTTTACTATTTCTGCAAAAAAATTCACTGGGATTTTGATAGGGATTGCACTGAATCTATATATTGCTTTGTAGTGTACTGGCATTTTAATAATATTGATTTCCAATCCACATACATAGGATGTGTTTTCATTATGCTTTCTTTTCTTTAATTCCTCAGTAATGTTTTGTAGTTTTCTTTGTAAAAGTATTTTACCTACTTGCTTAAGTTGATTGCTAAGTATTTTATTTTTTCAAAGCTATTATAAATGCAATTATTTTCATAATTTTCTTTTAAAACTGTTCATTGTTAATGTATAGAAATGCAACTGATTTGGGAGTGTTGATTTTGGATCCTGATACTTTGCTGAATTCATTTGTTAGTTTAAAGGGCACTGTGCATTTATGTGTGTAAAATCTTTAGTGTTTTCTATATATAAGATTATATCATCTGTGAACAAACAAAAATAATTTTACTTCTTTGTTTTCAATTTGATTATCTTTTATCACTTTTTTCTGGCTAATTGTTCTAGCTAGCACTTCATGTACTGTGTTGAACAGAAGTGGTGAAAGTGAGCATACTTACCTTGTTCCTGATCTTAAAGGTTTTTAGTGTTCTACTTTTGAGTATAATGTAGGTTTTACCTATACGGTATTTATTATGCTGAAATAATTTTATTTTATTTTTTTGAGATGGATTCTCACCCTGTTGCCCAGGCTGGAGTGCAGTGGCATAATCTCGGCTCACTGCAACCTCTGCCTCCAGGTTCAAGTGATTCTCCTGTCTCAGCCTCCCGAGTAGCTGTGCCACCATACCTGGCTAATTTTTGTATTTTAGTAGAGACAGTGTTTCACCATGTTGGCGAGGCTGGTCTCGAACTCCTGACCTCAGGTAATATGACTGCCTAGGTCTCCCAAAGTACAGGGATTACAGGCATGAGCCACCCTGCCCAGCCAAGTTGATTTGCTTATATTCCTAGTTTTTTGAATGCTTTTATCATGAATACTTTAAACACATTATTTTCTTAAACTACAAGAAAGAAGAAAATGAAGTGTGGAATTGCAAACCAAAGTTATAATAATACTAGCTTTTGAAATAATAATAGTTTTCTCAAAAATATTAATCTCCTTAGTCATGTAAAAACAGAGTAGAATTCTTTTAAAAAAGCATTGTTACTATAGCACTGACTTTTATAATTGCCCACACATTTATCTTTATCTGAATTTTTTTTCATGCAGCTTTTTGTTATTGTCTAGTGTTCTTTCATTTCACTCTGCAGGAGTCTCTTGAGAATTCCTTGCAGAGAAGGTCTACCAGTAGCAAACTATCTCGGCTTTTGTTTATCTGGGAATGTCTTAATTTTTTCCTCACTTATAAAAGACAGGTTTTTTAAATATAGAATTCTTGGTTCATTGGTCTTTATTTTTTTCTTTTAGCACTTTGACTATATTGCCCCACGGCATTCAGGCTTCCAACATTTCTGATGAGAAATCTGCTGATAATCTTATTGAATATCCCTTGTGTGTGAAGAGCTTCTTGTCTCTCACTGTTTGTTCTTTGTCTTTGACTTTTGAAAGTTTGATTACAATGTATCTCCACATGGTTCTCTTTGAATTCATCTTACTTTGAGTTTGATGAGCTTCTTGGATGTCTGTATTTATGACTTTTATCATTTGTGAAAATATCAGTAATTATTTTTAAAAATATTCCCTATCTCTTTCTCTGCCTTTTCTTCTTCTTAGATTTCCATAATGCCTATTTTCGTGAACTTGATGCCATCTCACAAGTCCTTTTATGCTCTGTTTACTTCAATTATTTTTATATTTCTGTCCCTCAAACTTGATGGCTTCTGTTGTCCTATTTTCAAGCTGTCTGATTCTTTCTTCTGCTTCTTCAAAACTTCCTTTCAATCTTAGTGGTGTTTTTTTTTTCATTTCAGTTATTGTGATTTTCACTTCATTTCATTGATTTGTTCACACATTATTTCCTTGATTTTTTCCATATCCCTTTAGTCCTTTGAGTATCATTATTTTTTATTATTATTATTATTTATTTTCAGATGGAGTGTCATTCTGTTGCCCAGGCTGGAGTGTAGTGGCATGATCTCAGCTCACTGCAACCTCTGCCTTCCACGTTCAAGTAATTCTCCTTCCTCAGCCTCCCAAGCAGCTGAGATTACAGGCATGAGCCACAACGCCTGGTTAATTTTTGTATTTTTAGTAGAGACAGGGTTTCATAATGTTGGCCAAGCTGATCTCAAACTCCTAGCCTCAGGTGATCTGCCCACCTTGGCCTCCCAAGGTGTTCAAAGTGTTAGGATTACAGGCGTGAGCCACTGCGCCCAGCCTTTTTGAATATCTTTTAGTTGTTTTTCTGTCCAGTGGAACTGCTATCAGGTCTTTTTCAAGAAGAGTTTCTGTTGATATTTTTACCCTTTGAATTGCCCATACTTTCCCATTTCTTTGTATGCCTTGTTGATTTTTTGTTGTTGTTGAAAACTGGACATTTATATATAATAATGTGCTAAAACAAAATCACGTTCTTCTTCTTTCCCATGGTTTGCTTTTTTAAATTGTTTTTATTCTTTTCGGTCTTTAAAGATTTTTGTAGGTAATCTCTGTGCCAAGAATCAGCCTACATTCTAAACTTAAGTTTTTTTTTCAGGTCTTTTCTATGCTTGTACCTTTACCTGACCATACATTTTAGTCACTTTCTAATTTTCCCCATATATTTACTTTCTTTTGAATGTCCTAATCATTAATATCCTGCACCCCAAAGTGGAAAAAGAAAAAGATGAAGGGGATGTGAAGAGGGAAGAAAGGTCACCCGTTCTTTAAATTTCTTGGAAGTCAATTCAGCCCAAGGAGGAGGGGCTTGCAACAGTGAGGGAGGTACAAAGATAATAGCCAAAGTCTCTTCGTCTGCACTTCTGTGTTTAGAACTGACAATCAGCAATAAGAACACAGCTCTCTAATATTTGGATAACAGGATTTTTTATGCCCACTCTGGCTCCTGCAGCTTGCTTGCAACTGCTTTAGGAACACATGCACATCTGCCTGCCATGAGGCTGGAAGTTGGGGAAGAATAGTTTCTACTGTGCTAACACCTGAAATTGACCAAAATTAACTGTAATTTACATGCAAGACTTCCTCTGAGCGTTGAAAGCCTTCCGAGTTCTAAAATACTTATGTTATACAGATTCTGCCACTGCAATTGTTCTCTGGGTAACAGATTCCTGGTGCCTTCTACTCCACCATCTTACCACAAATTTCTTGTGAAACCATTCTTGGAAGCTATAGCTGCCTGTCAGAGTAGTTGTGTGTCTTTCTGGAATATTTCTGACTGAGCACCCCTTCTGTGGTTTGATAATGGGTATTGAGCAGGGGAATAAGCCTCTGGAAAATATGACCTCAGCAAAACAGAACAAAGGAATTCAGAATGCAGATGCTGGGGATCTTAATAAACTGGATTTTCTACATTTGGAGGTCTTCATGTGCACATATTGACCTGGAAAATATGTATAATTATGTTCACAATGCTTCTGATTTCAGCTGTCACATCTGAGATCTTGCAAGTTGTCTCCCTCTTTTTATAATAAAAAAGCCAAACAAACTGAAAATCATGTTCCTAGACCCATCAGAGTACTGAAATTGAAGAATTATGGAAATAGTTGGCAGATAGTGGGAGCCAAGTTTCTCACCATTAGAGTAAAAGGGTAAAAACCAGCATGGGGGAAACTTACAATGATCTGTGTGACAACAGATTAGAATTGAAGACATTTGAATAAACACATGCTTAGCTTAAAACCTAAGCAGATGTAGATGGATGGATAGAAAGATAAATAGATAGATATATAGATAGATTAATATATTAATTAGTATGCATGCATATGTTTCTTTGCTCTGTCAATTGAAATGGCTTAGAAGCAAGGATTTCCCAATAGTAACAGGTCTATCCAGTGCCCTGATCTTGATTTTTAATATGACACTCAAGTATGAGAAATTAGGAATCTTTGGATAAATGGCTGATTCTAGGTCTGGGGCCAAGTATATATGATGTCAGCCTGAGACATCTTATAATACCACAAAATAAAAGAACTACTAAAAAATCACAACAACAATAACTAATCCTGGAGTATGTCAAAGATTCAGAGGAGCCAACTGAAAAAGCTCCCAGAGGTGGAAAAATTTGAGTGAGAAGATAATTTTTATATTCAAAAGGAACACATTATGATGTAGCTGCTAGAATCGAGGTAGTTAAGCTGTCAGCAATAAAAGGCCATTTGTTTATTCTTTTAAATTTTAGTGCTTATATTTATAAATGGGTCTCTTTTGTTTCATACGTTAGGCAGGGTCTTGCTCTGTCACTCAAGCTGGCATGTATTGCTGCAGTCATAGCTCATCCCAGCCTCAAACTTCTGGCCTCAAGAAATCCTCCTGCCTTGGCCTCCTAAACTGCTGGGATGATAGGTATGAGCCACCACATCTAGGATCCTTCTTTGTCACTTTATCAGCAAATCATTTTTTCCTTTGGGAGAGAACCCAATTCTCCTATATCCTATATATTTATTGATTTTTATAATAAAATATTTAATTCAAATAAGATCTGTTTGTCTGTATATATAAACTAAGAACTAATAAATGGAGAATTGTCAAATTTCCCTTGTAGAAGAATTTTACAAATAATTTACGTAGGTATTACAGACACAGAAAGTGGAACACAAAGTCTCTACTCCTTAGATGTGAACTTTTTTATAGCAACGGTCTTCCAAAGCGTACACTATGGAAAGAGAGAAAAGAAAGCATCTTTTTAGTGGAGAAAACTGACAAACACCACCTCTGATAGATGATCAAAGCTCAAATCAACAGTGATACATCATAATGACAGCACATAACTTTGATATGTGTAATGAAAAAGTCCGAGAAACTATCTTAGCCAAGAGGATCCGAAGAAGATATGACTATTAGATTGTGGTGAAAAGTATTAAAAATGAACAATAAATTATGAAGTACAGCAGTTTATACCTATACAGAAACTTGGTATATAACAAATTTAGCATTACCTTTCTGTCAAGAAAAGATAATTTTGGAATATTGATTATCAATGTAAAAATATAAATATTAAAATATAAGAATAAATTTTTCCTATCTTTTAATTATATGTCAGTTTTATTCTCTTAATAATTTACTTTTGGGGGTAGTGTTAGTTTTATTTTTCATTTTATGTAGAACTGTCTTCAATTTTATTTGCATCTTAAAACCTAAAATGTTGATGACTGAAATTGACTCTGTTATAGTGCAGGTACTCCTTGACTTACAGTGGGGTTACATCCCAATAAATCCATTGTTAATTGAAAATATTGTCATTTTGATTTATGACATTTTCAGTTTACAATGGATTTGGACATAATCTCATTGTTTGTAAATGGAGGAGCATACTGAATACTTACCGCTTTCACACCATCAGAGTCAAAAAGTTGTAAGTCAAATGTTCATAAGTAGGGGACTATATGTATTTTTTAAAGAGGAAATATTCTTTCCATAAGTGCTGAGTACTGGATAAGCCTATAAAATATTTTAGTAATCCAAGGATATCTCCCAAATGAACTTTTACTGAACTGTGTACACATTCCAGCCAATTGTTTGGCATGCATAACTTCTTTTTACTCTTAGAGTATCAATCTTCAAATAATATTTTCAAGAATTAAATCATCAAATAAGTTATCTACATTTATGATATTTTTGAATGTTTTTCCTAATTTGGATGCTAAAATATTGTAGGGACTCTCAGTTTTCTTCTATTTTTGTTCAAAAGATAAATTCATCCAAGTAAAAATATTAGCTCCACAAAAAGTTTCTCCCCACAAGTAAATATATTTCAAAGTTCAATTTAAAAAATAATGTGAGCACTTTTATATTTTAATTGCAATTTCCTGAAAGCTTCAGAAACTGAAATGTGTTAGTAAACAGCTTGTAGGATATATAGTCCTTAAAGAATTCCAACTTATTTTAAGAAAATCATAACATAAACTTGGAGAACTTTGTAAAATGGTTTCCAGTCATCACAGAACCCTTAAATTATTTTGAACATTTGCTTTATAAAGTTTCAAACATTTAGAGGAACATAAAAGAGAAAGCACATGATCCTAAATTTAAATCTCTTAATATTAAATATTACTTTTATAAAATGTAGTTTAATTTCATTTTTTGCAATTTTTTTATATGTTGAAAACTATATGTTCTGTTCTGGATGGCAGAATAATGCAGCTTGTTAGGACATAATTATAAATTATGTGTGCTTCACAGCCAATTGAAAGTACATTTCTCCTTGCTGTGCTTTGGATGTGGTTTGTCCCCACCAAAACTCATGTTAAAATTTGATTTTCAGTGGTGCAGTTTTGGAAGGTAGTGCCTAGTAGCAGGTGTTTGGGTCATGAGTAGATTGCCATACCAGAGGGGCAAGTGGGTTGTTAAAAAGATTCTGGCTCCTTGGTTTTTCTCTCTTGCTTCCTTTCTTACCGTGTGATTTCTTTATGCATAACCAGTGGCTGTTACACTTTTCTGTCATGTTTGACCTAGCACATGGCCCCCACCAGAAGCTAGCCAGAGGCAGCAATATGCTCTTGAATGTCTCAGCCTGCAAAACTGTGAGCAAAATAAAACTCTTTTGTTTATAAATTATCCCAGCCTAACGAATTCTGTTATAGCAACACAAAATGGATTAAGACAGTCTTCTATATTGTTTTTAGTTAACAAAGAACATGTATAAACTGACATCATAATGTTTACCTCATTTACTAGCATTTCAACTAAATGTTCAATATTATTAACAACGTCAGATTTTTTTCTCTTCAGTAAATTACCTTCCACAAGTTTTTGTTTTTTTTTTTTGAGAGTTTCACTCTGTCGCCCAAGCTGCAGTGCACTGCCTCACTGCAACCTCCACCTACCCAGTTCAAGCGATTCTTGTGCCTCAGCCTCCGAAGTGACTGGGATTACAGGTGTATGCCACCATACCAGGCTAATTATGTATTTTTAGTAGAGGTGGGATTTCACCATGTTGACCAGGCTGGTCTGGAACTCCTGTCCTCAAGTGATCCACCCACCTTGGACTCCCAAAGTTCTGGGATTACAGGCATGGCCACCACGCCTGGCCCAAAAAGCTTTTCATAAACAAAAGTAATAAAACATTATTTGAATTAAGTAGTAAATGATTTTTTATTTAAAATCTATGATGACACCGACATGAGTATCATTTAATTACTTGAGAATTTTATTTTCTGCTAATGCAGACAACTTTGACAGCAATCATTTCACTTTTTGAAACAAAACTTCTGAAAATGTGGGATAAACATGGAGTGATACTAATTTAGAACAGTCTTCTAATCTAAATAAAAAGCCATGCTTAATAGAATTGAGGCACCATGGTTAGGGTAAGATTGGAATTATAGCAGTTCTCACCGCAGAATCAGTGCCTGGCTTGTTTCACTTCCTTATGACAAGAGTAGGTCCAGGGACTTCAGCCTCTCTAGGCCTGTAGCCTTGCATAAACTATGTTTATAAGCAGCAGCCTTCTTTAAAATCGAGGACGTCTTATTCCTGCACCCAGTCCCAGATACTTACAGCCCAGGAGGCTTGTGGCTCCAGTCAAAGTTGCCCTTTGTTTTCTAACCCATGGAGACCTTGTATTTGTGGGGAATTAACATCTTTCCTCTTTTCCTTCTTACCACCCCTTCCTTCCTCCCTCCTTTTCTCCTTTCTTCCCTTCTCTCTATATCCTACTGTTTGTTTTTTCTTTCCCAATTTCCCAATATTATAATTCAAATGGAAATGAGGGCCCAACATACAAACTTTTGTCATCTTAACCGCAAGTCAACCCAATATTTTTGTATCTCAAACTTGAAAAAAATTAATATATAAATATATAATATATATAATAATTTCATACTAATACACATTATATATAATTTTGTATGTACTTATAGACATATGTGTGTATACATATACACAAAAGTATGTTTAGTGCAAAATGAAGGCATTAGCTTACCTGAACACATTTGGATTATCTATTTTTTTAGACATTTATGTATTCATACAACCTTAGAAAGAGTTACATTCTGGCTGTTTGCTCTCCAAGAAGGGAAATAGAAACCTTGATTTGTAATGATTGCTTTTTGTTGTGGTGTAAATACACCCACCATGGCCAATTTCAAGATACCAAAATGGCATTGCTGAATTCAGATTTTGGAAGAGATGGTCAATATTACATCATTGTACAGTATTTCTTCCATATAGGTATAATAGGCATAAAAATCTTAAGATCATAGATAATAAATAGCAAAATAACTAGGAAGTGGTGGTTTCTGTGTATTTATTACTTTAATTTAAAAAATAAATTATTTTTAAGTTTATATAAACATATAATTTTAATATTTAATAATAGCTCAGTTTAATAATTGGCTTGCAAAATTCCTAAAACTTCAACAATTGTCTCTAATGAGCTGGTATGAGCTGGCTCTAGTACACTATTACTTACATATTGAAATGATATATAATTTCAGAAGTATAGCTATTTGTGTCTATTTTTTTAATTCCAAATCACCCAAAATAAAAATGAAAATGTTTAAATCAGCACAATTTAAATAAAATGTCATAAAAAATAAAATAAACTCTCAATTATAGTGTTTATATTTACCTTCATATCACACATTAAGATGTATTTCTTAATCCAAAGTAAGCATGTTATTTTGGAAGACATGTCTTCACTGATACAGCACATAAGATTACTCACAATTTCTACTCTTCAGTGTGCAATGTAGAAAGTTTATGGCAAGAAATGAAGTTAATTTTACCTAAAAAGAAGAGATAGAATGTAATTTTGTCTTTTATGCCATCTGTGAAATTCTGAAGGTGAGAATATTTATAGTCATAAAATATTTGCTCTTTCTTCTGGCTTTTCCTTGAATATTATTAAAACATGTTACTGAGAACTAATACTGTTTCCAATTGTTCATATTTCATGTTATTCCCACTTGTGTTATTAAGCAATTTACATTTGAAACATTTATGAAACATTATTATTAAAGAGTAGGTTATTCATTAATTCAAATATATTTCCTATCCACTTTGAGATACTTGCTGATTTCATCATTTTCATATTAATTTAATTTTGATTCATTTTAATCATCTTATGTAATATTCCTTACTGTCTATAGGGATATTTTCATTTATTTTATATTATAACCTAAAGCATTCAAGTATGTAGTGGTTATCATAACAACCTGTTATTTTCTGCTAGACAATGTTGCAGATAAGACATAAAATGTCACTAAAATCATTCCTCAAAATTAGAGTAAATAGCAAAAGATGCAATATTCATACATGGTTAAAATAAGAAAAAGTTAAGTAAGAACTGAAATAAATACTGCATGGGATATTTTATTCAGTAGTTCTTTTTCAATATTATACATAATTGAGATCATTATAATTTGAGGAGAAGCTTTTGATTTTTCTCCTCACCACTAACTGCTTTCTAAACTTGCAGTGAATAAATTGCTTCACTTAGCATTCTGTGCAGTTGGAGATGATTCTGCTAACCGATGTTGAGGTGTATGAATGATACCCGCAGGGTACCATCAGCAATATGATACACTTGAGTTTTGTTCAGTGAAAAAATGTATAATTGCATCAAAGAGGAAGTTTCTAGAGGGCACCTACGACGTGCAGGATAGCCATGAAAAAAGATAATCTATGTAAAAAAAACCATGGTAGCAAAGGAATAGTGTTAAAATTTTGCAGTTAGCTTATTTTTCCTTCACAGAAATATTCATGATCTACTTTCTGTCACTACCCATTAATTTTAACTTCATAAAAAATTTTGAGAAATAACACCATATAGTATGTACTCTGTTGTTGGCTTTATTCATTCAAAGTAATTATTTTGAGATCCATCCAAGTTGTCATGTGTATAAATTTTTCACTCCTTTATTGGACAAGTAATATTCCATAATCTCAATGTATCACAAAAGGTTTACTGTCATCTATGCATGGACATTGGTATATTTTTAATTACTGACTTTTACAAATAAAGCTATTGTAAACTTCACTTTGTAAACAGGTCTCTATATCAACACAGATTTTCATTTCTCTTGCTTAAATGTCTAAGATAGAAGTGGCTAAGTCATCATATTGCTGCAGCTTAAGCTTTAAAGTATACCATCAGTTTTAGAGTTTAAGTTGCTCCATGACTGACACAGTCAGTCATTATTTTTAGCCATTCCAACAAATATGTAACTAAATCTCATTTTGGTTTGAATTTTTATTTCCATTATGATGCTGTACATTTTTTCATATACTCATTTACTATCACTATAAATTCCTTGCCAAAAAAATTTAAATATTTGGTCAATATTCATTGGGTTGTTTATTTCCTAACTTTGGAGACTTGATTACCATAGGAATTTCTATATTTTTAAACTTTTGTTTTGAAATAACCTCAGATTTAGAGATGAGTTGTAAATACAATACAGAGAGCTTCTATACAGCCTTCCCCTAATTCTCCTAAAGTTAACATCATATGTAATCATGATGCATTTATCATAACTATGAAACTAAAATTGGTACAATACTATAAATCACAGACTTTATTCTGATTCACTATTTTTCCACTAATGTACTTTTGTAGAGTATTGGTTAGGTATTTTGCACAATGACCCTTAATTTGGATATCACTGATGTTTTCTTATGATTAGATTGAAGTTTCATAATTTATGGAAGAATACCGCAGAACTAAAGTGATCTTTTCAATGCATCATCTCAGAGCGAGAATGATGGCTTTTTATGGATGAGTTAAATTTGACCACTTGGTCATGGTGGTGTCTACTACATTGTCCCACTTTATTTTTCCCTTCCCATTCTATTGGTTAGAGGAGCATCATTAAGCTGGCCTACACTCAAGTGGAGGAAAACTAAGCTGTCACATCTGGAGTAAGAACTATCAAAGAGTTCCTGACATATACTAAAGTCACACCACAATTAATGAATATTCCTTTTACTCGAGTGTTCAAAGTCAATACGAATACAATATGGTTTCTTAATTTCTAATCAGTACTCCTATGAGAAAAAATACCCCCAAAAAGAATATTTACATACAATTATTTTTCAGTTTTCCCCTCATAGTGTCTGATTAAAATGCTATTTTCCAGAGTTAGCTCCTTTATTCTCACTTTTTAATGGTGTTATAACATAGTATATATTTGTAAAACAATGAGATTCATTTGTCACAGTATGCATTTCTTCCTGTGAAATACCCTAATGCTCATTGATTTGATTTTAATTTTCATGCAGGAAAGTTCATTCTTTGTGGTGCACAGTTCCATGATTTTTGACAAATCTAAATTGAAATCTAGAGTTAGAGCCATGCATCTACCATCCCCACCCATGATCATTACTTCCCCTGAAAATATTCCTTGCATGACACTCCTGTACTTAACTATTACACCCAACTATTGTTTTATCCCAATACATTTATATTTTCCAGAATTTATTATAAAAGGAAAAACAAAATAGATGTGTCCAATTCTAGGAATTTATGAATGAAGCATCTGTAAATATTGGCATACAGGCTTTTGTGTAAACATGAATTTTTATTTTTTTACACTTTGAAGTACGATTACAAGGTCATATAGTGTTTGTCAGAAATTGTAAATTTTTTCCTCAAAGTAGAGTCTTTCACTTCTTTGATTAAGTTCATTCATGCATATTTTATTTTATCTATTGTAAATGGGATTACTTTCTTGATTTCTTTTTCAGATTATTTGCTGTTGGCATATAGAAAGGCTTCTGATTCTTACATGTTGATTTTGTTACTTTACTGAATTTATCAGTTCTAATGGTTTTCTGGTGAAGTGTTTTTGTTTTTTCAAATATATGATGATATCATCGGCAAACAAGGATAATTTGATTTATTCCTTTCCAATTTGGAAGGTTTTTATTTCTTTCTGTTGTCGATTACTCCAGGGAAGACTGCCAGTGCTATGTTGAATAAAAGTGGTAAAAGTCGGCATTCTTGTCAGTTTCCAGATCTTAGAGGAAAAGCTTTCAGTTTTTCCCCATTCATTGTCTGTCCTATGTGGCTTCTTTTTGTATATGTTGAGGCATGATCCTTGTATACCCATTTTTTGAGGGGTTTAATCATGAAGCAATGTTGGATTTTATAAAATGGTTTTTCACAGTCAATTGAAATGCTCATGGGCTGTTTGTCCTTCAATCTTTTGATATATTACATTGATTAATTTGCATTTGTTGAATCCTTGCCTCTCTGGGAAAAATCTCACTTGGCCATAATAAGTGATTTTTTCAGTGTATTGGTGAATTCAGCTTGCTAGTATTAGCTTCAGGATTTTTGCATCAGAGTTTATCAGGGATACTGCAATGTGAAATAGTTTTCTTTTTTGATGTGTCTTTGCTAAGTTTTGGTATCAGAGTAATACTGACCTTGTAGAATGAATTTGAAAGTACTCCCTCCTCTTCTATTTCTCAGATTAGTTTGAGTAGAATTGGTATTGTATCTTCGTTAAATGTTTCTTAAAATTCAGCAGTGAAGCCATAGGGCCCCAGGCTTTTATTTGCTGGGAGATTTGTTATTATGGCTTCCATTTTGTTACTTGTTATTGGTCTGTTAAGGTTTTGGATTTCTTCATGGTTTAATCTTGGTAGGTAATATGTGTCTAGGCATTTATCCATTTCCTTTAGGTTTTCCAATTTATTGGTATATAGCTGCCCATAACAGCCTCTAACAATCCCTTGAATTTCTGAAGCAGTGGTTTTAATGTCTCTTTTTCATTGCTGATTTTATTTATTTGGGACTTCTCTTTTTTTTATTAGTTTGACTAACAATTTGTCGATTTTATCTTTTCAAAAAGCCAACTTTTCATTTTGTTGATCTTTTGGGTTGTTTTCTTCATTTCAATTTCATTTATTTCTGTTCTGCTCTTTATTATTTTTTCTCTCTACTAATTTTGGGTTCTGTGTGCTCTTGCTTTTCTAATTCTTTAAAATGCATTGTTAGGTTGTTTATTTGAAGTTTATATACTTTTTAAATTGGAGGCACTTTATAGCTGGAAACTTTGCTCTTAGTTGTGCTTTTGCTGTATCCTGTAAATTTTGATATGTTGTGTTTCTATTTTCATACTATCAAGAAGAATTTAAATTTTATTCTTACTTTTTTCATTGACTCACTGGTCATTCAAGAACATAATGATTAATATCCATGTGTTTGCATAATTTCCAAAATTCTTTGTTACTAATTTCTAATTTTATTCCAGTGTGGTACAAGAAGTTACTTGATATGTTTTCAACTTTCTTGAATTATTTAACCTTGCTTTGTGACCTACATATGGTCTATCCTTGAGAATAATTCATGTGCTGAGAAGAACGTGTATTCTGCAGCTGTTGTATAAAATATTCTGTAAATATTTATTAGGTCTGTTTGTTCTATAGTGCAGATAATGTTTGACATTTCTTTGATGATTTTCTGTCAAACACTGAAAGTGAGGTGCTGAAGTCTACAGCTATTATTTTATTAAAGTCTGTTTCTCTCTTTTCTGTAATAATACTTGCTTCATATATCTGGGTCCTCTAGTGCTGGGTGCATATGTATTTCTAATTTTTATATCTTCTTGCTGGAATGACCCCTTTATCATCACAAAATAACTTTTTTTGTCTCTGTTTATGGTCTTTATCTTGAAATCTATTCTGTCTGATACAGGCACAGCTATTTCTGCTATTTTTTCATTTCCATTAGCATGAAATGTATTTTTTTCACTTCATTTACAGTCTATTTGTGTCTTTACAGTTGAAGTGTGTTTCTTGTAGGCAACAAAACATTTAATCTTCTTTTTTTAATACATTCAATCACTCTAAGTCTTTTAATTGTAGAGTTCAGTACATTTACATTTACTGTTATTATTGATAAGTAAGCACTTACTCCTGCCATTTTGTTATTTGTTTTCTGCTTGTTTTGTGGTCTTATCTTCCTTCTCTCTTTCCTGTCTTCTTTTTAGTGATGTTGACTTTCTTTCATGGTATGCTTTAATTTCTTGTGTTTTCTTTATTGTGTACATTTTTCTTTGTATTTTTTTTAATTTACGGTTACCATGAGGTCTCCATTCATATCTTATTTTAAACTGACAACTTAACACTGATTGCCTAAACAAACTAACAAGCAAAAAAAAAAAACCTAATGAAAATATTACACCTGAACTTTGTCTTCCCAGTTGTTAACTTTCTCTTATTTCTATTAATAGATTATTTTACTGTCTAGGTCTTGTACATTTGCTGCAGTTATTATTTTTTATGGGTTCATCTTTTAGTCTTTCTACTCAAGAGATAAGTAATTTACACACCACAGTGACAGGGTTATAATATTCTGTATTTTTCTGCGTACTTACTATTATCTGTGAGTTTTGTACTTTCAGATGATTTCCTCATTAACATCTTTTCCTTTTAGAATGAAAAGCTGTCTTTAGCATTTCTTGTAGTACATGTCTGGTATTGATGAAATCCCTCAGCTTTTGTTTGTCTAGGGAAGTATTTCTCCTTCATGTTTGAAGGGTATTTTTGTTGGATATACTATTCTAGGATAAAAGGGTTTTTTTACTTTTATCCCTTTAAGCATGTCATGACACTCTCTCGTGACCTGTAAGGTTTCCACTGAGAAGTCTGCTTCCAGACATATTGGAGCTCTTTTGTATGTTGCTTCTTTTCTCTTGCTGCTTTTGGGATCATTTCTTTATCCTTGATGATCAGGAGTTTGATTATTAAATGTCTTTAGATAGTCTTATTTGAGTTATATCTGCTCAGTATTTTATAACCTTCTTTTACTTTACTATTGATGTTTTCTCTAGGTTTGGGAAGTTTTGTGTGATTACTTCTTTAAATAAACTTCCTACTCTGATCACTCTCTCTCTCTCTCTACCTTGTCTTTATGCCAACAACTCAGATTTGCCCTTTTTAGGCTATTTTCTATTTCTGGTAGGCATGCTTCATTCTTTTTTATTCTTTTGTCTTCTCTGACTGTGCATTCAAATTGCCTGTCTTCAAGCTCACTAATTCTTTCTTCTGCTTAATCAAGTCTGCTGTTAAGACACTTTGATGCAATCTTTAGTATGTCAATTGCATTTTTCAGCTATAGAATTTCTGCTTGATTCTTTTTTATTATTTCAAATTTCTTTTTAAATTTTAACTGATAGGATTCTGAAACTTTTTTCTCTGTTATCTTCAATTTTGTTGAGTTTTCTCAAAATAGCTGTTTCGAATTCTTTATGTGAAAGGTCACATATCTCTTTCTCTAGAATTGGTCCCTTGTGTCTTATTTAGTTCATTTTGTGTGGTCATATTTTCCTGGATGGTCTTGATGCTTGTGCATATTCGTCAGTGTTCAGGCATTGAAGAATTATGTATTTACTGTAGTTTTCACATTGTGAGCTTTTGTGTACTAGTCCTTCTTGGGATGGCCTTCCAGGTATTCAGTGAAACTTGGATGTTTTGATCTAAGTCTTTGGTCACTCAGCCATACCTGCATTAGGGGACACCCCAAGACCAATGACACTGTGGCTCTTGCAGACTTGTAGAAGTATTTCCATGGTTGTCTTTGACAAGATCTGAAAGAATTCCCTGGAATTCAAGGAAGAGACTCTTGTTATCTTTCCTTACTTTTTACCACACAAACAGTCTTTCTGTGCTTAGTTGCTTGGAGTCAAGAGAGGGGTGACACAAGCACCCATGTGGCCACTAACCTTGGGACTACACTGGGTTCAACCTGAAGTCAGCATAGCATTGGGTCTTGCCCAAGGCCCACAATAATGACTGCCTGGCAACTGCTTATATTTGCTCAAGTCCTAAGGCTCTACAATCAGCAGATGATGAAGGTAGCCAGGCTCAAGCTAGCCAGGCTCATGTCCTTTCCTTCAGGATTATGAATTCTCATGGCCCTAGGTGGTTCCAGAGATTCCATCCAGGACCCAAGTCTTGGAGTCAGAGACCTTAGAAATCTATGTGGTGCTCTATTCTACTCCAACTGAGCTGGCACCCAAGGAATAAGACAAAGTCCTTCTTACTCTTCCTTCCTCTTTTCACAAATAGAAAAGTCACTCCTCATGGTCATCACTGCTACAGACCCATGGTGAGCACAACCTAGCTATTGCTGATGTTTACTCAAGGCTCAGGGACTCTTCAGTCCCATTATGGTGAATGCTGCCAGCCCTGGAGACCACTCTTCAGGGAAGTTAGCTCCCCTCTGGAACAGGACAGCTCCAGATATACCATCCAGAGGCCAAGACCTAAAATCAGGGACCCCATGAGCCCTTTTGGTGCTTTACCCCACTGTGGTTGAGCTTGGTACCTCAAATGCAGCACAAAGTCCCCTTTACTTTACCCTCTCCTTTTCTCAAGCAAAAGGAGTCTCTGCCAATAATCACCACAGCTAGGAATCTGCTGGGTCACACCTGTAGCCAGTATACCTCTTAGTCTCACCCAAAACCCATGACTAGAACTGCCTGGCTATCACTGGTATTATTTAAGTCCACGTGCTTTCCAGTCAGCCAGTAATAAATCCTGCCATAATTGGATCCTTCTCTTGAAGGCAGTGAGCTCCCTTCTGGCCCAAGGTGTGTCTAGAAATGTTACCCAGGAGCTAGGGCCTGGAATGGGAGGTTTAGGACACTGTGTGGTGCCCTGTCCTATTGTGACTTAGCTGATATCCAAGTTGCAAGACAAAGTTCACTTTACTCTTCCCTCTCCTCTCCTCAACTGGAAGGTAGGAGTCTCTCCCAGGGTTGGGGGAGCGGTGGAGCATGCACTCTCTTGGCGGCCTGGGCTGTTGTCTCACTAGGCTGCAGGTACCCCAAGGCCACTGGCTCTGAGCCCAGCTCAGCACCCAGACTTGCCAAGGAATTACAGCCCTTCTGACTTAGACTTCCTTTCATGTTTATTTAGAATCCTAGAACATGTCAGTCCTTGGTA
Source organism: Homo sapiens (assembly GCF_000001405.40). NCBI lineage: Eukaryota > Metazoa > Chordata > Mammalia > Primates > Hominidae > Homo > Homo sapiens. Next base: position 145,374,080 of record NC_000003.12, on the reverse strand, counting down.
GTGATGCTTGCTGGAATTCAGGTTTTGACCACTGGGATGGGCAATTCTCTTCTGGCTAGAGCTGATCTAAATGCTCCCTCCAGGGCTGTGGGCTAAATTCTGCCACATGTTGCTTTACATTGTGAAAAAGTGTCACTGAATTCCAATACAAAGTTCCACAATCACTGTGCTATCCCTCCCTCGAGAGCACAGATTCTCTTTCTTCACTATGTGGCTGCCAGTGGATTGGTGAGGGGTGGCATCAGCAATTCAAGACTCTCTTTTCTATCCTCTTCAGTGCCTCTTTCAGTGATACCAAGTTAAAACCAGGTACTGTGATTACTCACCTGATTTTTGTTTCTTATGACAGTGATTTTTCGTGTGGATAGTTGTTCAATTTCTTTCCTGTGGGGAGAACAATCAGTTGAGGCTTCTATTCAACCACTGTGCTCCACTTCCAGTCTACTCTTTTGAATATTTGTATTTAAAAAAGCATCTTAGCCATATTGATTTTAATTGCATTAAATCTGCATATCAATTTGGGAAGAATTATTCTGATATAGTTTGGATGTTAGTTCCTAACCAAATCTCATGTTACAACATAATCCCCAATGTTGGAGGAGGGACTTGGTGGGAGGTGTTTGAATCATGGGGATGGATTGCTCATGAATGGCTTAGGCCATCCCGTTGGTGATAAGTGAGCTCTTGGTCTGAGTTCACATGAGATCTGGACATTTAAAACTGTGTGGCACTTTCCCCTAGTCTCTCTCTTTCTCTCTGTCTCTCATGCACGCACACTTGCTCCTGCTCTCACCTTGTGAAGTATTTGCTCCTGCTTTGCCTTCCGCCACGATTGTAAGCTCTCTGAGACTTCACCAGAAGCTGAGCAGATGCCAGCACCATACTTCCTGTGAAGCCTGCAGAACCATGATCCAATTAAATCTATTTCCTTTATAAGTTACCCAGTCTCCGGTATTTATAGCAATGCAAGAACAGCATAATATGGTCTTCTTAAAAAAATTGAGGTTGCTGAATTATGAATGTGGTATATTGCCATTTATTTAGGTCTTATTTAATTTCTCTCAGTAATATTTTATACTGTTGTGTAGGATAGTTTCTGTATATGTTTTAGAAAATATATTCTTAAGTTTTTTGTCTTTGATGATATTTTAAATCATATTTTCATTAAGTTTCATGGTCCAACTTTGTTGACAGCATATCGAAATATACTCTGCTGGAAACGGGTGAGGAGCTATAGAAGCATATGAAAACTACTTGAATCAAAATACTACTTTTCTGATTGTATGATCTTGGTCCTGGTTTTCTTTTCCTTTCTTTTTTCTAAAAAAAAATGTAAGTTATTGGAGCCACCATGACTTTCAGAAGTATAATTCAACAAATATATGTTTTAAAATTAATATACTTCTTCATAGAGTAGTTTAGGTTTACAGGGATACTATTTCTTCTTAGAAAAAATTATGTTAACAGGGTAAAGTTAAGCCATAGCTGTTGTTCTATACAAGATGATTATAATAGCAGGATGACTCTTTACAAAGCTCACTTTATCATAAAATCTTTTATCTTTTGAAATACTTTCCAGTTACACACAACTTTTGGTATGCTGTACTATGTGTAAACATCAGTATGAGTAGAAAGTTATTTTGAGATACATCTGAAATTTAAGCATATAATGAGTTGAGCTTCTCGAAACATAAGGTTTATTTTTTCATTTAACTATAACTTCATTCAAAGAAGATTCAAATTTGCATGAAATATAAGATTGATAGTAGTAGAAGCAAGAGAAAATTAAAACTGCAAATTAAATTAGAAGCAAGAGTAAATTAATAAAACCAAATGAGTCATAAAAATATGTCCAAGAATGAGGTAGAAATTGTTCACCGTAAAAATACTTTTTCATAGTAATCTGATTTTTAAAGTTTTCCAGTGTCCAATGAAATAGAGAATTTGTTTATGTCAATGAGTAAAAATGATTTCAAAGCTCATCATTTCTTTATTAATACCTCCCACAATTTTTCTAATCTATTCTTATTAATCATCTTTGAAAGTCACTGTACATATCAAATTTCCAATTTATATGGAACCATTTAATAGAGATTTTTTTCTATAATTATAAACGATAATTTCTAAAGCTGTAGATTAACCCAATAACATAGACACTTCTTAATAACAGCTTTTGGAAATTGGAACAAGAAGTCTGCAAAGGCGGCCGGGCACAGTGGCTCACGCCTGCAATCTTAACACTTTGCGAGGTCGAGATGGGCATATCACCTCAAGTCAGCAGTTCCAGACCAGCCTGACCAACATGCTGAAACCCCATCTCTACTAAAAATACAAAAAATTAGCCAGATGTGGTGGCACGTGCCTGTAATCCCAGCTACCCAGGAGGCTGAGGCAGGAGAATCGCTGGAAGCCGGGAGGCAGACGCTGCAGTGAGCCAAGATCGCGCCACTGAACTCCAGCCAGGGCGACACAGTGAGACTCCGTCCCAAAGGAAAGAAAAGAAGAAAAATTCTGCAAAGAAGAAAAAATCTGCAAAGGCAAACCAGGCTATTGACAATCAGTGGTTTAAACTGACAACAGGTCATGAGTAATTATATCATGCATTCGAACCTATATTAAACTAATTAAAAGAATATCACTTTGAAGCAAAGTCTTTTTTATTTATCATATGTTTTATAATAGTATTGTTTCTAGTTGGTAAAAAGGTTATATCAGTCAAAGCAAAAAACAGATATACTAAGCATTTTAAGTATAGAGAGATTTAAAACAGAAAGTCATATGCTTAAAATATAATTGGAGAAAGTTTTTAACTGAGCCTTCTAGAATGACACTGAAACGAAGTGACTGACCAGAGCTTTATTAGGAGTTACTATATAACTGCTGAGGTGACCGCTGAAGAAAACAAAACTGAAATATGGAAAGCAATACTGTTGTTGCTGCTGCAACTGTGCAGGTGACCCAGGAAAAACTAGAACATATACAATGTGAGCCGTAAGTTAGGAATCTGGGTGTCAGATCAAGCAGCTACCAATGTTCTGTGGCTTGTGCTTCGGTTTTCTTTTTGACACTCTGCAGAAGCTGGTGTAATGATAGTGAAAGCCAGTGTAAGAGAAACTTCATATTTCCACAACCTAGCTTCTCGATAGAAAATAGCTCATAGAAAAATAGACTCCACATCACTTCTATTTTTCAAATCTCAAAACCTGGTTGATTGGTGAAACCAATTTAAATAAGAACTATAGCTCCAGTGGAATTTGAGAAATGTTTGTTTTAGTGTTTTTACCTCTCTAGTTAGAATCTGGATGAAGTAGATAAGACTGAGTGAGAGATGTTAGCTGATATCCTCTATGGGTGTTGAGTTAGAATAAATCTTGGGAGAAGGTGGAGCCTTGAGTGAACAATGACTCAGACTCTGCTCAAAAATCCAGTTGAAATATGTTTGTTTTGATCAAATTGCTAGTTCAATTTTACTGAACTTTATTTAAAGCTTAGGCGCTAATGTGGTTATTAACTAAAAAATAAATGCACTGTAGCTATCGATCTGCTAAGAATCAAGTGCAATATGTTATCTCTGAAATGAACATCAGTTTGTAGTGTTGTCAGGAGGCCTATGTGGGCTTGGGCTTCATTGTTGTTGCTGAAGTCCTTGGGGTGTATATGTTTGTGAGTGTGTGTACTCATGGGTGAACACGCACATATATTTTCCTCTTCTAATTGCTTTCCTTCCTTAAAAATCTCCCATTTGTAATTCTATCTCCTCTAAGATTTTTACCTTTTCTCTTTAACAAATATAAAGTGTGTTATTACAGAAAAAGAATTACACTTTAATTAGAAAATAGTTTAAAATCCAGCTGCACCAATTAATAGTAATGGGGGAGTAGTCAAGAAAATTTAAGTTCACTGTGGCTCAGTTTCCTCATTTGTAAAACATAACAACATAACACAAAGCTGTGTTTAAAATCTACAATCTCAAAGGACAAAGCAGCTCTCAGTGATCTCTAAAATTATTAACCACTTTGCAGAATATCAGCCTTCACAGGCATCAATTACTCTAAGGCCAAATGCTTGTGGATGGAAGACAGTACTCAAATTATAATCAAGATTTTTACATGCAAGACTTGGATATGTAGGATGAGTGTTAAGGAGAATTTCTCATACTATAACACAGCAAACAGTCTATGTGGACAGAACTGCCCATACTAAACAAGATCTGACTGAAAGGACTAGAGTGATCATATACTAAACCACTACAAAAAGAGACAGAGAAAAAACATGAAGTTGGAAAAAGGAAAGAAAATGATAAAGAACTATGTTGGAGGGGCAAAGATTGGAGAATAAATCCTCAACTTCTTTTAGCTGCTTTGCACTATAGAAGACCCTAATATTAAAAAAAAATTCAATTAAACAAGGGCTCAACATTTAATAAAATAAAGGAATAAGAGAAAAAAGGAATTTTGTTTAATGAGGCTATAAATGTACATGCATATTACACAGTTTGAATTATGTATATAAAATTGATTAGATTGATATTTCATTAATTAGATTAAATTGATATAGAAGTTGATTAGGCATATGTCACAAAACTATTGATTTATTTTCAAATGTAGACTTGAATCTTGTAAAAGTAATAAAATTGTTAGTAACTCATTAATTTAATAATTTTTAAATGGTTATTCATTTTAAAAGGCTGGACATTTTGTCACAATATAACTGTCAGTAGAAATGAGAGCATAGACAGGCTCTGGAGCCAGATCACCTGTGTTGTAAACCAATTTTCATCATTTTAGCCTTATTATTTTTGTTGTACCTATTTATTTCTGAAGTCCTACTATAAGACTTTTGTGATTATAATTAAATATGATGTTTGCATTGTTGTGATTAATAATTTTACATGTTAATTTAGGAAATATCCTTCTTTCAAAATCATGCACAACTAATTCAAATATTAATTTAAAAATTATTGTCAGGTTTTTAATTATTTAAGAAATATCTGCATTGCTATGTACGATCTATCCCAAAAGTGTCAGTCATGTGTCATACATGTGAATAAACCCTGGGGACTTACTATTAAGGAAGAAAACATATCACTGGAAAGTAATGTGTCATATGAGTAGTAGGTTTTACACTGTGTAATTCCCAAATCTTTGAAGCCATGACTTACGTGACTGACAGAATCTGACAACTGAGACTTTTAGCAATCATAAATGATACCTTATGAGAAATTTTCCATCTCACAGTGAGATACTTTCCTGGCAGGTGACCAAGTGTAAGTTAGAGACATAAATTCAGATTTAATTCAATAAATACATATTTGACTGAATTCTTTCTTATCACGGCCTCTTAATTATCAGTGTCAAAATGTAAGGAATAAGCTTAAAACAGAAATAGTCCAAAAGTAGATATTAGAGCAGAGAGGAAAAATTCCAAAACTTACTAAGAATGACTGTGCATCATGGCTTCCTTCCTCACATCTTTGTTGAATTCTTTCTGCCCTAGGATATTGACTAAAAATAATACCTCACTTCCATGGGCCCAAACTTGTATCAAAAATAATAAGCGCTGTTTACATGCCAGAGCAATCGTGGACCTTCTCCGAAATGAAAAGATAATGAAGTAGTAAGTCCTCTTGTTTTCCTATGTCACTAACTTCTCTTGCCAGTTCAAGGAGAACCACCTATATTAATAGAGAGTGATCAGAACATAGATAAAATAAAAGCAAAGGGTATAGAAAGAGGAATCGTATGATCCTTAGAACAAATTTTGTCTTTCTTTCATTGTGGAGCCATGGAAATTCTCTTTTTACTTAAACTAATTTGAGTAGCATTTATGTCACTAGCAACTTAAAGAGTCAAATTTAATAGTTCAGGAAGCAAACCTGAATAATTTTAAAGTTAATTTGAGATCAAATTTTAGGATAACACAGATGTAAACTGAAGAATGTTGAGGTTTTTAAATTTGGAAATGAAAGTTTTATTTCTGAAAAGGGTTGCAGACTGCAGTGACCATTCTGACAGGCTGGGAAACATAGCTTCCGGGCAGAAGCTAGAAAGAGCCACTTTGAGAGTGGGAATGTTACAGTAGGTCACTAGCCAAGCATGAGCAGGGCAGGAGAGGAATATCAGGTGACCAGCAGGAATAACCATGAAGTGATGGTCTGGAAGCTGTCACACCAAAATAAAACTGGTCAGAGTCAGTGCCAGGAAGAGGCAATATCCCAATAGATAAAAGCACTTGAAATTGGTAATTAGCAGCTTCCAGTAAAATCTCAGGAACTGGATGGATGGGCTCAAGCACGATAAAATGGTGAAGCAGAACCTTCTGGGAGCTTTCCACCAAAGGGAAGAATACCTCAGGCAAGCATATGTACAACTACAGTAAATACACAATGCATTCTCACTTCTCAAGTGATAGCAGGCCACTGAGCATGCAGGCAGCTCACTCTAAAGGAAGCATCATGGTAAAAGAAATGCAAGACCCCAGAAGTATGCCAACATATAAAACCCCAAGTCAAAATGTCAGACACTGCAATCGACCCCCAAGGTACCTGCTTGGGTCTCTTCCAAGTGTATTTCCTTTCTTTCCTACTCTAAAACTTTTTAATAAACTTCCACTCCTGCTCTGAAACTTGCCTCAGTCTCTTTTTTTTGCCTTATATGCCTCAGTCAAATTCTTTCTTCTGAGGAGGCAAGGATTAAGGTTACTGCAGACTTTTACAAATTTGCCACTAGTAACTTGAATATTTGCCACCCTTAACAGGAAGAATAAGACAGGGATTTATACTTAATGAGGTGACTTAATATAAATACTCAATAAGCTATAGGAGGAGTCAGGAATATTTATGAAAGGAGAAACATGTACATGCGCAATTGAGCTTCATGCCACTCCATGGGTCCAACGTTCAAAAAATGGTGGTATTAGCATGATCTGGGGTGGAATTTTTAGCCCTATAATGTCAAAGAATAAATCAGAAGACATGAAAATCCCCACTGCACATCCTCTTGAGCCTGGCTAGAAATGCTCCATGGTTGGTGGCTGTGGCTGGTGGTCTATTATCAGGAAGAAATGCTAGTCGCTTATTGTATGGAAACCACAACAAGGAGGGGAAACAGTCAGGAAGCTGATTGAAATCAGCCCTGCAGTATTTTGAGAGGGCCAGTTTCTGTTTAGTTCTTGGGGAAGAAAACCTAACGGTGGTTAGTGACAGAGGAAGTATAATGAGGCATGACTGACCTCCCGTACCATTATGGCCAAGAACTCCTCTTCCAAGTTTGCTCTGGGATGGATGTCCCATTGATTGGGGAACTTAGAATTCCATTTTTCTTTCTCACAACAAAGCATTGAGCTTAGAGCAGGCTCTTATTTGGTTCTAATAACATTCATATGTATAGCTGGCTTTGTGGATTTCCTACTTAAAATTCCACAGTCCCTTCTCCATTAAAGGGAAGTCCTCTGATTTTCTCATCTGACTCTACTGGCTCAAATATTTCTGTGGAATCTTCATATGCTGTAATGTCCAACACAACTTCTTCTGGCTTTAAATATAATGTGTTTACACTTGCCCACTTTTCAGATCAATGTAAAACTTCTTTCAAATTATCTTATTTATTCATTATTAACCCACTACTGAAATACTATTTTTTTCTGTCTTAGAGTTTGTTTAATAAAAGTGCCCAGTGGGTTTATTTGAATACTTCATCAAAGAAATGTGAGTTCCAATTAAAAATCTTCTCCTTGTTTTCTTAGTTGGCTTATTTATTAGGAACATGCTTAAAGAAGAAACCTCCTGGATTATGAAGCAATGGTAAGATACCAGCCTATCACTCATCAGTCACAGTGACCAAAGAAGTGACAAATGCTGAGCTAGATCATTCTCACCACCAAAAGATTTATACGTATTTCAGAGTCACAAATGACTTGCAATAATGTTGAGAAAGTCTCAGAGTAATGGAAGAGAGACTTTTGAGTTGTTATCTTGTCTTACCCTAAAGAAGAAAATGCCCACTAACGACATAACATCTAAGTCGTACTCACACTGCTATAGTCATATGTTAAACATTGGCTTTATATTACCTTTTAATTAATAAAAATTTGTTGAGTGCATAAAATGTAAAATTATGCTAATATAATTTATTAGCATGAAAGTTTTCTGAAAAACTGTTATAAATACATGCTAAAGTATTTATGCTAATATATTTTACTAGCATAAATACATTTATTACATATACTAATATAATATTTTATTAGCATAAATACATTAGCATGTATTTATAACAGTTTTTCAGTAAAAGTACTATTACTGTCTTCATTTTATAGATAAGAAGACTGAAATGGGCAAAAGCCAGCAGCATTCCCCTTTAGAATTGGAACAAGAAGAGGATGCCCACTCTCATCACTCCTATTCAACATAGTGCCTGAGAGCAATCAGGCAAGAGAAAGAAATAAAATATATCAAAATAGGAAGAAAGTCCAAACTATCTCTCTTCACAGATGATATGAGTTTATACCTAGAAAACCCATAGTTTCTGCCCAAAAGTTCCCAGATCTGATAAACAACTTCAGCAAAGTTTAAGCATACAAAGATCAGTACATTTCTATACACAAACGGCATCCAAGCTGAGACCCAAATCAAGAACACAATCCCATTCACAGTAGACACACACACACACACACTCACACACACATACCTAGGAATACGGCTAACCAGGGAGGAGAAAGATCTCTACAACAAGAATGACAAAACACTGCTGAAAGAAATCATAGAGGACAAAAACAAATGGAAAGGGTTCAATGCTCATGGATGGAAAGAATCAATATTGTTAAAATGGCCAAACCGTACAAAGCAATGTAAAGATTCAATGCTCTTTATATCAAACTACCAATGACATTTTTCACATAACTAGAAAAAAGCTATTCTAAAATTCATATGGAACCAAAAAAGCCTGAATAGCCACTTGAATCCTAAGCAAAAACAACAAAGCTGGAGACATCACGTTACCCAGCTTCAATCTATACTGCAAAGCTACAGTAACCAAAACAGCCTAGTACTGGTATAAAAACAGATACATAATACAACGGAACAGATTAGAGAACCCAGTAATAAAGTCACACAGCTGCAGCCAATTGACCTTTGACAAAGTTGACAAAAAGAAGCAATGGGGAAAGAACTCCCTATTCAATAAATGGTGCTAGGATGACTGGCTAGTCACATGCAGAAGAGTGAAACTGGACCCCTTCCTTTTACCATATATGAAATTTAATTCAAGTTAAATTAAAGACTTAAATGTAAAACTTAAAGCTATTAAAACTCCAGAAGAAAGCCTGGGAAATACCATTCTGGACATAGGCTCTTGCAAAGATTTCATGACAAAGATGTCATAAGCAATTGCAACAAAAACAAAAATTGACAAATGAGACTTATTTAAACTAAAGAGTTGCTGCACAGCAAAAGGAACTATCAACAGATTAAACAGATAACCAAAGAAGGAGAAAATACTTGCAAAATATGCATCTGACAAAGATCTAATATATAGAATCAATAAGGAACTTAAACAAGTCAACAAGCAAATAATGATAATAATAACCCCATGAAAAAAAATTGAGCAAAGGACAGAGGCACTTCTCAGAAGAAGACATACATGTGGCTGAAAAGCACATGAAAAAAATGCTCAATATCACTAATCATTAGAGAAATGCAAATCACAATCACAAAGAGATACCCTCTCACACTAGCCAGAATGGCCTTCCTCTTTCTCCTTTCTTCCTTCCTTCCTTCCTTCCTTCCTTCCTTCCTCTCTTTCTCTGTTTCTCTGTCTCTTTCTTTTTCTTTCTTTCTTCTCTCTTTCTTTTTCTTTCTTCTTTTTTTCTTTCTTTCTTTCCTTCCTTCTTTCTTTCCTTCCTTCCTTCCCCCTCCCTTCCTTCTTCTTTCTCTTTTTGTCTTTCCTACAGTTATCCAAAATAGATATCTTTCCACCATCACATTGCCTTTCCATCTATATCAAAAAGCATTTTGCATGTTTGTTTTAGTGTCTTATGTTTCTGTATTTTATTCCATTAATCTCTGTCTATCCCTTCACCAATACTTCATGCCTGACTACTTTAACTTTATAATAATTTTTGAAATTGGAGAAATGAATTCCTCTCATTTTACTCTTCCTCTTCAATATTGTTTTTGCCCCTCTATTTCCTTTGCCTTTCCACATAAATTTTAGCAAAAGCTTGACTATATTAAAACAAAATAGGTTAAAAAAGTCCATAAAATAAATATTTTGGCCTTTTTAATCGATAATATTACATACACAATGCCCAAAAAATTTTGCTGTGTTTTGAAAATAATTATATTATTCCCATATATCAATTTGGGGTGAACTGAGTTTACTATGCTGTCTTCCAATCCATGAACACAAAGTCTGTCTTTTTATTTACATTTTAAAAATTTATTTCACTAATATTTTATAGTTTTTAGCAAACATTTCCTGTACATGTTTTGATGAGTTTTCACCTAAGTATTTCTCTCTCTTTTTTGGCAATTTTAAATAGCATTTTATTTTTAATTTTGGGTTCCAGTGTTAAAATTTAGAAATACAATTGATTTTTAAATGTTTACTTTATATCTTGTGACCTGGTCAAACTTATTATTAGTTCTGGACATTGAGTTTGTTTTATTTTGGTTTTGTACATTCCTTGTGAACCTATAATGTAGTAAATCATTAAAAGTACATTGGATTTGCAATATAAGTTGATGCACATTTTGAATAAGTATTGAGGCTTCCAGTTCAGGAATCCTCAAGGTAAACAGTTCTAAATAAGCGAATATCACTTTTACCTTGAAGAATTTCAAAATTATTTTCAATCATACTCCTCACATTTTATTTATCTTAATATAGATAAACAGCATATCAAAAATTGTCTAGCGAGTCAGAACAAATGTTTCATTTAATCATCTAGCCTACTTACTAAGAGTATATAAATAAATATTTTGGCCTACTTCATGGATAACATTTCTAATTCATTCAAAAAACAATACAATCGCATAGAATATTTTACAAACTTATGTCATAAATATGTTGATGACATAGAATTTGAATGCATAAAGATATATACTTTAACATATTTTATGTTTACTTTTTTCTTACCTTCAACTATTGATAACCCAAAGAAAAAAGTATTTCCTGAGCATTCAACTTCCTGACAATTTTATTTTCAAACTACTGTTTTTTCTTGTCAGTAGTTTTATTATGTGTAATATACATTTTTCTGTGGACAGGAAATGGGGAATTTTAAATAGTGGACCTAAACCATGTATGGTAGTCAGGGATCAGCCTCCTCTAACTTTCCTACCTTTGTGTAGCAGCTTTGCAATTTCTTCCTTTCTACAATGGACCTCTATCAACCTCACCTGCATTTAGATGCTCATGTCCTCAGTGTTCCCTCACATATATGAGGTGAGTGTAGCGGGTAACTGTGGGTGTATTATTTCTTTGATCCTTCCTATGATCAATTATGCTTAAGTCCAGAACCTAAATATTTCAAAAGGCATGGAATCATGAATGTCAGCACCACAAATGTATGTCTTGCAAAGCATTTTCTTTTCTTTCCATTATTTTTCATGAATGCTTTTCCTCATTCAGTTATAAATAACAACGACTATTTAGTTTTCTGTAAGTTAGATATTTATTAAGGGAGACATTCTTAGGGGATATAGATGCCTTATCCCAATTAGTGCATACATTTAGTGAGCCATTTACATGTAGCAAATTATGGTTTGGCTTTCTAATACACCAAAGAGTGATGTAAGATTTGAATCCATATTCTTACAAAATTATCTTATATCGAGTTAGAGAACATCAAGGCAATGAGGGAATATTATCCAAGAAAATATGCTATCCAAACACCAATAAACTATATACAGTATTTAAACAAAATATATTTTATATGAGAGAATGCATATACCAAACACTTCAACAATTTAAAGATTACATCTTTTTGTTGATCATATTGAATTATGAAAGGTTCAGTTCCTCATTTCCTATGAGGCTTAGAGCATTCAGCAAGAAGAGGGATGGCACTTCACCTCAGAAATGTGTTTGGGCCATGGTAGCTGAAAATGCTCACCATCTGGAATGTATCACGTGGGTAGTATTTATGTTCTCCAGAGTAGAGAGACAGATGTCCACATTAAAAAATACTTGCCATGCTGTCATGCTTGTTTCCTAAGTGCAGAAAACATGCTTTCTGTTCAAAGAGACTCACATATGAGTTTGTCCCTAGAATAATTTTCTTTACATTCCAATTAAAAATAGATTAAATGAATTTCAGGAAATTTTATACCAAGTTAAAATTAATTTAAAAACTTTTGTGGCATATTGCCATCATTTTTCACTGTTTAACAAATAGTTTGAAACTTGAATTGATCATGCCTGCCTGTGTTCAATAAGTGAAACTTGCTTCTCAGCAGCATTAAAAAGGAAAATAATTTGCAGATTTCTAATAATTTTTTTCTTATTCTATCTTCTTAGTCATTGGATAAAGCTTAATTTCACTTATATACAATAGCTTTCTATTGTATATTTTACACATAGCAGAATATTACTTTGTGTGTTTTATGAATGCTTTGCTTCACATTAAAAAGAATGAACCTCATTTTTATTCATTTAGATAATAAGAGAGAAATAGGAAAAAAAGAAACTTTCTGAAATGGAGATACGTATTCTAGTTTTAGTCCTGTATCTCAATAATATTAGACCAAAAAATTTTATTAATTCACCTTTGTTTTATTTGTGAAATGATTATATTCTACTATATATTGTCATATCTCCAAAGACATAATTTTATATACTTATATTTATGATTTATTAATGTTCAGAATGTAAAAATGTCTCAGAATATCTCTAATATTCTGAGATAAAAGAAAATATTTCTATTATCTCAATTATATTTCTCAAATATATATTTAGAATTACCGCCAGTCAAAATGTTTTCAAAATAGACATTTCTGTTTATGTGTTGGTGTTTATGTAGACTTTCAAATTGTACTCAGGAAAGTATTTAAATGTATTTATTAAAAATATCATTTCTAAATTCCTTGTATGTAATACTTACACAATAGTTTTAAAATTACAAATTTCAAAAACTAAAAAAAAATAAGGATGATATTAAAAATGAAACACACCAAAATATTCTGCCTCTGTCATCCATTTATAATTCTGAGTCAGTTTTTTCATTTTGCTGTGTGTATGCTACAACTGCCATGTTTATAAAATGAGGGACATAATTCTTCTCATGAGCAAATTAAAAATAAGTATTTGACCGGTGTGTTGACCCTACTAAAATAATGGTACGAAATTTCTTAAATGGAGTATTTTGCATCTTCATTTCAAAGATAGTCCTGTTCATCCATTTGTGAAATATGCATGTACTCTGTCAATGTGTGCAACAGTTTATCAGTAACAGAGAGATATGCAAGTAGTATAAGTCATGGTTCATTACCTTTAAAGAATTAAATTCTACTTGGAAAGATACAAAAGGGCAAAAAAAAACACCTCAAAAAATACTACAAGCAATATGTGCCACATGTTATACATGCTGGTTTAAGAATTCTCAGATAGGAAAGCAATGTAACAAAGGAGATTATTGTTTAAGGACAGGTGTATTGTACAGGGCTTCAGAGAATAATCCAGATTGATAAGAAAGAAATGAGAGAGTCAGAAAAGAGGTATTCCTAGGTCTAGTAAATTTAAGGAAGTTTATAAATAGAAGTAAGCAAAGAAATAAGCACTTGTAGCCCATGAAAATAAATCTAAAACATCAGCAATTTCAAGACATCATACGTGTTGATTGAAAATTAAATTCTACTGTATGACAAAGTACAAAATGACATGTCACTGGTAAAGACTTTCAGTGGCATAGACCCTAAACAGTCACCTGGAAGATTCCATAGGTGAAGAGTCAACTGCACTGCAAATACTACTCAATGAAATTTAAAGTTAATGAAATAGAATCAAAAAATGCTATTTGACCATCAGTTGCTGCCTATCTTTCCCGCTCTTTCCCATTGCCGTCCTCCAGAAGAATTTTTTTCTGGAGTTTTGGGTAACTGTAAATTAAGCTTATTTAACTTGTATTAGAAAATCTTAGAGAAAGAAAAAAATGCACAAGTTTGAAAACTACCTGTGCATAAAAAGAAAATAAATGTACTGAATTCTTTATCTTAGAACTCCTTCATGCAGTTTGCATATATATCTATATATGGTTTTACATTATTTTTTGTCACTATTTTTAGAAAAGAAAGGATTGACAACTATTAGCTTTACTTTTCATATGGCTAGAATGAATGAATATAACCTATTCTTAGTGTTTCAAAATTTTGAAGATACTAACTAGTGTATGAAGTTACATCACTCTACATACAGTAGTTGCTTGGCTACTATTCCCAAAGATAAATTAGGTGGGGTTCAAGATATAAAGGGAAAAATTATTTTAACTTAAGAACTAATGAATAGAATATATTATTAAACAATCAGAAATAATAAAACAAAATGTTTATATAAATATATATGTATTAATGTACATATATACATTTAGAACCATATTTGTCTATAAATTAAATTTGATGTTTTAAATCCCTAAAAACAGAAGTAATTTTAATTAAATATGACTTTATTTTCTTAGGTATGGACCAGTAATTTAGTTCACAACAGATTGGGTCATGGAAAGAGGATTTTTGAAGGATATTCTGGTATCTCATAGAATCAGAGTAAACATTACAGTCAATGTTGATGCAGAGGTCTAGAACCAGAAGCAGGGGATTCATATGAGTAGGCTTGTCTCTGTTTTGCTCATCACCACATCCCCTGATGGGCCTTTGTGCTTCTAAGGAGTAAATGAATTAGCACACTAGAAAACAGTGAGTAGCCAGAGCACCTTTCCTGCATGAAATCCTTCTACTTTTCTCTGCATGCTTGTTTGTTCTTTTTTCTTTCTGTCTAGAAACGAATTCACTCCTATAGCATATGGTTAAATAGTTTAAAAACTGACTGTCCCATTATTTCTTACTTTATACTATAAATGGAGAAATACTTTAGCATTTATGGCTATTGGGCTTGTAACAGTATGAGGTAGGGCAGATGAAAAACTGGCAGAAATAGACAAATGTGAGACAGGATTGTGATCCAGTACTACTCACCTGGACTGGAGAAAATTTTTAAAAATTATAGCCTAGAATTGCTTTAAGGATAAGGAACTGGAAAAATGGGTTTTGAGGAATAACAATTGTGAATTTAGGCCAGGAGTTGCAAACTTTTTTTTAATAGCCTGACAGTAATTATTTGAAGTTTTGTATGCCACATATAGTCATATATTTTTCTTTATTGTATTTTGCCATCTTTTCAAAATATGAAAACTTTTCTTAACTCTAGGGCAATACATAAACAGACTGCAGGTCCAATTGAGCCACAGTTTTCCTATCTGTCCTTTAGGGAGTCTCAGGTCTTAAAGACTAAATTGAATCAAAGGCACAAATGGAGAAATCTGAGATGCCTGCTTCACTCCTGGGCTTCAGAAACTCCACCTGACACTGACTATGCTGGAAAATGTTTAACAATTTGCTTAAAAAAAAACTATTTAGCAATATTTGTTAATAGATCTGGCATCAAAAATTCAATGACATACTGGAGACAACTCCAACCAGCTCAGCAGACGAAATTGTTAAATTTTCAGTAGTTTTACAAAGTTGATTCAACTACAGTGAGGATACTTATGCCACAACATTGATACATGCTATAAATCAGGTCATTTTTCTTTTGGAGAACTGGTTGTTAAACATTTACCAGCATACCACTAAAATATTCTCACCATGGAAGACTTCAGACTAACAACTCAAGATCATTGGATGTGGAGTTAGGAAGCTGTATGCAGAAGCATGTCATTGTATAGCATTGTTAAAAAAATAACTTTAGAAAAATTAAACTAGTTTGAGCAAAGAATGATTCAGAAATTATTGTTAGATACAGTTAGTTTCCCTCTTCAAATGGTTTATCCAGTTTCCCCGTTCTCTATCCTATAATTCCAAATACCTCCTTATCTTAGCTGCACCCCAACTTGTCTGAATATGCCTAGGCATGTCTGAACTTGCTACAACCCCAATCCACATTCCTATCCTTATTAGAGAATAGGTTACCTTCCTAGTCCCCACATAAATGACCCCCCTTCTCTCTCTTCTCACTTATGTGCCTACCTTATCTAAGAAAGTTTAAATGTTTAGCCATTCAGGACTAGTTTAGACAGTGCAGTCCAACCATAGCCAATAAGGGAAAGACACAGGAGCAGAAGCTGCATTAGAGATCATAAAAACCCCTGCTTTTCTTTGTTATGTGTGCTCTTGCCATTGCTCCATACACGAGACACACCCTTCTGCAGAAATAAATTTGCCTTGCTGAGACGTTCTCTGTCTAAGTGCTCATTTTCTTTGAGACTCCGAGCTCTTATTCCCAACAATTTTGTGGCCCATACGGGAAAACCATTCTCCTCTGGGGAGGGGTGTCCAGTCCTCTCTCATGAGGAGACACGTCCCACTGCCTAGTTGCAGTGGCCTCAGGGGTAAAGGATCAAGACCCACCTGGTGTGATGAATAAACCCGGACTCTCAGCAACGTGGGAGGAAAAGGCCTACCAATACCATGGCCACCAGGTAGCTCTGTGCACAGACCAAGGAAAGAAATGCCACGGGAGCTGGCAAAGTATTTCCTTGGTGGTTGGGACCAAGGTAAGAAAAGCCACAGGGGTGTTGAAGTATTTCTTGGTGGGGACCAAAGTAAGAAAAGCCGTGGGGGTGGTGAAGCATTTCTTTGTCTGGATCAAGGTAAGAAAAGCAGCCAGGGCAGTGAGGTATTCCTTGGTGGTCGGGATATCTTGGAGGTCAAGTGTGTGTGAAAGGCAAGAAATTCCTAGTATGAGGGATTGAGCCTAACCAGGACCCAACATGGGAAATGCCCCAAGTAAGACAGGGAGTGAAAAGGATAGAGATAATAACAATGATATTCCCCCTGATAGCCCTCTAGGACTTAGGTTAAAATATTGATTCATATAATAAGACTCATTTCACTGCACATGTCATTAAGAAATTAGCCCAAGCACTAAACATAATATAGGAGTGCCATACTCCCTGGCACCCACCTTCATCAGGAAGAATACTGAGAATGAACCAGACTCTGAGGAGCCACTTAACCAAATTGGTTTTAGAGACTCCTCCACATTGCCTTCTTAAGGGTCAGGATTGCCCTTCTGAAAGATGTCGGCTTATTCCCTTATGAAATGCTATATAATTTGCCTTATTTACATTCCACTGCTGACATTCCTATGCTTGAGATGAAAGACCAGTTTCTCAAAAACGATATACTTGAGTTATCTTCCACCTTCTCTTCCCTCAGAACTAAAGGCCTTTTAGCACAGGCGCCACTCCTGAGGTTCCCAGCACATCTGCATCAACCTGGAGATCACATTCTCATTAACAGCTGGAGAGAAGGAAAACTCGAACTGGCTTAGAAAGGACCCTACCTAGTGCTTCTAACTACTAAGACCACAGTATGAACAGCAGAAAGAGGGTGGACTTACCATACCCGAGTCAATAAACTGCCACAGTCTTCAGAATCATAGTCCATTGTTCTGGAATCAAGTCCCACCAAACTAAAACTAAGAAAAGTCTAACCCTCTTTCATCTCTTATATTGTCTCTTCTTCCCTCACTCCACTGTCAGCCACTTTGCTATCAATGTAACCAGGTCAGCCTCCCTGCCAAACTATTGCATTTGATGCTTACTTAGCCAAACCCTGTGGAGACCTACAAAGTCAAAGGCAACTAGCCTCTTCAGAAAAGTATCTTTGCCCTTAGTACTCACCCCACTCTCAACCTAATCCTTGTAAAATTCCTTATAATTGGCTACCTTGCTATTTCTGGTATGATATTATCTGGATCACTCAGTCCCAGGGCTAGACTTCCTTAGAAGGCTGTACCTCCCTAAAACTTTACCTTCATTTTACTAAAGGAACTACTTCCCCTGATTACCAATACCACCAATGCAACTTCATCCTCATTTCTATTACTATCCCTACCTCTACTGACCCCAGGCCTGCCCTCAGCTGTCTCTATGGTATAGGGGATGATGTTAACAGGAGAGACCCTATAGGTATTTTTGAGATACATTTTGTTTCCTCCCATCTCCTTCCCCATCCCCAATAGCTTCAGCTTTGAAACAAACACCTGTTATTCCTGCACCTAATGTTTAAATCAAGGTGTCCATTATAGAAGTAAAAGATCTAAAATAAACCCTAGCAATTGAGATAGGTTAATGAGATACAAATGCCTGGCTGGAATGGATTAAATATTCCATCCATGTCCTAAGCAAAAGTGACTGTTACGCTTGTGTGCACAGTAGACCAGAGGCCCAGATCACCCCCTTTCCACTTGGATAGTCTTCCTGCCGACTGTGCATGAGCTGTATGGTAGCTCTTTCTCAAGGCCCCACACCTAGGAAGACAAATTGTGCCAAGCTCTTTCTCTGCTGTTCCCTGAAGTTCAATACCCTGCAGGTCAGGCCCCAAGGGCCATCCAGACTCTGCCTTCCAATGTCAAGTTTACCTCATGTCTCTCACGACAGAGGGAATACTTCGCATTCCTTGGAGACTTAAAGGGATCGAAAGAGCTTAGGCCCTTCCAAGAGCTTACCCATCAGTCTGCCCTTAGCCATTCCTGAGCAGATGTATGGTCATATTGTGGTGGACCCCTGCTGGACACTCTGCCAAGTAACTGGAGCGGAACTAGTTCTCTAATTCAATTGGCTATCCCTTTCACCCTGGCATTTCATCAACCAGAAAAAGTAAAAGCAAAGCACTATAAACTGGGAGAGACCCCTCATGAGTCTTTTGATCCTTAAGTTTACATAGATGCCATCAGGGTTCCATGAAGAGTGTCAAATGAATTTAAAGCTTGAAACCAAATAGCTGCATGGTTTGAATCCACATTGTTCTGGTGGTTAACTATTAATAAAAATGTAGATTGGATAAATTACATTTACTATAACCAGCAAGGATTTAACTATACCAGAGATGCCATTAAAGGAATAGCTGAACAATTAAGGCCCACCAGTCAAATGTCCTGGGAAAATAGGATGGCATTAGACATGGTACTAGCAGAGAAAGGTGGAGTTTCTTTCATGATCAGAACCCAGTGTTGTACTTTCATCTCTAACAACACAGCCCCCAATGGGACAATTACAAAAGCCTTTCAGGGCCTTACCTCTCTATCAGATGAATTGGCTAAAAACTCAGAATAGAGGATCCCTTTACAAGCCTCATGGAAAAGTGGTTCAGTGGATGGGAAAAGTTAGTAACTTCAATAGTTACCTCCCTGGCATTGTTATAAGTGTACTAATCCTTGTTGGATGTTGCCAAATACCCTGTGCTTGAGGGTTAATACAAAGACTTATTGAGACAACTCTCACCAAAACTTTCCTCAATCCTCCCCTGCCTTATTCAGATAAGCTCTTTCTTTTAGAAGATCAAGCAGAACAACAAAGTCAAGACATGTTAAAAAGGTTTGAAGAGGGAAGATTGTAAAAATCAAAAGGGGGGAAATTGTTAGATACAGTTAGGTTCCCTCTTCAAACAGCTTATCCAGTTTCCCATTCTCTATCCTATAATTCCAAATACCCCCTTGCCTTTGCTGCACCCCAACTTGTCTGAATATGCCTAGGCATGCCAGAACTTGCTACAACCCCAGTCGACATTCCTTTCCTTATTAGGGAATAGGTTACCTTCCTAGTTCCCCTGTAAATGACCCCTCTTCCCTCTCTTCTCACTTCCCTTATGTGTCTACCTTATCTAAGAAAGTTTAAATGTTTAGCCAATTGGACTAGTTTAGACCATGTGGTCCAACCCTAACCAATAGGGGAAAGACACAGGAGCAGAAGCTGCATTAGAGATAATAAAAAACCCCTGCTTTCCTTTGTTCTGTGTGCTCTCACCATTGCTCCAACACAAGACACACCCTTCTGCAGAAGTAAATTTGCCTTGCTGAGATGTTGTCTAATTGCTTATTTTCAGTGTGATTCTGAACTCTTATTCCCAACAATTATGCAGCCGCCAAAGCAGAAGAGGTTCAGAGAGACTCTAGAGCTGCCCTTTGGTCAAAGATGATTTATGTACAGAAAAAGAAAGTGACATACAGAAAATGGAAGTGAGGTACTGAAACAGTTGGGTTGGTTACAGTTTGACGTTTGTCTTATTTGAACACAGTTCGGATAGCTGGTTACCTTTGATTGGTCAAAACCCAATGACTGCTGCAAGAGTAGGTTACAAACTGTCTACACATTCACTTAGGTTGCAGTTCACTATGTACAGAGACAACTTTAGGCTGACCTCATAGTATGTAAGGAGGCAGCTTTAGGCTAAAGTTAATTTAAGAGTATTTACACCATATATATAAAACAGGTGTAAATAACCTTAATAAGATAGATAATAGTACAATGTAGTTTAAAGTGGTAAATTGTGAGAATTTTTGCCCAGGTTTTTAATATAATTAATTTTCTTGTAGTTCATATAATTTAACTTCTATTAATGGCTGTGTTTAATAGTTCACTTTGCAAAAGTCTTGCAAATGTTATAATAGGTTCTAGATAATTGTTATGCCCTGCTCCATCAAATCACTGAATTTCTGTGGGCTCTTTTCACAAAAGGTTTTATGAATACTGAAGTATAGGAAGAGTTGTTTTGGACATAGGATTTAAATATCTACAAAGGGAAAGCATGTCTTTAGCAGCACAAAAATGGCTGAAGGGGATATTTGAGGGTAGGTAGCTACCAAGAAGACGAAAGAGAGAAAAAGAGAGGAGGCTTTTCCTGAAAAATAATTGGAAGGGTGGAGTTGGGATGGGGCATGGAAGGAGTGATATGGGAGTTGGAATATTTTTTACTTGTGTAGATGGAGAAAACAATCAGCAATTTTAGGATTTAAATACAAATATAACTTCATTACTATTACAAGCTGTGTAGGCCTTTAAATATTTGGATTTTATCTGAAGGATAACCTACATTTTAGAGAGCAATTTCCCTTATATAGTTTTGATTCTTATTTGCTAATTGAAAATACAGTTCAGAAATGTTAAGTGACTTGTGCATGCCAAGAAAGTTGTATCTTACAGGAAAAAACAGCTTTCTGCCAACTTTCTTTTAACTAGTCTCCTTTGAAATTTAATTTGAGGTATGACAAATTTAAACTGATGTTATTGAAGTCTCTCAAGGCAATTTCAGCATCTTGCTTTTGATTTTTTTCTTCTTGTATCCCAAGTTAATCCTTGAAGCAAAGTTCCGTAATGAAACTGGATGCAATCTGAAGGAAGATGAATACAATAGAGCTGCTCAGAAAGTAGAGATGTTTCTGCAGACACCGTGCTGAATGCAATCAGATTATTGCCACTGTCTGATTCAATTTGATAAGGTGAAAAGCTATAGCAGTGACCTGTAGCAAGTAGCTGAAAAGGTGGCATCTAATGAGTCCTACTGTCTGATAATTTTTCCTATTAAAATCAGGTACAAATATCTATCACATTTAAAGTGACTGAAGGGAGTATCTTCTGGAAAATTGGATATTGGACAGTGGCTGAGACACAGAAACAGACATTAGAGATACGATGAATCAATTTTATCAGGTATGTATGATACTATGATATATATTTTTTAAAAACTCAACCAACCAAACAAATAAAAAGCTGCAGTGAAATGGATTCACTGTCTTTTAATAGCCAATTTTAGCATTTAACATATTCTGTCGTCTCCTCTGTTCAGGCCCAATAAAAACAGTGAAAACATTTGCTGATTTAATGTGTATTCCTCCATTGGAAATCTATTATTACCTAACAAGCATGGCATTATTTGTAAATAATTTTATTTATTGTAATGGTGGCAAGTCTAACAAGAATTTCTGCAAAGCTTGAAAGACTCCTGAACATAGGCTTAATTTTTTTTCTCATTGTGAAGAAATATCTGTTGTAGCTGTGTTTTTTTGAATATGTTTTGGCAAATTTTTTCTTCAGTCTTTTTCCTAATACATAATACATATTCATGTCTAATCATACGTTGTGTTTTATTAAAAATATATTATGTTGTAATATCTTTATCATTTTTTAAATTACCATCCAAGGTCTTTAGAGAATTGAATTATTTGTTACATTTGTTTAGCTTAAATAGATTCTGAAAAGGTAAGAATTGTAGAGAAAACAAAGAATAGCTGATACTTAAAAAAATTTACCTGCAGCATTTTTAGTTGCTTGTGAAAGGGTAAAGAATTCAAAACATTTAGTTCATGTAAATAAATTTTCCATAGAAAATTGGATCAACCACTATATTTTAGTCTCTATACAGTGACATTATTTTTACAATATTGGCTGCTTTGTATAAAATTAGTTTAAATCTGGATAAAACTTTTGTTTGGCCAATGTGCAAAGTGAACAGAAAGTTCCAACATGTTGAAATCTCATACATTTAAATCTCTTATACACAATAGGTCAAATAGAGTAGAAAGTAATGTATTTGTAGACATACAAGTCATGTTTAATTTAATTGAGGGGGCTATGTAAATCTTACAGGCAATCCTATTATTCAATGAATACATCTTATGTTATAATACAGATTAACTCTGAAAAACTGGGCATTGTGCAGAAACTAGGGTAGGAAACTAATAGTAGAGATATAATAAACAAAATGTGTTAGATATGAATGAAAGTATGGTTTATTTAGAGAGGCATGTTTGTCTTTAAAATTAAAGAGAACTTTAGTTATTTTGACCTTATTTTCCTCAGAAAGAACAAATATTAAAACTAAGTATGCTCAAAGTCAAATTTATGAGGTTAAAATCTCTTTAGCCTTTAGAAATGCTTTTATTTGAAGGCCTTTATTCTTTTTTGTGTACAGGCTTCTAGATAATTCACACATCATAAAAATAGGTAATTTTACCAATTCAAAAAAACCCCAAAGATATCCAAACTAAATGTATCGTTTCCAACGTTCTTTAAAATATTTATCCTAATGAAAGTTAGATGTCATAAAAACATTCTTAATTTGGTGTTTCTGAAAACCTGACAGAGGACAGATTTATTTTACTATTTTTAGAAAAAAAGACCCAGCTATAATAAAGTATATAGAGCACACAGAGCATCACATATGCTTCTAAAACTATGTTGTTTGTTGTACCTAATTTTAATTATATAAATAGGTTTCCTAATACCAAATAATTTGCAAAATAATGTATTACTTTTTTTGTAAAGAGATAACTCTGCAAAACTAGATTTGTGTAATATTTTTTTATTTTAATCCTCAATTTCTAATAAATTATTGCTATTATAAATGCTAAGTAATTTTATGAAATTTTAATTAGTCTAAAATCAAATGCTGTCAGATAAATAGGTCAATTTTTTTTTCATGTTAGTGAACATTAATAAAGTAGCTTTGTAAAGGACCTTTTGTTAGGAATCTTTCTCTTCCAGAGAGAGGAGAGTAATATTTTTCCTCTTTTATGATTCTCAAAAACTAGCAATTCTTATAACCCAAAGGTTTTCTATAATAATTTTATATCTTCCAATAGCCTTTGTAATTCTGAACTGTGTGGTAAATGTTTCTGTACTATGGTTGGATTAAACCCTTCTATTCTGCACATGGGAACTAGCAGCTGGTGGAAGGGGCATGCCCAGCATTGAATCTGGTGATATGGCACATATGAATAAAAGTATCAAAGCAAAGTCATGATCAAAGAGAGAAAACTAAACAGATGAGAATAGGAATACGTTTTTTTAAAGATCAGTGTATTGCCCATCAGGTTTATGTTAGTCAGTGATATTGATTGATAAAGATCAGGGAAGTCAAAAAAGGTGTGTGGGAGGAATTGTGATTAAAGGTGATCCCCAAAAGACAGGAGAAATTTGTAAAGGGGGAGAAGAGTGGGAGGACTTTCCATGTGTGAGATTAGGAATTGGTTAATAAACAATTGTCCAATGGACTGCATATGAGTTAAAAAGGTGACTACGTTGAGTAATGAGGAGTTTTATTAAAGCAATGAAGTGTGTGAACTGATTCCTTGTTTGGAGCCTGGAATTCAAATAGAGTTAAGATTTAAAGGCTTTATTCATTGAAGAATCACGTAGGCCACTTGAAACACAAAATTATAGAAGTTTATGATAGTTAAGGATTTTAGAGTGAATTAACAACTCCTGACCTCATGTTCTAAAACTCTTCTCTGGGCTAATTTCACATATACAGATTTTTGTATGAACCATTCGGGAATATTAAAGGAAATATAAATCTGTCATCTTTCTAGGCTCAGTGTCCATGCCTGTAAAATGAAGGAGTTTGCTTAAATGCACTCTAAAATCCTTAACCTCTTAGATGTTTAAGGTTTCCAATGATTTTGGAAAGTTTACAGCCATTATTTTTTAGACTATTTTTCCTGCTTGCTTCTCAATTTTCTATCCTGATATTCTTTTTTACATATGCTGGTGTGTTTAATTGTATCTGCCCTATATTCTCCTAAAAGTTTGTTTGTTTTTCTTCATTATTTTGTTTCTGTTCTTCAGAATGAACCATAACTTTTATTTTCAACTTCACTGAATTTATCTTCTGCCAGTTTAAATCTACTGTTGAATTCCTCCAATGAAATGTTTATTTTGATGATTTTATTTTCCACTCTTTAATTTCCATTTAAGTTATATTTTATTTAGTAAAATATTGTCATCATACCTTCCTTTATTTCTTTAAGAATGGTTTCGTTTATTTAGTCCTTTGATTATATTTTTAATAGATACTTTGCAGGCTTTGTCTGATAAGCCTACCACTTGGACCCCTTCATAGGCAGTTTTGGTTATCTTTTTTTTTCCTATATGTGTGTTACACTTTCCTCTGTCTTTGCATGTCTTGTTTTTATTGTTAAAAATTGAACATTTTAGGGAATATATTACAACAACTCTGGATATGGATTTTCCCTCATAAATTGTTGTTGTCACTATCTTAATAAAGTATTTTCTCCTGAAGTCTGTGGCCTTTGCAAGAGATTGCTGCCTTAGAAAATGCACTCAAGAATAGTACTGGCTTTAGCAGGGCTCTCTTGGTTTGTCCCTTTATATCATATTTCTGTTAAGCCATCTATCTTTACTGGTATCACACCAAACTCGTAGCCTCTACTAATTGCTGGCTATTGGTATTTTGTTTTCTACAATGACCTAGGGCATAAATTAATCCAGGGTCTTATATAATTAAATTTTATCCTCTTTGCAGGGGTGGTCTTGAGGCAAGTCTTTAAAGTTTATTCTAACTCCAAGAGGATTCTTCTTAGATATCTTGTCTCTAGTTCACTCTGGTAGACTAAGTGGCCTAGTGTGTTAGCTTATTGCCCTCATTTAGATACCAACCTTCTTTTAATTGCTTACTACCAAAACCTCCACTGTTACTGAGAATGCCTTAAGTTTTAGCTTCCCCACACTATATTCAAAATAAAGCCAAGTCACGTGGGGGAAGCTTCAGAGGTCTCTGTTTTTATGGCCAGCCTCTGTCTCTAAGAAAACCTCTGAATCAGCGCTCTGGAACTGGGAATGGAAAGAGTTATTTCTCTAAAGGTGCTGCTGCTGTTTTATGAGCAGGACATGCACCAGATGGGAGAGATTCCCTCTGGTCTTGTCTAGCCTCACTGGCATAAAACCTCTACCCCAGCAGTGTGCTGATGCAAGAGCAATTAGGGCCCCAGTGCTCTCAACGTGCTTGTCCTGGGATGGAGCTTCTGCTTTAGCAGTGAGGGTGAATGGGGCAAGAGAGCTCCAGACATTCTTGCTAAAATCCAATTTCTGCCACATGGACCTTAGTGAAATGAGAAATTCTGGTCCCGCCTGAACTAGGGAGATGTCATAGACTGAAAATTGGGAAAAATAGATGTCCTGTTTTTTTCACTGTATCCACCCAGAGTAGAACTTTCATTATTCTGAGCTGCGGTTTTGGGTAGCAAGTGGGCCTTTGTTCAAGCATCACAGATTTGCTCTTACTGAGATTTAGTAGATTATCTTGAATGTTTTCTTCATTTGCTGTGTGCCATTAGGACACAGGGCTTCTATTTGAAAAAATTTTTTTACTAATTCCGTTTGTTTTGCTGGGGAGTAGGAACAGGGTTCTTAATGTCACCAATCCAGAAGTCATTTCACATTTTTCTACTTTTTAAAAATCAAATATATGTATTTTATACATGTATTAAGCTTATGGATATAACTTCTCAAGTCCTGTAGAAACATTCAAAGTTAAAACCTGAATTAACTTATAAAAATATGTTATTTTATTTCAAAGCTTAACTGGGCATTTGATAATAGAATATGAGCAAAATATAAAAGAGATAAAGCTCTAGGAAATGCCATTAAGAAAGTAATAGATTCAACTATTGCTGTAGATATAAGAACTTTATGCTATCTCTCCTGCAAAAATATGTCAATCTGGTCAACATGGAACAACCTCTACTTTGCCAATTCAAATAAAATGTAATATGAAGAAACCCAGGAATACCCAAGTGATAAGTTTTCAAAGAATGTTAGATCCACATTTCTATACTTCAGTTTTTTATGTTTTTTATATTATGTATTTTCTACACTTAGCTCCTCCAGAAGCAGCACTCAATATTGTTTAAAAAAAAAAAAAAAAGGTAAGTAAAGTTTGATCATCTGGGGCTAACTCAGAGTTAATATGATTATCTCAAATGATACTAATCCTGTTGTTCTGGAAATGATTGTCTAGATGTATAACAGTTTAAATAAAACAAAAATTTTTATCTGAAAAATAATTAAATGAATATCTGCATATGAACAAGGCTAGGAAAATGTGGTAATTAGGTGTTATATTTAAAGAAGAATTTGCCTAAATTTTAGAGGGCTTTATTCATTCTCAAACTGTTTTATACCTATGAGACATTGGTTAAAAGGATATGTTGAGAATTGCCATAGAAGGCTACACTGGATTTTATTATTTTGATAAATATTTTCTGCTTATTGATTCTTGTTTCTATATTCCAATTTTTAATATTTGCCTTGTAAAAGTTTAATGTTCTCATTTTCTCTGACCTTCCAAATTAACCTTGTTCATATCACTGCAGTTTGTATCCTGAATTCTCTATTATGTTCAGTTTGGACTATATTATTTTCTTTTTTAAAGAAGGCCATTTTTTTCAACTTCTCATAACTCCTTGAATAGCATATATTGCATCAGTCAACCAATTTATATATTCTGCATATTACTTCTGGGTTTCTCATTATCGATTACAAACAGTGAATTACTTTGTTCATGGAAAGCATGTGAGGGTTGTGTTCTTCTATTTTTTAAACCTTCATTCTCAAGAGAATATCTTTATTTGTAAAATATGTCTGTCCAGAAAACCACTCTACTCTCTATTAAATGCTCTGTATGTGGCCTGTGATATAATACAATAAGCTTATTTTAGCAAATTGGTTCTGCAACTAACACATAAATAGGATATTTTTAAACACTTTAAATTGATATTCTAATCTTAATTATGAATTTTTTCTTTCAAAGTGTATTGCAAAAAATTAATAATTACATTTATAAATGCATGAATACCTACTATATTATAAACTTTGATTTAAAATAAATGTACATTTTAGGGTAAACATTTATTGAGTGCTTAATATATGTCAAACACAGTATAAAACATTTTTGGTTGTATATTAACTAATTAATTTTCACAGAAACTTTATAAGGTGATATGGTTTGGTTGTGTCCCCACCCAAATCTCATCTTGAATTGTAGCTCCCACAATTCCCACGTGTTCTTGGAGGAACCCACTAGGAAGTGATTGAATCGTGGGAGCGGGTCTTCCCTGTGCTGTTCTTTAGATAGTGAATGAGTCTTGTGAGATCCGATGGTTTTAAAAATGGGAGTTTCCCTGCATAAGCTCTTTCTTTGCCTGCTACCATACACATAAGACGGGACTTGGTCCTACTTGCCTTCCACAATCATTGTGAGGCTTCCCCAGCCATGTGGAACTGTAAGTCCACTAAATCTCTTTTTACTCCCAGTCTCGATTATGGCTTTATCAGCAGTGTGAAAATGAACTAATACAGTAAATTGGTACCAGTTGAGTGGGGCATTGCTGAAAAGACACCTGAAAATGTGGAAGTGACTTTGGAACTGGGTAACAGGCAGAGGTTGGAACTGTTTGGAGGACTCTAGAAGAAGACAAAAAAAAATTGTGGGAAAGTTTGTAAGTTTCTGTAGACTTGTTGAATGACTTTGACAAAAATGCTGATAGTGATATGAACAAAAAGGTCCCAGGGTGAGTTGGTCTCAGATGGAGATGAGGAACTTGTTGGGAACTAGAGCAAAGGTGACTCTCATTATGCTTTAGCGAAGTGAGACTGGCAGCATTTTCCTCTGCCCTAGAGATTTGTGAAACTTTGAACATGAAAGAGATGATTTAGGGTATTTGGCAGAAGAAATTTCTAAGCAGTAAAGCATTCAAGAGGTGACTTGGGTATTGTTAAAGGAATTCAGTTTTATAAGAAAAGTGGAGCATAAATGTTTGGAAAGTGTGCAGCCTGACAATGCCATAGAAAAGAAAAATCAATTTCCTGAGGAGACATTCAAGCAGGCTGCAGAAATTTGCATAAGTAATGAGAAGCCGAATGTTACTCCTCAAGACAATGGGGAAAATGTCTCCAGAGTATGTCAGAGATCTTCAGAGCAGCCTCCCATCACAGAATCAGAGGCCCAGGAGGAAAAAGTGGTTTCATAGGCTGGGCCTGGGGACCATATGCTGAGTGCAGCCCAGAGA
The DNA here is from genome assembly GCF_000001405.40 of Homo sapiens. NCBI lineage: Eukaryota > Metazoa > Chordata > Mammalia > Primates > Hominidae > Homo > Homo sapiens. The sequence goes on along the minus strand of NC_000003.12, from coordinate 145,345,227 downwards.
CTTTGTGCCCTGTGTCCCAGCCACTCCTGCTATGGCTGAAAGGGGCTGATGTAGAGTTTGGGCTGTGGCTTCAGATGATACAAGCCTTAAGCCTTGGCAGCTTCCATGTGGTGTTGAGCCTATGAGTACACAAAAATAAAAAACTGAGGTTTGGAAACCTCTGCCTAGATTTCAGAGGATGTATGGAAATCTCTGGATGTTCAGGCAGAAGTTTTCTGCAGGGGCGAGGGTCTCATGGAGAACCTCCTCTAGGGCAGTGTGGAAGGGAAATGTGGGGTTGGAGCCCCCACACAGAATCCCTTCTGGGATACCACCTACTGGAGCTGTGAGAAAAGGGCCACTGTCCTCCAGACCCCAGAATGGTAGATCTACTGAAAGCTTTCACTGTACACCTAGAAAAGCCACAGACACTCAATGCCAGCTTGTGAAAGCAGACAGGAGGAAGGATGTACCCTGCAAAACCCACAGAGGTGGAGCTGCTGAAGACCATGGGAACCTAACTCTTGCATCAGTGTGACCTGGATGTGAGACATAGATTTAAAGGAGATCATTTTAGATCTTTGAGATTCGAGTGCCCTGCTGGATTTTGGACTTGCATGGGACCTGTAACACCTTTGTTTTCACATATTTCTCCCATTTTGAACAGGTGTATTTACCCAATGCCTTTACTCTTAATGCATCTAGGAAGTAACTAACTTGCTTTTGATTTTACAGGCTTATAGGTGGAAGGAACTTGCCTTGTCTCAGATGAGACATTGGACTGTGGACATTTGAGTTAATGCTGAAATGAGTTAAGACTATGGGGGACTGTTGGGAAGGCATGATTCATTTTAAAATGTGAGGATATGAGGTTTGTGAGGGCTCAGGATCGAAATGATATGGTTTGGCTGAGTCCCCACCCAAATCTCATCTGGAATTTTTACTCCCACAATTCCCACATGTTGTGGGAGGAACCAGTGGGAGGTGATTAAATCATGGGGCGGGTCTTCCCTGTGCTCTTCTTTAGATAGTGAATGAGTCTTGCAAGATCTGATGGTTTTACAAATGGGAGTTTCCCTGCACAAACTCTCTTTTTGCATGCCACCATCCACATAAGATGTGACTTGCTCCTCCTTGCCTTCTTCCATGATTGTGAGGCCTCCCTAGTGGGAGGTGAATTTATATACCTTCTTAGGATCCCAATTCAATCAAATTAGTTGCAAATCAAATATGACAATGTCAGAGAAATTAGAATACTCACAAATATTTTCCTATTGATATTAAGGAATTATATACATATCCATATGTATTTTTTTTTTTTTGAGACAGAGTCTTGCTCTGTCGCCCAGGCTGGAGTGTAGCATTGTGATCTCTGCTCACTGCAACCTCTGCCTCCTGGGTTCAAGCAATTCTCCTGCCATAGCCTATCAGCTTTTAATTAAGCTGACTTCTGATGATAGATCTCTTTAAAATAAACATTTTTGAAAATCTCTTATTAAATGTTAGCTGGGACAAACAGTCAATTTACCTAGATTTTAAATATTTTTTTTTTCTTTTAAACCAAAGGTACCTTTCCAAGTGACTCACCATAATCAATAAGCCTTAACAAAGGTTATGACTTAACAAGGACAAACTAGGCATCTCAAAAGAGATGCAAAGTTATTTTCACAAGATACAGAACCAACCCAATAGCAACTCAATGAAAGGACAGTTTTGCTCCCCGCAAATGGGGACAACCCACATTTCTATCTGGCCATATTGTCTACCGTCTCACCTTCTCAGTTGACAAACTATATTCAAAACCCCTAAAACTTTGTGTGATCTACAGATGGGAAAAGATAGAAAGTCAAAAGCCATCTGTGGAAGAGAAAAGTATCAATAATAAATGGATACCCCCACAAGTCAAGAGTCACACAGATAATTACCAAAGTTGTAATTATTTAAATAGTGGATCAGCCCAGTAACCTCTTTATGAAAAGTCCAGCAGGCGATTTTCCAAGTTTAGAATGAGTTTTTACCATATAAGCAAGACGTATTTCCTGCAGAGGGTATAGAAGAGGAATTCCCTAGAGAGGATATAGAAGAGGTAGCTCCAAAAATCCCCACCCAAAAAAGTTCAATTCCAAAGGTAGGATAAAATTTCAAAAGACTCGTTTTGTCATAGATGGTTAAAGATAATTGTATGTTTATGTATACAGTGCCTCCAATACCCCACAAACTTGTGGTGGGCCACCAATCATGGACTCAATCCATGACATAGGTAGGCAGTCCTGGGACTAGACTTTCCCATGACTAACAAGGCAACAAGTGTTGAGGTGACAAAATCTCCTTAAGGATGGGACTTCATACGATAAACTTCCCTGAGAATATGACATGTTCAGAACAAAAAGTATACTGCTTAAAATCTTGCATTTTTTAGGGTTCCCAGTCTTGTTAGGCTGGCCACCAGACATGACTCAAATATCATGCACCCCAGATGGTTAAAGTTGAGAGAGTGCTCCCACTTGGTCACAAGTCAATCTCTAAAGTACATAAAATATTAGACGAGAGGGGAATCTCATCTGCTTTTTATTATGGGGACCCAGAGCAACGTTCATCTAAATAGCCACTGGTCTGGCCAGAACTGCAAAACTGACCAGTCTGCAGCAGTCGCTTGAACGATGGATTTATGGGAGTTTTAGGCCTATGTACTACCACAGGGTACCTCTCTTTATGACAGAACAACACAGAAAGACAAAGACAAAGGAAAAAACTATTTCTAGGAGGAAAAGTATGAAACAATATTAATATTCATACTAAAAGTACACCAGAGTTGCTATACCTAAAAGAATTAACACAAATTCTTTTCTCTCATTAATCAAAAGTTTTGGGAGGAAAAAGAGACAAAATGTGATTTTTACCATCTGCTCAACCAGAGTCAGTAGAGTCTGGGAGCCTGGCTGGTAAGAATTTCTTACCCCTCTGCCAGCTTGTAAGCTCCTGGCTTCCCTTGACTATGGCTTCCAGAATATCAGAGCACATTTAGTGTCCTGTTTGTGACACTAAAACTGTACAGGCCAAGGGAAAACTTCCTCTTCACCTTCTGTAGGTTCTCTGAAAATCAACTGATGGAAGATAAATTAGTAATAAGAGACATACAAATTTATTATTGTGCAAATACGGAAAATCATAGAGTGATTACCCCACCATGTAATGGTTTATGAATGGTTATTACATTTTTTCTTAGAGGTAAGAGAAGTGAAGGAAGTTGGATAATTTGGGGGAGCTAGTAACTGATTTTAAGGGGGTTCAATGGGCTTGAAGAGAGGACAATGATTTGTGACAAAAGTCTGTCTAGTTTAGTTGGCAGAGTTTAGTCTTTCTTCCTATGATATGAGTTTGGTTAACGAGAAAATCAGGGAAGGGAGCAGGTTTAATTGTTTTCTTCGGCAAGTCTAGACTTTAGGCAGATAAGGGAATGTCAGAAAACTTCACTCTGTGTGTTGGGATAGACAGAAGATCTAAGGTCAGGGCAGTGTGGGCAGGGTCAGGGAGACCTAGAGGTTTCTTCTTCAGTTCAACATGTCAAAGCACTACATTTTGAACATCAGTTTTGAAGCCCCACCATCAGAAACATGAAGGGCTGTGAAATCATGATATTTGACTAATCTTTAATTGTTACCTGAGACTGTTAAGCTGGAAATTGAAAGATCAACCAGGGAATAAGAGTGTTACTTAAATACTGAGGGCCTGACATGTGAAAAAATATATATATATACATATATGTACTTATACTTTGTGTCTGTATAACAAAGGATTGGGACTAAGTGGGAAAAGATATAAAAAGGCAGAATTCAATAATGAACTTTTTTTATTAGATTATTTAAGACAAAAAAAGGAAATACATAGGAATAAAAAGTGGTGGAAATTTTTTTAATTTTTTTTCCAAAATAATCTTTAACTCTATTGTCATAAAAAATATGAGAACAGACTGATTCTAGATGTGCCTGAATTGAAAAATTTATCAGTGAAAATAAATGGGATAATGTACTCAGTTTGCACTAAGATGCATTGATTAATGCTACTTATATCAGAAGGTTTGGTTAATACTACACCTTATGCTAAAAAATTGCTTTAAACATTCTAATAACCAATGTGACTAAAATATAGAAAATGCTGGCTTGTAAACATGAAGATTTCCACAAATGAAAGTTCAAGCAGAGGTTGAAGAATCATTCATGACTAAGTTTCTGAAGACATTTCTGAGTGAAGCAAGTACTTCTAAGGAACCTCCACTATTAAGTTTTTATGATTATTTAATTTTCACTGTCATTTTTTATCTATCCCTGCACCTGTCACCGAACTCTGCCTCAATGCTTGACCTCCCCAACTATACTCAGAAACTCCTTCCAGGAATTGGGTAAAACATCATATGTTGCTTTGCAAACATATTATTTCTTTGCATAAGATGTAAAAGATTACTATTTAGATATGAGCATGCTATTAAGAAACCTCCAGTTGTTACGTTGTTTACATACAAAAACAAAAAAGTAGGTGATAAGACAAATTAAAACAAAAAATTCTACAGAAAGTCTAACTATAATTTAGTAAAAATAAAATATCTGAAGTTTATAGGGAATTGAATTTAGAAAGAAAAGGCTGTTTTACTACTGTTGCATCAGTGGTATTATCTTTGTATTTTAATCCATTTCATACTATATCTGAGACACAGAAGGACCTACTTATAAAGATCCTTTTATGGTTTGACTCTGAAGGTTAAGGAGTTACCTCATTGCTTTACACTTGGAAATGATCCAAATCATCCAAGCAAAAATGAAATTGTAAATACCTTATCTTCGTTTGACTTGCGAAGAATGTTCTTTTATTTTCAGACATGCTGGTATTCCATGACCCCCTGCTCAACAACTTAGAAACAGCACCTTGGGGCAGTCTCAGACTTTGCAATTAAAGATATCTGTCTAGTCAAAAAATCTTCTGGCAAAATATTCTGCTTGTATCAGACTTTGTAAGTTTGCTTTATACTGTCTATATACTGTGCTATCCAGGAAAAAAAAATAGAGAGAAATAACACATTATTTAGAAAGTAAACATTGTTTAAAATATTACATATGTTGCAGGTAAACCACGTGTACAATGGAGGATAAATGCATTAAGCAGATAACGCACTTCAGACTTCCAATGCCCTTTCATGCTATTGACTAGAAAGGACAATGCTGAACACTGAGATTTCAAATCACATTATTTGTTAAATCTACCAGTGAGTGTGCTACTAAGACTGTGTTTTATTGATTTTTCTTTCATTACATGATGAAATATCAATGAGAATATAGTTCCTGATTTTTGGTATATATGAATATGTAATATTATGTATTTATCTTTCCATATTATAGTGTAATATTAGGTATATGCCTTTCCATTAAAAGAGAATGCATCTTTTTGTAAATTTATATAAATATAATATTTCTTTTAATAACTATGTATCAATCTGTAGTCTGTACATAAATGTGTCTCTCTTTGTATAGACAAAGAAAGATGAATGCAGGGAGCTGTGAATAAGTTAGGAAGTTCTAGAAAAAAATAGATTCTGAATTAAAAATGGAAAGAACTGAATAGCACTGGAAGCACACACAATAACCTGGTAGAAAATGGTCCAATTCTGAGTCCCTCAGGAGAAGAAAGGCTGAGATTTTCTCCCTGCTTCTGTGAATAAAGCCTCTCAATGATCTTGCCTGTAATACAATTCTAATAAAATGTGATGAAGAAAATAATAAATTGTCTGTCATATTTCTCCTGAACAATGGTGGTAGAAATGAGAGGTAATGGAAAAGAAAATGAAGGTGAAGGGGAAAGAAGTAGCTGAAAGTTGCTATTGGAGATAGGCAAGACAAAAAACTATATTGGAAACATTTGTCACACTGCAACTAGTTTCTGGCTTTTGAAGAGGCAAGCCCTCTCTCACTATGTTGACACAGAATTATACCTGGAGATGATGTTAGACCTTGTTTTTAGTGACTGGAAAAATCCTCTTGAAAATTCTATCTGGTACTTAACAATAGGGTCCATTTTAATGAAGAAATGGTTGGCTAAAAGATTGCCAGAAGTGGTTTAAATTAAAAGCGGTTCAAAGATGATTACTAAGCAAAGACTTACTTACACTTTCAAATATGGATAAAAACATTTCTGGAAAACTCATCTTAGACAAATGCAGTTTCATTTGTAGAATATACCTCAGACATAAGTGTATTTTGAAAATAGACTGTACTTTGTATTATTAATAAAAGGTAAGAACTACATTATTTTTTTGTAAAATGTTAAATATATGACGTTTCCCTTGTGATATATTTGTTCTGCTGTATGCTTATTTCATTCATATTCATAAACAAACACACACATACACACATATGTATATGCAAAGTCTGTCTATTTGAAAATAACAGAACTAATTAATGCTTACATAGTTTATACCCAACTTCCAAAAATGACTTAATAGTCTTAAGTCTTAATGATCTAAGATAATTTGCCTGTAACCCATTCACCACTCTTCAGAGTCCCTGGTTCTGTACCACCAGAAAGCCTCAGGAGTATTCAGGAGACATTGCACTATTTAAATCTTAATGACTTAAATGACTTAGTAATATTCTAATCATGAAATTTCTTAACCTTTTCTCAAACATAGCAAGATAATGACTGTTTTGACCAAAGTGTCAGCACTGGGGTTTGTTTTTTTTTCTCAGTATCTATAAAAGTTCCCAGATTCTATTTCATTGATGTTCTAATAAGTTATTTTATTATTCTGCCTATACGTTAACTAAGTGAGAAAAGTATTGGCATTACTATTAGTTCTCTTTATAATATATTGGCATCAATGTTAATACTGAATGAACCCAAATGATTAATTTGCAGATACAAACATGAGCTTATTGGAAAATTTAACGACTCTCACAATTGTTTGAGTGGAATTATGTTTGACATTCAATGGCTAGAAGTAGAAAATTTTGTTATGACTTCCATAACCATTTAAAAAACATGTTCTGTATTGAAGCCTCAGATTTAACAACAAAATACTTATAAAGACACAATTTCTGTTAAATTATGGTAGATAAGGTATGGAAAAAAATGACCTGACTTTTAAAGAAAAAAATGAAGGTGCATCTATGCTTGGCATAGTAAAAAATTAGTTTAATCTACTGAAAGAATAAAATGAAATTCTATGAAAATAATATAACAAATACTGTGTCTGTAACCCACTTATCACTCTTCAGAGTCCTTGATTCTGTGCCACCAGAAAGCCTCAGGAGTATTCAGGGGACACTGCACTACTCTTCATGTGCCACATTTTGAAGGCACAATTTCAGAATGAATTTGGTCATTTTTTCTCTCCCCACCATACTCATAAGCCCTAAGTTAATTTTCAAAAATCTACTTTAACTTCAGAACATCAAAGAAAATAAAAAGAGAGAAAGGAAACAGGTAGTGAGACACTACATCCTAAAAGAGGTAGTTTTCAAGAATAAAGCACTCTGTTATTAAAGATTAAACTAATGTTCACATGTGTACACACATCCACCTATGGATGTCAAGGGACAAGTATGCTATTGAATCAGCAAAATAAAGCAGCACTCTAAAGAATTAAAGGATAGTTGGGTGCAGTGGCCCACACCTGTAACCCTAGCACTTTGGTAGGCCAAAGTGGGTGGATCACTTGAAGTCAGGAGTTCAAGACCAGCCTGGCCAACGTGGTGAAACTCCGCCTCAGCTAAAAATATAAAGCTTAGGCAGCCTGGTGGTGGGTACCTGGATCCCACCTCAGCTACTCAGGAGGCTGAGGCAGAAGAATCACTTGAACCCAGGAGGCAGAGGCTGCAGTGTTTTGAGATCATGCCACTGCACTCCAGCCTGGGCAACAGAGTGAGACTCCGTCTAAAAAAAATGAAAAGAGCATGACTATAAATATATTAATATATTCTATGGTAAGAAATAGAAGAACAATTTGAAGAACTTTATGCATTTCTTTCCTCTATTTTTCTATTTTTACAAAACAATACAGCCTAAATCTTAGTAGCTTAAAACACTAACTGGCTTAAAACACTGTTTTATGTTGTTTTATAATTTCTTATGATTTTTAAATTGACTCAGAACAACTGCAGTCTTTCTGCTTTACGTGCTGTTGTCTGGAACTGTGTTCACCTGGAGGACTGACTGGGGCTGAAATATTCAAGACAGCTGGCTGACATGCTAGCATTTGTTGGTTGTAGCCTGGATGCTTGGCTGGGGATGAACAGCATGTCTTTGCTCCTCTCATATGGCCTTTCTCCTGTTTATTTGGGCTTTTCAGAGCATAGTGGTTCCAAAAAGAAATATTTTAAGATGTGAAGGCAGAATCTGCAGATTTTTTAGGACGCTGCCTGAGAATTACTACAGCCTCTCTTCTGCTGTATTCTATCGGTCAAAACCAATCACAGGGCCATCCAGATCTGTGAGAAGGGGGGATAGGCTATATTGCTCAGTAGAAGAAATAGCAAAGGATGTGTAGCCCCTTTCGATCTAACATAAGTGTCTTCAGGAGAATGGAAGGAGACGTCTTCTATAAAACTGATACAGAAAGAAATAAAAAAAGATTCAGAAAAAATAGAAACTCGAAGAAAAAATTTAAGAATGGATTATAAAAATATATTTTATAAGTTTCTGTCCTTTTCATACTTTAAGTAATGCCTTTTGTCAGATTATCAGTGTGCAGTGTCTTTTTATGATACTTACAAGATATTGTGAATATTAATAATGAAATCTAAAATATTTAAGTTTTCTGAATGTCTTTGTTTGCTAGCGTTTTTTGTTTGCTCTCTGTTAACTTCTTAGCTGTGGATTTGGGTTGAACTGGTTGGTAGGGTTAATGAATCTCAATCAATTTTAGATGGAAGAAAATTTAAGTATTGTACACACCTCTGCTAAATTTCAAGTTTAAAGAATACTAACTTAAGGTAAATACAAAATGTCAACAACAAAAACTAATCATTTAGCTAGTCTTTTTCCTGGCAAGTCCTAAGATACTTAGCTATCCTTGACTGACTGTGCCCCACAGTTGGTACAAAGAAAACTATTTAGACCTTCCCTTAAGCAAAGAATATTCAGCACAACATTGAAGAGCCCTCTATGCATAATTTAGTATGGCTTTTATTATATTTTAATTATTTATTAAACTCTCTGTTGTTCAACCTAGCCCGTGGGCTTCCTTATTCTTGTAAAATCATCCTGAGGCTTGAAACAATTCCTAGCACAGGGTTTGCTAAAGGGTTAATGAAAAGGTTTAAACATTAAGTAAGAGGAAATTTAAAAGGTTCTTTCTATTCAGAGTTAATGGATTTTGTTTTATTTAGAATAAGTAGTGACTGGCCAGGTGCAGTGGATCATGCCTGTAATCCCAGCACTTTGGGAGGCCGAGGAGGGCAGGTCACGAGGTCAGGAGCTAGAGACCAGCCTGGCCAACACAGTGAAGCCCCGCCTCTATTAAAAATACATTAGCCAGGCGTGGTGGTGGGCACCTGTAATCCCACCTACTTGGGAGGCTGAGGAAGGAGAATCACTTGAACCCAGGAGGTGGAGGTTGCAGTGAGCCAAGAGTGCGCCATTGCACTCCAGCCCAGGTGATAGTGTGACTCCGTCTCAAAAATAAATAACAAATAAAGAATAAGTAGTGACTATTTCTATGTTATTTATACTTAATTACGTTACAAGAGAATTAATAGATACAGCCACTAGTTTGGAAAGGAAAATCCTACAACTTTGTATATCTGATTTCAGTAATGCATTATAAATAATTCCTGTAATGGCTTTCATGATAACATCAGTTCCATAATAATAGAAACTGTTTCACTTAATATAAAGATTTCTCTCAAAAATACCTTAAAAGATTAAAATGTAAAGATACACAATGAGCTTACCCTTCTATACTAAGTTAGACTATTTACTTATGTTTGACATAACTTTGAAAATCTGATAACTATTTTAGTTCCATAGGGGTGTGTATCCATTTGGCTCTTCTGTTACTCAGTGCTATCTGAAAATTCTGTTGGACTTTTCATCTACAAAAAGAAGTAAGACATGGTTTTGGACATCAAGGAACATTGTCAACCAATCAACCAACTAACCCATATGCCTACCATATGAAATACATGTGTTTAGTTGTGGAATACAAATAAATTATGTAACATCAGAATGTTTTCAGTCGTAGTAAAAATAACTAACATTTATTGAGTGATACCTTTTTCTATCATTGCATTAAAGTGTTTTATACAGATTAGAAAAAATTTATGATTTAGATTCTATTATTATCCCAATTTCACAGACCCAGACACTAAGTATTACAGGACCAAAATAAGTTAACTTAGGCAGGAAAGTCCCTAAGAGACTAAACCTATGTTTTAACCAAGAAGTTATTCCACAGTCCAGGCAACTCTTACAAGTTACTTATTTTGTTACCAGTGGCAGGAATCCGATTTACTTTGAGTTATGGGCAGCGTATCCATATGGGTCCTCAGCAATTTCAGTCTTTGCCTCTTCAGAAGAAAGAATTTATTCTACTGAGGGGCATAAAGCAGAAAAAGAGACTGAGGCAAGTTTCAGGGCAGGAGGGGAAGCTTATTTAAAAAGGCTTTAGAACAGGAAAGAAAGGAAAGTTCACTTCGAAGATATCCCAGAGGGTGCATGAAGGTCAGAGAACATTTTACCTTCTTCCTAGTGTGTCCGGAATTGATGGGTTCTTGGTCTCACTGACTTCAAGAATGAAGCCGCGGACCCTCACGGTGAGTGTTACAGCTCTTAAGGTGGCACGTCTGGAGTTTGTTCCTTCTGATGTTTGGATGTGTTCGGAGTTTCTTCCTTCTGGTGGGTTCGTGGTCTCGCTGGCTCAGGAGTGATGCTGCAGACCCTCACCGTGAGTGTTACAGGTCTTAAGGCAGCGCGTCTGGAGTTGTTCCTGCCTCCCGGTGGGCTCGTGGTCTCACTGGCTTCAGGAGTGAAGCCGCAGACCTTTGCGGTAAGTGTTACAGCTCATAAAGGCCGTGTGGACCCAAAGAGCGAAAAAACAAAGCTTCCACCCTGCGGAAGGGAACCCTGCCGGATTGCCACTGATGCCTCCAGGCAGCTTGCTTTTATTCTCTTATCTGCCCCCTCCCCCCCCCCCATCCTGCTGATTGGTAGAGCCGGAGTGGTCTGTTTTGACAGGGCACTGATTGGTGCCAGTTTACAATCCCTGAGCTAGACACAAAGGTTCTCCACGTCCCCCCAGATTAGCTAGATACAGAGTGTCCATTGGTGCATTCACAAACCCTGAGCTAGACGCAGGGTGCTGATTGGTGTATTTACAATCCCTGAAATAGACATAAAGGTTCTCCACGTCCCCACCAGACTCAGGAGCCCAGCTGGCTTCACCCAGTGGATCCCGCACCGGGGCTGCAGGTGGAGCTGCCTGCCAGTCCCGCGCGTGCGCCCGCACTCCTCAGCCCTTGGGTGGTCAATGGGACTGGGTGCCCTGGAGCAGGGGGCAGCGCTCATCGGGGAGGCTCGGGCCGCAGAGGAGCCTACGGAGGGGGTGGGAGGCTCAGGCATGGTGGGCTGCAGGTCCCCAGCCCCGCCCCGCGGGAAGGCAGCTAAGGCCCGGCGAGAAATCGAGCGCAGCTCCGCTGGGCTGGCACTGCTGGGGGACCCAGTACACCCTCCGCAGCCGCTGGCCCGGGTGCTAAGCCCCTCATTGCCCTGCCGGCCGCTCCGAGTGCGGGGCCGCCAAGCCCACGCCCACCCAGAACTCCAGCTGGCCCGCAAGCGCCGCGCGCAGCCCCGGTTCCCGCTCGCGCCTCTCCCTCCACACCTCCCTGCAAGCTGAGGGAGCCGGCTCCGGCCTTGGCCAGCCGAGAAAGGGGCTCCCACAGTGCAGCGGCTGGCTGAAGGGCTCCTCAAGTGCCGCCAAAGTGGGAGCCCAGGCAGAGGAGGCGCCGAGAGCGAGCGAGGGCTGTGAGGACTGCCAGCACGCTGTCACCTCTCACTAGGGCTTCATAGACTCACCCTCTTTCCCATGATTCTTCCCTTAGGATGAGCTTCCTGCATGCTCAGTGCCCTCTTTACTTCTGGGAATTGAGCACGCCTAGCGTGTTTAGGAAATTGGGCACATGCCCATCTGAGGCTTTCTTCCCTTTTCCCGTGGGATGTACCCGGAAGGTCACATTTCGCCATTTTATCTATTAGTGCGTATGGCCAGGAAGTTTCTTCTCCATGGCATCTGCAATTCAATTAACACTTTTAATGATAATAGCTCTGGATCATTAGGAGATTGTCTCTCCCTGTGGCTGCCAAATTATCATTTTTAGAGAAGTTTTATAAACGTCAAATCAACACCTGACAGTCCTAGTGGGTGAGGGAAAAGCCCTCTCCTGCCCCACGCATGCCTATCTAACTACCTGTAACAATTTGAGAGAGTACATATGGGTTTTGAATTAATCACAAGAACATTACAGGAAGAATAGAGAAAAGCAAAGAAGCTCTCAGTGCAAACTCTATAAAGGGCTATTTGGTTTAAAAAAATTAAGGCAGCTTTAATTATGTAACTTATTCTAAATGAATTTCAAAGATCATTCAAATATTTGAAACTAAGTAGTGGATTTTTTTTATGACTCCATACATTTTGATCACACACAGATATAAATACACACACACACACAAGAATCTCTATCAGTCAAATAAAGGCATTGGAAACATTTCAAAGCATATGATAAATATAGAATATTTTTCCCTCATCCCCCAAATAAAGAATCCCATCTCCTACGTAGCCTTCGAAAAGTTAATTCTGTGTTTTGAGTTGCAAATATGGACATGACTAATACAAATAGACTATGCATGCTGAACTAATAATTAATTAGACTAAATGTCAATGAATGTTATAAATGTAAAATGTGTACACATCATAACAATTTTAGATCGTTCAGTAGAGAGGAAGACAATAGCACAGGGTTACACTGTACAATACAATATTGCATATTTGGTAAATCTTCATTTTTTCTTAAGGAGTGTGCATGGAGCTCCTGCAGTAATTCATATAAATGCTTGATAAATGATTGCTATTAGTATCTTTTTAGAAATAGTCCAACGACATAATTTAAATACTACAGGTTCACATTTTAACTGGTATTTGAGGTTTACTAGTTCAATTCTGCCCGGTCCGTAGGATATTGTTGATAGTTTTTAGTATTTTAGTGTTATATTTTGCCAAGATTATATATTTTAGTTCATGAATTTCTTCCTAGCTCTATTCATACCATGTAACAATAGACTCCTGAAATAAGACATGATGAAGTTTTTATGTTCTTGGCTTGGGATTGAAACTTGCTTGTACTCTTTTCAACTTCATGTCTTAATTTATATTAAAACTTGTATTATTTAACAATTGCTTAAGTATTGCATGCTCCCTGCATTATTTAACATGACTATAAAAATATTCTATGGAGAAAAATAGAAGAATATTTAGAAAATTGTATGTATTTCTATTATCTGTTTTTGCTGCATACCAAATAACTCAAAACTTAGTGGCTGAAAACCGAAGTGTCACTTTATGGTATTATTTTTAGATTGACTTAGAACAGCTGCATAGTCTTTCTTCTTCATGTACTGTTTTCTGGAACTGTGTTCACTTGAAGGATTGAGGCTGAAACATTCAAGACATCTGGATGACATGGCTGGCACTTGTTGCTGGCTGTAGCCTGGGGGTCTGCTGAGACTGGACAGCATGACTTTGCTCTTCTCATATGGCTCTTTCTCCAGTTTATTTGGATTTTTCAGAGCATGGTGGTTCTGAAAAGAAATATTTCAAGATGTGAAGGTAGAACCTGCAAATTTTTTAGGACACTGCCTCAGAATTAATCACAGCATCTCTTCTGCTGTATTCTATCAGTCAAACCCAATCACAGGACCAGGAAGATCTGAGAGTAGATGAAATAGTTCATGTTTCTCAGTAGAGATATGGCAAAGAATGTGGAACCTCTTTTGATCTACCACAGGTATCTTTAAGAGGATTGAAGGAGACATCTTCTATAAAACTGATACAGAAAGAAAGAAAAAGAAAAAAGATTTAGAATAAAAATTAGAAGAAAACAAAAATAAGAATGGATTATAGCAAGGCATGATGGCTCATGCCTGTAATCACAACATTTTGGGAGGCCAAGATGGGAAGATCTCTTGAAGCCCAATCATTCAAGACCAATCTGGGCAACAAAGTGAGACCCTATCTCTACAAAAACATAAAAAAATTAGTAAGTTTTGGTGGCACACACCTGCAGTCCCAGCCATAGGAGAGGCTGAGGTAGAAGGATTGCTTAAGCCCTGGAGGTTGAGGCTGCAGTGAGCAATGTTTGCAACACTGTGTTGTAGCCAGGCAACAGAGTGAGACCCTGTCTCAAAATAAAAAAAAAGAATGGATTATAAAAATGCATTTTATAAATTTCTGTCCTTTTTAAATTTTTTTTGTCAAATTATCAGTGTGCAGTGTCCTTATGATACTTATGATTGATTGTAAATATCTTTAATGAAATCTACAATGTGTCTTGTTTTTCTAATTGCCGTTATATCAAAAGCTGACCAAGATATTTTCAGAAAATAAATAAACCAATATTCTTTTTGAACATAGATTAAAAAATAATAAACTTTGGGGAAAAAGTAAATCAGGCATGTTATAAGTCAAATAATACATTGTGACCCAGTAGAATTCATCCTGGGAATTTAAAGTTGACTTATATTAAACAATCAGTTCATACCAATTACTCCAATAACAGAATAAAGGAAAAATGGCATTTTACCTATTCCATGAATTGGGGGAAAAAGCACCATAAGGTGTGTCAGCAGAGTAGAAATAAGAGGAAATAGGAGAAATCAGTGAATCTGATTGAGTATTTATAAAAGTCCTACAGTTAGCATAATACTTAATGGTGAAATACTGAACATAAAACTTCACATAATTCCAATGTTATCTGCTCATACTTGTTCTATTCACCATAACACTGAACACTTAGAGAGTGTAATAAGAAAAAACAGTAAAGGGGGGAAACTATTTAAAGACTTAAACTGTATTTATTCATAGAAAGCATGATTATGTATATAGGAATATATGAAAATTCTAACAGATAATCTAAAACTGAAAAATTTATCAATGTCAAAACATTTAAGGTCAAATTTAAAAATGTACTTCTATATTACAGTGATGCACTAAAATAAAAAACAAAACTATAATTTCAAAAGAATCAAAAATATCAGATGTTTAGGAAAAAATCTGGTGAAAATGTGCCAAATGTTTACTCTGAACATTAAAGAGAAAAAATTAAAATATAAATAAAAAATAAATATATCATTTAAATGACTTGGAGGAAACAAGGTTCATAAGAATTTAATTCTACCCAGCTTGTTTTATCATTTAACAAAATCCCTATGACCATTATAGCCAGCTTTTTAGAAATTGACAAATTTTTAAAATTATGTGGAAATGCAAAATTATGGCCAAAAAGTTATGATAACAAACAAAATTGAAACACTTTATATAACTGATACAAAAATTATAGTGATGCTAGAATAATCAAGGCATTATGATATTAAATCTGATTATTGTTCAATTAAAATTGGTTAGTATAGGAAATATATGTCTTTTTATAAATGATGTCAAAGAAATGCCATATTTCTATAGATAAAATATATTTAAACTGGAATTCTATATAAAAAATTAATTTTATCTGAATCACAGTTGTAAAATTATAATATCATTAAACATCTTGCATCAAAATTAGAAGAACATTACCATGAATCTAGAGTAGACAAAAATTTTATGGACAGGAAATATATGGAATTAACCACTAATGGAAAAATATATGCATTATACTTTAGCAAATTAAACTTTTCTGCTCATCAAATCAAGAATAGGTGTGTTATAGCCTTGGAAAAACATTCTCCAAATGTCACAATGACAGAACACTTGTATCTAGAATATAATAAGTGTTTTTACAAATGAAAGGAGAAATAAAAATAATAAAATTAAGAAAATGGGCATGTGACTAGAAAAGACAATTTATAACATGATATAAAAATAGCAAATAAGCACACATGCACAGATTTTCAGTATCATTAGCCATCATGAAATCTACATAATGTTCATAGTAAGACCTATTTTGCACATTTCCTAATGGCAAAAAAAGGACTGGCAACATTGAATACTGGGGAGGATTTGGAGTAGCTAGAGCACTCATATTGCTGATTGAAATGTAAAATATAAAATACACATCCACTTGGAAAACTATTTCACAGCTTCTTATGAAATTGAGTTCTTTAAACATCTGTAAGTAAAATTTCAGGCCTTACTTTATTACACAAGGGAAAGAAATACAATGACATAAGCAAGATTGCTCTAGCAGTCTTGTTTATAGCAGTTTAAAACTATAAACACTCAACTGTCCATCAACAAGAGAGCTGATAATTGCATCATGGTAGACTCATATCATGGAATAGTACCCATTAATAAAAGGGGGTCAACTATGATGCACTTGACAACATGGATAAGCCTACAGATATTATTCTGATTAAAGGAATTTGGATACAAGCAAGTACATATTGTAGGATTCAACTTATATATATACAAAGAACAGCAGATATTAATGTGTAACATAGAAATCATAAAGTTGTTGCCTCTGCAGGTGGGGGAAATTGAATGCAATTGCTCAAAACAGAACTTTCTACAGCAATGAATATATACATCCACAAATGTCCAAACTCATTAAAATGAACATGATATCTGTACACTTTATTATATGGAAGTGATACTACAATTTTAAAAATTAAATGTTCGGAAGCTAAAAAATCTCATAATTTCCCACTTTCCTTCTGGATTTCATTATGAACATCCTTCTTTCAGATACTGAAGCTCAAACCATCCATCTTGCTGCCTAAATTTACTCCCCTGGAGCAAATCAATCACTCAATCAATCAATCAATGTATTGGCTAACACATATTTATTTATCCAGAAACTGTCGTGAATTATAATGAAAATGAAAGAAATATGGAAATAAAATTACCTTGCAACAAAACAGCAGAATTTTCCTAAAAATATAGATATGAGGGGAAACAAATGTGTATGTTTAAGAGGGAAAAACATATATATATGTGTGTGCAAGTGTGTCTTGCTCTTATTCCATTCCTACGCCTATGCATACTTTATATATCTGTAAGTTAGAAAAGTATAATGAAGTCTGCTTCTCATATTTACAATGGCTTTGCTTTGAATGTTATTGGTATGTAATTTTATTTACAAAACTCTATGACCTTTATATATTCATTGTGAAATGGAATTGCTAATGATACAACATGATCTTCTCTGTCCTGTTGAATGATTTCTAAGGTACTCAAGCAACAAGGAAGTAAAACAAACTCAGCTACTCTGCCAACTAAGACTCTTGGCCCCTTTTTGACTAAATAGGTTATTGAAAAATATTGATTTAATACTAATAAGTGTTTAAATATAAGGCTCTAATTTGTCCCTATTGGATATTTCAACTGATAGGCTGACTTTTAAAGTCCTTCATTTAATTTGGATTACGCAATTTGGAAGTCTCAGACACTTTAAAATTGGGGATTCTATGAAGCTATGTAATATGAATATGTAATATTCAGCCATAGCTGTGTCTGCCATTCCGGGATCCAGAAAGATGATTTGCACTTATACTGCTATGATGCTCAAGGAAACATGCATGATTTCATTAGCTTAGCTGATAGTGCTGTTTAAGCAGATTTATGCAGGTGAGTAAAGAAATGAAACCCCCAACCCTCACCGAAATAAGTAGCTTCAAGTAGTATATGACAGTGTAAAAAACTGTAATTGTGGGATCAGCTGTAGTTAGAAATATTTCAGGAAAGGACTGTTTTAAGAGGGGCCTTTTTTAAGCTATTATATTTGTTCAAAGAATAACCAAAACTGTCACATTTAGTAAACATCTCTATTAATTGAAGTTCTCCTGTTCATTATAAAAAAGCAATGTAAAGCAATATAAATATATCTGCATACCCATGTTCACTGCACCATTATTCACAATAGCCAAAAGGTGAAAGCAACTCAAATGTCCATAAATAGATAAATAAACTAACAAAATGTTATATATGTGTGTGTGTATGTGTGTGTGTGTGTAATATTAATCAGCCTGAAAAAAAGAAATTTTTATACATGTTACAACATGAATGACCCTTGAAAACGTGCTAAGTGAAATAAGTTAAGCACAGAAGAACAAATATTCTATTATTTCAACTAAAATGGTATCTAGAGTAGCCAAACTCAGAAACAGAAAGTAGAATGGTGGTTGCCATGGGCAGGAGGTGAGGGTAATGACAAGTTAGTGTTTATTTAATGGATACTCAGTTTCAGTTTGTGATGATAAAACAGTTCTGGAGATGAATGTTGGTGATGATTGCATATTAATGAGAAGTACCTCATTTGCCACTGAAAACTTCATTTAAATATATTTAAAATTGTCAATTTCATGTTATGTATATTTTACAATAACAACAAAAAGCAGTATGAATCACATATTTTAAGGCAACAGTGACACAACACACACAGTGTGTCTACAGACCATGTTAGAATTTTTCCATAGTAATATCTTTAAAAGCAATATTAGTGGTATTAATTTTAAAATAACCATTAAAGTAAGCATTAAAAAGCTAAACAACATATAAGGCATATAATTGGAGGAGTAATTAGATTTGTCAGCTTACTAATGTTCATAATTATAATAGTAATGCTTCAAATAAAAGACAATAAGCACTAAACCTATTTCTAAACAACATCATCACTTTTTATATCTTCTACAACAAACTTGGGACTCTAAATGAATACAAATAAATATGGAAACTATCTAGAACACATATTCACTGACATTATGGGAATAGGTTTTATTCATGCAGCTTTCATTTGGAAGATGAAAGTCCATTCAGTCCAGTCATCTGTTAGAGAAAAATGTTAACTACATTGTGTCACTTAAAATTAAATTGCAGCTTCAAATCAAAGAAACAGAGTTAGAAAGGATGATAATGATCCCACTCCTTCATGTTTTCATTCCCTGTTAGTTTATTTTCCCAGATATGTTAAATATAATTGCTTTTGTTAAATATCGACCTGATTTTATGTTTTATTGTTAAAAATTATAATTATAATTTATCCTGTCTGGTATTTTCTGAACTTTTTGAATCTGTGCTTTGGCATCTGTCAATAATTTGGAAAGTTATTGATCTCGATTATTATTACTGTAAATATTGCTTCTCCATTCTTTATTTCTTCTTCTAATATTCTATAATGCATACATTACACCTTTTGAAATTGCTCACAACACTAGGATGGTCTTTTCTGGTTTCTGCTCCTTCTTCTTCTCCTTTCTCTCCTTCTCCTCCTCCTCCTCTTCCTGCTCCTTCTTCATTCTAGTCACTATTTTCTTTTTAGTATGGAAAGTTTCTGTTGATCTATTTTCAAGTTCATAATTCTTTCCTCAGCCACTTTTAGTCTTCTGATGAGTACCATCTAAATTATTCTTCATTACTGATATACTGCTTTTGATTACTAGAATTCTCTTTTGATTCATTCTTAGAGTTGCTGTCTACTGTCTTTTTATGTGGTCCACCCCTTCATCAATTCTTTTATGTTGTCAACATTTTTTATTAAAGCCTTTCATTTTATTAACATGATACTTTTAAATTATTATAATTTCAATATCATTGTCTTACTAGAATGTTGTTCTGATCCTTACTTTGTCTCTTCAGACAGTGGCTTAATTGGTTTTTATTGTTTGTTTGTGTCCATTTTTTGGCATGACTTGAAAGCAGAACATGTTTTGTATCAGGAAATAGGAACTTAAGTAAATGTACCTTTAGTGTTTGGATTTATGTAAATCTGTATAAGAGGCTGTGTTTAATATTTGCTGTAGTTGTAGGCATCAGAGGCTTAAAATTTCTTTTGTATCCTTGTTTTTGTCTTCCTTCTTGACTTTCTGTTTGACTTGACACCTCCAGAGATGACAGTATGAGAAGGGAGAAAAAAATACCTTTGCAGTGTGGAAACCTGACAAGAAAAACCTCATCCGGGTGATCAAGGTTAATATCAACATTAATAAATCATGTTGGTATGGTGTGATTAAAATGTCACTTTACCTCTGTGATCTTTCTCCAAGAAACCAATAAGCCCAATCTGATACAAATAAAAAGCATTGAAGAAAAATTCAAATAGAGATACACTCTACCAAATACTGGATCAATACTCCTCAAAACTGTCAAGATCATCTCAGACCATGAACATTTAGGAAGCTGTCTCAGCCATCTAAAAGGACATGACTATTAATGTAATGTGATATTGTTGATTGGTTCATAAAACATAGAAATCGCTCAGGTAAAAATTAAGAATATATGAATAAAGTTTACCTTTTGTTAATAATAACAATATTGCTCATTTATTGTAATAAATGTACCATACTACATAAGGTGTTATTAAATAGAATAAACTGAGGATGAAGGATATGGGATCTTTTTGTACAATGTTTGTAATATTTTGTAAATGTAAATTTCTCTAAAGTAAATGTTTATTTAAAAATAATATTATTTGTAATCTGAATAAATGAATAATTAATAATTATTTTGAATAAGGAGAAAAAAGAACTACTTGCACATAATAATTAAAGTTAATGGGATTTTTTTCTTCAGATAAAAAGAAGGCAACATAAGCAGGTAGAAAGCAGGTTTTAAACAATATTTATGAACACTAATATTAACTGGGAAGCATTATTATTATCATTATTATTATTTTGAGACAACACTTCACTTTGTTGCCTTGGCTGGAGTGTAGTGGCATGATCATGGCTCATTGCAGCTTCAACCTTCCAGGTGCAATGATCTTTCCACTTTAGTCTCTTGAGTAACTAAGACTATAGGTGTATACCACCACACCTGGATAATTTTTTAGTTTTGATAGAGATAGGGTCTTGCTATATTGCCCGGGCTGATCTCCAACTCTGGGCTCAAGCAATCCTCCTCCCTTGCCCCGCTAAATTGGAAAGTATTATTTTTAATGACAAGAATTAGGACCAAAATTCCAAGTTGGCAAACCCTTTCTTCGGCTTATGTTTTCTAGTCCATTGTTTGCACGCAAGCAATAGCTCATGTAACAAAATATTGTTCATACTGACCATGAAACGTTAATTCTAAATGGACCAAAACTACATTTGTAGAGCAGACTTAACCTCGCTTATTATACAGTTCTATAGGAATTCTTATATTGTGGTTCAGAGAATGGATAGAAATTGCTCAAATAAATGTCTCCTAAATATCAGCAAGAAAAACAACAAAAATAAGTTCCAGCAATGACATTCATTTTTCATAGCCCCAGAGAATCTGAACATAAAAATAATGAGATATTCTCAAAGTGTTACTCAAAGGGTCATTAAGATAAAGTTCTTTTAAAATGTACCCTTAAACTTGAATCCTCCTATAAATTAGATATCAACCTCCTAAAATATACATATTTAAAGCATCATTAATTTAGTGAAGAGTTATAAAGTAAAATTACAAAATGTTACTTAACAAAAGAATGGAATCAGCTTGTACCTTCACAGTTAAACATTTTAGTAACAGCTCATGTGCTGATAAATTTCTACTCTGATCTCAGAAAATTACAGAAGCTCTAACACTGATGTATCTATTTTTACTTTTACTGTAAATTATTAAATTAGTTTTACTATTGCAGTGAATTATTAAGTTATTTTATCACATAGCCCTGGAGTTCAGGATTGTTTCTTGGTTTTAGTTTAGTAACTCAGTGTGACTATTGATTTCCTTCATTCCAATATTGTCTTTGCTACCTTTAGGATCTTAGAGCTATCCAGGGTATTGTGTACTTTCAAGTGGAAATGTCTTGGTCTTCCCTTCAGTAACCTTCATAAACAAATAACAGCAAACAGTCAAGCAGCAAAAGTCAGTTTCACATTAGTTTCTGGCTTGTTTTTTAGTTTTGATTTTGGAACATTGAGTCTAGGGAATGCTCTGTGCAGGAAGATGTAGAAAGTGAGCATTTTGAAAATCATTAGTTTCAAGGATCATATTCTGATGACAAAATGCAGTTCAAGTAACATACATTCTACTACTTCCAATCCTGTTTAAAGAAAAAAGTCTAAATGTTATTTGAGTTTAAGGCCTGATATGAAGGATAACTACAGAGGAGGAAAAATAAAGAAAAGGGTTAATTTTGCATTTTTTGTTCTTACTACCTGGGTAACTTTAGGAAAATTACAAATTCTTATAAATACATTTAGTCCATTTATGAAATAGAGCTTACAATCATCATTATTCCACAATGGTATCCACGAATATAATTAGAAAAAATGAGATAGAGACTCACTGAGTAAATAGCATAAAATAAATCCTCTACCTTAATGAGACTCAATCTGGATGAATTCACTACTAAAATTCAGCAGCATTCTTTAATTTGTCAACCAAGTTTGTGGACATCATTTTCTGTCAAGCTTCCCAAGTTAATTCACTTTGGTACAGGTTTTGATTGCATATAGCAATAGTACTATTGAACACCAAATAAGCATCATAGAGTGTGAGTTTCCTTTAGAAACAGCCCATGGACCCCAGGGCTACGTGATAAAATAATAATTCACTGTAATAGTAAAATTAATTTAACAATTCACTGTAAAAGTGAAGAAAATATACACCAGTGCAAAAGCTTCTGTAAGGTGGTTTCTAACACATAGTTTTTCTAAAAATATAACCTTTATAACACCTTGGAAGTTTTGAGTTTTGGAAGTTCATAGTTTTTAGATCTTTTTTATGGATGGATATTCTGATGTTCAGAGTTTTAGTACTGTTTATAAGCTCATAACCCTAGTACATTTAGAAAGCAGAATTTGGATGTCAGGATCATCTAACTCCAAGGCCCATCTGCTTTCTGATAGCCTATTGTCCTCTTCTTCCTCTAATATATTCCAACATGCACAGTGAATTAGTAAACAGGACTGTATGACGTGAAATTAGTGAAGTGTTTAGAAGTATAAAGCACACCTCAGTTATTACTGGTTACGACTTATTATTATATGTAGAGACAAGACACAACGTGCATTTTTTGTACTTTGATGTTAACTTGGTGGTTTGTTTGATAGATTGATAGATGGTTAGAATTAAAAGTGTTTCTGGAAAATTACAGGAACACACTATTAACCAAACAACCAAAAATTTTAGAAGGTTCAATAAAACTTTCAGGCAATGGAAATACTATGGAGAACATAATTACTCCTTGATGTTTTTGGTCTTATGGATATTTAAGAAGAGCTTAATATACTGTATAATTTAAAAGAACATACTGTAGCTTATTGAATATGTTTCCTTCTATTTAGGTTGTATTAGAGAAACAGGGTATTAATGATAATACGGTGGCTCATGCCTGTAATCTCAGCACTTTGGGAGGTTGAGGTGGGCAGATCACTTGAGGTCAGGAGTTTCAGACCAGCCTGGCCTACATGGTGAAACCCCATCTCTATTAAAATCCAAAAATTAGCTGGGTATGGTGGTGCACACCTGTAATCCCAGCTACTCAGGAGGCTGAGGCAGGAGAATCACTTGAACCTGGGAGGCAGAGGTTGCACTGAGTGGAGATCGTGTAACTGCACTCCAGCCTGAGTGACAGAGAGAGACTCTTTCTGAATAATGATAATAATAATAAGAATACCTTCTACACATAAGGAGATTTACAAAAAGTTTCTTCATACCTGAATTTGATAAAGTCATATATTTGTGACTGCCCAGATCAGACACTTTCCCTCTCTAGAAAAAAAAATGTATGAATAGACAATCATGCCTCAAATAGAATATCTAGGAGGCAACACTAGAGTCCAACAGAGAACTCACAGAAAAAACTGAGAAACAGAAGGAGAAGGAAGCAACTAGCCAGTGTGGCTAAGTTTGGCCAGAAGCCTGGAGGGGTTCAGTATTATATGGAACGAGTAAATAAAAGGGCTTAAGCAGTCCACTCACAGACTATTGTATTCTGAAGCATGGGAGAGATCCTCTATGCACACAAATCCTAACACAAGTATGGGTAGTAATTTGGAGACCCAGTGAATGCCTTGCAGCAGAGAGGGAACTCATGCTGTCAGTCACCTCCTCCCATGAAACCTGAACATTTGTGGCAGGGCACCATTTTGAAGTGCAGCTGTCACAAGACTGCATCCTTCCCTGGGAACAAGCATCCCTGTTACTCCACATCCTGGGAGCTATTGCATTCCCCAGAGTCCTTTCATTATCCTCTTGGGACCCATAGGGTCATTTTACCGCTGCTACTGTCATTGCCTACCCCAAGACCTGAGAACCTGCTCACTTGTCTGGCCCACTGCTGTCACAACTAGAATTTAAGCAAGCCTCCTGAAGGCCCAAGAATCAGCCCACAAGTAACCACAAACACCGGTGCCATAATACACACCTTTGGGGCACAAAACCAGGCACATTCAGGCCACTGCTGCCACCACTGGGCCCAAAGACTGGCTGACCTAGCTTCTCAGTTCCCAACAAAACTTTACTGCAACTTCCACTAATAAGTGCACTTTAATCCTCCATAGAAATCAGCAAAAGTATTAATGCTGTTTACAGCCAAAGAAATCATACAGAGGCTACATTACTGCATGCACCGAGAATCAAAGCCAAAGTGCCCTATTCACAGCAGATATATCTTCAATAAAAACTATTCCACTATGTCATTAAATTCAAAAATAGGATGAAATGACTGTTATACCAAATGCACAACTATCAACATAAGGACACAGGAAACATGAAAAAACAAGGAAATATGACATCTACAAGGAAACACAATAACTCTGCAGCAATTTATCTTAATTCTTAAAAATCTGTAAATTTTCAGTTAAAGAATACAAAACATTGATTTATAGAAGTTCAGTAAGAAATAAGATAATTTTAAACAACAATACAAAGAAATCAGAAAAACAATTACGATATTAATGAGAAATTTATACACAAGATATAGTATTAAAAACAGACATTCTAGAACTAAATAATTAATTGAAGAAAAAACAAAATACATTTGAAAATTTTAAAAAGTAGATAAGAGCAGGCAGGAAAAAGAATGTCAGAACTTAAAGACAGGACTTTTGAAATAACCCAATCAAACAAAACTAAAGAATAAAAAAAAATAAGCAAATCGTGGTGATATTTGGGACAACATAAAGCAATTAAATATATGAATTTTGGGTTTTTCTGAGGATGAAGAGAAAATAAAAGGATTAGAAAATCTATTTAATAAAACAACAGATGAAAACCCCGCAATGTCTAGCAAAAGATGTAGACATTCAGATATAGGAGGCTCATAGATCTTCAGCCAGATACAATGCAAAATGTCTTCTCCATGGTAAATTATAATCAGACAATCTAAAGTAAAAGATAAAGAGTAAATCCAAAAAGTATCAAGAGAAAAGTGCCTACTCACTTATAAAGAAATGACTGAATAGATTCTGAAAACAAAACAAAACAAACAAACAAACAAAAACCATGATTCAAAAATACGCTGCCTAGAAGAAACTGGCTTTCCTGTAAAGACACATATAGACTAAAAGTAAAGGGTTGAAAAAAGACATTCTCTACAAATGGAAATGATCAGGAGTCTGTATTCCCATATAAGATAAAAGAGACTTCAAAGCAATAACAGTAGAATAAAGACAAGGTAATTATATAATGATAAAATAATGAGTACAGTAAAAGGGTATAAGAATTTTAAATATGTATTCAGCCAACACTGGAGCATTAGATTCATGAAGTGAATACTCCTTGATCTAAAGAGAGACTGACATACAGTATAGTGAGAGACTTGAACATGCCTTTCACAGCATTAGAAAGATCATTTTGACAGATAATCAGCTAAGAAACATGGAATTTAAACTGAACATTAGACCAAATGGACCTAACAGACATTTACAAAACATTATATCCAGCAAATACACAATATACTGTTGTTTTATTAGCACATAGAATATTGCCCAAAATAAACCATATGTAAGGGCACAAAACACATCTCAAAGAATGGAAAAAATGAAATCATGTCAGTATCTACTCAGACCTTAATAGAATAAAACTAGAAATCAATACCAAAAGAATGTTTAGAAACTATACAAACACATAGAACCTAATGAACATATTCTTCAATGACAATTGGGTCAATGAAAAAATTAAGATGGAAATCAAAAACATTATTGAAACAAATGAAATCAAAATACAACATACCAAAAGCTGTTGGATTCAGCAAAAGCACTTCTAAGAGAGAAGCTTATGGAAACAAATACCTATATCAATGAAGTAGAAAGATTACAAATTAACAGTCTTAACAATGAATTTCAGAAAACTAGAAAAGTAAGAATCAGCCAAATCCAAAAGTACCAGAAGAAAGAAATAATAAAGATCAAAGAAAAACTAAATGAAATAGAGACCAAAAAAATTACAGGGAATCAATGAATCAAAAAGTTAATTATTTGAAAAGGTACACAAAAACTATAAACCACTAGCTAGACTAACCAAGAAAAGAAGAGAGATCACTTAAATAAATTTAGAAATGATAAAGGATACATTACAACTAATACCATAGAAATGCAAAAGAAATCACCAGAGACTAAAATAACAACTATACAACTACAAACTGAAAAACCTAAAGGAAACAGTGAAATTATTGTAACCATACAAGCTACCAAGATTAAGCCGGAAAGATACAGAAAACCCGAACAGATTAATAATGAGCAGTGAGATTGAATCAGTAGTAGAAAGTCTCCCAAGAAAGAAAAGTTTATTAAAATATAGATTCACAGCTGAAGACTAAGAGCAATACTCTTGGAGCTAATCCAGTGAAATTGAAGAGGCCTTATTTGGTGAGGGAGCATCACCTTGAAACGCAAACCAGACAAGGGCACAACAACAACAACAACAAGAAAACTACACGTTAATAATCCTAATATACCTAGACACAAAAATCCTCAACAAAATGCCAGCAAATCAAATCCAACGGCACATCAGAATGATAATACAAAATGATACCGTGGGATTTATACCAGAGATGCATCAGCATATGCACATCAATAAACATGATATATCACATGAGCAGAATGAAGAACAAAAATCACATGATTATCTCAATAGACACAGAAAAAGCATTAATAAAATTCAACATTCTTGTATGATAAAAACTCTCAAAAAACTAGGGATAGAAGGAACAAATCCCAAAACACAAAGATCACATTAATACCACAGATAACATTATGCTGAATGGAGAAATGTTTAAAGCCTTCATTCTAAGACCTGGTACAAGTCAAGGATGCCCACTTTTCCAACTCTTATTTAACATAGTACTGGAAGTCCCAGCCAGAGTGATCAGGCTAGATAAAGAAATAAAAGACATTAAAATTGAAAACAGAAAGTCAAATAGTGCCTCATTGCTGATAAGATCTTTTACATAAAAATACCTAAAGACTCCACCAAAAAACTCTTAGATTTGACAAATGAATTCAGTAAAGTTTCAGGATACAAAATCAGTGCACAAAAGTCAGTAGAATTTTTATAAACCAAGAGTGATCTAGCTAAGGACCAAATCAAGAAGCCAATCACATTTATAACAGCCACAAAAATACTTGGGAATAAGTTTAACCAAGGACGTGAAAGATCTCTACAAGAAAAAACTATAAAACACTGATGAAGAAAATTATAGAAGACACAAATGAAAATAGCATCCCATTCTCATGGATTAGAAAAATTAATATTATTAAAAAGATCATACTGCCCAAAGTAATCTATGAGTTCAACACAATGCTTATTGAAATATTAATGTTATTTTTCACAGAATAAGAAAAAATTCCTAAAATTTACATGGAAACAAAAAACAGCTGAATACTGAAAGAAATTCTGAGCGAAAAGAACAAAGCTGGATGCAGCACATTACCTGACTTTAAAATACATTACAAGGCCATAGTAATAAAAACAGTATGGTATTATTTAAAAAAGACACATACACCAATGGAACAGAATAGCAAACCCAGAAATAAAGTGTTGCAGGAAGTCAGGGACCCCAAAGGAGGGATCAGCTGAAGCTGCGTCAGAAGAACATAAATTGTGAAGATTTCATGGACATTTATTCACTTCCCCAATCAATATTCTTATAATTTACTATGCCTGTCTTTACTTTAATCTCTTAATCCTGTCATCTTCGTAAACTGAGGATGTATGTCGCCTCAGGACCCTGTGATGATTGCATTAACTGTACAAATTGTAAAACGTATGTTTGCACAATATGAAATCTGATTGTAAAAAATGGGTGTTTGAACAATATGAAATCAGGACACCCTGAAAAAGAACAGAATAACAGTGATTTTCAGGGAACAAGGAAAGATAACCATAAGGTCTGACTGCCTGTGGAGTCTGGCAGAATAGAGCCATATTTTTCTTCTTGCAGGGAGCCTATAAATGGACATGTGAGTAGGAGAAATATCACTGAATTCTTTTCCCAGCAAGGAATATTAATAATTGATAACCCTGGGGAAGGAATGCATTCCCAGGGGTAGGCCTATAGACGACCACTCTGGGATTGTCTGTCTTATGCAGGGATGAAATACGCCCTGGTCTCCTGCAGCACCCTCAGGCTTGCTCAGACTGGGAAATTCCAGCCTGGTGAATTCTAGTCAGACCAGTTCTCTGCTCTTGAACTCTGTTTCCTGTTAAAATGTTTATCAAGACAATGCGTGCCCAGTGGGACATGGACCCTCATCAGTAATTCTAATTTCACCCTTGCCTTGTGATCTTGCTCTGCCCTTTTGCCTTGTGATCTTTTATTGCTCTTTAAAACATGTGATCTCTGTGACCCACTCCCTATTCGTACACCCCTCCCCTTTTGAAATCCCTAATAAAAACTTGCTGGTTTTGTGGCTCGGGGTCGCTATCATGGTCCTATCAATATGCGATGGCACCCCTGGAGGCCCAGCTGTAAAATTTCTTTGTACTTTTTCTCTTTATTTCTTAGACCAGCCGACACTTAGGGAAAATAGAAAAGAACCTATGTTGAAATATTGGGGGCTGGTTCCCCCGATAATAAAGTCACATATTTACATCCATCTGATCTTCAACAAAGTAAACAGGAAATTCCACTGGGGAAAAAAAAAACCCTTCAAGAAATGATGCTGGGGAAATTGGATAGCCACTTGCAGAAGAATGAAATTGGGCCCCTATTTTGCACCACATACATAAATCAACTCAAAATCGATTAAATATTTAAATATTAAGACCTGAAACTAAAAATACTGGAGGAAAACACTTCCAGAAACTGGTCTAGGCAAATAATTTATGACTAAGACCTCAAAATACAGGCAATCAAACATAGGTAAAGAAATATAGACAAATGGGACCCAATTAAACTAAAAAGCTTCTGCTCCACAAAACAAATAATCAACAGAGTGAACAATCTGTTGAATGAGAGAAAATAATTGCAAACTATTCATCCAATGAGGACTGATATTGAGAATATATGGGAAACTCCAACAGCTCAACAGGAAAAATATAAATAATTCCATTAAAAATTAGACAAAAACCACTAATAGATATTTCTCTAATTAAGACAAACAAACACTCAAGAGGTATATAATGAAATGCTAAACATAATTAATCATCAGAGAAATCCAAATCAAAACCAAAATGAGATATCATCTCACACCAGTCACAATAGCTATTATTAAAAAGACAAAAAATAGGTGTCGGCTAGGATGCAGAGAAGAGAGAGTGCCCACATATTTGTGGTAGGGATGTAAACTAATATAGCTACTATAAAAAGCAGTATAGATATTTCTCAAAAAAATAAAAATAGAATTACTGTTAGAGCCAGCAATCCCACTGCTAGGTATCTACCAAAAGAAAATAACTCAATATATCAAAGGGATATCTGCACTCCCATGTTTACTGCAGCACTATTCATAATAGCATAGATGTGAAATCAACTTAAATGCCATCAGCCAATGAATGGATAAAGAATATGTAGTATATATACAACAATATAACACTATTCTGGCATAACAAAGAATAACATCATATCATTTGCATTTTAGGTTACACAATCCAGGCACAAAAAGACAAATAAGACATAGTCTTACAAGAGCTAAAATATTTGCTCATATGGAGATAGGGAGTGGAAAAGATAGAAAATAGAGACTGGGAAGCATAAGTAGAGGGAAAGGGAGATGAAGGTAAAGAGAAGTGGGTTAAAAGGTGTAAATATACAGTAAGATTGTAAAAATAAATTCAATCTTAAATAGAAGACTGGGTGTCTACAGTTGAAGAAAACATATTTTACTCTGGTGGTAGACATGCTAATTACCCTGCCTTGATCACTATGAATTATATACATGTAATAAAATTTTACATGTTCCCCGTAACTTTGTACAAAAAGGAAAAGAGATGAAGTCATTATAACTTGAGGTTTTGAGACCTTCTTAATATATAGATGAAAATGTTACGATGTTTATATTAAACTAACAAATTTATGATGCCTCTGAGCCCATATTCAGTTCACTAATAGGAATTCCAGTTTATTAGTGTTTTTCTTTTCCTCAGAACATGCACAGGCTCTTGAAATAAGTCAACACAACTCTATACAGACCTGCTGCTGCCTGCTGGGAGAATGAGTACTTCCACAGTACTTTTCAAATCAAGCTATGCAGTTTGTCCTCCCCAATACATCTTAAGGGCTTGGTTACCTCAAAATTCCTTCTGTAAATCTATTTTGATTTTCTCTATTTTGATCTTCTCACTCTGCTCTGAAGCAACACTGGATGCTGCCCCCACTCTTTGGTCATGGCAGGACAACTCTATTGGCCTTCACTCATAAGGTTGCTGATTACAACAGTAAACAAGATTTCTGGGAGATGGTGGTAGTGAGGAGTTAAAGCATGCTAAGTTCTTCTTTATTACCCTCAGAGGAAATGCAAACCAAAAAAAATCCTCTTCTCTACCCCATAAACTCTTTTATTTATTTATTTTTTGGTAAGCATATTTCCTTTCTGACATATACGGCCATTTTCTCAGTCACTTGCAGTAACCTTCTATGTCCAAAGAAGTTCTAATATCAGCTACTTGCTATACAGAGTCATCCCTGCTCTCTGATCCTCAGTCTTTGAAGCAGAGCATGTTTTACTTGTCAAGATAATGTCAACCTATTTGATGTGGTATTTCTCAGGAACCTCCCTTTTCCCATCCCATGTACCATTATGTATGTATATCGGTGACTCAATGCAATAGTGGCAGTGACCTAAATTCCTATTCATTTTGGTTTCAAATGTGTGTATGTGTGTGTGATGTGAACAAATGTAAAAGTGCTTGATCCCTCATTCTAACATTCAAGTTCTAAATGTACATGATTATGATAAAGGAGAGAAGAAAGTCCAGCCCACCACAAAAATCAAAATTATGTGGCCTCCACATACACATATATAAGCAGTAGACATAAAGCAATTCTAAGTTTAGAAAACAAAAGTGGTATTTTTAGAATCATTTATGATTGTTTATTACTTTTTAAAAATACTATTTTATACAAAATGTTCTCTCATATACCCTGCAAATATATATGTATACCTAATATGTACCCACAAAAATTAAAAATGAAAAAATTTAAAATGTTTATAACTCTCTGTTAAGTGTAAAGAAAATATTGTGCAAATTTCATTTGGTTCTGCTTTGACAATTTTTAAGACATCTTAATGAATCAGAAACCCATGCAATCAATGGCATCATCTGCAATTTGGGGTAAATTCAATTTAATAAATAAACTCGAGGAGTTCTTGATCCATCATTTCGGGTTATGAAAGCCTGCAGCCACATAGTATCTATTCCAAAAGTGAATATGATGAATATTATTGCTGCTACCTTTTTATAAAATTAGTGTAATTTAAATTAAATGCCCACATAAGTAATAGCTTTCTATTACAATCTATAAACATGCTTCTTATTTATTATAATATGATATAAAGCCAATGGCATTTAGGTTATTTATCTAATTTCCTGAAATGAAGCTTTATTAGAGATTAGATAGAAAAATCTACCATTTAATAGGTCATATTTCTTTATAGAATGATATTAGTCCAAGGACAGATTAATGCACTAGATTATAAATATTGCAGATGCTATAAAAATAAGGTATTTCTTCACAAAGTCAGAAAACATGGAATTTCAGAACTTCAACGCATGTTGATGATGAGGTCCAGAGATGTAAGAACGCAAGTTGTAATCTTGGTCACACAGATAATTTTGATTAGCTAGAATTCAAGTTGTCTGTTTTCTCTGGAGATGTTTTAAATTTTTATAGATGCATGGAGTGTGACGAAGAATTGCCACTGGCAGCTACTGGATGCTAAATATCTTACAATCCAAGGACAGCACCGAAAACAAAAAATTATTTGGCCCCATATATCAATAGAGCTGAGGTTGAGATAAGCTGTTTCAAGCTTTCCTCCCCATGAATTCACAGGTATCAAAATAGCAGTTAGTTTCTATCTCCCTTGCCAACTCTAGTTACTTAGCAGTAACTACCGGGACCCCTGGGTTGGAAACAAAAATAACAGGAATGTGTTCAGTCTGCTCAGAAAGAGGGACTGGCTCTGCTATGCATTTGCAACATATTAAGTAATAACTTTTAAAAATTAATGTGAGTGCTGTTTTAAAGTCCAAGGGTTATGCCAAATAGCACAATGGCAACTGAACTTTTAGGAAAGAATGTGTTTCCAACACATCTTTGCTGTGTGCTGTAGTTAAAGTTGCAGATTTCTAGCATTTGTCACTTTTGATAGCATTATCAAAGTGTCCTAAATTCATTTGTAATAATTCATTCCATAGGTTTAGGCAACCTGGGTAGTATTTTTTTTTTAATTAATAGGCTGGTCTTTATTTCTAGTCTCATTGCCTTTTACTACATTGCACCAAAAGAGAAACACTAGAGATTGTTCCTGTGATATTGTGTTTTAAGTTAGCATTAATCTAACTCCATTGGCAAAGGCAGATTTATGTGGATTAGGCATAGTGGACAAAAATAATCCAGAACATTTTTCTTAAATTCTCATTGATGAAGTATGAGTTTATATTTCCATATGTTCTTCTAATACATTATGGATTGATACTTTTAAAGATGTAATAAAAGTAAATAATCAGGGAAATAGTTATTATAACCAGGAATCCAGAATAACTAGAAAAGATACATAAGGCCAAATCTTTATTTTTTAGATTCAACAGACATAAAATTTGTCTGTCAGATTATAAAAAATTTCTAAAACACTTAACTTTTAATTACTATATTTAAAAATTTTTCTTTTTCCTTTTAAAATCTTATTTTTCTTAAAATATCAAAGTAATAATAATTGTATTTGTATCAATAAGATTGTGTAACAACTTTTATGGATCATCAATAGCACACTTTTTGAGTATTATAGACTATTTTACTTAAAAATTAGTTTCTACAGAATAAATGGAACAAATATATTCCAGACCTGATAGGATCCTACACTGCACTAGACCCCAGAAATACAGAGATTAAAGGCATTCTTGGTCTTTATGAAATTCTCAATCTAGTGGAGAAGCCAGTTATGCAATTTCAATATATGTGGTCAGTAATAAGACATTATTCATCATGGATGACACGGAAGTGTAAAGGATACTGAGCGAATCCTGGAATTGATATTCCAAGATTGTGCCAGAAATATTGCTCTGGTGTAGGAAACATCTGGCATCCTAGGGACAGTCTCCTTGCTAAGGAGAAATTCTCTGCCATGAGCTTGCACATTAGGAATATATTTGTTAAATACACATTATTGAACTTGCAAGATGGAGCTTATTCATCTGTACTTGCAGTACAGCAAAATAATTACTGGCCTTGATGGCCACCTGAGTCGCTTATTCTCCTTTAATTAGATTCTGTGCTATTTAAATGTATTCAAAGTTGAAGGGTTATGTGAAGTAGTACAATCGCCCCTGAACTTTTAGGAAAGAATGTGTTTCCAACACATCTTTTCTGTGTTCTGTAGTAGTCTGTCTGACATTGAAAGCAGGGTTTGGTGCCCATGACAGGCGAGACACTTAAAGTAGTATTTTTTTAGAAATATTGTAAAATGAAAATGTAAGATGTGTTTGCTTGTTTGTTTTGTTTGTTTGTTTTTTGAGAAGGAGTCTCCCTGTCGCCCAGGCTGGAGAGCAAGTGGTGTGATCTCCGCTCATTGCAACCTCTGCCTCCCAAGTTGAAGCGATTCTCCTGCCTCAGCCTCCCGAGAAGCTGGAATTACAGGCACGTGCCACCACGTCCCACTAATTTTCGTATTTTTAGTAGAAATGGGTTTTCGTCATGTTGGCCAGGCTGGTCTTCAACTCCTGACTTCAGGTGATCCACCTGCCTGGGCCTCCCAAAGTGCTGGGATTACAGGTGTGAGCCACCATGCCCGGCCGTAAGTATTTTTAAAGCTTATAATTTTCCTCGAAACAGTGATCATTTATCATTTCTCTACCGATTTAACACTGACAGCTAGAAAGAAATGTATGTGCCTTTCTTGATTCCAATTGCCTTTCCTTATCTTTAATAGCTATATTCTCGATTCATCTTTCTGATGACATATAATTTGAATTGCTAAACAGTACCACTCAGAAACATTTTCCTTGTAAAATATGTTGGTTTGAAATTACACATGTCTATATGGGGGCTGAGAAAACCTTGAAAAATATTTACTAGAGTTAGGATTTCAGAGAACTAACACGGTTATTGTGATTCTGCTGCCTTCTAATTCTGAAGCAAATGCTTTGAATTGCCATTGTGCAATAGATTGATTAAACTTCAGTTTTAATGTGACAACTCATTCAGTAGGTCTAGGCAACTTGGGGAGTAAATATTTTTTTAATCGGTAGGCTGGTCTTTATTTCTATTCTCATTGCCTTTGACTACATCACACTAAAAGACGAATACTATTATACATAACAGGAGAGCATGTCATGAAAATAAAATAGAATTCCATGTTAAGAGATCATTATTTATTTAATGTTGGGAAGTGATTAAATAAATCATAGTCTATTGTTTCTAATGCCAGACCAAATGTACAAAAATTATGTAAAAATCGAAAATTATAATGATTCAGAAAAAGTAGTCATCTGAAAAGCTGAGTACAAAAATATGAATTGTTTATTCTTATTGCTTATCTAATTTTAGTCTGATTCTGCAGAATTATGAACATGAAAATGTAAAATATAAGGCATGTGGTTATTTATGGTGTACTATGTGGTACTACGAAATAGATCTTACAAGCTATGGGTAGGTCACTTGTTCTCTCCTTAGAGTTTTTGCCCAGGTTCTGAGACTAGTCTTAATCTAACATAGAAAGAAATTAGAAGCCTGATGACAGTAAATGCGATGCCAGCTCTGGTGGCTAAGATATTAGCTTACAAAGATTGAATACCAGTGTTATTCAGTGTTGAGTGTTCTAATATCCCACCAAGATACGTTTTGTCTTGTTGCTATGACAATGACGAATGAAATCTCAGCTGTGCACTTTAGGTTTCACACTGAGACTTTACTTCCTACCACCTGCTGCCAGATTTCTCAACTACCACCTACCATCTTTCTCAGCCCTTTCCTCTTTTGGGGATACCTAGGTCAACAATTTGCTCAAATGTGTCTTCTTCCTTCAAACGCAGATTCTGAGTTGGAATGCAACTGTGGTCTTGACTGTGCATGGAGTAATGATGCTTGGCTCCTCTCATGATTGATAGCATTAGGAGATAACTGAGATACAAAATGTGAAAATGCTTCAACTAATGCAAGTCTTAGATTTTTATTAACATTTTTTTCTTACCCTAAGTCTTTCTTTTAGGGATACAACTTTTTCTTTCAACAGTATTATGCCTTTTTATCTTAAATTAGTTTAAAAGTCACAAGAAGTTATTAAAAATGGTATGCAGTTCTCATGTATGCTTCATTCAACTTTCTCCAAATACAATATTTAATATAGCCATAGCACATTGTCAAAACCAGGATATTGACTATTTACTAATGGTAACTCAGGTACAGATCTTATTCAGATTTACCAGTTTTTGCATGAAACTTTTTATGATTTGTTCTGTGAACACATACCACATAGGCAGATTTGCGTGACCATCATCATAATCAGAATACCTTTATCATCACAGGCAAGATCCTTCCAATAACCCCTTAACAGTCATACCCTTTCACATGTCTAACACCTGAAAATAAATAGTCTGTTCTCCATCACCACAATTTTGTCACCTTGAGGATGTTATATAAGTGGAACCATGGAACCATGCACTTTATAATCCTTTGAGATTGGCATATTCCATTCAGCATAATCCCTCTGAGTTATATGCAAGTTAGAACTCAAATAATTAAACTTTGTACCAACAGTTTGTTATTTGTTATTTCAAAATATTATTCTGTAGTATGATATAACACAATTTGTTTATCCATTCACACATTGAAAAACATTTGTGCTGCTTCCAATGTTGGACTACTGATATAGAATGAGATATTCTACAATAATATTTACTAAGCCACACACTATTATTATTAATTGCTACAAAACATTCAAGAAATTTTAAAATATATTTGACAATATGTATAATTATATGTCAAAAAATTTCCTTAAATTTGATGAGAAATCTTGTGTTTATATTACAAATATTATGTGTGACATACTGTGATATGCAAGTTGTTGCAACCAGAGGAAATTAAAAAGCAAACAAAAAATTTTTCAGATTTGGATCAAAAGAACAAATTACTTTGCCAAATATTAATACATTTTAGTATGGTCCTAGATGTACAGAGATAAGAGATATAAGCTTGGAAAACATGATAAAATAAATAAAAGTATAAAAAACTGGGATGGCAGAAAAGAATGCTAACCAATAATGAACCACCACCAAATAAATAGAAAAATAAGAAAATCAACAACATTAAAAGATTGTCGAAGTAAGAAAAACCACACAGAAAGAATATTCCTCACCTATAAATATTTTTTATCAAATTCATCCTTCTATTGAGGGTGAGGGTGGAGGAAAAAGACAGCAAGAAAAAGAATGAGAGGCAGAGAGAGACAGTGGGAGGGAGAGAGAGTTCTAGTAAAAGGGAATGAGACAAAAATGAGATTTAGAAATTCAAGAGTCGCCAGAGACAGTTGAAGTGTCTGGCATTCTACAAAAAAAAATGCTACAAAAATATAGATTCACTTTGTTTCCCAAGGAAAAAAAAAAGAAATGATATCATTAAAGATGATGGCCATCAGGCTTAGGAAGACAAGGTGACATGAAAAAGTATCTCAGGAGGGAAGTATGAGAAAGATGGGACAGATAAAAGACTACAAAATCGGCTCAGTTAGAAAAACATTTTTAAAATAAACCTAAATGTTACTTGAAATTACTCTGAATTCAGATTTTTGGTGAACTCAGAATGAAAAACCAGTGAGGAAATAAGGCTATCAGAAATAGAAAAAGATAATGCATACAATAAACATGTAATGGCTTATAACAGAAAGTGAAATGAACACCAATACAAACTCTCCTCCTATCATCTAAAGCAATATCTGCTAATACATAGCTTTCAAAATGTTGACAAGTCAAGCCACACACAGCTATTTACATTCATGGGCCAATGAACTAAAATATTCTCCTGACTCAGCTCTTTTTCTCATTTGAGCCACTCTTGGTTCCTATGACATGGGAACTGCAATAGTTGCTAACTAAAATCTAGGAAAAGCTGGACTGCATCATTGGCTTGAATGCTCAAAACTTACTTGTGTGTCAAGATTTTTCCAATACTCTACTCCCCCTTTATTCTGTAAAACTAAAAATTAATATGGGGAGAAGAGAATGGGCTTTTAAAATGGAGTTTACCTTGTTGTACACAATAAAATAATTCTTAGTTAGTGCATCATCTTCACAGATGAGCAGCCACATACTCTAAAGATCTGATGGGACCAGCTATAGTGGCCTGTGGAGGTGAGGCCAGGTACTTCAGTGACACAACTTGACAAAGGGAAACTCTATGAGTTATTTCAATGCTGATATATAGATAGATACTAGATAGATACAGCCCATTCATTTTAATTTTGAGGAATATTAATGCAACCATCTCTTTATTGTTGTGTAACTATATTCTCTACAACATATTGCCTATTTAAAATCATGGTTCACAAACACGCTTAAAACATGATTTTTTTGTGCTCATTTGTGAGTATGTCTCTAGAATATTTAATTGTAGAAGTATTTTAACCACTCACAAATGTAATTTTTCCTCCAAATGTCATACATTTTTCACTTCCACAAATGGAGTATGAATGAATTACATTACAGCCCCTCCTCTATACTACATTATTTGATATTTTTATATATACATTTTTGTTTTAATGTATATATCTTTGGCCACTATTTAGATTAAACATCAGTATCTTGTCATTTTTAGGGATCTGCTGTGTATACTGGAAAATTTTCCTGTGTATATTGTAAGTGTTGTAAACATTTTCTCCCACTTTGTAATTTGTTTTTTAATTTTTAATTTGTGGGTCATTTTATTGCTGAGAAAGTTATTTAGGGAAAAAGGCAGGAAGTTCTGATTTATTTGCTTTAATTTCACATAGTATACTTATACGAAAATTGTTCTCCTTATGTTTTTCCAAGTATTTGTCTTAAAAATATTCAAAATTTAAAAAAAAAAACATAGTTCTATTCCATGTATTGCTCCACATGATGTGGATTTAGCAGTAAATTAGAGGAGACTTTTTTAACTAAAAGACTTTCACACCATGGTAGGGAGAATAATGGACCCCTAAAAAGATATGTCTCCCAATCCCAGAAACCTATGAATATGTTACCTTAAATACAAAAGAGGCTTTGCAGAAGTAATCAAAATAATGACCTTAAGATGTGGGATTATTCTGGAATATCCAGATGGGCCTTGTTAGTGAAACAGTGAGGCAGGAAAGTAAGAAGCAGAAATGGAGATGTGGAGATATGACCACAAATGCAGAGTCAAAGTGATAAAATTGCTGGTTTTGAAGATACAGGGGGACCATGAGTCAAGAAATGTGGGCATACTCTAGAATCTGGAAAAGATAAGGCAACAGAATCTCCTGTAGGCCCTGCAGGAGGCATATAGCACTGCCTACACCTTGATTTTAGCCCAGTGAGATCCATTTCAGATTTCTGACCTTTTAAACTGTAAGATATTAAATATGTGTTAAGTCACTAATTTTGTGGCAATTGTTGTGATAATTTACTTGACTATTTTAGTATGTGTTATTTGTATATCAATATGAATACTAATACACATATGAAATACACTAATAGTATATAATATACATACTAAACAGAAAAAATACAATAGGAAACTAATAGAAAACAAATATGCATACTAAAATAGGCAAGTAAATGAATTACTTAAACAATTTCAGTAGATATGTGCTTGAGGAAGTGGAAGATGGGTAAGGTAATAAGACTGGCTAAGGAGAAAGGGGCTTTTGTAGAAAACTGGTCACTTCCATCATAGTAACACTAACATTAATAATACTAATAATTTTTTAGTAGTGCAATATAACTAAAAATAGTCCAAGGCAAAAAACGTAGAAAGAGACCAAGAGTAAAATACAATTTTGATAGAATGTGCATTTGACCCAAGAGAGTAAAATGATTCTAGACACTTGAGAATATAACAACCTGATGTTTTTTGGAAACAAAACCATAAAGAATACATAAAAGGAT
Organism: Homo sapiens; assembly: GCF_000001405.40. Taxonomy (NCBI): domain Eukaryota; kingdom Metazoa; phylum Chordata; class Mammalia; order Primates; family Hominidae; genus Homo; species Homo sapiens. The sequence goes on along the minus strand of NC_000003.12, from coordinate 145,305,383 downwards.
GATAAATTCAATCAATTTATATAATAAAAGATGTTATGAACAAAAATAACAAGTGAGAAACTGGGAGAAAGTATTTGCAACGTATGCTGCAGTTAAAAGATTTTTATCCCCAATACAATGTATGCCAATGTGCCTATAAATGGAAATGAGAGAAAAGGAACAAAAACGAGAAAAGCAAAGAAGATGTTTGTCAATGAAAGAACATTTTATTTTTTAATCACAGTTGACCAATTGATGCGATAAAAGTTGGTCAATCATAACCCTATTCTTAATTTTATGTCTAAAACAAATTCTTAACCTAATCTTATGTTCAATATTGGTCTAATTTGAGAGGAGGGAAAGTTTGTACTATGTCTAAGAGTAAATTCCTAGTGTCTTAAAATAGACAATGGGGGAGAAAACAAGAGAAACTGACACTACTTCTTGTGAATTTTCATTGCTTGGAATCTGTGAAGAGCTAAATGATAAAATTATGCTGAATTATTACTTACTATTTAATTAATACCTAAAGTATTAATACCTAAAGCTCCTATCTCTAGGATGAACAGAAAGTTGAAGCTCAAATTTATCAAATTGCTAATGGATAAGTCTGAGATCAGTAGTATTTTTATTTTTTGTTTATAAAAAGGGGCTACTAGATCAATATTTGGAAGCCATGTTGTAAGATACATGTGAACTTTATAAATTGGTATTTTCACTGTAGAATATTTCTGTTGACAATATACAACATTCCATTTAGCACTGTTGAATTATTTAAACTTGAATTCTAGTTTACTTGACATTATGCCACAGGATTCTGAGAGAATACAATTATCCAGTTATGCATTTGTCTAGCTAAAATTTGAAGATATATGAAATGAGGATTCCTTCAAACAGGAAGTGTGACTATTCTCATAAATTTACGGATACTAAGCTAGGCTAATTCTTCTAGCTATATCAAAATTCTTCTACTTAACATTTCCTAGAAGATTTTGTTCATGATGTAGATGTACATGTTATTTAAAGTATTTTGTATCACTACACATTTTTTTACAAACATATGTCATTCCCTTTGCTATTAGAAATAAAGAAGGAAAGAATTTAAAACAGAAAGCATACATAAGTTTAAAGGTTAGTTCAAAAAGTTAGAGAATCTGAATATATAGTTTATAATTTCCAAACTTCTATCAGTTTCACACTATAGAAATGTTGAATTTACTTTGCCTTAATTTAGAGGCTTTATTTATTTATTTATTTATATCAGATGCCTGCCTTAAAGGTCAAGCCAATTGTAATATTATGGCATAACAGAATTTGATTCTTGTTTTTAACATTAATCATCACCTTGTTAGTAACTCCTAAACATTTTACTTTTTAACCTCTCACCTGGTCTTTGGGGAGCCCAGTTATCTTGTCATCTGCCCAAACTTTCAATGTCATTGTGTTGCAGTAATGTGTGCAATTTCATCTGAAAAACATGTCTTATCTCTTAACCTTAGTGGCTCTTTTACTCAATTATTTTCTTTTCTAAAGCTGTACCTTGAGTCTGATATGGACCATTATTTTGCTACAATCACTTCCATATCATTTTTGCTCAACAGTACTGCAGAACTGATAAATGTCCCAGTCTCTGCCTCCCAAGGCTAATTATCTTAACAGTAATCCAAATTGAATTAAATTTGCTATCTCTCAGCACAACCAACTCAACAGGAAAACATTGTGAAATCTTCATCAATACTAGTAGCTATAACATTAAAAAGAGGGGAAAAGCAAATTTTATAAAGTTAAATTTGAATTGTGGCATAGAAAACACACAGACATATACTACTAAAAAATACTTAATGATTCTGTTCCAAAACATAGTATATTTGTATCTTATGATTCCTTCTACCTATAACGTGACCTGCAATTTTAGGCATTATAAACTATTACCCCGATGTAAATAAAGCACCCTTGGAGCTATTTATATTTCCATCTATACCACCCTTAGAATGTTGGAATTATTTGTTGGGAAACAACGTAGTTCTATTTGCCCTTATGCACTTTGGAAAAGTCATGTGTCTTCATATGTTCTACTCCAGTGACTACTTTCTATACTCTAAGTCAATATTTACCGATGTGTAATTGATAGAATATTTATTAAAATAAGCTGGAATATTTATTAAAAATAACCCAGTTGTAAAGCCTCATCCACCTCCCAATGATGTTGATGCAGTAGGTCTAGAGTGGAGTGTGAGAATATGCATTTTAATGCATGCCAGAGTATTTCTTACATATATTGACATTTGAGTGCCATTGAGTTACTAGACAATTCATTCCATTATTTGAGTTGTTTTCAAGCACAAAACAATTTAATGTGGCATTGGGATTAAATATTAGGACTTATTTTTGTTTTGTTTTGTTCTGTTTGTTTTAACCTAACAATAAAGATGAACTACTTATTATTTAATGCATGGAATAGAACTTGTATACTTGGATAGTCACACGGCCAGTTAACGTGTGGGATAGCTTTAAAGAAGTGCTGGGTTTCCACAGGCAGAGTACTTGTGAGGGCCATCTTCCCTCACCGTCTGTGTGGTGCATTACAAGACCGTCTATATATTTCCACTTAAATTGGTTTACAGATTCTGGTCTCTAATCTTAACTGAACCAATATTTAGAAAACATAAAATTGATCTAGTATTCCTACAAAAAATTAGTAATTAAAACCAATAACAACAATTTCAGAATGTGTTACTGATAAAAAGAAATGGCAATGCCAGTAGTTCTTATTGAACAACCACATTAAAAGACAGAATTGAGACCCAAAGGCAGTATTTCAGAAAAATAATGATATTTTTTCATGTTTCCCACTCAGTAATGGAAGACAAAGGCCACATAGCATTGTTGAAATATTAACTCTTACAGAAGCATAAAATTAGGTAGAATAGTACACAGAAAGCAAAACAGAGACAAAAATGCATTATTTTTCAGTATGCATTGTTGACAGGTACTACAGTGTATTATTGATGATCTAAATAAAAATTTTTAGAAAAATTATTTACTGTGGGAGGTTTACTGTAAAACTGCATGACAGCCCAGATGTTTCTAACATCTCACTTCATTTTCTACATTTTATTTTGCAAACCAATGCATCAAAACTGCTTTTGGTAAGCTACTAAAGGAAAGGTGCACTGGAAATGCATGTCTTTTAAAAAGTAAATGACTCTTTTGAATTAATTTAGGAAAAAGCTAAGTGTTCTGAGCTAAGGGCACAAAGAAGTTTTCATGCATGAATTTTACAATATCATTCAGAAGAAAGCAATCGTCCCATCAGAGAAGTATTATAGAAGCCAGAGGTGTACATGTTATACGTGATGACATTCATGATAATTATTTTACAAAACGAGATCTTTAAAACATGTGCAGTAGGAGGCTTTTATACTGTTTTATAAGGAGATGATGAAAAACTGAAAATCTTTTAACCACAGAGAAGTATGCTGGTTCTCTTGTGGCAAAGTATATAAAATGGTTGAACCAAAAATGAGGTGCATTTGTCAGCAAAACACTACAAATTTGTTGAATTTTTTTATGATAAATGTCTCTCAGTAGTGTACCATTGGCAGATAATTTTGAAAATATAATCTATTGCTGCAATGCAAAGGTCATGATTCAAAAATGGGTATGAAAATAATGTTTTTGAAAGAAATTTCTGTTAATTAGGAACACTTTTGAGATATGAATATTTCCCAACATTTTAGGATTTTATTGGCTAAAATTTGTATGACTTACAACAGTACTTTAAAATATCTATTCTTAAAAAGTTTAAAACTTCTAATCTATTTAAAATGTTTCAAAATGAAGATTTACAACGGGCTTTGAAGCAATTTGTTACTTATATAAAATGTACATATTTTCAAAATTGGGTTTAGAAGAGCAACATCAAAGAAGATAGAATTTTGAGCTCTCAATTTTAACAAAAGTCTTTATATACTTGCACATACAAATTGAAAAAGTAATACATTTATGCTCAGCCAATACTCTTCTACCATTTTTATCTACATATCATTGTGTGACAGATAATATAACCAAATATCAAAATAAACTGAGTTTTTGAAAACCTCCCAATGCATTTAAAACTAAACTGCTTTTCCAATGTTTTAATCATAAATGTGAAATAAAGCAAATGTAAGTGTGTTGCTATACAAATTATTAAACTATTTATAATGTTTTAATAAAGACCAAAATATTTAATAGAATCATACATAAAACTATTCATTAAAATGTTATTTTGACACATTAGTATACATTTTTGGTTTTGCTTTTTTGGCATATAAACCTCTACAATTGTAATTAAATAAAAATACATGCCTTAGTGCATAGGCAACTTTTTTTAAATTGACAGATGCATGTTCAAAAGTTTGGCGGTCACCAACATAGCTTACTGTGCTGATGAAGAAATCCCTTTTGAAAGCCACAGTGTGCAATCCTAAACTCGTTTTTTAAGCCAAATAAAAATCAGTGATGTGCTGGTAATTATTTTAAAACATGATTGGGGTGAAAGAATGCTTTCATTGATAGGGTTTGCTGATTTCCATTATAATTTTATAAAATTAATACATAAAATAAATAATACTCCTTCAGGAGTTAATTTCATTAATTAACTGCAAGACAGTAACATTAATACTGTCAGTAACATTAATAACAGCAAAATTAATACTGCTGCAGGAGTTAATCTCAGATTACTAGCAGGGCATCATGCAGAGCTGGGAATTGATGTGAACAATCAACTCCTGCACACTGGTCTAGCACATCACTCGATAAAATGTGTCTTGTTGGCAAGAGATTATTCCACTCTCATTTGTGAAAAATCATATGTGAAATTCCAGCAAAGAAACTTTTGACTCGAATTTTTTATTTTTTTTTTAAGTTTCCCTGCACTGTTTAATAAGTGATCTGTACATGTTTCTTTCAGGATATGTCATTTTTAAATTCTAATTATTTTTATATTCTTAACCATTTTAATATAATCTATAGACACACATCTTCTCTAAGAGTGTTTTAACATTGAAAGAGGTAGGCCATGCAGAATGAAACAGAAAAAGGAGAGTCCGGGCGGGGTGGCTCAGGCCTGTAATCCCAGCACTTTGGGAGGCCAAGGCTGGTGGATCATGAGGTCAGAAGATCAAGGCCATCCTGGCTAACATGGTGAAACCCTGTCTCTACTAAAAATACAAAAAAATTAGCCAGGCGTGGTGGCGGGCGCCTGTAGTCCCAGCTACTCGGGAGGCTGAGGCAGGAGAATGGCGTGGACCCAGGAGGCGGAGCTTGCAGTGAGCCGAGATGGGGCCTGGGCGACAGAGCAAGACTCTGTCTCAAAAAAAAAGAAAAGAAAAAGGAAAAAGAAATATTTCTGCAATAAAGAAAAATATCTTAATTCTATGTAAAGATATTTTTAAATAGAATTAGCTTAGACAGCTGAATAAAAATCACTGAAAAAATTAAGTTTGGCATGCATAAACTGCCAATCACGAAAATTTTAAAAGAATGAATGTAAAAATAATACCCTTCCACTCAACAGATGCCTACTTACCCACATACTCAATTAGAAAATTTAAGTGTCTTGATTTGTTCCCTTAGAACAAATCAGATGGAAAGCACTTTACACTCATGTGGACTCATTTCTATTCCAGTGTTTTTTCACTTAGCAAATTATGATTTTTCCTTTCTCATTAAGATTAATTTAGAAGAGAACGGAGTGTTTGACTGCTAGTGGTTTCCTCTTCAATACACTACTCACATACAAGAATCTATTATGCTTGGCTCATCCAATTCTTAAAAACAAGAATCAATTATACTTTGGCTCATCCATTTCTTAAAAACGATTTTAGATTGCTTTATAACTCTCATCTATTTGTCAGATTACTCTGCCATTATCTCTGTGTTCACTAAAGCTAGGACAAAATTGTGTTTAAACAACAGTTTACTTTAATATCCTAAAGTTCAAAAGAAGATAAATGAACAAACACTATGCAAATATGCACTTAGATATTAGCATCCTTGTTTACTTTATACTAGAATCTAATTCTACTTACCTATAAAATAGTACGCTTTATATGATGGGAATGGGCCAGAAATTATATTAATTTTTCTCAAATATTTTAAAAGTTATGCAACCTTCATCTTACTAACTGAACCTGCTGTCAGCATAGCTAATTAAATTATCATGCCAACCAACTTTGTTATGCAGCAGGAAAAAAAGGCAATAATTCATAGATTACTGCATAAATCGCTTAATTGAACTGTTTGCCTCTAAGCTCATTCTCCTCTACTCCATTGTCAATGCTGCCATCAAGTTGATTTCCTTTTACTTCAATTGATTTGCTTCTTTATTCACTAGGCGCATGGACAGAATTTGTATCAAATAAACTTCACGATCAGACTGTCAAGGTTTTCAAAAGTACGTCTTGAAATGAATCATTTATTCAGTCATTCAGTCATCTATTCACTCATTTATTTAGAAATATTTTTAAGCATTATTTACTAAAGATTTCTCTAATAATCGTGATACAGAGAAAACATACAATCCTAATACCTAATGTGCTTGCATAACTTTCTCTTCATTTATCCTACCATCTTGGTAGGATATTTCCTCTGGCTGCTTTTAATTTTCAAATATATTTTACAGTCCACTATCTCCCAGCCTTTGTTTATACCATGTGATCTCCTTGGAATATTGTTCTTTGTTTGCCACAGATGTATCTTTCAATTCCATCTAAATTCTGATTTTCTCTGTGAAATGTTCTCAAACTTGCCTTAGTAATAAAAACATCTTTTACATTACTGTAACAGTCTTTTGTATTTTGTCCCATAATTCAACACATTTTTAAAATTTTCTTTACTGTATCTCAGATATGTTGCTAGATCCTTAAGAATCTTTAAGCAAAATATACAATAACATAACACAAAAAGGCTTATTTTTCATTCACATCATAATTTAATGCAGAATATAGGCTGGGGTGTGGCAAGATAAAAAAAATGTTCTATGTAGTCTTTTAGGGATCTAGGCTTCATATAGTGGAGCCTAGTTCTATAGCTCCACCATCCCTGGAGCCTCAGAGTTCACTGTTCCATCAGCCTCCAGCTGGCAGATGAGGGAAGAGAGAGTGTATAGATGATTGTGCAGGAGGATTTCAAGGCCAGGTGCGAAGGCTGTACCCATGGATTCTGTAGAATGGTATTGGCCAGAACTCAGTCATGTGGTTTCTTGTAACTACAAGAGAAGCTGGGAAATGTAAGCTAGTTTTTTGCCTAAGAGGAAAATAAATTATATTTTGGTAAAATCATTGCACACTTTGCCATAGCCTGTCTGTCTCTGCCCATCTATCTTGTACACTTTTCTAAGATTAGCATTCAGTCATTCATCGAACAAATGTTTACTGAAGGCCGCAATATGCAAGCCACTGTGCAATGCACCATGGCTATAAAAATGCATACCTTCTAATTTTGCTTTCTGTGGAGTTCACTAGCTTGTGGGCAATGATAATAACTAAAAAAATCTCTATAATGAGTTATGTACCTTGATGGACTAAGCAAAACAAATTTTCTAAAATGTGTGTATATATATATATACACACACACACATATACACAAATATATACACACACATATATACATATATATGCACACACATATATACACATATATATACACATTCACATATACACATTCAATTGACAACAAATACAACAAATAGTATATAATTATTGTGTACATAATGTTTGAATGTATGTATACATTGTGGATTGGTTAAATCAAGCTAATTAACATATGTATTACATCACTTTTTTATGAGAACACTTAAAATTTACATTTTTAGGAATTTTAAAGCATGTAATACATTATTATTACTCTTGTCTAACTGAAATTTTGCATTCTTTGGTCAATATTTCTCTGATCTCCTCACACTCCACCCTCAGGCCCTTGTAACTCCATTTGATTCTCTGCTTCTATGAATTGGACTTCTGTAGATTCCACATGTAAATGATGTCATGTAGTATTTTCGTTTCCATGCCTGGTTTATTTCACTTAATGTGATGTCCTCCAGGTTCATCCATGTTGGTGCAAATGACGAGACTTCCTTCATTTTTAATGCTGGATAGTATTCTATCTATCTATCTATCTGCCTATCTATCTATCTATCTATCTATCTATCTATCTATCTATCTATCTACCTATCTATCATCAATCTATCTCTATCCCTTGATGGACACTTAGGTTGATTTTATATGTTGGCTATTTTTGGGGGGTATGTATATTCAATAGTGGGATTGCTAGGTCATATAGTAATTCTATTTTAATTTTTTGAGTAACCTCCATACTGTTTTCCATACTGGATGTAATAATTCACTTTCCTATAAACAGTGTACAAAGGTTCCCTTTTCCTCACATCTTCACCACTACTTGTTACATTTTGTCTTTTGGATAAGAGCCATTCTAGCAGATGTGAGCGAATATCTCATTGTGTTTTGAATCCGCATTTCCCTGGAGGGATGTTGAGTATTTTCCTATATACCTGTTGGTCATTTGTATGTATTCTTTTGAGAAATATCTTTTCAGGTCCTCTGTTCATTTTCTAATCAGGTTATTTGTTTTCCTGCTATTGAGTTGAGTTTATTATATATTTTTGGATGTTAACCCTTTATCAGATACATAGTTTGCAAATATTTTCTCTTATTCCATAGAGTGTCTGTTTCCTCTTGCTATTTCCTTTGTTGCTCAGATGCTTGTGAGTTTTATATAATCTCATTTGTGTGTTTTTCTTTTGTTGCCTGTGCTCTTGGAATCATGTCTAAAAATTCATTGTCCATATCAATGTCCTAGAGCATTTCCACTATGTTTTCTTCTAGTAATTTTACAGGTTGAAGTGTTATATTAGTCTTTAATGCATTTTAGTTCATTTTTATATATAGTGTGATGTAAAGATCTAATTTAACTCTTCCGCAGGCAGATAAAACAGTTTTCTCAACATAATTTATTGGAAACTGTGTTTTTTTCTGTTGTGTGTTCTTGGAACCTTTTCAAAATCATTTCAGGCTGGAAATTACAGGTGTCTCACACCCAGGAGGCCGATGTGGGAGAATCATCTGAGCCCCAGAGATCAAGGCTGCAGTGAGCTGAGATCATGCCACTGCACTCCAGCCTGGGTGACAGAGTGAGAATCTGTCAAAAAAAAAAAAATTGAAGACAAATGTATGGGTTTATTTCTGCCTTTGTGATGAAATAAACTGCCTACATGAAATAAACTGGCATTCTTTTTCTTCAAAATTCTATAAAATTCTATAAAATGTACTGTAAGGAAACGTCAATGTATATACGGTGGCATCATCAAATGGCAGGGTTACAAGTCATTTATCACTGATTTGCATTTTATTATTATTATTATTATTATTATTTTGAGATGGAGTCTCACTCTCTCAACCCAGGCTGGAATGCAGTGGCGCAATCATGGCTCACTGCAACCTCCACCTCCCAAGTTCAAGTGATTGTCCTGCCTCAGCCTCCTCAGTATCTGGAATTACAGGCGGGTGCCGCTATGTCTGGCTAATTTTTGTATTTTTAGTAGAGATGGAGTTTCACCATGCTGGTCAGGCTGGTCTTGAATTCCTGACTTCGTGATCTGCTGCCTCAGCCTCCCAAAGTGCTGGTATTACAGGTGTGAGCCACCATGCGCAGCCTATTTCTATTTTTATAATAAATATATATTACTTTCCTAACCATAGAAATAAGTTTTGTTCGCTTCACTACCACTCAAATTTGTATAAAATAATTTTTAGTTAGATTTTCTCCGCTTCAGGATTCTTGATAGACCATTCAAAAATACCTGTTTCTTTTCTATGTTTCTTTTCTATCATTAAATATCTAAAATAGCTAGACCAAAATTTGAAATGAGAATCATAACATTGCAAAATTGGTTGCCTTATGCAAAGATGTGAATCACTGGAATGATTACACACTTAAGCCTACAACATTACTTATGCCTAATATGTTTGCAAATCATATTGACCTTCCAGGTGATACTGGATTCACCATTTGTGCAATCTCAGTGTTTGAAGTACTTTGAATTAGATATAATCTATTCTTTACAAGGGCTAGACAACCTTACAACTTCCTTAGAACTTAGCTTCACTCTATCTGTCCTATATATTTCATGCCTGTTATATGACTATTTGGCCAGACAGGAAAGAAAAAAAAATAAACTTTTGTTTTTGAGTGTATAAATATATTCCTTGTAAACATATTCCAAATAAACTAAAGCCGTTATTTTCTTAAGGCCTACATTTGGTATTCATTGCAGCGTAGAGCCTGAGCAGAGTTCATCTCTTTCCTAACCCACTATATTAATTATTTGTTGCATCAAATACAATATAACTGTCACTCAGGCATTAGTCTCTTTGAAAATGACCTAGTGCCTTCTGCCTCTGCTGATATACACATGATATATTTAGTGTATTTGGTATACAGTCTCATTATGTGGCTAATTAGGGCATTATGAAAAAGAGGTCATGGCTGTGCTGACACCACCACTGTAGCACTTCAGAAACTTTCTGATTTATAATCTCAACCCTGGCTAGTTCCTTGTCTGCCTCCATTAACAGCGAGGTGCAGATAAAGAAACACAGATGGCACCTATTCATCAGAGATACTAGAGAACACAGCAAACCATAAACCCATGGAATAAGACTAATTGGAACTGTGCTTTACATGGCAAAGATATGTGACTTGGTGTATTGTTGGTTAAGTTATAAATGACACATCAGAATTACAGTTTCCCAGGGGGCCCTGGCTTGTCAGAAAATGACCATTTGAAAGGAGTAAACTGCTATTAGATGGAGAATGCTACCCCTTCTATGCCAGGAGATTTCGCAGGAAAAGTTTCAGGTCCTCTGGCTGAGAATTAAATTCACGCAAACTCTTGGCTTTATTTTAATACGGAAAAGGTTTCTAAGCAGATGATGGTGACTTCTCAGTTTTGTGAATTTATTGCTTGTTTTATCAGTCAAAACCATTGAAGTAGGAATGACTGTATTCACATAAAAAGAGTCCTGAAATGACAGAAATAAAAGTGCTTGAGGGACAACAAAGTATTCTGCAGCTAACTCTGCTACTTGTTACAGTAGCCACCATAGAAACTTATCTGAAATTAATTCACATGCATTTCCTTTGCTTTCGCCCCAAGAGGCACAAGCTTTCAAAGTAGATGGACTCAGATTGAAAATGTCTCCAATTTACTGAGAGTCACCTGCACCCCATAGTCCCCTCAAGTTACTAGTGGAAGCCTTGTGAATCAGCAGAAGGCTGACCCCATAAACCTTCTAAACTTGGCAAGTTTTCTCAAAAGTTCTGAGGGCATCCAGAGTCAATCAGAAACATAGGTTTTATACATGTGGGAAAACATGGAGTGAAGCAAATTACACGTCTCGTATACAGAGGAAATTACTTGAAGGCAGGTACTCTTTGTCAGAAAGATGACGTTTACAATTTAAAAGTTGATATATTATGGGGTTTCTCAATTACATTCTATCATACTCTCTATAAGACATTTTACTGTTGATGTTAATTCTCAATGATTTTAAGCAATGGTTTCTCTTTCCTTGTTTTTATTGAGAACAAAGGCTTTCACTATGCTTTACTCAGCTTGGACTCATTGGCTTTGGAGAATGCAGATATTCTAATAAATATACACATTTGTTTTCGTTAGATCCATTACTGTGGTGGGCTCTGGCATGTAGAATCAGATGAACAACATGTTTTACTATGTCAATGACAACATCTATTTAGAAGTGGTTACACTATAGTAGCAAAGACCTGTATTGAACATTGCATTTTCTCTGCACACATACAGAACTTGCTTTGAATGGAGGGGAATATTCATAAGGGAGAGGAATAATTTTAGAAATAAATTTAAATAAAAGCAAGTCATTTTTACTGTTCTACCTGTTATAATTTAGACTCCATTCAGCATTCACTTCCTTACTGATATTAAAAATTTCTTAAATGAGTATTTTTGATAGTTCATTTTTTTAATAATAATAAAAATCTTGCTTATATTGGATCTATATACTTGCCAAAAAATGCCATTGTATATCTGACTTTTAATCCCCCTTCCCAAACAAGCTGAATTAAATTTAAATTAAATATGTAAGATCTGCTGCAAGGCATTAAATTGTTTTAAAATGATAATATAAGAACAGAAATATTTTTGGCTGCCAGTTCAACTCAGTCAATTTTAAATTTTAAATAGACTCAGCCATGTATCTTAGGCTCATGTAGAGAAAAACAATGTTAGGTGTGTAAGATGTATTAAATTTCTCTTCCTCCTTTCTATAGAAAATTGCATAGCCTTGGATCATGAAGAATGTAAAGACATTAAATGTTCAATGGCTCCTCTATGAGTTTTCCACTGGCTTTTTGTTCAACATAAAAAGGATTTTACAGTAAATATTACTACTTTATCAATTTTAAACATAATAAGAACTTTCCATGAAAATAATGAACACTTTCACAAATTAATATCACCATTTATAAACGAAGCATACTCTCCAAAACAGGCAACTTTCCCTTGAAATTTTCATTTACTTCTATTGTGTCCATCCCAATGTTACATACTAGTCAATGATGAAGTGACTAGAAAATAATTAAAACTTTTATATTTTAAAGGTAAGCATCCTCAAGAAATAAATATTTACTTTAAATGGCTTGCATAGCTTATGGTTTGCATGTTTTTTCTCCCCTTATAAAAAACTAGCTCCTTAAATATAATCCAACAGGGGTTGTGTTGATCACTTTTTCTCCCCAGTATGCAAATTATATTTTGTTAAAAAATTAATAACTAAAAAATAAAATATTTATTAAAGACAAAGTTATGAGGGGACTGTGGAATAAAATAAAGTAAAATCTATACGGTTTAGGGAGAGTTGAGAGTGTGGAGAGCAAATAAGTTAAAAGTACAATAGAATTATAGAGAATTTTTGTTAAACATTTTATTTTGACTATGTCGGATTGATTGAATTGATAATACTTGATCCAGATTTACACTTATCATTCTGAAAATTTAATAAGCAGAATGACTTATAAATTCCTAAGGGCAAAAAATTTTTCAGACAGACACAAGAAAATAAGCTTAAAAATAGTCACTTTAAGAGTGATGAAGGGTATTACAAAATTTCATTAATTTTGGATACAGGGAAGATGCCAGACTGTAAGATTTTACTTTTTTTTTTTTAAATATAAATACTTCAGATATAGACCTGTATATCCAAAGAGCTGTTTGTATCTTACCTGCATGATTGAGTTTCCACTGAAGAGAACTTTCTGTCACTCGTAAAAGAATGAAAGAGCGGCCGGGCACCGTGGCTCACGCCTGTAATCCCAGCACTTTGGGAAGCCGAGGCGGGCGGATCACGAGATCAGGAGATCGAGACCATCGTGGCTAACACGGTGAAACCCCATCTCTACTAAAAATACAAAAAATTAGCCGGGCATGGTGGAGTGTGCCTGTAATCCCAGCTACTTGGGAGGCTGAGGCAGGAGAATTGCTTGAACCCAGGAGGCGGAAGTTGCTGTGAGCCAAGATCACGCCACTGCACTCCAGCCTGTGTGACAGAGCGAGACTCCATCTCAAAAAATAAAATAAAATAATAAAATACTATTTGCTTTATTCATTTACCTACTAATTCAGCAATGATTTTTGGCATACATCAGGTGCCAAATAAGTTTTATTAACTAACTGTTCCTAATTTTGAGTGTTTTTTACTCATACTCTAGATGTCTTCTTTTACATATTTCACCTTTCTCTGAGTAACTTATCCATTAATTTGTTTACCCAAGAAAGTAATGACTCTTAACATCTCCTATGTCCTAGACCTTGCCTTTGCTGTTTCTGATCACATTAAATAAACTCAAATGTAGGAAATTTGCCTTTTTAATTGTTTAATTGAAATATCTTATTTGCCTTTAATTGACAGATAAATTGTATTTACCATGTACAACATATTATTTTGAAGTATATATACATTGTGGAGTGATTAAATCTAGTTAATTAACATGCATCATCTCAAATAGTTGTCATTTTTGTGGTGAGAACACTTTGCATTCCCTCTCTTAGCCTTTTTCCATGCTTTGTACTCACGAAATTTGCTTTTAATCTTCAACGTGCTCAAACAAAATTATTAAATCTGTTTCGCTTCCCTTGGAAAGCTATTGTGACAAGGTTCCCTTTGGGATTTAGGGAGGCAAATACCATCAAAATAGGGTGGAAACTAGAATATTTATGTGAATTACTCATAACATTCAGGATTCGTCAATCTTTGTAATAAAACTGGTGTTACATTAGAGTGCATTTTTTGGAGGTCCTGATCTGTTCTGTTCTACCTTTTTATCAATACATCAATGTAAATTCAGAATGTAGCCTTAATAAACTTGGAGAGATATCATTTGGAGTGTTAACATATATTGCTAGAAGAATCTCTGACAGAATCATATTCCAAAGCTTCATTAAGAATGTGAAATTGCAGATCAAACCTAAAATAATTAAATTAATTGGAATATGTAGCTGAGAGCCACAAAGAAAATTTACAAAGACAAGGGATGAGGGAGGCAAGATTTAATTAGGAGAATTAAAAAAAAATAAGAATGTTAGAAGACAATAAGCACAATTAAGGTTTGCAATTTAATATGCCTTATATTTAAAATGGTTACAAAAATACTTTACGGAAATTAGATTGCATTATTGGAAACAAGCCTTTAGGAATTTAGAAACTAATAAGACTTGTTTGTAGTATTCCAGTTAGCATCATTTAAAAATAGACAGAGGAAAATAGAATAAATTCAGCAGAGTTACCACAAAAACCACTTAAATCCATTTGGTTTCTTCAAGTATTTGACATTTAAAGGGTTTAATATAAGCAGATAGTGTTGTACTTGTTCTACATAGACAAAATAAATAAAAACAGGATCAGTGGATAGAAACTTCCAAAAAGGAGAATTGGATTTATTAAAGAAGGTATTTTATATTGATGAAAGGTGTCTACATTAGAAAAAGTGACATCAGTGAAAATACTAAGTTTTCTGAACCGTCAGTAAATTAAGATTAGTCTGAATAAGACCTAGATATGTTTAAAGACCTTAAAACATTTGATGTAAAATTTGACTAGTCAGCAAGATGGCTGACTAAAAGCCCTTAGTACTCATCTTTCCCACAAATGCAACCTAAACTACAAATAGACAACTACTTTTTGATGCAAATAACTAAAGGAGAGTGGAGGAGTACATCAATGAAGTAGCAGAAGCCCTGTAGGCCACAGAAACCCAGGAGAGTCTCATAGAAAATGGAGAAAAAAAAAAAAGAGAGAAAAAAACACCTGGCCTCCATCACCCTACTCCATAGACAGGATAAGCTCTGAGCCAGAAATTGCTTCTCCCAACAGGGAAAAAGTAACCAAGAAGATTCCCAACAGGTCCATCAGCAGCTTGGACAGCTACATTCCTCACCACTAGGACTCCCGCAGTCCTCAGAGGTGCTAAGCCCAGCTGAGAGAGCTGTCTGAAATTCAGAAAGCTATGGTCTCCCCAGAGGAGGAGCTCACAGGATGCTCCAGCTCCTGTGGCCTGCATGGATGTGATGCTATGTCATTTTGGAACTGAAACTAGTCTTGGAGTTTATTCTGCTCTAGGAGTGAGTGGCCACATCACCTTTCCATCCTTGAGGCTTAGCCACTGCAGAACCACCCTTGACCAGTGGCTCCATCTCCCGGAGCTGAGCTGCTGTACCATGTACCTTTCCCAGTCGCTGCTGAGCCCTGTCCTTGGGGTCCCAAGCTAAAGCTGTGTACTCCATCCTGGTGAAATAGTGCCTTGGTAAAGCCACCCCATCTACCACTCTCAGATACAGCCGCACCCGGCACCTTAGAGCCTAAGCCAAAGCTACATACTACCTCCCAAGGAAATGGTACCTTGGTGAAATCACTTTATCTACCCCTCCCAGTCATTGTTGCTCCCTGGCCCCCCAACCAGAGTTGAAGCAGCATTCTGCATCCCAGGAAAATGGTGCTTTGTCCATCCAAAGGAACCATACCTCCCTGTACCTGAACTCAACTGGTAACCTGCCTCTCGAGAAAACAGTACCTTGGATGCCCAGGGCATTTATGCATCCCCTGAAGCCCAAGCCTAAGTTAAAGCAGTGGCCTGCCTCCTGGGAAACAGTGTCTTGGCCATCTAGATCAGCCACCCAACCCATACCTAAGCTTAAATGGCATTATGCCCGCTCAGAGCAGACACACTGCCCCCAACACCAGGCCTCAGCTGAAGCAATGCATTGCCTCTAGGGGAATCATTGCCTTGGCTAAGCCAAGCAGCTGCACATCCCTAGGCTGACTGACTTGTGACTTCGTGTGCCAAAGAAGCAGAGCAGTGGTTGAGCTGAGACACTCAACTCTATAGGTCAGACAGTTCCAGTACTCTGCTTCCCTTGAGCTGAACTATCCCCCAAGAGTCTGAGTTGCTAAGACACCTTCTTCCACGGAGAGTAGAGTCATTACTGTGTTGTTCCCTGCCCCTCAAACAGCCATATAATAGCTGTGTTCAGCCATTCTACTGCTGCTTTGTCCTCACAGCCTGGCATAGTGCAGAGTTCCACAGTCCCAGGGTCCAGAGTCACCACCACACAATACCTCTGAGACACAAGGTGCTACTGAGCTCTTTTGACTCTGGGTCCAAACTACAGCCAACTCTGTTCCTCAGGTGCAAACCTCCAGAGTACCCTTTCTTCCTTGGAGCTGTCCCAGTGCTGTACCCCTGCTACCCAGTATCAGAGTCATAGCTAGAACTTAGTCCCTGCTGACCAAGCTGCTAAGGAGTATGTCAGTATTACAGGTCCTGGCTCTGTAAACAATTCACATCCAACCCTGCCACAAATAGTGAACCTGAACCCCAAGGCCAAGATGCCAAAATTAATTTATGACACACTGAGCGGAGGACCTCAGCTTTACACCCACTATAAACACTTGTACCTGGAACCAGAGCCACTACAACTGCTTGTAAGCCACGTCACACCCAACATAAAGTGGGAACCTCTTGGCTAAATATCATCATTGTGGGGAAAATAAGAATAAGAGGACCCTTAAATCCCTTTCAAACAAGAATCCTAGCAACCTAAACTTACCCTGTCAATATCAAAAACTTCTACAGCCTAGGCCACTAATTAACCCACTGTCATAGCTGACATTTATTGCTGCTAAAGAAGCTACACAGAGTCTATACCACTGTATCTCTTGGAACCACAGTCACCACATTCTTCCCAAACGGCAATTAAGACCAATCAGCAGGTGAAAGTTTGTATCTACTAGAGACGCTCTATAAAGTTTAGAATAGGTGATTCTTCCACCAGATGCACACACATTACCGTAGGACACAAGAAACATGAGAAAGCAAGGATAATGGCAACACCAAAGGAACACAGTAATTCTACATAAATAAACATCCCTAAAAAGGAATTCTGCAAATTGCAGGAAAAGGTATTCAAAATAATGATCTTAAGGAAACTCAGTAAAATACAAGGAAATACAGACAGGCAATTTAATAAAATCAATAAAGCAATTCATGATCTGAATGGAAATTTTACCAAAGAAATGTAATAAAAAAGAAACAAGAATAATTCAATTAATGAAATTAAAAATGATCAAGATATTCAACAACAGAATAGATGAAGCAGAAGAAATAATTTCTGAATTTGAGGCCAGGTCTTTTGAAAGAATCCAGGAACACCCACAAATACACACACACACACACACACACACACACACACACACACAAGAAAAAAAGACCACAGAACTTATGGGACATAATTAAGCCCATGCATTTTTACATTATGGAAGTTTTAGAAGGAAAAGCGATTGGAAAAGGCATAGACAACCTACCTAATAAAGTAAGAGCTAAAGACTTCTTATGTCTTGGGAGATCTACAGATGTCCAGACCAAGGAAGCTCAAAGGTTCCTAAATAGATATAACCCAAAAAGCTGCTCTGAGGTACATTATATTCAAATTTTCAGAAGTGAAAGAAAAAGAACTCTAAAAGGAACAGGATAAAAGCATCAAGTCACATTTAAAGGAACTCCCATTACACTAACAGCAGAATTCTCAACAGAAGGCTTACAGGCCATGAGAGAATAGGATATATTTAAAAAGCGAAAGAAAAACTGTCTGACAACAATACTATGAACAGTAAAACCAAATTTCAGAAATGAGAGAGAAATAAAGTATTTCCCAGACAAGTGAAACCTGAGGGAATTCACCACCACTAGACTGACTGTACCAGAAATATTTAAGAGGGGCCTACATCTAGAAACAAAAGACAGTAACTGCCACCATAAAGAGATGCAATAGCATAAAACTCACACAGAAAGGAGAAATACACATTTGAAAGAGAAAGGAATCAAACCTCATCACTACAAAACTCTACCAAACTACAAAGATAAGCAATAAGAGAGGAAGAAAGAAATAATCATATATGAAACAAGCAGAAAACAATTAACCAAATGACAGGATTAACTCTTCACCTATCATAACCTTGACTGTAAATGAATTAAATTCCCCAATTGAAAGTTATAGGTTGGACATGGTGCCTCATGCCTGTAATCCTAGTATGGGCAATTTAGTTAGACTTCCTCTCTACAAATAATTTTAAGAAATCCAACAGACACATGAAAAAATACTCCTCATCACTGGCCATCAGAGAAACACATAACAAAACCACAATGAGTTACGATCTCACACCAGTTAGAATGGCAATCATTAAAAAGTCAAGAAACAACAGTTGCTGGAGAGGATGTGGAGAAATGGGAATGCTTTTACACAGTTGGTGGGACTGTAAACTAGTTCAACCATTGTGGAAGACGGTGTGGTGATTCCTCAAGGATCTAGAACTAGAAATACCATTTGACCCAGCCATCCCATTACAGGGTATATACCCAAAGGGTTATAAATCATGCTGCTATAAAGACACATGCACACGTATGTTTATTGCGGCACTATTCACAATAGCAAAGACTTGGAACCAACCCAAATGTCCATCAATGATAGACTGGATTAAGAAAATGTGGCACATATACACCATGGAATACTATGCAGCCATAAAAAAGGATGAGTTCATATCATTTGTGGGACATGGATGAAGCTGGAAATCATCATTCTGAGCAAACTATCGCAAGGACAGAAAACCAAACACTGCATGCTCTCACTTATAGGTGGGAACTGAACAATGAGAACACTTGGACACAGGGTGGGGAACATCACACACTGGGGCCTGTTGTGGGGTGGAGGGAAGGGGGAGGGATAGAATTAGGAGATAACACCTAATGTAAATGATGAGTTAATGGGTGCAGCACACCAACATGGCACATGTATACATATGTAACAAACCTGCATGTTGTGCACATGTACCATAGAACTTAAAGTATAATAAAAAAATAATAATAATCAGGCATATTGGTACACACCTATAGTTTGAATTACTAAGGAGGCTGAGGTAAGAGGATTGCTTGAGCCCAGGAGTTCAAGGTTACAGTGAGCTGTGATCACGCCACTACACTCCAGGCTAGGTGACAGAGCAAGACTCTAGCTCTTTTAAAAAATGAAAAAAATCGAAATAAATAATGAAAGTTGTAGACTGACTAACTGAATGAAAAATAAGATCCAACTATACACTGACTATGAAATATACTTTACATGTAAAGACACAATAGACTAAAAATGAAAAGGTGAAATAAGTTATTTCACACAAAGAAAACCAAATGCAAGCAGGAATAATTATACTTATATCAGATAAAACAAACTTTAAGACAAAAAGTATAAAAAGGGACAAATAATATGAATATATAATGATAACGGGGTCAGTTGAGAATTTATTATTTATAAATATATACACCCAATTCCTGAACACCTAGATATATAAATGAAATAATATTAGATCTAAAAGAAGAGAGAGAATTCAATACAATAATAGTTGGGAACTTCAACACCCAACCCTCCGCATTGGACAGATTATCCAGACAGAAAATGAAGAAAATAAAATCATTGGATTTAAACTGCACTATAGACCAAATTGACCTGACAGACATTTGAAGAACCTTTCATCCAACAGCTACAGAATACATGTTCTTATCACTGCATAGAACATTCTTCAGCATTGACCATATATAAAGCCACAAAACAAGTTTCCAACAAATGTTTTAAAAATAAAAATCATATTATGTGTAATGAAATAAAACTAGAAGTCAATAACAAGAGGAACATTTAAAGCTGCACAAATACATAAAAATTAAACAATAATCTTCTGATGGCTTCCACTGATTAATTCTATCAAAGTATTAAGGAAAATTGAGAAGTCTGGTTGCTTAGGCCGAGTGTGATGAAGCATGCCTGTAATCCCAGCACTCTGGGGAGACCAAGGCAGACAGACCACTTGAGGCCAGGAGTTTGAGACCAGCCTGGCAAACATAGTAAAACCCCATGTCTATAAATCAATCAATCAATCAATCAATCAACTTGGAAGCCAATTTTTCTCAAACTATTCAAAAAATTGAAAAGATAAAATTATTTCAAATTCGTTCTATGAATCCAGCATTATCTTGATACCAAAAACAGATAAGGTCACAACACAAAAAAGAAAACTATAGGCCAATATCTCTGATAAATAGATGCAAAACTCCTAAACAAAATACTAGCCAACCAAATGTAGCAGTACATCAAAAAGATTATACACCATAATCAAGTGGGATTCATCTCAGGAATGCAAGGAGAATCCAACATATGCAAATCAACACACATAATATATCAACAGAATGAAGTTAAAAACCATATGATTATCTTAATAGATGCAGAAAAAGCATTTGATACATTTCATCAATGCTTCATGATAAGAACTCTCACCAAATTAGGTGCAGGCAGAAGGAACACACCTCAACGATAAAGGCCACATTTGACAAACTCACAGCTAATATTGTACTGAATGAAAAAAAGCTGAAATCTTTTTCTCTAAGAACTAGAGTACGACAAAAATGCCCACTCTTCCCCCTCTTATTAGACTCAGTACTTGCAATTCTCATCAGAGCAATTCAGAAAGAGAACAAAATAAAGGGAATTCAAATTTGAAAAGAGAAAGCCATATTGTCGTTGTTTGCAAATGACATAATCTTATGTATTAAAAAACCGAAAGACTTCACAGAAAAACTCTTAGAGCTAATAATTCTGTAAAGTTGCAGAATACAGTATCAACGTAGAAAAATCATTCGTGTTTCTATATGCCAACATCAAACAGCGTTAAAAGCAATAACAAAAGCAACCCCATTAACAATAGCTATAAAATAAATGTGGGAATAAATTTAAGCAAGGAGGTAAAAGATCTCTACATGAAAAACTATGAAACAGTGATGATATAAATTTTAAAAGACACTAACAAATGGAAAGGCATTTTATGTGATTCATGGGTTACTAGAATTAATATTGTTAAAATGACTATATTACCCAAAGCAATCTGCAGATTCAATGCAGTTCCTATCAAAATGTCAATGACATTCTCACAGAAATAGAAACAATAATCCTAAAATTTGTATGGGACCATTAAGGCTCCTGACTAGCCAAAGCAAACTAAACAAAAAGAGCAAAACTGGAGGCATCACATTACCTGACTTCAAAATATACTACAAAGCTATAGTTAAAAACAGCACAGTACTGACATAAATACAGACATAGATCAATGGAACAGAATAAAAAATCCAGATATAAATCCATATATTTACAGCCAATTGATTTTCAGCAAAGGCAACATAAACATTCATTAGGGGAAGGACAACCTCTTCAATACATGGTGTTAGGAAAACTGGATATCCATATGCAGAAGAATGACATTAGACCCCTATCTCTTATTATATACAAAAATCAACTCAAAATAGATTAGAGACTTAATTATAAGACCAAAAACTACTAAACTACTAAAAACAACTTAGGAGGAACACTTGAGGATATTGGTCTGGGCAAAGATTTTATGGAAAATATTTCAAAAGCATAGGCAACATAAACAAAAATTGATAAATGAAATTATATATATATACAAGGAACTCAAAATATAAAAGTAACTCAAGAGCAAAATATAATAATCTAATTACAAATGGACAAGTGACCTGAATAAACATTTCTGAAACTGAGACATACAAATGGCCAATAAGTACATGAAAAATTGCTCAACATCACTAATTAATTATCAGGGAAATGCAAATCAAAAGCACAATGGGATATCATCTAACCACAGTTAGAATGGCTATTACCAAAAAGAGAAAAAATAACAGATGCTGGTAAAGATGTGGAGAAAGGGGCCCTTCTATACACTGCTGATAAGAGTAAAAATTAGTATAGTAATTATGGAAAACCGTATAGAGATTCCTAACAAAACTAAAAATAAAACTATCATATGATTCAGTAATACCACCATTGGGTATATATCAAAAGGAATGGAAATCAGTATGTCAAAGTGATATCTGTATCCTCATGTTTATTGCAGCACTTTTCACAGTAGTCAAGATATGATATCAACCTAAGTGCCTATCAACAGGTAAATGGATAAAGAAAATGTGGTATATATACACAATTCAGCATATAAGAATGAAATCCTGTCATTTGCAGCAATATGGATGAGCCTGGAGGACATTATGTTAAGTGAAATAAACCATACTCAGAAAGATAAATACTGCGTGTTCTCAGTCATATGTGGAAACTACAAAATGTTGACTTCACAGAAGCAGAGTTGAAATAATGTTGCCACTCAAGGGAATCAAGCAGAGAAATGCAATGTGACGTTACAGCAAAGGAAAAAATATTTGGTGAAATTCAATAATGACTACTAGATACAGTTTTGGTAAACATCATGATAGGTTTGTGAGAGCATAAATAATTTAGCAACAAGAAAAAATTGAACACACTATAAAATACATGTTAAAAAAACAGTCCGTGCTTGATACTTATGTAGCTCAAAGTGAATAAGAAAAGATTATATTAAAATGATAATTGAAATGCAGCTGTCTCTATTTTTTCTCTTTTCTTTCACTTGCATAACTGTCTGTTTTTAATGAGATGCTTTGCTATTTTTTAATGGAATTACTCTTTTCAGTAGCTTGCTATTTCCCCTGAAAGAGAAGTATAAAAGGTGTAATCAAGACTACAGAAGAGTTATAATAGAAGGAAATAAAAAGATGAGATAAGAGATTGAAAAGTGGATAAAATTTTTCAAATGCTGTGATTTCCCTTTAAATGGCACAGAGGAAAAAATAAATGAAACCAATGGTTTAGTTTGAAGGCTTAAATATGCCTGGGGTAGTGCTGACTTTTGTGTTAGCATCACTCAAAATACTCTATAGTAAGTGGTGTGTTTCTGCTAAGAGAAGCTTTGCTTTAGGGGTTTAATGTGAAAAGAATAAAGAATGAGAACCATTTCAAGATTAATTAAAAAATAATGACAAATAGTAAAGAAATTTATTTAGAAGTAGGTAAAAAATTATTTATGTAATTATTCTGCAAATTAAAGTTCTCATTAATACACATATTTTATGGGAAAAAAGGACATGAGAAAAAGAGAAACAAAAATCTATTCACTTATGTTTATTGTCCTTAACAGTGACTCAAGTTAAGTCTAGATAACCTTGGTAGACATGGTCACATTTTGACATCTATGGTTAATTTTAATTTACCTTAATTTACATTTTAAACTATAAATAAATAGCTCACGATTCCATATGTTTGTCTAAAGAGTTTTAGTCTTATATGATAAATTAAATTTTGTTAACACAAAAATATATTTGAAAATTCAAAATTTCAGATGATTTTGAAAGAAAAAGATAAGATGACAGTGGTTATTAAAAATTTTATCTTAAATTTTAATAAATAGTTTTCTCACTTGCAATATTTACTATGAATATCATATTCACTAACACACTTGATTTTATATTTCCACTTTATATCATATTGTTTCAAAAACTTAAGTTTACAATTGTTATACAAATGAATTCAATTACACTTTATATAAACATAATTTTAGTGATTTTTGAAGTGGTCTTTAATAATCTTTAGCTAAATTATTGATTTCTTAAAAAAATACTTTAGCAATTTTTACCTATGCAAACGTCTTGCAATAGCTATAGGATTATATTCAATAATATATAAAAATCAAATTAAAATATTCTATTATTTACTTCTCTATTATGGTTGGACAAATTTTATTAAAAAAAATACTGAATCTGGGAATGAAGTATATTTTCCCCCAAGGAAATAAGGTCTATTTTGTCTTTATTATTGAAAAATATGGGAGAAAATCTACTTAAATATGCTTAATAATTATCTTAATATTAGCCATTTTATCCTCTTATGTACTCAATATATGAAATTTCAATTTTTAAATGTTTAACATTACATATAATTTTGATAAAGAAAGCAAAATTATACAAGATTAGACATTTTTAAAGTATGTGTTTTTTCACATTCTGTTTCCTCTTTCTTTTCAAGCTCTGTTCTGAAGTTTCTTTTCAATTTTATTGAGATATAAGTTACATACCATTTCATTCACCCACTCACAGTGTATGATTCAATGTTTTTTAGTATATTCAGATTTGTGGAACTATCAGCAAAATATAATTTTAGAACACTTATGTCCCTCCTCAAAGGAACGCTTTGTACATGTTAACTATCACATCATATTTGTCCCTCCTCAAAACTCTAAGCAACCACTCACATACTCTTTGTCACTATAAATGTGTCTACACTGGACATTTTGTATACGTGGGATAATACAACATGTGGCCTTTTGTAACTGGCTTATTTCAATTAGCATATGATTTTCGAGTTATTCTATGGTCAAACATGTATCAGTCCTTCATTTATTTTTATTATGAGTAATATTCCATTGAGAGGATAGATCATATTCAATTATCCATTCATAGATTGGTGGATATTTGAGTTGTTTTCATTTTGGGGCTATTATGAAGAATGCTACTATGAACATTTGTGTGTAAGTTTTTATGTGGTGCATATTTTCATTTCTCTTGAATATACCTATGGGAAGGAACTACTATCTAATATGGTAACTATTAAAATTTCAAAGAACTGCCGAACAGATTTCCAAAGTTACTGAATTTGGATTGTCTTTTTATTAGTAAGTTGTACGAGTTATTTATATAACTGAATAAATATCTTATCAAATATATGAATTTTAAATACTTTCTCCTATTCTGTGGGTTGTTTTTCACTTTTTTGGTGGTGCTCCTTAAAGAACAGAATATTTTAATTTCGAAACAGCCCAATTTATTGATCTATTATAATTTAAAATATGTAATTGACAAAGATTGCTATATATTTAAGGTACACAGTATGATTGTTTGATACCTATATACATTGTGTAATAATTACATCATTAATATAATTAGCACATTTGTTACCACTCATGCTAAACATCAGATCACTAGAACTTGTTTATCCTATAACTTCAAAGTGTGTACCTGTCCATTTCTTCCAACCCTCAGTCTTTGGCAATCACTCTTCTACTTTCTGGTTCTATAAATTTGACATTTTTTACATTCCACCTATAAGAAGATCATGCAGTATTTGTTTTTCTGTGTCTGACTTACTGCACTTAGCATAATGTCCTCAGGGTTCATCTATAGTGTTGCAAATGTCAGGATGTTCTTCCTTTAACGGCTAAATAATATTCCATTTTGTTGTGTGTGTGTGTGTGTGTGTGCGTGTGTGTATGTATGTGTGTGTGTGATTAACATTTATTTATCCACTCATCTGTTTATGGACACCAAGGAACCCTTATAAATTTTTGGTAGGTACGTATGTAAATTGGTATAACATTATGGAAAACAATAAGGAAGTACCTCAAAAAATAGAACTACTAGCAATCCTATTTTGGGATGTACAAATAAAGGAAATAAAATATCTCAAAGAGATATCTGCACCCCCATATTTATTGCAACGTTATTTACAATAGCTAAAATGTGGAAACAATAGTTTTATCTGTATTTAATTTTGTCTCTTGTGCTTTTTGTACCGTATCCAAGAAACCATTCCCTAACCAAAGCTCATAAAATTTACTTTAATGTTTTTTTCTAAAAGTTTTATAGTTTTAGCTCTTATATTTAGATTTATAATCACTTTTGAGTTAATTTTTTATGTATAGTCATTGTCCAACTTCAGTCTTTATATCTGGATATACACCTCTCCCAACAAATTTTTGCAAAGACTCTTCTTTCTCCATTAAGTGGTTTTGTCAACTTTGTCAGAAATCAATTGACAGTAAATTAAAATGCTTATTTCTGGGCTTTCAAGTCCATTCCACTTAGCTAAATGTCTACATGTATACCAGTAACATACCATAGTAATTATTTCACTTTTACATTAAGTTTTACATTAAGTTAACAGGAAGTATACATCTACATTAAAAAGTTTTGTATGTGTGCCTGCACATATATAGTTGTATACATACACATTGTGTTTATATATATATATACACACACACACACACACAAGTTGCATTAAAGTGAGTAATTTTAATCTTTCGTTAATGTGAATTAGGTTAAACAGAAACTTAAAAATCTCAAAATTTTATTTTCTAAGGCTTACTTAATTTAAGATAAAAAGAGTAAAGAAATATTACATGTTCTATTATAATTGAAAGTTAATAACTTCTTTTATACTGTGAGCCAAGATCCACAGGACTTAAATAAAGCATTTTTGGCATCTCTTTACAGGTGCAGAATCAATTATGATATGTGTTATATGTCAGTGACATGTCAAATGACTCTATTGATTCTTGACCTCACATTTATAAGAGAATCATGATCTTGTCTCATTTCAATACATTAAAATGGTTTTTAAACAAAGCAAATAAAATTTAGAGTAAATTTTTTTCTCATTCAGCAGATGAATAAACCATAGTCTTAAAAGGTAGAGGGACCAGCTCTAATAAATCCTGGCATTACACACACACATTATGTAACAACACACAGCACTCCAATACTAGAATATTTTTTCTCACGTGTTAGAAGACTTTGGATAATTATCAGTTGAGACTCCCATAAACTGTATTCAGTTGGACTCAGGCAATATTTGCATATCTGATTCCCTGAAAAGCACAGCTCTATAGATAAAGTATGAATCTTTTTGAATGGTTTTGTTTAAATAGTTTGAAAATGATAAATGTTTGTATTTGTAGTCTTCCCATTGTAACAAGGCATAAAGAATTTGCAAATAAAGTGAAGAAAAATTTGAAATATTTCTCAAATGTATAAACCACCTGATTAGAAGGAAAAACCATCTATAGAAATATAAATCACAGTGTTTGTACACATCATACATGAGATAGACTATATCTCTGCTAAAAAAAAAAAATCTCCCCACGCACTCTGGTTTGGTGTAATTGTTAAATTCCATGTTGTTGAATCATGTAATGCAGGCAATTTTGCAAATTTGCACATGTAAGGGAAACAAAATTTAATGTTTTTTTTCCAGAGGTGTGATACATTAATAACTTTGTTTATTGTCAAGTCCAGAAGCTCTAAAAGAAAGCGAATTATATCTACCTTGTTTGGCCAGAAGCATGATGTGGTTGCAGGGTCTGACTAGCTTTGTAGAGTTTGCAACAAACAAACTTTGCCAATAAAATTTATCCTGTTGAGACTTCTGAATGAAGTCCAATAAATATTTTAATACTGAATTTCATGATTATTTTTATGAAGCTAATAACCATCTCTTCCCCATCTGTCAAAAAATGACAGAAAATTAGGTAACTGCTATCAATAAAACCCATAATTCAAAGGGGAGTTATTTATTATTGTGAACATAAATCATAACTGCTTCTTTTTGCTGGAGTATTCTTCAACACACTTTCGGAACCAAATTAGGGAAAAATACCTCACACTTCCTAGTATAAACAACAGAGAACAGGGCATTAAATTCTAAATCTCAATAGGCTGGAAAATAGGAACACAGGACTCCTAAAACCAGTAATCCACTAAATATATATGTGACTTCAAACAAGTCACTTTATCCTTTAGAAAAATAGTAGGTTAAACTAATTAAAGACAGATGTGTGATTCAGGGAAGCCTGCAGTTATCTTAGTAAAATGTAATTAATCACTAAAAGTCATTATTAAGGAAAACCTGTTCCAGGTTTTCTGTCTTATGTCATCCAGGCCAATTGGTTTGATGTCAGGAGTAAACTACAAATAAAGAGCTGCTACTCCCTGAAATAATCTTATACATTTGAAAATCAGGCAACCTCAATAAGGAGTTGATCACCTAAATGCCATTCTTCCTCATTTAGCATAAATTAGTAAAACCATCCAGTGAGAATGTAACACCATGTCTAAGATTTGGGATCCTTATGTGCCAAGAGTACAGTCTCAATCTCAGGACTTTGAAATTAACCAGCTCCAGAGGTGAAGTCATTGAATAATCAACAGCCCTAAGTGGTAATGCAGTTTTGAAGTAGAATGTTGCATTCTCTTCTAACAGGTAACATAAAATTTTTTAAAAAAGAATTAAAAGAACACCAATCATTGGAGGGAAAATGATGAGAATGGCCATGTGATATGGTTTGGCTGTTTGCCCACCCAAATCTCATCTTGAATTGTAGCTCTCATATTCCCACACGTTGTGGGAGGTAATTGAATCATGGAGGCAGGTTTTTCCCATGCTGTTCTCATGATAGTGAATAAGTCTCAAGAGATCTGATGATTTTATAAAGGGGATTTTCCCTGCACATGCTCTCTCTCTTGCCTGCTGCCATGTAAGAAATGACTTTGCTCCTCCTTTGCCTTCTGCCATGATTGTGAGGCCTCCACAGCCATGTGAACCTGTGAATCAATTAAACCTCTTTCCTTTATAAATTACCCAGTCTCAGGTATGTTTTTATTAGTAGCATGAGAACAGACTAATACAACATGAGTTCTCACTTATTTGAAACAGATGAGTCATTTTTACTATAATGGGAATGACTAATATGATTATACTATGTCCTTCTAGTAACTAAAGGAAAGAACTTTAGGAACTTCTGTCTTGTCTCACAAAGCCCTAAATAAGTAGGGTCAAATTTGTCCTTTGCTCATTCATTTAATGAATTTTATTACTAAATCCATGTGAGGTCTGGGGCCCTGGAAAAAGCATATTTCATCATCTTTATTGTTATTATGAAATAATTAACCTAGACATAGCTCCTCTACTCCCAGGCCTGAGAGTCTTTTGGTAGATACAGACAAGAAAACAATCTGTGTTCTGGTGTGAACTGGAATAACTGTGCTTTGAGAGCACACTAGAGGTACATTTAATCTACACTTCAGTGTTTAGCAGAGACTTTCTAGATGAAGTCTTATCTAAGCTGAAGTCTGCTTAGATTGGTAAAATTTAGGCAGGTTAAGAGTGAAGTTTCTAGGGAGCATAATTTGATGAAGAATAATTAACAAAACTGAGAGATGTGAGGTAACTGGTAATGCAGTTCCCTGAGCATGAGACATATAACTGATGGAAGAGGCTTTGAATGTGTTTATATGCATATGTGCTCACATGTGCATGTATGTTCGATATTTAAGGCCAGAGCAGTGGCTATGTAGGGAGAAAGAGGGCACAGATTTTGCTACCAGAGAAGAAAGCCAATCTCTGTTTCCTGTCCCTTTAGACTACAAGGCTCAGGCTAAGGGCGAACATCAGAAGTTAGATTAGTGTATGGACTTAGAGGTTAGAATGAGCTTAGCAGCTACTGATTATTGGCTGGAAAATTTGCACTACTGACTATTGGCCAGAGGATTTGGACACACATAGCACGATGCAAAGTGCAAACCAAAATCCCTCTCTTTATCTGACTTTCTCTCTTACTGAGCACTCATGGTAACTACTGAACTATTTTGTGGTTTTATTCATACTTGATCTAAGTTATCCATTTATCAGTAAAAACACCATTCTATTAATTTAAAAGCATTGCAATATTGAAGACATGTATTTGTTATATTAAAGACAGATGATAACTAAATGCACAGAAGACTATCGTTTGCCAAGTCTAGACAAAATTATTATGGTGATACCTCTTTATTTTGAATATTGAAGTATTGAAGTGTGAATGGATGTCAGCTAGGTGAACAAACAGAATCAGGCATTATGTCAGACTCACAAATAACATCTTCAAAGGTCAATCAATAGAGTGTGATTCAGAAACATGAGTATTAATATTTCAGTATTATTAACAGAATGATCTTAATTTTGGGACACAAAGTGATGTGGATAATGTATGTGTTAAAGATTGAAATTAATCAATCTTTAATTAATTGAAATTACTTTTTCTTTTCAATTTTGTAAGTTTTCATGGTTTTGTACACTTCATTAGTATGATCCAGATTTTTTTTTATGAGTCTGGGGGTCCTGCAGTTCATGGAATATTTTATGTGCCTCATGAAGTTGCTCAAACTAAATGATCTGGAGCTAGATATTTTTCACTGACTGCTTAATGGAAAAGCAGAAATGCAACAGGGAGTTGAGCTACCCAACAATGGTTTCAATTTGAAAATAATCTTTTAGAAATTTGTTCTCTGCCACAAATAGTACCCTTGTTGGCATGCCAAATTTCATAATTATATATTAGTTTTGCATTTGATATTGAATTTTCAGAATACTCTTATAATAAAATGTAAACACTTACCTGTTAATTTACAAATCAGCATACTTTGCACCGTAGCATGACCTAGTAGTTCAATTTCAAAACACAAAAAAGTATCTGACTCTAAATCTTCTGTGCGAAGAGCACAAGAGCACATGGCTAATAAGAATTTTGAGCAATCAGGATCTTCCAGTTTCTAATTTTCTTTAATAAGTTAATTTCTGACATATTTGGGAGAGGAAAAGACATGGAAAATTGTTTACATTTTTTCTTCAAAATAGCCCACCAAGTCAAATGCCAGTGGGCACATTAACTTTTCATTTCAAGTTTTAAAATAATTTTCACAATAGTGAATATAACCAACCAAGTAATTTGTTGTTAAAGCATTTGTATTGATAAATGTACTGACAATATATTACATGCGGGCTTCTCTTGACAAGAATAATGTGTTTGGTGAGAAAAAGAAATTTAGTAAAGTAGTGGTGGTTAGGGCAATGTAAATATTATTGGGGGGAAAACATCCATGAATATATTAAGATGAATACAATAAAAAACTATTACTGATTTTACAAATAAGCCAGGCTTTTACTCTACTATCCATGCAAGTTAGAGTCAATAGTTTTGCCAATGAGAATTAGATTTTTGTTCACTTTTTTAAGAAATCTCCAGGAATTTAACCTACTAATAATTTTACTTATAAGAACAAATTCATTTTTACATATCTACTTCTAAATAAGAAACTATAATTTTCTAAAAGGCAGTTAGTGTTTTTACCATTATATTAATGTTGGGTCTGTAAAAACTAGATTTACTCATCAATTCTGAAGATAATAATGTAACAATATTTTATGAGGTTTACATATATTCTGCTGAGAAGATAAGAATTATTTTACAAAATGTATTTCACACATCTAGAGAGATAAACAGAAAGACATATGTTCCTCTTTTTTATAATGTATGTGGAGGAAAGCACTGCAGAGCATTACAAAAATAAAATATTTTTGTAGGTTAGGAAGTCTCATGTTAATGCAGTTAATGAAAGTCCTTAGGTGCCAAAATTGGCATTAAAAATTCTAAAGGAATGTAAATATAAATATATATGTACATACAAATGTATTCTATATATTGTGTGTATATATATGATATTATATATCATATATATGATATATATATGATATTATATATCATATATATGATATATATATGATATTATATATCATATATATGATATATATATGATATTATATATCATATATATGATATATATATGATATATATATGATATTATATATCATATATATGATATATATATCTCATATATATATGATATATATATCATATATATGATATATATATATCATATATATGATATATATATATCATATATATGATATATATATATCATATATATATGATATATATATATATGATATATATATATATATGAAAAACTAGAAACAATGTTTCAACTTCTCAGAGTGCCCAGGACAAATATAACCCTGCTCTAATTTTTTATTAACTTTGGGTTATAAGCCATTATTAATTCAAAATATAGTAGTGAACCAATGTGGAGTTAATGGCAAATTTACATCATAGTTTGAGGTAGGGGTATTACTGGGGAAAAAATATGAGAAAAATGCACTTATCAGGCTAAGATAATTCTTAAGTTCCCAGAGTATACTGCAGGCTTGCCAAGCAATTGAAAGCATGTGAAACTCTGTGTCCCAGTTGTCTTCTGGGAGAAATAATAAATGCTACACTGAAACATCTGGAACGCTGTTGAATCTCCAAAAGAATTCACCATGACGTAAATAAGACTTGAAGAAAACATGTTCTCCCTAAAGAGCGTTGAGCTAATACAATAAAAACTGCTTCCAAAAAGGCACTGGGACTACAGCTTTAAGGATAGCAAGTTGAAGATTTTCCTTAGGGGTGAAACAACAATTGTAACACAGCTGTGTGGCCTTGGAAAGCTTAGAAGCTGCTAGAATCTCATCCAAGGAGGTGGGGAGGGGGGAGGGGGGAGGGGGGAGGGGGAAGGATAGCATTGGGAGATATACCTAATGCTAGATGACGAGTTAGTGGGTGCAGCGCACCAGCATGGCACATGTATACATATGTAACTAACCTGCACAATGTGCACATGTACCCTAAAACTTAAAGTATAATTAAAAAAAAAAAGCCCATTTGGAACAAATTTGAGTGTTCTGTAAAATTAAAACGTGAATTTCCAATAACCCAGAAATTCTATTTCTTTGTGTCTTCCACAGATAAAACTCACACATGTGTTGACTTAAATGACTTTTTAAATGATAGTGACTGAATACGCTGTATAGTACTGTGTATACGTGTGTGTGTGTGTGTGTATGCATATGAATGTGTCTGTGGCAGGGAAAGAGAGACAGAGAGAGAGAGGCTTAGTACTTTGGAGGTACATAGATTTTCTTAGCAGACCCTCCTGAGATAGTATAGAAGCTTTTAAAAAGTTTAAGAACCTTAGGTATGGTATTTTATTTATGTTTAAACATGCACACAAAAACACTGTATATTTTCTATTGGAGCATATAAACATGCGGAAAAGCAACAAAATCTGGAATAATGATGACTCATCTGACAACTACTAGGTAGTAAGAGAAGTGAGGTAGCAAGTGGTGATACCAAGAACTGGGTGTTGGCCAACAGGGACATCAGCTCTAGAATTAACAATTTAGCTTAAAATG
Organism: Homo sapiens; assembly: GCF_000001405.40. NCBI lineage: Eukaryota > Metazoa > Chordata > Mammalia > Primates > Hominidae > Homo > Homo sapiens. The sequence goes on along the minus strand of NC_000003.12, from coordinate 145,271,959 downwards.
AAGAATGGACCTGTTTACACAATATCACATATATTCACATACAATTTTAATATAATCCTGAGAACTTTGAACAAAATCTGAGACTGCTAATTCCAGTGAAGGTATATATTAAGGTGAGAAAATATCAACTAAACAAGAAAGAAAGAGAGAAAGAAAGAAAGAGAGAGATAGAGAGAGAAGGAAGGAAGGAAAAAAGAAAAGACATTTCATGGTAGCAAAGATTTTCTAATTTTACATGTGTTATAATTTGCACTTCCTTGCACCTATGGCAAAAAAAAATTACATCAACTTAGATGAATGTTATAGATGAAAGTAAATTATTTTAGGTAATGTTTCCCACTTCCAAACTAAACTATGGCATCATTCATTATGCCTTTTTTTTGTATATGACTTTAGCAAACATGGAGAGTGTCTTCAAATGTAGTTTTATAAAAGCGGGAAATGTATATATCTACCCATGATACTATAATGACATGTAGGCTTCTCTAAAATATAACCACTGTTGTCACATTTTAATTATCTAGGAAAATATATGAATAATCTAGGCAAAATTATACACAAATATTCCTCAAGTTACTACGGATTACATCTTCCAAAAGCATTAGAAATTGAAAATCCTGTAAGACAAAAATAAGTTTAATATATCCAACCAACCAAACATCATAGCTTAGCCCAGCATAGCTTAAACATGCTCAGGACACTTACATTAATCTACACTTGGCCAAAATCATCCCAACACAAAAAACTATTTTAAAATAATATGTTGAGTACATGTGTATCCTGCAATTTATTGGACTCTATGATGAAAGTGAGAATCAGAATGTCTTTTTGGTTACTAACCATTAGCATACACAGCTGAAAGCACACAAGACCTAAAGAATGTTTGAAGCATTGAACTAAAATTAAATGTTGTATGGTGGGGGTCCTGCAGCAATAGCTTCATTAATTTTTCCCTGTTCTAATGAATCTTAAGAACAGCTGATAGAAGGCACTGGGAATCTCCACTTTTTGATAATTTAGTAGGTGTAGTGCTGTTTAGGAGGATAGCAAGTTTCGATGTTGAGTTTGTTTCTTCTTATTTTTATATATTTCTCAATAGCAAGCAAGAGCATCCTGTTTCTGCCTGTCAGCTCTTGCAACTTTCTTGGAATTGATGTCCATTTTTGCTAACATTCATGTACTATTGCCGAGAGTAGCAAACACCTCCACAAGTTTCTTCACTGTGAACTTCTTGATGCCTTTTCTTTCTTTGTCTCAACATCTTTACTTTCTCCAGTTTGATCTTCTCCTCACTGGAAAACTCTTCAGCATCAATGCCAACAAGTTCATGAATAACTTCTTCATTAATGTTCAGTTCTAGCTGTTTCACAAGCAATAATATCTTGTTACATACTATTTCATCAATAGCTGAATCTATGTTGAAGCCTTTGGATGTGTCCACATGTCTCAAAGCTTTCTTCCAAATGTCATTCATGCATTGCTGTTTGACTTATTTCCATGCTGCTGCAATGTTTCGGACAGCATTTAGATTGTTCAAAACGTTTCCAAAACTCTATAAGTGTTCAGCCAGATTCAGTTGCTTCAACAGTTTGTGAAAAGTATTTGGTGTAAATAGTATCCTTTGAATGTAGCCATTGTGCCTTGGTCATTGGTTAAATGAGTGCGGTATATTCAGTTACAAATACACAGCCTTCCACCAGGATGCAAGTCACCTATATGCTAGGGATGCCCTGGGACATTGTTAAAACCAGAGAAATCTTGAAGAAGATGTTGTTTTGCCCACAATATTCTTTTGCCTAAAGAATAAAACAGCTCAAAAACCACCCTTCAAACAAGCAGATGCCATCCAGGCTTTCTTGTTATGGCAATAATAAACAAGAAACATATGCTTGTTCACATTCTTGAATGCTCTAGAATTCTCTGAGTTGTAGATTAGGAAAGGCTTTAATTTGAACTCTGAAACATTTCCACCCAAAAGTAGCCTTATATAGTCTGAATCCCTTGAATCCTGTCATTGTCTTAGACTCTTGATGAATGTAAGGACAATCCAGCATAAATTTCCAGAACAAGCTTGTTTCATCAACATTAAATATTTGTTCTGACAAATATTTCTCACCCACATCTATTTTATATCTCTCCCTAAAAGGTTTAGCACCTTTAGTATTGGCATTTGCTGCCTCACTGCTGACCTCCACATTTTGAAAATTATGATGTGATGCCTTTTGAAGTGTTGGAACCACCTATGACTTGTTATAAACATTTCTGTATGTGTAGGATCATTGACATGCTCAGGTACCATACAGAAAACATTTCTTGACCTAGGTTGGACTGTTAGTAAGCTAAGCAGCATGAACTTCTGTATCTGGTTTTCCATCCACGTTGAAAGTAATTTTTTCATATTATCAATTGACCCAGCTCTTTTATTTGTGATGACAGTGGATTTAGCCAATGTTAATAATTTCATTGCATCACTGATCTGCTTCTTATCCCTTAAGATGGTCAAGATCATGCACTGGGAAAAGCCCTAAATCACAGGCAATGGCCATTGCTGGCTTGCTGCCTGCATGCTGGGAAATTATCCTTAGTTTCAACTCAAGAGTAATTGCCTTCCTTCCACTTTTTCGTTCCATTGGTAGCATGAGGCACAGATGGTCATTTTGCAGACATGATGAGATGCAAAATCACAAAACACAATATCTACAAAATTCTGGCAACACAGTACACCATAGAGTATTGGCTGTTTATCCTGTGATCATTTGGCTGACTGGAGTTGCGGCTTTCTGCGGCTGCCCAGCATAGAAAATATTGTACTGCATATCATTAGCTCTGGAAAAGATTAAAATTTTCCTTTTGCACCATCAATAAAGTTGAAAAATCATAAGTTGGACCATTGCAAGTTGGAGACATCTGTATATGACATATATGACAGAATGAGATATGCCAGACTGTCTAGTTGAGTCTGGTCTAGTATTGGTTTGCAGGCAACGTGTGTTTGAGTTTCTCATTAAAAACCTTATATTATAGATTTTTTAAAAATAAAATGAAAGAAAGTCGTTTGCCTCATTCAAGAGAAACAATTTTCCAGGCAGTCACTAAAACTTGGAAATATAATATAGTTTGTAGTAAAAAAATAGAACATCTCTATATTCCAGCAAAAATTAGGAGAAGCAAGTTTAGGTAAAACTCCGAAGTGATATATTTAATTTCCTCAACTATTTGCCCAACTATTTGAGGCTATATCTTCTGTATGAAACAATATGAAGGAAATAATATTTTAACTAGTTGTTGATACTTAAACTTCTTGTGCTAAAAAATTATCACAGAAAACTACAATATTCTTCATACAGATTGATTGTTAGAGTATTTTATGTGTTTTAATTGGTATTACATACATAAGAATCGACAAGCAAAAGTCAATGGAAAAGTATAATCCCACAAAGCTAAGTTAACATAACGTTTCTCAGCTCTGAATAATCATTATCATTAAATGACAAGCTTTAAAAATAAAATACTACCCTGCAAGTTCCATCATGAATAGTCAAAATATAATCTTTGTAGTTGGTTCAATATGTCACTGTTTTTGTATGCTCTCTAGTTGATTCTAGAGTACAGACAGGTTGAGAACCACTGCAATTTAACACAGTGAATTTGATACTAATGTTTGAATGTAAGTTGGTGTCTATTTAAATGATGAAAAATTTGTTCAAAATAAAATATTATAGCTTAAGAGAAAATCAGGCTAAGTACCTAGCTCTTCTGACTGGATACAGGTCAAAACAACACTGTTATGGATGTATTATTGTCTGTATGAAACCGAAGCTTAGAGAGGTTTAATTACATGTTTAAGACCATGCCATCAAAAACTAGAAAATCCAAACAAACATGCCCGTAATTGAGATCTATGCCACTATTTCTACAATATGCTATCTTTCATATCAGTAATGTTGTATATTAATAATGCTCTACCCTCAAACTTTCAAACACAATCATTAGTTTCGAAATCAAAGTTGATTTTAAGACCGTTAAGGTGTTTTGCCTTTTTTTAAATCCTAGAAGTAACTATTTCCTTCTTTTCCCATATTAGATTATTTATTCATTTTTCTGACTCAATAAGGAATTCTTGTCCCATTTCTATACTGGGAAAAATTTCTGAATTTCTTTAATGTACAACCCTTACAACAAAAACCACATTATTTGATTGAGTACTTAAACCCCTGTAACATAAAATATTTGTCATGTCCTAAGCATGCACATATAAATATATGAGCCTTCCAGAACCCACTTTCAGCTCTCGGAGACACATCTCTTGAGTGATAAGTCTCTTCCTAGTTTAGAAAGCAAATTATCGCATCTTTATTTTTAAATTATACTTTTCATTTTGAGATTATTATAGATCCCATATAATTGTGAAAAATAATACAAACATTCCCATGTACTTGTTGCCCAGTTTGCCCAATAGTAACATCTTGTAAAACTGTAGTACAATATTATAATGAGTATATTGAAATTGATATCATCCAAATATAGGTTAGTTCCATCACCATAAGGATCTTTCATGTAGCCCCTTTATTGCCACCTTCACCTCCCTCCCACCACCCGTCTGCCCTTTAGTCCAGGTAACTACTACATTGTTCTCCACTTTTGGCATTTTAAGTATGTTCCATGGTTGCTTGAAAAAAAAGTGTATTTCTCTTGTTTTGTGGAGTGTTTATATGCATCAATTCAAAATCATTAATTGCTTCAGTTATTTAGATCTTCTATATCCTTGGTGATTTTTTGGCTAGTAGTTGTATCAGTCGCTGAGAGTGTACCGGTGGGGTCTTTATTATAAACTGAAATTGGTCTATGCATCCTTTCAGCTCTACTAATGTATGTTTCATGTATCTTGAGACTTTTTAATGGATACACTTTTAAATTGTTATGTCTTTTGAGTGAATTAATCATTTCATCATTGTGTAATATTGTTCTTTTTGTCTAGTAATTTTCTCTGAAATCTACTTTTTCTGACATTAATGTAGCCACTCTTATTTTTGTCCTTGTTTAATTTTTCATGGCACACGCTTTCCATCCTTTTACTTTCACCTTACTTATGTGATTGTATTTGAAGGGAGTTACTTGTAAAGAGCAAATAGCTGTATTGTGTTTTTTGGTTTTGTTTTGTCATTTATCTGTTATGTTATTACATCAATCTAAACCTTTAAAATGGTATATTTAGACCATGCACATTTAAGGTAAGTGATACGTTAGTATTTGAACTTGGCATTTGTCTTCTGTTACTTTTATATTTTTTTTCATCGACCTGGTTCCCTTGTCTTGCTTTTCTGTGGATTTGGTCAGAAGTTGTATTTAACTGGCCCCTTTTGCCTTTAAGGCTGCTGCCCTCTGTTGATGAGTCTGTGTGACTTAGGAACGCTCTCAGGTCAGTAGTTTCATCCTGCTATAATTGCTTTTGTAAGCGAACACCTAGTAGAGCATATACACAGCTATTCTCTCACCCCTACCTCCCTCCTCCGTCCTTGCTACCACTCTGAAGTTGCCTGTGACCCAGGAGAGTTCTCCTGATTGTCAATTTTCGTGGTAGTCTCCATTAAACTTCTGATTGCTTTCAGATATTGATGTATCATGGAACTACTAGCTTCCTTTTAATTGTGCTCCACCAACATCTCCATTGTTTTTAACAGTGCCCTTACATATGGTGCATATTGGCCTGCAAAAGTGTCAGCCCCTGGTCTTGGCTTCTCTTTCCTGGAGTGGAAACTTCTACCCTATGAGTATGCTAGAGTAGGGTAATTGGGACTTCTTCTTCACCCCAATGTGCCAGTACAGCTTTTAACCTATGAGTGGGACTGGGTACGGGAAGAGACTCATTCTTCTCAGCCCTGCCTAGAATGGAGCTTCTGCCACATAGGAGGATGAGAAACTCCAGCATTCTGACCCTTCGAGAATGAAATCATAGCTCAGACAAGAGACTAGTAGGAGACAGGGAGCCCTTGTCTTATTGAGTGCACCTGCCAGGAGTTAAAGCACCTGCAGCCGAGCTCCTATATGGATCTTGGCTTGGGGGGAGTGGTAGAGGCAGGTAAAAGGGCAGGTCATGTATCAAATAATACAGATTCTCTGTTTTTACCAAGATTTAGTAGATTTCCTTAAAAGAATATTTCTCCATTTTGGTGTGCTCTTAGGACAATTTCCAGTTAATTTAAAAAATAATTATCAGGACTTACATTGTTGTTTTCATAAAGGAAGTGTTATATATTTGAATGGATTGTTAAATGTTTGAATGAATTGAATGTTTCTGTTTCCTCAAAATTCATATGTTGAAACTGAATGTTCAATGTGATACTATTTGGAGGTGAGGTCTTTGGGAGATAATTAGGTCATGAGGGTAGAGCCCTCACAAATGGGATTAGTGCCCTTATAAGAAAAGACCAGAAAGTTCACCCTCTTTTTGCCAAATTAGGATACAGCTGGCTGTCCACCATATGAAAGAGGGCCTTCACCAGAACCCAACCATACTGGCATCCTGATATCAGACTTCCAGTCTGCAGAAATGTAGGAAATACATGTTTTCTGTTTAAGGCACAAATCTATAGCACCCCAAACTAAGGCAGAGAGGGTCTACTAAGCTCATTACTTTGACATTCTAGAATTGCAGCATCTAGCTATTATTTTATTTTTTTAATAATTATCTTACTTAACTTTTTCAGTATTAATAGACATACACACACAAACACATATACAATTATATATGTATACAACATAAATAGAGATAGAGATATTTAAATTAATGAGCAAAAACTTTCTCATCTTTTAGGGTGGAGAAACAATCTATATAATTGTCAACTCCAATTTGTAACCCATGAAATCAATTTTTCTCACCAATTTTACATTATATAGAGTTTTATAAACTTTCCCAATAGGCTAGATTTTTCATATTTCAACTAATAATTATTATATCTAGTTATCTTATTTAAAAGAGAAAAATAAAAACACCTAACGTTACTACACAAAGCCTGGCAAAAAAACAAAACAAAACTAAAAATCTAATATAAAAATAAAATATGTAAATTATAAAATGTTAAAAATATATAGAAATACAATCAATCATCTCTGAAATACTTGAGAAATAACTGGCATATTTATTGTCCTTCATTTAATTTTAGAAGTGTAACCCTCAACATTTTAATAAATCTTTTTTCCCTTTAAGTACAAAGGTAATATATGACTAATACAGAAGAGTGGAGAACCTTACAATAACCTAAAAGAAAAAAGTTATAAATAACCAAGAAAAAATTAATGTTGATATATCAGATTATTTTCTCCCAGTTTTCTCTATTTTTTCTCTTTAAAACGTGATCATCTACTCCGCTCTTTTGAAGTCTAATTTTTCCTACAGTTTGAATATCTTGCCTATTAATTGTTATCGTTCTAAGCACCTTGGTATAAAATATTTATTTAAATATTTTTATCTTTGGACATTTTAAGGTTTTTCACACATTTTTTTCCACATCTTTTTCTTAAGAATAGTGCAATGAACAGATTTGAAGACGCAAAAATCTGTGCAGTAATTTAGATCAATGGACCTGAATCAAAATGTCTCTTTTTCATGTAAATTTAAGGAAGATTTTTACACCATAAATCTTAGTTTCTTCAACTAAGAATGGAAATATGTTCTTCATTGAGCTCTTGTATGGCAAAATTAGATGATGTTTATCTATGATATTTAATAAGCATGCAACAAATGATAAGGGCAATATTGTTATTCGTACAATATTATTTTCATCATTGCACTTATCATCATCATTGTTACTAAGGATGATATTTTAGATGTCAAAATTCACAGGACATAAATATATTCACATATTCTGTAATATAATTGTTTTCGAGAATGTTTGGGCAATTTACTCTCCCATATGAAGAAAGAAGAGGAAGAGAATGGGAAAAATAACACTTTGCAGATTGAAATGAATGCCAACCGCTATTATAATCTCGTCCAATATAATTACTCATTTAATACTTACAATAATTCAGTAAAACAAAATATTACTTAACAAAATATTACACCTTACTTAACTGGTGAGGAAACTGAGGCAAAAAGATGTTAAGTAGCTGTTCCAGTAAGTGACAGAGCTTGGAATAAAAACTGGTTGGTATTTTCCAGACTGTCCCAGTAACCATCATGCACATTGCCATTATTCTACATAAGTAAAAATATATGTAATATTTTTAATTAAACCTGATGAAAGGAAAGTGGAATCCCATTGTTTGTACTAGTTTTTCTGTTAATATTTATTTATTTATTTATTTATTTATTTATTTATTTATTTATTTATTTTTTGAGAGGGAGTCTTGCTCTGTTGCCCAGGCTGGAGTGCAGTGGCACAATCTCGGCTCCCTGCAACCTCTGCCTCCTGAGTTCAAGCAGTTCTCCTGCCTCAGCCTCCTGAGTAGCTGGGATTACAGGCATGAACCACCATAGCTGGCAAATTTTTGCATTTTTAGTAGAGGTGGGGTTTCACTATGTTGGCCAGGCTGGTCTCGAATTCCTGACCTCAGGTGATTCACCTGCCTTGGCCTCCCAAACTGCTGGGATTACAGGCATGAGCCACAATGCCCAGCCTATTTTTAATTTGTTTGACAAGTTTTCCTATGTATATTTGGCTTTATGATTTATTGTTTGAGATATTACCTTTTAAAGACATGTACTCAATTTAAAGGAATTAGTAATCATTTTGTCATTGACTTTATTGACATACATTAAGTGTATGGGTTATTAAACAGCTGCATATAAAATAGATGTATTTTTATATTTCTTTACATTTTGCTCTTTGTTGTTATTTAAACTGCCACTTAGGGCAACAGGTACATTTTTATGAATTCTTTGTTTAATGAAATTTCACTGATTACTATCTTGCTTCTGAATTACTTCAACATTGAGAGTCATGGCTATAATTTGAAAGAGAGGGATATAGAAAGATGAGTGCTGTAAGAAAAAAGAGACCCTTTTTATTCCATTGGAGATCTATGATGATGGAGACTAACCTTTGAATAGCAACTACAACCAGACAGACTAGTTGCTGAGGCTTCTATTTCCAGAGATGAGATATTCTCTATCCAATTTGCACATATTTTTACTATAAATAAAATGATTAGTCACATGATTACTCATGACTCCCAATATAGCTAAGATTTTGGGAATATTTAGATTTTGATATGAAGTATGAAAAATTGACTTCTGTAAATATATTTGCCAATGCATTTTCCAACTTCACAAAACAATATTAAAGACAGCAATCAGCTATTAATTGTCACCTGCAAGTCCAAATATTAACGTGGTGTTTGACATGTATTTCATTAAATCAATCTAACATTTATTACTATCACATGGGAGCACTATTATTCACTTTTTCAGCCAGGAAAAGCTAAAACTGAGACCCAGAAAAAACAAACAAACTAGTTTTCCATAGTCTTATGCAGTAGTGGCAAAGGCAGAATTTAAGCCTGCTCTGGCTCCAGAGCAAGGATTCTTTCAATTGCCTACACTGATTTTCAAAAACAAATAGTATGTAATTAATATATGCTTAACTAGGCATTGTATAAGATATGTGACATTGTAACTTCAATTCTGCATACCAATATACTAAAAGTAGAACAAGTGCATGGCTTTTCAGAGAGAGCTAGAAAGAGTCATATCCGAGGTGGGCACGGTGGCTCATGCCTGTAATCCTAGCGCTTTGGGAGGCAGAGGCGGGCGGATCGCCTGAGGTCAGGAGTTTGAGACCAGCCTGACCAACATGCAGAAACCCCGTCTCTACTAAAAATACAAAATTGGCCAGGCCTGTAATCCCAGCTACTCAGGAGGCTGAGGCAGGAGAATCACTTGAACCAAGGAGGCAGAGGTTGCAGTGAGCTGAGATCGCACCATTGCACTCTAGCCTGGACAACAAGAGTGAATCTCCGTCTCAAAATTTAAAAATAAAAATAAAAAAAGAAAGAGTCATATCCCATTTATTTTCCTGGAAGAAATTATCCTAATTCTCCTATCTCTTCCAAAAAAGAATCGATTAAACCTTCCAACCTGTATTTAGAGAATCAGATAACCAGACAATATGTCTAAATGTTTAATAACTATAAAGACTTTTATTACATTATGATGAAAAGTTTACTAAAGTGAGATAGTTTTCATCAATAAAAATGACAAACTCCAGGAATATAAACATGTGGATTCTATATTTAATTATAGCTATAAAATATTATATTAAGTAAACTTTTAATGATTATTACATAAAGAATTTATCACTTCTTGACCTTTTGGCTAAGATCAAGTGTAAACAGTACATATGTTTGAGAATCAGTGAAGATCATTGGATATTTAGAAGTAATTTTAAAAATATATAATTGACACACCTTGTGACTAAGACCCAAAAATGTTCATCAATAATTTCCATAAAATATTAAAATGTGAGAAATAATATAATTTGCTCTCACATAACACCTTTCATTTTACAAAATGCTTTTGTAAACTCAGAACAGCGCAGTAAAATGTAAATGGCTTTTGGAGGTAGCAGATCTGAATTTGGGTTGGGGTCTATTTACTTATTATCTCTGTCTTTGGATATATTACCTACACTTGCAAAGCTTTATTATTTTCACCTGAAAAAAAACAAGGCAATTCTATTATCACCCTGCAGTGCTGTTGTGACAATTCTAAAGAAAATGTACAATAAGTACAGAATAGTTTAAAAGTTCTCAAATCTATATGTTATTGGGTATAAATAAGTGTAAATAAATCCACACCACTCTTTACATCTAACTCTGTTAAGATGTTTCTGACCTCTCCACAGGATCACGGCTAGTTTTCCCAGTTCTATTTGAAAGTGGTTTTCTGACACTTCACCCATGCTCAGAAAAGCTTGGCAATTCTAATACAGCCTCTTGTGTTGGATGGCTAGTGAGGCTCTTGAATGTTTGGTGAGGCCTGCCATGTGCAGCAGGACACAACCATGCTTTCAGGTGCTAAACTGATTCCAGTCTAACCAGGGAGTGATGTGATGACTAGGGTGAGGGCTCTGGGTTCTCTTACATGTTTTAGGGTGGCAATATGACAATGTATTTCCTCCAGACCTCAGTTTACTGGTGTCTAGCTAATATATAGAAGGAAGGAGAAAATTTTTTTTCTATTACTGAGGCCTGTCTCGTAACAAAAATTTTGACTGTTCTCTCCAATTTTCTTCCTTTCCCATCTGGCCACAATCACATGATATGGTTTTAAACTTTCTTTTCTTCTCCACAACTTTCTTACCTTTATGCAAATCACTATTATACCCAGACATATCTATGCAGGGACATAAGCAATACAATATTCCATTAAGGAAGAAAAAATAAGATTCCATGATTACTTATCCTTTGATGTCACATATTAAAGAGTAGTTTTTCTAGTTAAACTTCAGGTGCTTGTTACCTACTGTAGGTATAGTGTCTTTCAAATGTGGAATTTGTGTCCCCCTAGAAAAGAAAGAATTGGTTTCATCATCATTATAACTGATGATATGGCTTGGCTCTATCCCCACCCCAAATCTCATCTTGAATTCCCATAATCCCCATAATCCCAACATGTCAAGGGAGAAACCAGGTGAGGTGATTGAATCATAGGGGTGGTTTCCCCCATGCGATTCTTATGATAGCAGGTGAGTTCTCACAAGATCTGATGATTTTATAAGTATTTGGTAGTTCCTTCTGTGTTCATTCTCACTGTTGCTGGTAAAGACAGGAGACAGCCAAATGCTGCCCAGGTAATTGTACATTGGTGGCTTGCCTACACATGCCTATGGTGAAAAATTCCACCCTTAACACATGTGTAGTAAGAAAAATAAATCAATGTGGAGTGGCTGAGACTAAGGGCCCACCTGCACACTGGGAGAATGGGGTGGAGCCACTGGGAAGTCATACCTTATTCAGTAGGGGGGAGCCTCATCTCTTCAGCTGATGTGTGATGGCCTAGTATTCAGTCTTTGAGGTGGGAGCCTGTTGGCAGGACCCCACTCTTGTTTTCTGAGAGCTTTTTAAAAATAAATTCCACTCTCCTCACCTTTCAGTGTGTCCATGTGCCTAAGTTTTCCTAGTATTGAGACAAGAACCTAAATTTTAGCTGACGTAGGGAGCAAAAAATTCTGCATCATTTTGGTGCCATACAAGGATATGAGAAAATGTGAGTAAAATGCAGACCAAAAAATCTCTTTCCCTTTCATTTTTGAGCTTTTTCTTGTCAGCAGACTTCTTCTGAGGATAGAGGAAACTGCACCCAGCAACCTGCCAAAACTCTCAGGATTTAGGAATGTTGGCCTCGCTCAAACTCCATCATTTCTATGATATTTTTCTTCTATTTGGGACTGTAATGGCACCTATCTTATCTTTACCCTAATGGCCATAGGTGTGCACATGGGACAAACAGGAGAGCCGTGGCTCACCTCACCTTCCCTCACAGCTGGGGATGGGACACATGGCCCAAGGCCCCCCTATACAGCAGGCTGGCCAGTGTTCCCTGCCAGGAGTCCACAGTGTCTCCCCCTTCCCCAGCCAAAGAGTCTGGCTGGATGGAGCCCCAGGGAAGAAACAGCAATTAAACTTTTCTCTCCCTTTTGGAGAAGCTCATTTGCATAAGAATAGGAAGGTCTTCCTCAAGACATCTTTCCAGCCCTGCACTTTAAGTTGTTTTTTTATTTTCTACACTCTGTCAGCAGTTAACACAGCCCTGCAATTTCAGCTGGTTTTTTTTTTCTATTCCCCACTAGACCAGGAATTAACTTTTATGTGAGAGGCCTTTTTCTTTTTTCCTTTTAGAAGATGTATTAGTAGGCCAGGACCCCAACTATCACTGTTTATATTCTCTGTAAAGTTTTAATTATAAAAAATGATTTGTGACGTATGTCTTAAGCTGCAGCCAATCTGGTGTGCTTTGTGTGTCTTTCTGTATGATTCTGTCAGAAAGAGGGATACCTTAGGAAGGAATGTAGGCCTATGACTCCATAACCCTGTTGTTCAAGCCAGCCCAGCAAACTGTTCAATGGCAAACTTTGCTGCAGACCTACATCTTGTTTTATGTCCTTGGAAGTGTGACATGTAACCATGTGGCAGTGCTTTGTTTTAGCCTCCTGCATTTTGTAATGGTGGCCCAGGTTCAATCTTGGCTTAGGGAATGAGTCCTTTCTGTTTTGATATCTATGTGAACTTTACCATTTGTTGACTCTCTTCCCCTCCATGAACCGCCTTAAATTTTTTTTTCTCTCAGCACCTGGGAAGTTACCTTTAGTAAACCTTGAAAGCCAGAAATATTGATGGATGGCCGAATAGGAACAGCTCCGGTCTACAGCTCCCAGCGTGAGTGACACAGAAGACGGGGGATTTCTGCATTTCCATCTGAGGTACCGGGTTCACCTCACTAGGGAGTGCCAGACAGTGGGCGCAGGTCAGTGGGTGCGTGCACCGTGTGCGAGCCAAGGCAGGGCGAGGCATTGCCTCACTCGGGAAGCGCAAGGGGTCAGGGAGTTCCCTTTCCCAGTCAAAGAAAGGGGTGACAGAGGGCACCTGGAAAATCAGGTCACTCCCACCCGAATACTGCGCTTTTCCGACGGGCTTAAAAAACGGCGCACCAGGAGATTACATCCCGCACCTGGCTCGGAGGGTCCTACGCCCACAGAGTCTCGCTGACTGCTAGTACAGCAGTCTGAGATCAAACTGCAAGGCAGCAGCTAGGCTGGGGGAGGGGCGCCCGCCATTGCCCAGGCTTGCTTAGGTAAACAAAGCAGTGGGGAAGCTGGAACTGGGTGGAGCCCTCCACAGCTCAAGGAGGCCTGCCTGCCTCTGTAGGCTCCACCTCTGGGGGCAGGGCACAGACAAACAGAAACACAGCAGTAACCTCTGCAGACTTAAATGTCCCTGTCTGACAGCTGTGAAGAGAGCAGTGGTTCTCCCAGCATGCAGCTGGAGATCTGAGACTGCCTCCTCAAGTGGGTCCCTGACCCCTGACCCCCGAGCAGCGTAACTGGGAGGCACCCCCAGCAGCGGCAGACTGACAGCTCACACGGCTGGGTACTCCAACAGACCTGCAGCTGAGGGTCCTGTCTGTTAGAAGGAAAACTAACAAACAGAAAGGACATCCACACCAAAAACCCATCTGTACATTACCATCATCAAAGACCAAAAGTAGATAAAACCACAAAGATGGGGAAAAAACAGAGCAGAAAAACTGGAAACTCTGAAAAGCAGAGCGCCTCTCCTCCTCCAAAAGAATGCAGTTCCTCACCAGCAACAGAACAAAGCTGGACAGAGAATGATTTTGACGAGCTGAGAGAAGTCTTCAGATGATCAAATTACTCCGAGCTATGGGAGGACATTCAAACCAAAGGCAAAGAAGTTGAAAACTTTGAAAAAAATTTAGAAGAAGGTATAACTAGAATAACCAATACAGAGAAGTGCTTAAAGGAGCTGATGGGGCTGAAAACCAAGGCTGGAGAACTACGTGAAGAATGCAGAAGCCTCAGGAACCGATGTGATCAACTGGAAGAAAGGGTATCAGTGATGGAAGATGAAATGAATGAAATGAAGCGAGAAGGGAAGTTTAGAGAAAAAAGAATAAAAAGAAATGAGCAAAGCCTCCAAGAAATATGGGACTATGTGAAAAGACCAAATCTACGTCTGATTGGTGTACCTGAAAGTGACAGGGAGAATGGAAACAAGTTGGAAAACATTCTGCAGGATATTATCCAGGAGAACTTCCCCAATCTAGCAAGGCAGGCCAACATTCAGATTCAGGAAATACAGAGAACGCCACAAAGATACTCCTTGAGAAGAGCAACTCCAAGACACATAATTGTCAGATTCACCAAAGTTGAAATGAAGGAAAAAATGTTAAGGGCAGCCAGAGAGAAAGGTCAGGTTACCCTCAAAGGGAAGCCCATCAGACTAACAGCGGATCTCTCGGCAGAAACTCTACAAGCCAGAAGAGCATGGGGGCCAATATTCAACATTCTTAAAGAAAAGAATTTTCAATCCAGAATTTCATATCCAGCCAAACTAAGCTTCATAAGTGAAGGAGAAATAAAATACTTCACAGACAAGCAAATGCTGAGAGATTTTGTCACCACCGGGCCTGCCCTAAAAGAGCTCCTGAAGGAAGTGCTAAACATGGAAAGGAACAACCGGTACCAGCCGCTGCAAAATCATGCCAAAATGTAAAGACCATCGAGACTAGGAAGAAACTGTATCAACTAACGAGCAAAATAACAAGCTAACATCATAATGACAGGATCAAATTCATACATAACCATATTAACTTTAAATGTGAATGGACTAAATGCTCCAATTAAAAGACACAGACTGGCAAATTGGATAAAGAGTCAAGACCCATCAGTGTGCTGTATTCAGGAAACCCATCTCATGTGCAGAGACACACATAGGCTCAAAATAAAAGGATGGAGGAAGATCTACCAAGCAAATGGAAAACAAAAAAAGGCAGGGGTTGCAATCCTAGTCTCTGATAAAACAGACTTTAAACCAACAAAGATCAAAAGAGACAAAGAAGGCCATTACTTAATGGTAAAGGGATCAATTCAACAAGAAGAGCTAACTATCCTAAATATATATGCACCCAATACAGGAGCACCCAGATTCATAAAGCAAGTCCTGAGTGACCTACAAAGAGACTTACACTCCCACACATTAATAATGGGAAACTTTAACACCCCACTGTCAACATTAGACAGATCAATGAGACAGAAAGTTAACAAGGATACCCAGGAATTGAACTCAGCTCTGCACCAAGCAGACCTAATAGACATCTACAGAACTCTCCACCCCAAATCAACAGAATATACATTTTTTTCAGCACCACACCACACCTATTCCAAAATTGACCACATACTTGGAAGTAAAGCTCTCCTCAGCAAATGTAAAACAACAGAAATTATAACAAACTATCTCTCAGACCACAGTGCAATCAAACTAGAACTCAGGATTAAGAATCTCACTCAAAACCGCTCAACTACATGGAAACTGAACAACCTGCTCCTGAATGACTACTGGGTACATAATGAAATGAAGGCAGAAATAAAGATGTTCTTTGAAACCAACGAGAACAAAGACACAACATACCAGAATCTCTGGGATGCGTTCAAAGCAGTGTGTAGAGGGAAATTTATAGCACTAAATGCCCACAAGAGAAAGCAGGAAAGATCTAAAATTGACACCCTAACATCACAATTAAAAGAGCTAGAAAAGCAAGAGCAAACACATTCAAAAGCTAGCAGAAGGCAAGAAATAACTAAAATCAGAGCAGAACTGAAGGAAATAGAGACACAAAAAACCCTTCAAAAAATTAATGAATCCAGGAGCTGGTTTTTTGAAAGGATCAACAAAATTGACAGACCGCTAGCAAGACTAATAAAGAAAAAAAGAGTGAAGAATCAAATAGACACAATAAAAAATGATAAAGTGGATATCACCACCGATCCCACAGAAATACAAACTACCATCAGAGAATACTACAAACACCTCTATGCAAATAAACTAGAAAATCTAGAAGAAATAAATAAATTCCTCAACACATACACTCTCCCAAGACTAAACCAGGAAGAAGTTGAATCTCTGAATAGACCAATAACAGGATCTGAAATTGTGGCAATAATCAATAGCTTACCAACCAAAAAGAGTCCAGGACCAGATGGATTTACAGACGAATTCTAACAGAGGTACAAGGAGGAACTGGTACCATTCCTTCTGAAACTATTCCAATCAATAGAAAAAGAGAGAATCCTCCCTAACTCATTTAATGAGGCCAGCATCATCCTGATACCAAAGCCGGGCAGAGACACAACCAAAAAAGAGAATTTTAGACCAATATCCTTGATGAATATTGATGCAAAAATCCTCAATAAAATACTGGCAAACCGAATCCAGCAGCACATCAAAAAGCTTATCCACCATGATCAAGTGGGCTTCATCCCTGGGATGCAAGGCTGGTTCAATATATGCAAATCAATAAACATAATCCAGCATATAAACAGAACCAAAGACAAAAACCACATGATTATCTCAATAGATGCAGAAAAGGCCTTTGACAAAATTCAACAACCCTTCATGCTAAAAACTCTCAATGAATTAGGTATTGATGGGACGTATTTCAAAATAATAAGAGCTATCTATGACAAACCCACAGCCAATATCATACTGAATGGCCACAAACTGGAAGCATTCCCTTTGAAAACTGGCACAAGACAGGGATGCCCTCTCTCACCACTCCTATTCAACATAGTGTTGGAAGTTCTGGCCAGGGCAATTAGGCAGGAGAAGGAAATAAATGGTATTCAATTAGGAAAAGAGGAAGTCAAATTGTCCCCGTTTTCAGATGACATGATTGAATATCTAGAAAACCCCATTGTCTCAGCCCAAAATCTCCTTAAGCTGATAAGCAACTTCAGCAAAGTCTCAGGATATAAAATCAATGTACAAAAATCACAAGCATTCTTATACACCAACAACAGACAAACAGAGAGCCAAATCATGAGTGAAATCCCATTCACAATTGCTTCAAAGAGAATAAAATACCTAGGAATCCAACTTACAAGGGACACGAAGGACCTCTTCAAGGAGAACTACAAACCACTGCTCAGTGAAATAAAAGAAGAAACAAACAAATGGAAGAACATTCCATGCTCATGGGTAGGAAGAATCAATATCGTGAAAATGGCCATACTGCCCAAGGTAATATATAGATTCAATGCCATCTCCATCAAGCTACCAATGACTTTCTTCACAGAATTGGAAAAAACTACTTTAAAGTTCATATGGAACCAAAAAAGAGCCCGCATCGCCAAGTCAATCCTAAGCCAAAAGAACAAAGCTGGAGGCATCACGCTACCTGACTTCAAACTATACTACAAGGCTACAGTAACCAAAACAGCATGGTACTGGTACCAAAACAGAGATATAGATCAATGGAACAGAACAGAGCCCTCAGAAATAATGCCGCATATCTACAACTATCTGATCTTTGACAAACCTGAGAAAAATAAGCAATGGCGAGAGGATTCCCTGTTCCATAAATGGTGCTGGGAAAACTGGCTAGCTATATGTAGAAAGCTGAAACTGGATCCCTTCCTTACACCTTATACAAAAATTAATTCAAGATGGATTAAAGACTTAAACGTTAGACCTAAAACCATAAAAACCCTAGAGGAAAACCTAGGCATTACCATTCTGGACATAGGCATGGGCAAGGACTTCATGTCTAAAACACCAAAAGCAATGGCAACAAAACCAAAATTGACAAATGAGATCTAATTAAACTAAAGAGCTTCTGCCCAGCAAAACAAACTACCATCAGAGTGAACAGGCAACCTACAAAATGGGAGAAAATTTTCACAACCTACTCATCTGACAAAGGGCTAATATCCAGAATCTACAATGCACTCAAACAAATTTACAAGAAAAAAACAAACAACCCCATCAAAAAGTGGGTGAAGGACATGAACAGACACTTCTCAAAAGAAGACATTTATGCTGCCAAAAAACACATGAAAAAATGCTCACCATCACTGGCCATCAGAGAAATGCAAATCAAAACCACAATGAGATACCATCTCACACCAGTTAGAATGGCAATCATTAAAAAGTCAGGAAACAACAGGTGCTGGAGAGGATGTGGAGAAATAGGAACACTTTTACACTGTTGGTGGGACTGTAAACTAGTTCAACCATTGTGGAAGTCAGTGTGGCGATTCCTCAGGGATCTAGAACTAGAAATACCATTTGACCCAGCCATCCCATTACTGGGTATATACCCAAAGGACTGTAAATCATGCTGCTTTAAAGACACATGCACACGTATGTTTATTGCGGCATTATTCACAATAGCAAAGACTTGGAACCAACCCAAATGTCCAACAATGATAGACTGGATTAAGAAAATGTGGCACATATACACCATGGAATACTATGCTGCCATAAAAAAGGATGAGTTCATGTCCTTTGTAGGGACATGGATGAAATTGGAAATCATCATTCTCAGTAAACTATCGCAAGAACAAAAAACCAAACACCGCATATTCTCACTCATAGGTGGGAATTGAACAATGAGAACACGTGGACACAGGAAGGGGAACATCACACTCTGGGGACTGTTGTGGGGTCGGGGGAGGGGGGAGGGATAGCATTGGGAGATATACCTAATGCTAGATGATGAGTTAGTGGGTGCAGCACACCAGCATGGCACATGTGTACTTATGTAACTAACCTGCACATTGTGCACATGTACCCTAAAACTTAAAGTATAATAATAATAAATAAATAAAATTAAATTTAAAAAAAAAGAAAGCCAGAAATATTGGCCACTTGTCATGGCTGAAATTGGGTAATAAGGAATTTAAAAGGATTTTCTTAAAGAGTGCTCAGCTTAATTAAAAGTATTAGTTTGTTCTCATGCTGCTAATGAAGACATACCCGAGACTGGGTAATCTATAAAGGAAAGACGTTTAATGGACTCACAACTCCACATGGCTACGGAGGCCTCACAATCATTGAGGAAGATGAAGGAAGAGCAAAGGGACTTCTTACATGGTGGTGGGCCAGAGAGCTTGTGTAGGGGACCTCTCATTTGTAAAACCAACAGATACCCTGAGACTTATTCACTACCATAAGAACAGTATGGGGGAACCACCCTCATGATTCAGTTATCTCCACCTGTCCCTGCCCTTGACACATAAAGATTATTACAATTCAAGGTGAGATTTGAGTGGGGACACAACCAAACCATATCAGTGGTCTTAAATACATGCCTGACACTTGTATGGTCTTTGAACCTTGGCTAAGTCAGAAATTCAGGGTTTCCTAGCAGTGAGTGAATGCAGAAGCTGTTCAATACCAAACCTCCAAAAGCCTTGCCAGCTGCGTATGCATCTTAAAAATTGGACAGCGACCTAAGGAAAAAACCCTACAAAAAAGTTTAGGACTTTCTCTGCTGCTCACCTCCTAAGTTTAGGGCTTTCTTTCTGTGCTGGTGTCTTTAAACTCTAATCCATTTTTCTTCCAATATCAAAATTGCTGCTTCCTACTTTGACTCCACTTCTCTGTGATACACTTATGCAAATGTCTTAAGAATAAAATTGGTAAAAGTGGGACTTGTGTTTATCATTTCTCAATGAGCACAGTCCTATGTTTATCACTGTTGAAGTCTGAAAATAGTTGCTTCATATGTATTGGTCATTTTTATATTTGTTTATTATGGGAGTGAAATCTGATACTAGCTTCTCCATCATGGCCAGAACCAGAATGGCAATGGTTAAATAAAAATCATGTAAGTTCCAGATATGGCTATCTTCTAATATGGTGGATTATTGGCCTCTGCTAGACATCTAGACTTGGGGATAATTGCCTTAATCCTATTAGCTGTTGAGCTGAATTCTTTCTGAGTTTGAGCTAATTTACCCTCAGTCCAGCTTGGGCTTGAATTTTTTTGTGAGACATAGACCTCTTAACATTTTTATGTGATGACTTGCTGAGTTCAGGGCTTCTTCATGTAGAATCTGAACTCGATAGTTTTCTCCTTACCAGAGTGAGAATCCTGAAAAGAATTTAAAATAAGTTATTCAAAATGTAGGAGAAACTAAGAAATTAATAAGCAAAATTAAAATTCTGCTGAAAATAATTCCTGTAAAATTAAAATGTTGTTTAGTTTTTTGGATGAAGTGCAGACATAGCTTGAGTTCTTAAGGGTCTAATGATGTTTCAGAATGTTCATAAAAACAGAAAACATGTTTTTCTAATAAGAAGAAAAATATTAGTTTAATTGGAGACAAAAAACTCTTTTTGGATTGCAGTGAAAGGGCCTTGGATCTCAATTCAGAGCCAAATGAATCTCTACAGCTATGCTTAGGTGAATTTGCCTGCTTTAGCCAACTAAATAAACTCTGTTGCCTGAGATGTGGATCTCAAGGACTGTTAAAACACGGACATTTGTTTTATTGGTTCCTGGGGTAATTTCATGTGACAAACTTACAATCTGGCAAAAAAAAAAAAAAAATTACTGTCAACCTGGAAAAAAATTATTCTACCCATTTATTAAGAAAAATAAATATATAAAGAGACAGAGGAAGATTGCAGAGTAGAAAGCTCCACCAATCACCCACACTTCCAACAAGAACACCAAGTTAACAACTATCTACATGGAAAAAAAATACCTTTATAACAACCAAAAATCAGGTGAGCACTCACAGTATCTGGTTTTAACTTCATACTGCTGAGAGAGGCACTAAAGATATAGAAAAAACAGTCTTGAATCACTGCCACCACCCGCCTTCCACCCCTGGCAGCAAAGACATGGTACAGAGAGCTTCTCTGATGCTTAGAAAGAGAGAACACACCAGTTGTGAGGCATTAAACTCAGTGCTATTCCGTTAGAGCAGAAAGGCAAGCCAGACAAAATTCAGCTGTTGCATGCCCATGGAGGGAGCATGTAAACCAGCCCTAGCCAGAAGGGAATTGCAAAATCTAGCATTTTGAACTTGAGTGCCTGCAAACCTCACCAACCAAAGTACTATTGGTCTCTAAGTAAACCTGAAAGGTAATCTAGGCCATAAGAACCATAGCTCATAGGAAAGTCTTATGTCTGAGCTAGGTCCAGAGGCTGTGGACTAGGGGAGGCATGTTACAGCCAAGGGCAGCCAAGGGAGTGCTGTCATCACTCCTCCTCTAACCCCAGGCTTCACAGCTTAGGGCTCCAAAAGATATCCCTTCATTCTGCTTGAGGAGAAGAGAGGAAAGAGTGGGGAGGACTCTGCCTTGCATTTTAGAAAACAGCTCAGCTACAGTAGGATACGGCACTGATCAGAGTCAAGAGGCCCCTGTTCCAGCCCCTAACCCACAGATGATATTTCTAGACACGCTCTGGGATAGAAGGAAATCAGCTACCTCAAAGGAAAGGACCTAGCTCGGCCAGCATTCATCATCTGCTAACTGAAGAGCCTCTTGGCCCTGAATAACCAGCAACTATACCCAGCTACTACACCAAGGACCTCATGAGTCTCTGACGCTTGCTGGCTTCAGGTGAGACTCAGGATATAACCAGCTGTGATTGCTATGGGGCAAAACTCCTGCCTGAGAAAAGCAGAGAGAAAAGTAAAGGGGACTTGAGTGACACCTAGTGCTATTACAGCTTTAGGTCCAACCCAACACAGACATAGTAATGATGGCCACAGGCCTGCTTGTGTCATTCCACCCCAAGTTTTAGGTGGCTCAGACAGAGACTCTGTATGTTTGTGAGAAAGTAAGAGGAGAGAACAAGAGTCTATGCCTGTTAACCCAGAGAATTCTCCTGGATTTTGTCCAAGACCATCAAGACTGTACCTCTACAAGTTTGCAAGAACCACCATGTTACTGAGTTTCAGGTACTCTCTAAAGTGGAAACAGCCTAGATTTCAACACCCAAGTCCTTTCAAATATCTGGACAGCCTTCCAGTGAAGACTACATAAATACCTGACTCTTCAATGCCCACACACTGAAGAACATCTACTAGCATCAACACCATCCAGGAAAACATGGACTCATCAAATGAACTAAATAAAGCATCTGGAATGAATCCTGGAGAAACAGAGATATATGACCTTTGAGACACAGAATTCAAAATTGCTGTGTTGATTAAACTAAAACAAATTCAAAATAACACAGAGAAGAAATTCAGAATTATATCAGGTACTTTTAACAAAGAGATTGGCATAATTAAAAAGAAGCAGAAATCCTGGAGCTGAAAAATGCAACTGGCATACTAAAAACTGCATCAGAGTTGTTTAATAGCAGAATGAATTAAGCAAAAGAAAAAAATAGTGAGCTTGAAGACAGGCCTTTTGAAATACACAGTCAGAGGACAAAAAATAAAAAATAAAAAAAAGAAGCAAGCCTATGGGATCTAGGAAATAGCCAAAAAAGGGCAACTCTAAGAGTTATTGGCCTTAAAGAGGCCACAGTTCATTCAAAGGGATAACAACTTCCCAAACTTAGAGATAGAGATAAATATCCAAATACAAGATTATAGAACACTGAGCAGATTTAACCTAAAGAAGATTTCCTCAAGGTATTTTAACTCCCAAAAGTCAAAGATAAAGAAAGGGTCTTAAAAGTAGCAAAAGAAAAGAACAAAATAACATACAATGGAGCTTCAGTACGTTTGGCAGAAGACTCTCCAGTGAAAACTTTATGGGCCTGGAGAGAGTGGTGTGGAATATTTAAAGTGCTGAAGGAAAAAAAAAATTACCCTAGAATATATATGCAGCAAACATATCTTTCAAACAAGAAGGAGAAATAAAGACTTCCAAACAAAAGCTGAGGGATTTCATCAATACCAAACACATACTACTAAAAATGCTAAAGAGAGTGCTTCAATCAGAAAGAAAAGGACATTAATCATATTAATGAACAATAAGTAATTACCTGAGGGTAAAAAACTTACTGGTAATAGTAAGCACACAGATAAACACAGAATATTATAACACTGTAACTGTGGTGGGTAAACTACTCTTATCCTAAGAATAAAGACTAAACAATGAGCCAATCAACAATAATGACTACAAAAAAATTTCAAGAGACAATCAGCACAATAAGACATAAATACAAACAACAAAAGTTAAAAAGTGGAGAAATAAAGTTGATTTTTATTAGTTTTCTTTTTGCTTGTTTATGCAAATAGTGTTAAGTTGTTATCAAATTAAAATAATGAGTTATAAGCTAGTATTTGAAAGCTTTGTGGTAAGCTCCAACCAAAAAACATACAGTGTATACATAAAAAATAAAAAGCAAAAAACTAAATCATAGTACCAGAGAAAATAATCTTCATTCAAAGAAGACAGAATAAAAAAAAAAGAAGGAAGAGAATACCATAAAACAACCAGAAAACAAATTACAAAATATCAGGGTTAAGTCTCTACTTATCAATACTAACATTAAATGTAAATGAACTAAACTCTCCAGACAAAAGACAAAGACTGGCTGAATGGATGACAAAGCAAAGCCCATTGAACTGTTGCCTACAAGAAACACACTTGATCTATAAAGACACACATAGATTTAAAATAAAATGATGGAAAAAGGTATTCCATGCCAATGGAAACACAAAGGAGCAGAAGTCACTATACTTATGTCAAACAAAACAGATTTTGAGGCAAGATTTATGAGAAGATACAAAAAATTTCACTACAGAATGTTAAAGGGGTCAATTCAGCAAGAGGATATAATAATTTTAAATACTCATACATCTAACACAGGAGCACCCAGATAGATAAAGGAAATGTTATGAAAGCTAAAGAAAGAGGCCGGGCACGGTGGCTCATGCCTGTAATCCCAGCACTTTGGGAGGCTGAGGCAGGCAGGTCACAAGGTCAGGAGATCGAGACCATCCTGGCTAATGTGGTGAAACCCCATCTCTACAAAAAATACAAAAAATTAGCCGGGTGTGGTGCCGGGTGCCTGTAGTCCCAGCTACTCAGGAGGCTGAGGCAAGAGAATGGCTAAACCTAGGAGGCAGAGCTTGCAGTGAGCTGAGATCATGCCACTGCACTCCAGCCTGGGCAACAGAGCTAGACTCCATCTCAAAAAAAAAAAAAAAAAAAAAAAAAAAAAAAAAAAAAAACGAAGAAAGAAAGAGATTAGCTCCAATACAGCGATAGCTGGAGACTTCATCTCCCCACCTTCAGCACTGGACAAATCTTTCAGACACAAAATCAACAAGTCAAGGTGAGATTTGGGTGGGGGCACAACAAAACCATATCAATATCCAGATTATATTTAAAGAGCCATTATGTTTTTTTCTTTTTGAATCTTGTTTTGCTGGAAAAAGTTTTTTGTTTTTGTTTTTTTTCTCAGTCAACTAAATTATTTTTTCTCATTTTGCCTTGCCACTATTAATGCACACAGGAGAGGCCCTAAGATATTTTCTGATGGCCTGGGACTCCTTAGAAAAAGCAGAAAAGGTATCACAGATTCAATTTTGGGAGAGACTTCTGATTTCCTCATGGACCCCCAGGAATTAGAGGCAGATGGATCCCTCTCAAAATCTGTTTTTGTCTTCCAGCTATAACTGTTGATTGGGCCCTGGAAACAGCATGCTTTCCTAAATTTGCTCTTACAGGGCTCCACCCAGAGGCCAATAACCTAATTAGGAGATTGGCAAATGAAAAATCTTTTAGCTGCTGGAACTCCTAATTGTCTAGTTATATGTATGTTGTGTGTAGTGTCTATAAAAAGAGCCCTAATTAATTGACTTAAAGAAATACAAGCGCTTGTATCAAATATGTTTTAAAGGGAAGATAAAAGCTGTGATACATTTTAATGCACATGACTTTAATCTTTGAAAAAAAAATAGCCTTAAAGATTGTTGGTAAAATGCTGATGTTGTCAAAATATAGATTTTTGCCTTGGGATAAAAGATTGTTTTGAATTAGATAAGATAAAGCTAAAAGTTTTAAAATGTTGTGGAAAGATTGTAAAAATTAATCTTGCAAAGAAATTCCTTGTATGAACATATTGACTAAAGTCAAAAGAGTATTACATGGTTTTACATAAATTGAACATTGAAATAAAAGCATAACAAGGTTCTATTAAGAAATTAATCTGCTCTTTAGCAAAATTGTAAAGGGTTATGAGATGTTTTTGCTTTTTAAAAGTTTTTGAGTCATCATTTCAGCAGAATAAATAACTTACGGTAATCTGAAATTCTATTTCATAACATCAAGTGTTTTAAACGTCTAACATTTAACAGGCTCCCAAAAATCAAACATCAGCTTCAAAAATCGTCTTTCCTGACCCCTAGCTTTTGATGCTGCAGTGGGGCCCTGGAGCATCTAGAAGAGAGGTAAACAGGATTACCAGATGTGTTTAAGTACATGGGATTGCTAAAATAATGTTTAATCTTCTTCAGTTTATACTTTAGGGAAGAATATTAATACAAGTCCCAAAATTCTATGGGATTTCTAAAATTCTATTGTGTGAGTATATGCTATCAATCATATAAAGCTGTTATGTTAAGTTATTGTAAACCACAGAGATGACCAAATTTTTTTGCCAATCGTGTTTTAACTGTAACTACCCTGGACATTTTTTTATTCACAGATAATTGTTGTCTTGTTTTGGCCCTCTTCAAAGATGGTTTCTAATCAGCTATAGAACTTTGATAGGCACTCTCAAATGCAGATTTCTGATAACCTTGGAAATTTTGACATTGGAATCAAGGAAAAATATACAGATCTCATAAAGAGCTGAAATGTTCATGAATATCAAACAAAACAAGAGTTAACTGAATAAGATGAACTAATGTAATAAAAAGGTAAAATAAACTTTTATTAACTTTTGCTGAAAATATTGCTGATCAGTCCTATCTGAGATTCCTTGTGGAACAGAGTTCTCTCAAAGTCAATCAAAAATATTTTACATCTTTTACAAATATGTAAAAATAATTATTCTTGCTGCACTTTATGCAAATAATCAGGCCAAGTATAAGAATAAATTGTATTTTGCAAACAATACTCTGGAACTCGAGGATATAAGGATGGAACAAAGAAAGAGACACTTAGTATTTTCTTCCTCATGTACCCTGGGTATTTGCTAGGAAGAGAAAGGAACCAAGGGTGCCTAATCTCCTCATTCTAGATGAGTAGACATTTATCTTCAGTCAGTACTCCTTTCAAATGCATCCTGAACCCTTGGAACTCCTTGAAAAAATTGTGGGTTTTTTTTCCCCCATTTTCCTCCTCTGTCCTCTCTTTACTAATAGGTAATTGTGTCTCTGTACTACAGGACACTCCTCTCGGATTCATCCTTCAAACTGGGAAAAGTTAATTTTCCAACCTTAAACTTGTTGGCTTAGAATTGTGCTTGGGGGAAAAGAGCCCAGAAGCCTGAAATGCCAGCAAAAGGGTAAAAGGGTATAAGTCAGGCTTTTGGCCTCCATCTTCCTGTACACACTGGTAAAAGACCTCAGGATTTTTGAGCTGTTCTTATGCCCCACCCCTCGTTTTGTTTTGATACATGTTTTCTAATAACCTGGTTTGTCTCTTCTTGCCTTCAGGCCATCAAACTCCAAACAACCATGCAAGAAAGCCTTCAGTGATGGCCCCTTTTTTCTGGGGACTCTTAGATAGGCTTCTGAAGGAGCTCTGACTGCCATTTTCCCAAGACAGCACCCTCCATCAGCAAGAAGCTGTTAAGGATTGTCTTCATCTTTATCCATGTACTTATTCTAATGAGAGTTAAATGTACTTCTTTAATGAGGGGAATGATAGAGTTAGAAGATAGCCAAATCTCACCCTGGTCCTTGTGCACAGGGGGCTTGCCTAAACATGCCCAAGGTGAAAAATTCTGTCTCATGTGTGTTAAGGGAGATAAATCAATGTGGAGTGGCTCAGACTAAGGGCCCACGTGCACACTGGGAGAATGGGGTGGAGACACCAGGAAGTCACATTTTATGCAGGGGGTAAGAACCTGGCATCTTCAGCTCATGTGTGATGGTCTGGTATTTAGTCTGTAAGGTGGGATCCTTTTGGCAGGACCTCCTTCTTTTGTGCTGTGAGCCTTCTTTTAATAAATTCCACTCTCCTCAGCTTTCAATTTGTCCACATGACTAATTTTTCCTGGCTGTGAGACAATAACCCAGAATGTAGCTGAACTAAGTAAGGAGAAAAAATCCTGCATCACTGCTGCTTTATGAAGAAGGTGCATTGCTCCCTCACCACCTTCCATCATAATTGTAAGTGTCCTGAGGCCTCTTGAGCCACACAGAACTGTGAGTCCACTGTGAGACATGTGGGAATTGTGGGAGTTACAATTCAAGATGAGATTTGGGTGGGAAAACAGCCAAAACATATCAAGATGACTCAATAGTTGTGGTCAATGATGATAAAATAGTCAAATGAGGGGCCTTACAAACAAACCTCAAATATTTCTAAGAAACTTCAAGTATGTTTTAATTTTGCCTTTCTTTTCATTCCATCCCACATGCCTTGATAAGATAATCTAACAATCAAAACATATTCAAACAGAATTTCAGTGTGCACATGTGCTTTCTTCTTACTGAAAAATTTTGCTTATTAAAATACTTCTCTAATTATTATAAACCACAGAATACAGCATAGGAAACAGACCCTAAAGCAGATGGTGAAATTCAAGTTCTCATAAAGTATAAAATACCTTTCAAATTAGTATTTTCAACAAATCGAGATGAATAACTCTTCACAGAAAACTTTCATTTTCTCCATGTTCCCTAAGTGTAATAAAATATCTACCTTTATAAATTTGTAGGTAATAGGTTATATACAAAATGAGTAATTACAAAATATTTATAAAGTAATTAACATGTTTTTTTATATTAGCATGATTACAAACACATGCTGACACATTCTTGACTTAATACTCAGAGAGAAAAGTAATCATAATAGCATACTTTATTGCTCAAAAAATAAACATTAAAGTTTCACATTTATTTTAAAATGTAACTTTAGTTTTGTTTCAAGAGTTTTGTGCTTTGAAATAGAATAATAACATTTAGATGTTGCAGAGATTCTCTACTATATTGTTGTAAAAATATCCACAGGTGAATTTGCAGAAACTCTGCATTCCATGTACTAAGTAATGAAAGTATTTCAAAGATATTAGATTATGATTAAACAAACTTAAGTAAACTATCAGTAATGCAAAGAACCTTTTATAATAATAATAATAATAAGTAAACACATGTAGCATTTTAATTTATTATGGGATTTTCTTTAAAATTAAGTCAGACTTGTTATCAAGTCTCTGTAAGTTGGATGGAATTTGCAATACTAATGATATGGTTTGGCTGTGCCCCACTCAAATCTCATCTTGAACTGTAGTTCCCGTAATAACCATGGGTCATGGTAGGGACCTGGTGGGAGGTAATTGAACCCATTCTGTTCTCATGACAGTGAGTGAGTTCTCATGAGATTTGATGGTTTTATAAGGGGCTTTCCCCCCTTTGGTTGGCACTTTTCTCTCCTCCTGTCATGTGAAGAAGGATGTGTTTGTTTCTCTTTCTTCCATGGTTGCAAGTTTTCTGAATCCTCCCCAGTCCCAAGTAGTTCTTTATAGCAGCATGAAAATGGACTAATATACTAAATTAGTGCTGGGAGTGGGGTACTGCTATAACATTTTCCACCTGAAATGTGGAAACAACTTTGGAACTGGGTAACAGGCAGAGGTTGGAGCAGTTTGGAGGGCTCAGATGAGGATGGAAAATATAGGAACATTGGAACTTTCAAGAGACTTGGAGGGTTTAGAAGACAGAAAGATGTGGGAAAGTTTGGAACTTCCTAGAGACCTGTTGAATGGCTTTGACCAACATGCTGATAGTGATAAGGGCAATGAAGTCCAGGCTAAGGTGTTCTCAGACAGAGATGAGAAACTTGTTGGAAACTGGAGTAAAGGTTATTCTTGCTTTGCAAAGAGACTGGTGGCATTTTGCCCCTGCCCTAAAAATCTGTGATACTTTGAACTTGAGAGAGATGATTTAGGGTATCTATTGAAAGAAATTTCTAAGTGGCAAAGTATTCAAGAGGAAGCAGAGCATAGAAGTTTGGAAAATTTGCAGCCTGATGATGTGATAGAAAAGAAAAACCCATTTTCTGGGAAGAAAAAACCATTTTCTGGGAAGTAATTCAAGCCCGCTGCAGAAATTTGCATATGTAACGAGTAGCTAAATGTTAATTACCAAGACAATGATGAAAATGTCTCTAGGGCATGTCAGAGACCTTCATGGCAGCCTCTTCTATTATAAGCCTAGAGGTCTAGGAGGGAAAAATGGTTTCCTAGGCTGGGTCCAGGATTCCCCTGCTGTGTGCAGCTTCAGGACTTGATGCCCTATGTCCCAACTACTCTAGCAGTGGCTAAAAGGGGCCAAGGTACAGCTCTGGCCATGCTTCAAAGGGTGCAAGCCCCAAGCCTCAGCAACTTTCCATAGTATTGAGTCTGTGGGTAAAGAGAAGTCAAGAACTGAGGTTTGGAAACTCCTGCCTAGATTTCAGAGGATGTATAGAAATGCCTGGATATCCAGGCAGAGTTCTGCTGCAGGGGCACAGCCCATGTGAAGACCCTCTGCTAGAACAATGTGGAAAGGAAATGTGGATTAGGAGCCCCCACACAGTGTCCCCAGTGGAGCACTGCCTAGCAGAGCTGTGAGAAGATGGCCAGCTTCCTCCAGACCCCACAATGGTAGATTTACCAATAGCTTGTACCTTGTGCCTGGAAAAAAGCCACAGACAACACCAGCCGTGAAAGCAGCTGGGAGGGTGGCTATACCCTGAAAAGCCACAGGGGCAGAGCTGCCCAAATTCATGGGAGCCCACTTCTTGCATCAGTGTGACCTGGATGTGAGGCATGGAGTCAAAGGATATCATTTTGAAACTTTAAGATTTAATGGCTATCCTATTGGACTTGCATAGGCCCTGTAGCCCCTTTATTTTGGGCCAATTTCTCCCATTTGAAACTGCTGTGTTTACTCAATGCCTATACCCCCATTGTATCCAGGGTGGAACTCACTTGCTTTTGATTTTACAGGCTCATCAGTGAATAGACTTTTTTGGTCTCAGATGAGATTTTGGACTTGGACTTTTGTGTTAGTGTTGGAATGAGCTGTCAATTTGGGGGACTGGTGGAAAGGCATGATTGTGTTTTGAAATGGGAGAACATGAGATTTGGGAGGGCCCATGGGTGGAATGGTATGCTTTGGCTGTGTCCCCACCCAAATATCATCTTGAATAGTAGTTCCCATAATCCCCATGTGTCATGGGAGGGACCTGGTGGGAGATAATTAAATCATGAGGGTAATTACCTCCATGCTGTTGTCATGATCGTGAGTAGTTCTAATGAGATCTGATGGTTTTATAGGGCGCAGCTTTTACCCTTTTGCTCAGCACTTCTCTCTCATGCCCCCATTTGAAGAAGGATGTGTTTGCTTCCCCTTCCACCATGAGTGTAAGTTTCCAGAGGCCTCCCCATCCATGCAGAACAGAGCCAATTAAACCTCTTTCCTCTATAAATTACCCAGTTGGGCAGTTCTTTATAGCAGTTTGAGAACAGACTAATAGAACTAGATTGTTTTTTAACATTTCAAAGAACACTATTAATATAGTTTCAATTGTGTCCCTGTCCAAAT
The DNA here is from genome assembly GCF_000001405.40 of Homo sapiens. Taxonomy (NCBI): domain Eukaryota; kingdom Metazoa; phylum Chordata; class Mammalia; order Primates; family Hominidae; genus Homo; species Homo sapiens. Next base: position 145,240,757 of record NC_000003.12, on the reverse strand, counting down.
CTCTTGTTGAACTGTAATCTCCAGTATTATAGGTGGAGCTTGGTGGGAAGCGATTGGATCATGGGGGTGGATTTCATACTCTTGGTGCTATCCTTGTGATAGTGACAATTTCTCATGAGATCTGGCTGTTTAAAAGTTTGTGGCACCATCCTCTCTCTCTCTTCTTCCTGCTCCCATCGTGTAAGACTTGCCTGCTCACCCTTCACTGTCCACCATGATTGTAACTTTCCTGAAGCCTCCCCAGAAGCAGATGCCAGCAGTATGCCTCCTGTACAGCCTGCAAAATCGTGAGTCCATTAAAGCTCTTTTCTTTATAAATTACTCATTCTCAGATATTTCTTTACAGCAATGTAAGAATGGACTAACACAAGTGTCTGTAACATTTGGCCATAAAATTTCTCCCCCTTGAAATTATTTCTGTTTGTTTCCCAATTCTTCTTTTAATCTGGTCAGTATCTTTTACCATTTGTAGCCTTCTTCAGTGACTAAGCTTTTTCTCTAATAGCTAACTAAAATTCCTTAAATATCTGTGCTTCTAGAATTTAAAGTAAGATCCTTTTATCATTTCACTCTCATCCTTCTTGCGACTATTTTATTCACTTCCATCATATGAGCTATAAACTGTTCAAGAATGGCACCAAAGTTCTGTCTCTTTTCAGAGCTCAATTTCATCCCTAAGAAATTTATCTTTTTTTCTATAATCTGCTTCTTCATCTCTGTTACCTCTCCCACCTAATGATATCAGTGTACTTCCAATAAACCAAAAATGAAATTTTGGTAACAATTTTCAATTTTACCACATCATCGAACCTCATATAACATAATTAGCAAAAACCCATAAGTACTCCTCCTGAAAAAAAAAGGCTCCTTTAAATATTTTTTCTTCGTTTTCACTTCAATAGATCGCTGTAGATATTTTTAAGTTTATTAAAAATGTTATCCACTGCCCTCCGTTTGTCTCATAATCTTACATAACATGGTCATGGATTAATTGCTGAAGCGCAAATGTAATAGTGTTAATGTCTGGCTAAAAAATTGTTTTATTACCTTTTGCAAAACTTCTTAACGTCATATTCAGAGCCTTCTAAATTTCAATGCCAACTTGTAGCTTTGGCTTGATTACCAAAGGGTTTCCATCCTACCACATTGCTCCCAATATACCAGTGACATGGACTCTAAATTTTCCATGACTTTCTCCAAACTTTGCCTTTCATGACAATGATTCCTTTTCTGAAATGACATTACTGTCTCACACACTGAAACTCTCATCCTTAATGTACCAGGACAAATGTCTTTTCCCCCACGAGACATTATTTTACTCCAGTTAGAATTATGTTTCTCTTTATTCATGCTCTTAAAACACTTCTTTTTAAGCACTTTTTATACCATCATGATCTGGAGTGTGAATCTTAAAATATATTAGAGTTAATAAGTAATATATTTATTTTCATTTACTACTAAATATAAACATTATAAACAGAATAGTTTTATCTATCACTCAATAAAAATAAATTTTTTAATGTAATGAGTAATATAGATACAAATTATTTTGCCCTGAATATTTACCTTAGGGAAATTCTTAACTTCATTCTCTGTAACTATAAATCAAGTGTACATAGCTTTTAAAGAATGAAATTATTTACTATAAATTAAAGATTATTTTATAATAATAGAGAATAAGGGAAATTATGTGTATGTATATGTATATATATAATATATATCATATATAATTATATTATATTATATATTATATATAATTATATATGATATATATACATAACTATGTAACATATACTTCTAGATATAAACCAAAATAGAATAAAGAAAATCATTTCCTATTCTCGACAAATCTATTTTCAACTACATGGAAACACACTAACAAACAAAGTCAGAAGCATGTGTTCTATAAATGTGCTACAACAAATGTTCAAGCATTAACTCTGATACAAATGAATGATAGAGCAGCTTTTACAGTTATAACATGATAAAGTGCTTAAATGCATGGGCTTTGTACTAGGTACCCTGGTTACATCTCAGCTCCTCCACTAGAAAGTGACATGGTTGTGAGCCACCTACTTTGAGAGCAACCTCACTAGACTGGAATATATTAGAATTAAAGGGGATTATGACACATAGCTAGTCACATGTATATACATCAACAATAGATGTCTCCATTTTAACGCTTATATCTAGTGCTATATGCAAGTAGAGAAATGACTATGTAGCACCAGCTAAGTGAGAAAAAAGACCTGAGGAATCCTTAAGATACGTAAGATAAAAACAAACATTAACAGTTACTAATTTCATTGACTATTTATACTGAGCATCATAAAAGCTTTCCATATATCAAAAACTTTCATTTTAATACAAATTTATGAGTTGATTAATATGATGATATCCATTTTTACATACAACAGTTTACACAGGTAGATATATGGCAGAGCATCAATTTGGACTCAGGCTTTCTGACAAAGTTCTTTAAGTGTGGGGCCTATATGTTAATTTTAATGAAGATTGTCAATCTACAAATTTTGAATTTTTGATGAGAGGTTTTGTCCTGATTTCAATGCAAAGAGCATGGTTCTCAATTGTCCAAATAATATAGAGAAGTAGTTAATCATAAGTTATGGTTTTATTATTAAAAGATTTTACTTTATGCCTAATATTTAAGTTTATGCCGTATAGAAGGGAACCATTATTACTGTCACAGTTTTTACCCAAATAAAATTTTATTTTGAGAAAAATAACAAAATTCTACTCACTTACTAAGTAGATATTTGTTAGTCATCTATTAGAAAGATCTTTTTGCATCCATTAACTCATTCATTTTTAAAATTGAATTTTCATTATGAATTAGGTATTGTGACAGTCACTATCAAGACAAAGGGAATGAAAAATATTGAATCTGCTTAATGAATATTGCATTTTAATATTGTATATTATTAAAGACACTAAATAAATAAGTTATAAGAGAGACCTGAGCTGCTGTAGAAAATTGAATAGCTTTGTGTTCTGAGAAGTATCCAAGAAAAAGGAGTGTCACATGACAAAGGCTGAGAGGCCAGAGAGGTGAATGAGAATCTGGTGCTTTAGAAGAATTAAAAAAAAATTCCATGTAGTCTGAGCTGGAGAAGGAGAGGCAGAATGGGGGACAGTAGCTAGAAAAAAAAGTTCAGGTAGACAAATGCTAGGCCTTGGAAGAACTCAAGAGGCAAGATATTTTAGAATTATATTAACACCAAAGGGAAGATGGAAGGATTGTAACCATCCTTGCCATGTGATGAGGTACGCATTAAAATTGCACTGCCAGCAGTGCAGTGTATAGACTAGAGAAAGACAGACTGAGCAGAAGAAAGTGAGTTGGAATGCTTTTAAGAACAATCTAGCTGATAAACAATGGTAGCTTTTCAATAGGATGGTGAAATGGATACTGAGAGATGTGGTAAAATTTAAGTGATTTATAAAGAGTTTTGGTGGATATATATTTATATATTATATATTTAACATAAATATACATTTTCCTGTTTTATATATATATTACATTTGAAAGGTGGATATGGGGGAGAGAAAAGAGTCAGGGATAATTTAGGATTTTGGCTTGAGGAACTGAATAAATTGAAATAATTGCTCGTATTTATTGACCACATACTGTTCGTTATGCAGTATTCTAAGTTTTTACATGTACTAATTAATTTAATATTCACAAAAATCATTTGGGAGAGGTGTTATTATCCTCATTTTACATGTAGGAAGTGTGAGGCATACAAATTGTCCGGGACTCTGTAGTTAGTATACATAACAGAACTTGCATACCTGGCTCCCTCAGAGTCCAGCCTTTTAGTCGTTTTGCTCTTTTGCCTTGATTGATGTGATATTTACTGAGACAGAGACCCTGGAGGAGGATTCTATATGGATTTCAGAAAGAAAAATGAGTTTCGTTTTGGATTTGGTTTTGAAGAGCCATGATATAGCCAAGTGGAAATTTCCAGTGCGTATTTGGGTTATATGGGTTTACAATTCAGGAGACAATGGTGGCTGAAATATTTAGGTTAGAGAATTTTCAGTAAACAGATGGGCACTGAAGACATGGAAGTAAATGAAATTGTCAAAGAGAGAGGAGAATATAGAAGTTATGTGCCATTTTCATATTTATGGGTTATAAGGGGAATATAAAGATGTAAAACATAATCTCCTCACAGACTTCCACCTCATGGGAGAAATAGATGACTAAACAGACAACTACAATATGTAGTGATTAATGATAAATCAGAAGGTAGAAAAGCATTGAGGATGATTTACTTCCTGTTAGAGAAGGCTGTGGTCCATGAAACTGCTTCTTGGAGGCTGTAATACCTGAGCTGAGTCTGGAATGATGGCTTGGAGTAAATTAGATGAGTAGGAAAGGTAAAGCTCACTTTAGACTGAAGTTCGGTTTGCTGGGGTAGTAGATGTTTAGGCAGTGTAAGTGGCCCCCAAAAAGGAAGAGACAATAGCCCAGTGGATGTCACTTGGGCAAGTTATGGTTTCTGTTGCATGGTTGAAGTGTGGGTTTGTGGAAGGGAGGTGTTGGGAGGATGAGGGAGGGGGCAAACCAACAAAAACCCTTGCAAGTTATAATTTCTATCTATACTTCATCCAGCAAGTGCCATGGGAACAGAGAGGAATTTCCTATGGAAATGTAAATATCAGAACATTTCAGATAACCTCTCTATATTTTATTCCAGATGAGCTTGTCAAACAAAAAGAGTCAAACTCTAAAATATTTGAAAAAAACTTATTCTGAGCCAAATATGAGTGACCATGCCCCATGACACAGCCCGCAGGAGGCCCTGAGAACATTTGCCCAATGTGGTCCGGGTGCAGCTTGGTTTTATACATTTCATGAAACGTCAATCAAATACATATAAGAAATACATTGGTTTGGTCCAGAAAGGTGGGGAAACTCAAAGCAGGGTGGTTGCTGTGGGGAGGGGGCTTCCAGGCTATAGGTATATTTAAACATTTTCTGGTTGAAAATTAGTTGAGTTTGTCTAAAGATCTGGGATCAACAGAAAGGAAATGTTCAGGCTAAGATAAAAGACTGTGGAGACCAAGGTTCTTTTGAAGTCTTACAGTAGCTGCCCCTTGAGACAATAGATGACAATTGTTTCTTACTCAGCTCTTCAAAAGTTGCTAGACTTTTAGTTAATCTCTTTAGGATTGGGGAGGGCCTGGAAGAAAAAGATCTAGCTATGTTAATAGAAATTCTTTACAGATGCAAATTTTCCCCCACAAAGGACAGCTTTGGAGGGCCTTTTCAAGATATGGCAAAGAAACATGTTTTGGGGTAAAATATTTTGATTTTCTTCCTTGTCTTGTAATGTTATGCCAGAGTCAAGTTGGAAAGTAAGTAATAATATATAGGGTTAAATAAAACCCATCTGATGAGAATATATGGTTTGTAGGGCATGACTCCCCAGATCCCTTAAATAGGAATTTGGCAAAATAAAAAATCAGAGCTTAGTCCTCAGGCTGAAGACTAAGTCACAATTTCATGTTCAAATAAGCAAACAATAAGAAACAGTCTATTTTTCTTCTTTATTTTAACAACATTTTACTTGCTATCACTGAATTTTAGCACTTAAAAATGTTGCCATGACGTAAAGAGTTAAAAGACTATTGTGTCTATAAACAAAATGTCAATCTTTTTTTCATTAAATAAATATTGCCATACTTCTTGCCTTCTCAACTTCTTCTTCTTTTTTTTTTTTTTGAGATGGAGTCTCGCTCTGTCGCCCAGGCTGGAGTGCAGTGGCGCAATCTCGGCTCACTGCAAGCTCCGCCTGTCTGGTTCACGCCATTCTCCTGCCTCTGCCTCCCGAGTAGCTGGGACTACAGGCGCCCGCCACCATGCCCACCTAATTTTCTGTATTTTTAGTAGAGATGGGGTTTCACTGTGTTAACCAGGATGGTCTCAATCTCCTGACCTCGTGATCTGCCCACCTCGGCCTCCCAAAGTGCTGGGGTTATAGGTGTGAGCCACCATGCCCGGCCACCTTCTCAACTTCTAAGGTCTGTTATCATAACATACTCTACTTGGTAACTGAAAATTCTGTTAAGCAGGAAAAAATTTGCTCACACATAAAATGGTGTACAGGATTCCAGCTATAGCTACTTAATATCTTTCAAGTTAAATTCCAGATATTGACATATAATAATGATCTACCTATGTCATTCTTTTCAAAAACAAGTTTCTCAAAACTGTATTGTGACATATTTTTAGGCTCTGTCAAGATAGTCTTATCCAAATGGTAAAGCTTACTTCCCAAATATCTGTAAAGAAAAGTATGTACTTATTTATTATTACATTTCATCACATGAATCTAATATTCTAAAGTCATAATCTGTGGGGGTCTGTCCTGCAGACCCCAGCTGCATGACAGATGAGATGTGTACTCCAACACCGATATTCAGCAAAAGAGCAGGCCAGAGGGCTGTGGGCATTAGGGACCGAAGAGAGTTTGCCGCCCCTCTAAGCTGGCAATGTTTGCATTTATTTAGTATATATTTAATTGACAAAAGCTTTCAGTCAACACATCTGTGGGTAATTAACCTGGTTGCTAACCCCCCACCCAAGTAGAGAGCAATTATGCATCTATGGTTGATCAAAGTTGGTCTTAGGACCACGTGAGTAAACAAGCTATATAGATAAACTACTCTACATTCCTTTGTATTTGAGCCCTAAGTTATTAAGTGGATTCAGCTGCCTTCAGCCAAACATTTTTATGCAAACCTCCAGGCCTTCCAAGAGGGTTTGTGTTTATTTCCTATAATTTTACAATTTCTCCCACCATCCTGACTGAACTCCCACAGTAATCAAGTATCATATCTTCAAATTGGCATTGGCATTCGAACAAGTATATTTTAAGAGAAAATAAATGTCTAAGTAGAGCACAAGAAAAAAGCATCTGTTTATTATATGGCTTTGGAAATTATGAATGCCATTAGAAAGCATAATTTATGTGATTATTTTTTATTTATGCTAATGTATTACCCAAAGTGTTTTCAAACATCTCACTTGCAATGCAATAGAGGATTGGAAATGATTGACACAGACTTTATTCTTCCTGTCACATCTAGTTGTTTTTCTCATGCATGTGTGTGTTTTGCAGTATTTCTGTAGAGTTGTTAATGAGCCATCAATTTTATTTGTGCAAATTGTAAACAAGAATTAAAAATTTTCTTGCCCAAGGTGTTAGTATACTACTGAAAAATTGAATGTGGAAATGCCTGATTTTCAACACAAATATATTAACCCCTGTGGAGAGACCTATGCAAGTGTGAAACATTATTTTGTGTTTTAATTAGCGTATATAAGCTATGTGAGAGGTCCTCTTGCAGTCAGCAATTAGGCTATATTTAACGTGGAAGTGGGGAGGTATATAGTACTCATATACCACTTGAGCCAAAGGATTAATAATTCTGCATTTCTTACAATTCATTGTAATGGTTTGGAAAGTGATGTCAATTTTAACAAAAAAATGAGGTATTTGACATGCACATGATTGATACAGTTTTACAATAATATTTCTCTAAACAGTGAGTAATCCCAGAACATAAATGTCACTGAAGAGGAGACTTTCTTTCTGGAAGTCTTTCACTTTGATATTTATCATATATATATATTTTTTTTCTGCATGGGCTCCTAGGAACTTTTTGTGGAGATATTAATAATAACATCATATAAAGGTTTCTAATATTACTCCCTCTCTTTAAAGCTTGCTTTGACCTCATCTCCTGGAGGAGAGTCCAACCTTGTCAGGATGTGTTGCCCATTCAGAAGAAAAAGAGAAAGAGATGAGAGCATAATAGCTAATACGTCTGAGTACTTACGCTATAGCAAGCTCTGTCTCAGCTATTTTTAATTAGTCATTACAACAAATCCTTGTGATATGCTAATATTATTATCCTTGTTTAAAGATGAGAAAGTTACATGGCTATTCACAAAACTACTAAGTGACAGAATCAGTACAGTAGTCCCACTTATAGGCTGTTTCACTTTTTTTTTTTTTTTTTTTTTTGAAATGGAATTTCACTCTTGTTGCCCAGGCTGGAGTGCAATGGCGTGATCTTGGCTCCCTGCAACCTCCGACTCCTGGGTTCAAGTGACTCTCCTGTCTCAGCCTCCAGAGTAACTGGGATTACAGGCACCTGCCACCATGCCTGGCTAATTTTTCTATTTTAAGTAGAGATGGAGATGGGGTTCACCACATTGGCCAGGCTGGTTTCGAACTCCTGACCTCAGGTGATCTGCCTGCCTGGACCTCCCAAAGTGCTGGGATTACAGGCGTTAGCCACCACGCCCGGTTTCTGTGGTTTCATTTACTACCTGTGGTCAACTGTGGTCCAAAATATTAAATGGAAAATTCCAGAAATAGACAATTTATAAGTTTTGAAACACCATTGTGAGTAGCATGATGAAATCTTACACTGATCTGCTGTGTCTCACTGGGCATGTGAATCCGTCTTTTGTCTACCATATCCACCTATATATGCTACCCACCCTTGAGTTACTTAGCAGTCTTCTTGGTTAATGTATCAATAGATCACAAGAAAAAGAAGGGTGAGCACAGTACAAAAATATATTTTGAGAGAGAGTGAGAGAAAAACAGAGCGCATATTTATGTAACTTTTATTATAGTATATTGTTATAGTTGTTCCATTTTATTAGTTATAATTTATCTCTTGCTGTGCCTAATTCATAAATTAAACTTTATCGTAGGTACTGTACGTATGTATAGGAAGCCACATAGTACCTACAGGATTCAGTAATATCCACAGTTTTAGGCATCCACTGGATGTCTTGGATGGGATCTTACTTGGATAAAGGGAAACTACTGTATTTTAATATGGGCAGTTTGGCTTAAGGTTATTGTTTTTGATTGAGCCTATATTTTATGACTTCTTTCTTTAGACAGCAATTCTAAAGAGCAGTAAGTGGTTGGGAAGAGATCAGTTTAGTGGGGAAGAATTTCTTTTCTGAAGGTTTTGAGTAAATACAGCGAGAAGCTGCCTTCAATACTGAAAGGTTCTTTATAGTGGCAAAGAGAGAGGTTTAGGAGATATGAGATGTGCCTTCTAATGATATTCCAGACATGCAAATAAGAGACTAATCATTTTTATGTGACCTTGGTTCTACAGTTTTTGCTCCAATCATGAAAATGCTCCCAGAATGAATTATGAGAGTTATTGCTTAGCAAGCATTACATTCTCATGGAGCATGCCCCATATTTACCACCAGAGACCCCAGGCTTCTTGAGAACATTCACCCTTCAAAAGGGAAACTTTATCATGCCAATACAATTCTGCCTCTCAGAAATATATAATCAGTACTTTTTATTATTTATTTTCATTTTAATATAGAACATCTTAATCACAACAGGCTCCACATAAAATTGCTGTTTCTTGCCATGTAATCAAACAGTAGTGAGTTGCAGTAACCACCCAGACTGCTGATAGAGAAAGCCTCAGAGTGCAGACCACAAATGCAACACAAAGATTCACAGGGTTGAAGAGAGCAGCTCCTGCAAAGCTTTCAGAGTTGCAAATTAAATAATAGGTTCACTACGCCAGAAGAGAATTTCAAACTTCCATTGAAAAATCTGAGGATTAAGGCCATCATTTGTCCTAATTATTTTACTTCATTAATGACAAGCATTCCCAGTATCACTCCTTGGACCAACTTTTATCACTCACACATTTAGCAGTATATTGGTGTGATGGTTAATACTGAGTGTCAACTGGATTGGATTGAAGGATACAAGGATACAAAGTATTGATCTTGGGTGGGTCTGTGAGGGTGTTGCCAATGGAAATTAACGTTTGAGTCCATTGGCTGGGAAAGGCAGACCCCCCCTTAATCTGGGTGGGCACATTCTAATCAGCTGCCAGTATGGCTAGAATATAAGCAGGCAGAAAAATGTGTAAAGAGAGACTGGCCTAGCCTCCCAGCCTACATCTTTCTTCAGTGCTGGATGCTTCCTGCCCTTGAACATTGCACTCCAAGTTCTTCAGTTTTGGAACTTGGACTGGCTCTCCTTGCTCCTCAGCCTGCAGATGCCTATTGTGGGACCTAGTGATCATGTGAGTTAATACTAAATAAACTTTATATATATATATTTACATATATATATATAAAAAGGGGTTTCTGGAGTTGGCTGCTTAATATAATTAGACAAAAAATGCCAAGAACTCTACTTCTAATAGTATGGAGGACACTGATAATCCTTGGTGTGAACTGTTTAGAATGTTACAAAATAAATGCGTTTGACACTTCTGATTCGTCACTCATGAGAGGGAAGAAGTATTTTGACTCTATACATAATACCTTTGACCATATGTGGAGAACCAAGGAACATAATTAAGCTGGGAGGTTACTCCTAAATTCAGAGGACAACGTGATGAAAGAAAATAATGAACTCAGAGATTCTGTCTCCCAGCTTCAGAAGGGGATACTGAGCCTCAAATCTGCTTAAGAGTGCCCTGAGTGAGAGTGTTATCTCCTGTAGAGAAAGAGTTAAAATTGGGGAAAAACAGACACAAGATTTATCATGCGAGTGACTGACCTGCAACAAAAAGTGCATGCACAGCCTCACCAGGTGTCTACTGTTAAAATGTGGGCATTGATTAGAAAAGAATGGGACCCTGCAACTTAGAATGAGGACATGTGGGAGGACCCTGATGAAAATGGGGACACTGAGTTTGTAAACTCTGATGTATCTTTTATGCCAGAAAAAACAGCTTTCTCATCTCCAGTAGTGGCAACATCCCCCCGCCCCAGACCCCTGCTGCCATCAGCCTTTCCACCTCTGTCTGAAGAGATACATACACCCTGTGCTGCCTGAGGCAACAGTGATGGTCTCCTCTGAGGCGGTTGCCAGGCGAGATAATGTTGATTCTCCTCAGGAGCCACCCCAACACCTCTGTTTGCTTCTAGACCTTTAACAAGACTGAAGTTCCGGCCGGCCCCTAGAAGTGAGGTTGAGAGTGTGAACCACGAGGAGGTGCAATACACTTGAAAAGAACTGCCTGAATTTTCTAATTTAGATAAACAGAAATCTGGAGAACAGGCATGGGAATGGATATTAAGAGTGTGGGATAATCCTGGATAGAACATAGAGTTGGATCAGGCTGAATTTATTGATTTTGGCCCACTACCTAGAGACTCTGCATTTAATGTTGCAATTTATATATATCTATTCCATAGTTCTGTCCCTCTAGAGAAACCTGACTAATACAGTGGTAAGTATCTAATAACCACCTCCAAAATATATATAGAAATATATGTGTATGTATACATATATATAATGTGTATGTTATTAATTTTATTCATATGAAGAGGGAATACCATACAATTTATAAATAATAATAAAATACACAACATATTTATTATAAATTCCATTGAGTCTTGTGGTGTGTTTGTTGATTTTGCTAAACTCTTGTATCTTCAGCCAACTATGTTTGCAAGTAAAGTTCCAAAATGCTTTTTGTATGTTGGTTTGATATTTTTATTTATATTAACACGTTAAACAAAAATGAAACTATAGAGATCAACTTATATCAGAACCATACTCATTTGTAATGTCATGTTACTTTGCTGAATCACATAATGGGTTTTAAAAAGTGAAAAAAAATTCAATATCTTTGCATTATTTATAATATAATGGCTACAGATGCAACATATTTTTAGCTTTATTCCACATTTTAACAGTTTTTTAATTACTTTTATAAGCCCAGAAAAACAACAAAACAACAAGGAAATCCTGATTTGTAATATTTAACCATTTCTGTAAGGTAACTACTCCAGGAAGGCTAGTTTTCAAGCTATCAATATAATACTACCGTATACAGAGTTGAGAAGAGATATGCAGGAGCAAAACATTACATAATATTTCTACCATACAGTTGGCCGGGCACGGTGGCTCACGCCTGTAATCCCAGCACTTTGGGAGGCCAAGGCGGGTGGATCATGAGGTCAGGATATCGAGACCATCCTGGCTAACACAGTGAAACCCCGTCTCTACTAAAAATACAAAAAAATTAGAAGGGCATGGTGGTGGGCGCCTGTAATCCCAGCTACTCGGGAGGCTGCAGCAGGAGAATGGCGTGAGCCTGGGAGGAGGAGTTTGCAGTGAGCTGAGATCGCGCCACTGCACTCCAGCCTGGGCGATAGAGCGAGACTCCATCTCAAAAACAAAAAAAAATTTCTACTATACAGTTATAATAAAGATAACCTTCAGGGAAGAGATAATAGTGAAATGTAGAAATATAGTAGAAATTGATACCGATGAGTTTTGAATTACTTATTACCTGTGTTTTAATGTAATTATTAAAACTGTAGGATTATATAATTTAATTTTTAATAATGACTATGTTTAATCACTAACTTGAAAAAAGTCCCCCAAACTGAGCCATCAGATCTCATGAGCTATCATGACCCTGCTGCAGTGATGTCATGCTGAGCAAATAGATTGCTACGGAAGGTCTGGCAGGTGAGCCTGTCTGTCCGCCAAGTGCAAGTAGTTGGTAACTGGTGTAAAATAAGGCCCACACATTTCTTGTTGGTTTCAAAAGACTACGTGAAGAAAAAATTAGTATTCTAGAAATATTGCACAGCTATCTAAGGTTTTAGACCAATCTCATTTCCAAACTGGCATTCCAGCAAAATCTCTGCTCACTTAAATCCTGGACACCCTCTTCTCCTTGTTATATCTGTCTACTTTCTAGTCATTTCTTACTTACTAAATATGTTCAGTCCTGGATCTATATCATTCTCTCTACCCCATAATCACCATCATTTTTTTGTAATATTTATATCCAAGTGTATGACCTATATACCACCTAGGCCTGAATATCACAAGCTCCTCAACTCCAGTAACCACCAGTTCCTTCAATCTCTGAGAAATATCTCAAATTTTGTAATCTTCACTAACTGCCCTGTCCTTATCTCATTTATATCATTTATCTACAGATATCATTATGTACTCTCTTCCTATAAGAGCCCTCTTTCAGTTCCTTCATTTTTCAGTTTGCAAATAACCTCAACTTCCAAGTGGGGTCCATTTCAGCAATGCAAAATTGATTTTACATTCTAGAAATCAATCAATGTAATACAAAATGTTGATAGTATGTAAGGAGGAAAAAGACATACGATTAACCTATAGATTTAAAAAAAATAACAGACATTTATATTTAAGAAAAGAAAGCTGTCAGAAGACTGGTAATAAAGGAACTATTTATTTATTTATTTATTACCCAAGAAAGACAAAAGTTTTTTATTATTACCCAAGAAAGACAAAAGTTTTTTTTTTCCCCTAAGAATGGGAAAAAATAAAGCTGTGTGCTCTCATCACTTCTATTTAATATAGTTTTTAGGTTCTAGCCTGTTCAATACAAAACCCAAAATAAGTAAAAAACTATAAGAATAGAAAGTTAGAGAGGAAAACTTTCTTTATTCATAAATTACATGATGGAGAAAATTACTAAAAATTATAGAAACAAGTTTCTTAAATTAATAAGTAAATCTGGCAATATTCAAAATTGTAGGATACAAGGTCAATATATAAAAATATTTATTTTTACATAGTACCAAGATAATTTTGGAATTAAAAACTTAAATAATGCCATTACAATAGCATCAAAATATTCAATACTGAGGAATTAATTTAAGAACACGTGTGTAAGACCTGAACACTAAACAACAAAGTTTACTGGAAGAACTACAGATCATCTAAATAAATGGTAATGACATATGTTCACCAAATAAAACAGTCAGTATGAAGATGTCAGTTTTCAAATTTATTTATATATTTTACATAATCCCAGTCAACACTAAAAATTTTTTATACATATTGACAAGCTGATTTGAAAATTTATATGGAAATACAAAAGACCAAACATTGTCAAAATAATTTGAAAAAATAGCAAAGTTAAAATACAAATTCTTAATTTAAAGACAATATAAAACTACATTATTAAGATTGTGTAGTATTGGCTCAAGGAAGCCCATATCAATCAGTAGATTAGAGAAATGATTTCTGAAATACAAACACTACAGTATGGTCAGTTGATTTTGACAAAAGTCTCTGGTGACATTTCATCAGGTAAAGATTGAATATCCATATGCAAAAATCAAACTAAACTCTGCTCTTACCTCTCACTATATACTCCATACTGAGACACAGAGCTAAATTTGAAAGCTAAATTACAGAAGTCTGAAAAAAAGACATAGAAGTCTTTGTGAGCAAGGATAAGATGACAATGTTTATACAGAACAAGAAACACTGAACAATAAATATTGACAATTCATCAATTGTTAAACTGAACATAAAATTTAAACCATTTGCTTTTGAAAAGAAGTTGTACACTTAAATAGAAAAGCATGTCTTATTAGACTGAGAATACATATTTGCAAATATATGTATATATTAAAGAAATTTTGCAACTGAATGAAAAAAATGAACATTTTTAAAATTAACAAATGATTAGATACTTCATGATATAAGACATACCAATGACTATATAAGTTGCCAACAACCACATGAAAATCACTCAATATCATTAATTATTATGTAAATGTCAGTTAAAAAACCAATTATGTACATCTTCATAATCACTAAAATGGCGAAAAATTTAAAAAGGCTGAAAATACTAATTGTTCAGAAGGATGTGAAGGAATTAGACCTCTCATACGTTGTTGGTGGTACAACCACTTTGAAAACTAATTTGGCATTTTCATATAAGTTAAATATATGTTTGCCATATAACCTAGAAACTGCTCTTACGTATTTACTCAAGAAAATTTAAAACATTTACAGTCAGAATTGTAGTAAGCTGTTTACAGTCATTTTTCTAATAGTAGCCAAAAAACTAGGAAAAGCCCACATGCCTATCAACAGGTAAATGGGTAAACAAATTGTGTATCACCCAAAGGCTGGAATATTATAGCAATAAAAAGAACTGTGCTAATGATACAGCAACATGAATGAATCATGAAAAGTATTATGCTAAATAAGAGAAGCAGACACAAAATACTGCATACTATCTGCTTCCATCAGAAACACAGTTGGGATGATGTAAATGTTCTATAGATTGATACTGGTGGTGTTTACATGATTGCATACATTTCATAAAACTCATCAAACTATACTTTCATATTTGGTAAATTTTCTTTAAGTAAATTATACTTCAATAAAATTGATCTAATTATGTTTTAAAATGCATTCTAAGGTAATACACAACAATAATAACAGTTATTACATTATTCTTGAGTGATTATAAATTTTTTTAACCTTTTTAAAATATCCTGAACTTTTCTATCATGATTTTCTGTTACCTCAATTTTACTAATGGCTAAAAATAATCAAGTAGTATTCTTAAAATAAAAGTGATATATTGTGTCCTGAATACATTATTCAGAAATTCCCAACATGTTTAACTTACTATATTGTTAGAAAACAACCAGCAAAAAATTGAGCCATCAAGCCACTATAAGTGTGTACTTGATGAATGGCTATTCAATTTATTACACACCCACATGCACATAAACTTTTCTAGGCATATCACCCTGGGAATAGATGTATGTTTGAGAGAATGGTATACATTTTTGCATTTATTATTAAACATTCTTTATCTTGGCAGAGTTATTTTAAAACATGACAGGGAATACTAATGAATCACAGTAATGTGACTAATGCCATTCCGATCCAGTCTTGGAAAAATGTTAAATATTTAAACATTAAGCACATTATTTTTTCCTTGTCCTCTTATTTAAAAAGTAAAATTTTAAAATACAAGAAGAAAATACAATAAGAAGCCCCTCAATAGCTTTGATTTCCCATCCAAGTACTAACCAGGCCTGACCCTGCTTAGCTCATCATCACTGGTCATTAGAGAAATGCAAATCAAAACCACAGTGAGATACTATCTCACACCAGTTGGAATGGCGAGCATTAAAAAGTCAGAAAACAACAGATGCTGGAGACGATGTGGAGAAATAGGAACTCTTTTACACTGTTGCTGGGGTGTAAATTAGTTCAACCATTGTGCAAGACAGTGTGGTCACTTTTCAAGGATCTAGAACTAGAAATACCATTTGATCCAGCAATCCCATTATTGGGTATGTACCCAAAGAATTATAAATCATTCTGCTATAAAGACACATGCACACATATGTTTATTGCAGCACTGTTCACGATAGCAAAGACTTGGAACCAACCCAAATACCCATCAATGATAGACTGGATAAAGAAATTGTGGTACATATACACCATGGAATACTATGCAGCCCTAAAAAAGGATGAGTTCATGTCCTTTGCAGGGATATGGATGAAGCTGGAAACCATCATTCTTAGCAAACTAACACAAGAACAGAAAACCAAACACCACATGTTCTCACTCATAAGTGGGAGGTGAACAATGAGAACACATGGACACAAGGAGGGTAACATCACACACCAGGGCCTGTCAGAGAGCTGGGGGCTAGAAGAGGGATAGCATTAGGAGAAATATCTAATGTAGATGACGGGTTGATGGGTGCAGCAAACCACCATGGCACGTATATACCTATGTAGCAAACCTGCACGTTCTACACATGTACACCAGAACTTAAAGTATAATAAAAAAATCTTTGTTTAACAATTTAAAAATTTTACATATATACAAATTGTGTATATGTTACATATACATAAATTACATATAGAGATATTTATATAAATTGGATATACATATATACAAATGTACATATATTTTATATGTTATATTATCTAGTGCCTTAAAATATTCATGTTTTATGAAATACATTGAATATCTTATAAAAATATCATTTTAATAAGTACATTATATTCCATCAAATAAAGGCAACTTAATGCAGCCATTGTCATATTGTAGCACATAGTTTTCAATTATAATTTATTTTGCTGTCATCCTATTTTTACACAAATATTAGCCTACACTTTTGATGTAGCATTTATTAAACTATGACTCCTGTTCCATCCTCCAGTCTATCCCTGCTCTGATGGTCTTTTAAGAAAGTATGACCCTATAAATTTACTGCACTAATTTCTGTCTAAAATTTTAAAGGGATGTGGCAAGATTCACCCTTGTCCTTTTTAATGTTTACTATACTTTTATAGTCACTTCTATTTAGTGCCTCAAAATTAGAAGTATTCTCTTATTTTTATTTCATCTGATTTGTTCAACTGCACAATTTCCCTAGATTAAAATGATCTAGACCAGTGATTCTCAATCTATACTGCATATCAGAATCCTTGGGGAGCATTTCAAATATTCAAATTCTTAGATCCCAACCACAAAGATGCTAACTTAATTGGTCTTGGGTGAGTCCCAGGCACTGGTAGTTTTTAAAGCCCTCTGGTGAATTCTGATAGCAATATGCAATCTGGGTTGAAAACCACTGCCACAGATGGTTCCCTATATTGAGACTGGAGCTCTATTTTTTTCTTCCAGCTGGTCCACCGTTCTTGGGCTATACTTAATGATTTCAATAGCTTCTATAGTTTTCCTAAATCACTCCAGGATCGTTGACTGGATTTCAGAGAAAGACTTATTTGTTGTTGACTAACAGATTTTTTTGTCCTTTCTCTTCTGCAGTTACAGATTCAATAACTACAGAATTTTCACTGGGTCCTAGGAGAAGCAATTTTCTATTTTCCATTTATATTGTCTCTGTATAGGCTCAGTTTACAAACTTCTGAGCCCCGATAGCAGGCCAGTTTAAACTGGAATACTCCCCAAGAGACTTTGTGGGTACTGCCAATTTCAGAGGAATCGGTTTTCTGATCTTCTGCTTCTATATGAACTCACCCCACGATTGTTGTTCTCTCTACCTTCGTTTTCACAACAGTACTCTCACTTTTCAAACGAAAAGAATAGCCCTCATTCTCCCAATTTATATCGCATGTCCCTCTTGGTAAACCTTTCAGTGCTCTAATCTCCTGTGTTGTGTAAAGACTTCTTTAGTGAGTAATCAAAGTACCAGATATCAAGACAGGGTCTCCTGTCTTTTAGGGTATTAAATATATCTTATAAGCATGAAATATGCCATAAAAATATTTTAGTTCATACTAGGAAGAACTGAAATCAAACATACTGTAGAATAGGAGCACTGGGAGTAATAGAAATTTTCTTTTAACCACCTGACTTCTCCTGTCCCTTGACTATCATAAATGAAAGCACACTATTAAGGGAGAGAGGGAAGGAAGATTTGTGTAAAAGTGCTAAAAGTTTTCACATAATTGAAACATAATTTGTATTAGCTCTTCTAATATTCAATATTAGGACTTGCTGAAAAGCAAAACATCTTCAGTCAGCTGAAGAAACAGAGAGTAGAGACGTGGATCACTATAGATGAAACTAAAAACTTTTCTGGAATTAAAAGTATTTTCAAGTATCATTGGATATAATTCAAGCCCAAAATAAAATGTTATGTAACTTCTTCAGACTAAGTGAGCATTTAACAGTATTTAAACTATATTTCATGAAACTGAATTATCATCTTATTTTCATCTTACATATTTTAATGTTTTGAACCCTTTTTAAAAAGTGTTAGGCTACCTACTGAATGGATTAGTTTAAGCAGAATATACCTTCTCCTTCTATTAAAAAATTGAAAGTGCTTGGTTATATGTCTAAGGAAATTTATAATGTATAAATTGCTAAACATAGGCATTCTTATTTAATTATCCTCAAAAGCTGAATGCCAAATTTCAATAGACTCATGTACATACATTTAGTAAAAAAAGGAGTACCATGTGTTTTACTATATACCCCACTTCATGTAAAAGTGATAATTACATTATGTTGACATAATTATAATGTTTATTTGACCATTTTAGTGGTATTTATGACAAGGTGAATTATTTATTTATTCACTGTTTTATTAATAATATTCCTCAAAATGCATAGTAACACATTTCAGTTGAAAAATAAATTTAGATTTTATGAGACCAAAAAAATTGTGATTTAACTGATTGCTTCAAAATGAAATCTGGTTTTATTAGTTAGGTTTACAATATATAAATGTGACAAAAATTTTGTCTAAAATAGTATATTGACAAATGTACTTAAATTAATATTTTATTTTTCAAACTCTTTCTGAGTATGCGGTCAAACAGGGTGTGTCAAATTGAAAGAAATAAAGAAGAGCAGGAATAATTATAATCACATGATAAGTCTTTTTTACTTTTCTTTTTCTTATGCTTCCCAAAAATTGTCAAAGTGAACAATTGTGTAACAAGTCACATGTAGGTCAGATGTTTTATCTCTTCTTTAATTTTGCTTTTGCCTTTGAAAACAATTTTTATAGATCACCGGATAACTTTTGGTTAAGAAACAAAAAAAAAAACTTCCAATGGAAATGAAAATCTTGATTGGCATTGCCATAACTAAACTCATTTATTTCCCTCTATGTATTTACTCAGCATTTACATCTATAAAAACAAAAATAGAGGAATAGAATTCACACCATTCTGTCTCATTCTAGAAATAAATTATATTCATGTATCTTCAGATGAGTGAATTATTATTTTCCAAATGTCTATTTATCTCGTTAAACAATAGATTTCCAATAACATTTAAATTTTGCTTCAAAATTTTATGTTTTGTATGATTATTCATCAAATAATGTACTATGTATTGATTTTGTAAATTATGTGCCAATAATATTTGTAATGAATATGAAAGGGAACATTTAAAAATATATTTGCGCAAGGGGGCATGCAAGCAAAAAAAAAAGTTTAAAGATTATTTCTCTAAGCCTATTAGTGCACAGGAAAATGATACAGCATCATAATTCTGACTGGAAATCAGAGGAGTAAGTAAACAGTTTTTTCCTGTTTATTTATGGCTAGTAATGACTTCGGCAGATGAATCCCAGTCATACACACACATTGAACCCACATACAAAACCTCAAGGCAGTCCATACATAATAGCTGGACTGTAGCAGTTTATCTCTGGCTCCTATGATGTCCATCTTTCAGACATCTTTGTAGAATGTTCTAATTATGGTTCCAATGCCCCTTGTCCCATTCATGGCATAATGCTAGCTTACTGTCAACTTGAGAGTTTTAAGCACTCAACAGTGTACCAGTGATTTTAAATCCTGACTGTTGCCAGTTCCACTGCAGCTTAAAGACTCCAGAGCTTCCTGCCTGGCCTTTTGAACGAGATCACTAGCCTACATTCACCTACCTCTCTCTTCAAGGAAAATATTTATGATTTAGTGTGTGTGTGTGTGGTTACCTTTCACTGAGGCGTTCACTAGGAGACATTTTGGATTTCTACAATCAGATGAGCTCAGATACTGCTGGCTGCATGACTAGTGTTACTGATGGAACATCCAGTTACTGATGGAATAGTCAGTCTTCCCAACACTCATTTCACTCTCAGTGTGGTCGTATTAGGTTTCTATTGGATTTCCAGACAAGCTCCAGGAGCCATTTTAGCTTGTGGTGTGTCAACTTTTATCTTTTCACACTGAAGTAATTATTGCAGCTGTCCTTTTGAAATCCACTTTTAGCTATAGGCTGAGGATTATCATCTGTTTCCTTAGATATATGTCCTGAAAAAGACCACAGGACTAAAAGAGAGGGACATTTTTAAGACTCTTGAATTAATGGACTGGTACAATTTGATCCAGAGAACTAAAACTATAAAGAAAGGCCAGCCCAGCCTCATGGTTTCTGCAGAGCTCATACTTGGCTACATGCCAACACCATCCTCATCAGATTGCACTTTGTGTATCTGAAAAATAACATCTTTACTTCCATGTCCCTGGGGAAAAAAAGCAGCTTTGTTATTTAGCAAACATTTATGATACTGAACTATTTACAGAATTTGCTGAACTAACCTGCTCTCATGCTTTAGAAGCCTAAATCTCAGAAATAAGCTCACATTAGGTGAAGAGGGAAATGGGATTATTTCAGTTCTTAACAACAGGATTTAAGCCAATTTCCTCAAGTGAAATGGCATGATCCTTAGTGAAGCTTTGTCAGCTAGTGAGCCCACTGAACAGCAATGTCCCCCGAGCGAGGCAGACATGCCAGCCACATAGAGCTCTGACTCCCCAAGGCCTTTGAAGACCATAGGCCAGGGATGCTGAATTTGCTCTAGAAATATCAAGATTGTGAAACATCAAAGATGTTATCTATGCCTATGATAACATTGCTTTGCCTCCGGTTGCAATGAAACAGGATGTTAAACAATATATGTCTGTCTGCTTAAAAAATAATACATAAAACCAGAAACATGATACTGATGAAACAGTGCCGCCAAATTGTTGATGAAATTATTCATTAATCTAATGTAATCAAACAGCTTGAAATAGCGTTTTTGTTAATGTTTGAAAACTTGAGAGGAAGAAAGTGGTAATTTATGACTCTTTTAGTATGTACTTGATTGCTACTGAAATTTAGCAGGCTTTCATAATCATCGTCATGTATTAGTATCATTTATCTTTACATGATTGATTTTTAGATATTTTTAAAGCATTTATTTGACTTTTATAATTATTCTTTTGGTCAATTGGTTGTTATTTCACCAATGTTTACTTGTATCTGTTGAACTTATTTAGTAGTTCCACATTTTTGTTTCCTTGTTTACTAATTTTTTATTTTAAATTACTAAATTAAAATGTTTGCAATACTTAGGCTTATTTTGTTGTATTTATCAAAACATCTATGGTTTAAAGCTTACTAAAATTATCATTAGACTCTATGATTTAACAATATAGATTAAGTTTGACTTTTTTTCTCTAAACACTGTTTTCATGCTGCATTCAATATGTCTTCATGTATACTATTTTTTGATAATTTTTTAGCTATTTTGTAATTTGGTTTTGTTGTTTCTTTTGTCCCAAATTAAGTTTGATTTTCTACTTATTTTATTTCCTGACATAACAATTTTTCTATTCTGGGCTAATTTTCTAATTTAATTAAACAGTGAAGTGAAATATTGTAGTAGAAAGAAGAAACATAATTTATTAGTTGAATTTTTATAATTAAAAACCAAAAAATTAGTTAAACTAACAATAAAGACAAAAGTAGGAAACAAAGAGCTTATATGTGGTGGGCAAATAAACTTTATCAAGAAAAAACGAGAAAATGAAAATACAAAAATATGAACCATTAAGAGAAAGGTAATCACAGTTACCAAAGATGCTGTGTGAATTAAAAGCTATTTAACTCTATGCAGTTAAAATGAAAAATAGAGAAAAAAACTAGATTCAATCAATTATATTTCATGAAAATGTGACACTTAAAAAAACTTTCTGGCCAGGCATGGTGGCTCACACCTATAATAACAGCACTTAGAGAGGTTGAGACACGAGAATCACTTGAAGCCAGGAGTTTGAAACCAGCCTGGGCAACACAGCAAGACCCTGCCTCTACAAAAAATTAAAAAGATTGAAGAAAACTTCTGGATAATGGAAATAACAACTTATCGCTGGAGAAAAAATACAGATTATTGCCAAAAGCATTCATTATTCCCCCTGAAACATTCAGTCCAGATAATTCCACCAAACTGAACATTAACTCATTGTATTATTGGGAGTGTTGGTCATAATTTCTTCATTATACATGAGTCAAACTCAATGGATAAATTGCCTGAGCATGTGCTTTCCTTCCAGTGAAGTGATCTTTCCAGGTTTTATATTTATATACAAGTGTACATAATATCAATAAGCATGGCTATACAGATTTTTTGGTTAATTTAGTATACATTGTTTCAGTGATCAGAGGTCTATATTAAGTAAAGTAAAAGATGTTGATGTGTAATAACTATATAATCCTCTACTGAATGGGCAATTTTATTTTTGGTCTGAAAAACTAAAAAAGAAGGTGCCGTGGCTTTTATTTTAGAAAGGAGATAATCTATTTCCTCATTTTAATTCTCTTTCTGAGAAATAGAACAGCTGCCTTCATCATATTCACTGCATTTCTACCTTTCCAACCTCAGGGGGGAAATAAAACATTCTTTTTATACTTTTAGATCCATCTGTTGCCTGTCTACATTAGCATACACAGGGAGAAAGTGTCTATAATTTTTTATCCCAAGGCAGTAGTTTTGTTTTGCTTATTTGTTTTTGACTATTTTGTGGGTGACTGCATACCATTTCCATGTCATTCAGTTGATTGAATTTAATCTTAATCATTCTTTAAGTGACGTATGTATAAGGACTTAACTTCTGAACCAGTTGGTCATTCATTCATTCATTTAACAATATTTATTATGTGGTAGATACTCTGCTAGGGACTAGTTTATAGAGTAAATGAAAAAAGACACAGTCTCTGCCTTCCTGAAGCTTGGAGGATAACAAATTACAGACTGAGGTAGGAAGTATGAGAAGTGTACCTTCTTCAGACAGTAGACAATGAACAACTCTCTAAAAAGGTAGCATGTAAGCTAAAACTTAAAGAAAGACAAATGGTTTACCATTTGAAGTAAAGAGGACATGAGGGAAGAAGATTATTCCAAGAAGAGAGAAGAGAATGCACAAAGTCCTGGAGGTAGAAAAAAATGGAGATATTAAAAAAAATATAAAGAATAATTATAGCTGGGGTTTGATATCTTAGTAGAATATAGTACTCAGTGAGGTTGGAAAAATGAGCAAGTCTCTGGTCATGGAGGGCTTGTAGACAAAGACTGGGCATTTCATTTTAAGACAGAGACTGAGAATATTCAAATAAGTAATCTAATGTTTTTAGGAAGATTAACTCTTTAAAACTCTACTTTTGCTTTAAATGGAGAATGGAATATTGATTTGGAGGGGGCATCAGTGGAGCATTTACTCAGGAGGATAGTATGGCCACCCACAAAAGCAGCGTGGACTCTCATTCAAAATTTGGTTTAGATATTAAAACTGATGACGACCCCCCTCCCACCCCCACACACACAGCCCAAGAGGGTATGAAAATCTTTAGCATTTACGTAATGAGACTTTGTGGGAGAACAGTGAATTCTAAGCAGTTTTGGAATATAGGTTGAGACAACAGTGGGAAGAGTGGCTTTGTATCTTTATGGTGGTTCAATGGCAAGGCCAGGGTAAGTGTTCCTATATGTGGTTTGAACTATTTGCAGGTGCCCTGGGATATAACATTCTGGGTCTTATATCAGCTGCCCAAAGGTGGGGCAAAGAGGACGAGAAAATGGTGGGTTTCAGAGCCATCAGGACTCAAGCATTTAAAAAAAAATGGAGTCAGGGCCGGGCGTGGTGTCTCACGCCTGTAATCCCACCTCTTTGGGAGGCCAAGGTGGGTGGATCACGAGGTCAGGAGGTCAAGACCAGCCTGGCCAAGATGGTGAAATCCTGGCTCTACTAAAAATACAAAAAAATCAGCTGCGCGCGGTGATGGGTGCCTGTAATCCCAGCTACTAGGGAGGCTGAGGCAGATAATTGCTTGAATCCTGGAGGTGGAGGTTGCAGTGAGCCGAGATTGCACCATTGCACTCCAGCCTGGGCGACAGAGTGAGACTCCATCTCAAAAAAAAAAAAAAAAAAAAAAAAAAAAGGAGTCAGACTCTGTATTACAAAGATAATATAATAATTTAGGCAAGAGATGAGAGGGTCCAAGCTGAATAAGTTAGCAGGTAAAACAGAGGGAGAAAAATCAATTTGAGACAAACCTGGGACACAGAATAGACCTAATTGCTCATTGTACAAACAACAAATTGTTTGAGAAGAAATACTGATTGCTGTGTTTTCCCATTTGGATACTAATGCTAGCTGCTTTGAGTACTGTGAGCTACCATTGGTTTTAACACTAAAGCATAGACCATCACTTAATGTTTGTGTTTTAACATTATATTTTTCAAAATTCTTGACTTTAAAATTACTTATCCACCCAAACAGAATGAGCTACAAAATACCCACCTAATATTATAAGCATTATAATTTTGTTCTATTCAAATTAAGAAAAAAAATGGGAATTATTTGCTGACTTAGAGCTAAATCATGTATATTGACTTGGTATTTGCTCCTTGAAAGAAAAAAGCTTTGAGTTCAAAAAGCCTGGATCATAACCCCGAATCTAGGTCCTACTGTTTCTGAGCCTTGGTAAAATTATTTAATCTATGTTAGCTTCATGTTTCTCTTTTGCAAAATGGAATATATATAAATTCACCAGGGTATTGTAAACATGAAACAAAATGATAGGTCTAGTATCTATGATTAAGTCTGGCCTATTTCAGACACACAATAAACATGCTTTCCTAGTTTCACTCTGAGGACACAAAGTTAAATGAATTGTGACACAAAGAAGCTCTAATCTAGTGAGAGAAAAAAACAAACACAAAATGTGCTAAAAGATTCAATAAATGTTAATAAGAAGGAAAGGATAGTAGTTGTGCTGTAACTCACCATTCCTACAGCGAGGGTAGTGTTGGAGAGACAAGCAAAGGAAAGAGGAGAAGAAAGAGGAGGATGTGACTTCTGATATATTCTCTTTTAAATCTAAACTTGTATTTTCAGATGGTTATACCAACATTTAAAGAAAATACGCGGCTCCCACAAAACCTAGATATGGGCTCCTCTATAAGAGATGATAACCAAGAGATGGTGAGATGAAGAATAGAGATGTAGAAGAGGCAGGTATCTACTTTTAAAATACATCACACACTTGATAATGAGTTCTGTGTTCATCCAGTCGGGAGACATAACAAGATGACAATGTCGGTAAACGCGGTGCCAAACAAAAGTAAGGGAGCAGATGGGATTTTCAATTACAATTTGGAATTAAGAAGTATAAGTTCTTATTCACAGAATTTTACAAATCCTTTGAAGTTGATAATTCCAGTAGAACCAAATTATCAAAATTGGCAGGAACAGAGGAGAGTACAATGAAAACAATAAATGGTGCTGATTGCAACCCAATCAGCAAACTTAAATCTTAAGCCTATGGTAGAAGAATTGAAGAACGTATTTGATGTTTTTATGTATGTGCATCTTCTCTTAAATAGTAAGCAGCTGTTTTATTATACAGAAAGAAGCCAGACCCCAAATTTGACAAGAAAGTCAGCAAAAATAAATTCAAGAGTTGATTTTTATTGCTAAGTGCACACAAATCAAATGTTCTGCATTCTAGAAATAACAGTAGCAGGAATGCAAAAGCAATATGTAACTTTGAGGTTTTAGTCAGTTTATTTTCTAAGGTTTTCAAATGTGCTTTCTTTTGCTTTAAGTCCTGTTTACATTTCTTGATTTAGTAAAGGGGTGTAACAGGATTTGGAAATGTATACACTGCCAACTGGTACTGAGGCAATTCTGAGATTTTCAGCATTATTGAATATAGAAAAGAATATTGTCAGCAACTCAATACAAGCTCTGACCATATTAAAATGTCTTCTCATTTCAGAAATAGTATAAAGTTAATCATATTTTCTCAATTTCATATTAAATAAAGAAGTGAATCTCCCTCTCTTTTTCTCATTCTCTCTTCTCCTGCTCTCGTCCTCTCTCTCTCTCTCTCTCTCTCTCTATATATATATATATATGTATACACACACACACACACACACACACAGGTATATATATACACACATACATAAACATCTACACACATAGATATGTGACTGTGTGTGTAATGTATATCTTTAGATAAAAAGATGACTTACCTTTACATAATTATCTCAAATAGAATGTAAAAAATAGATTTGAAATCTATTAAACTTTACAAAAACATGAATATAAAAATGGATTTGATTTCCTATAAACTATAATTATTTCAAAAACTGTTAAAATGTATATTTAATAAATGTTTTAAAGGTAAGAAAATCTTTTCTTTCTGTACAGATAAAACAAGTTAAATAGCAAAAAGATTTTATTTTTATTAGTCTATAGATATTCTATGCTTTCTTGTATTAATTTTGGTAATTTACATTTCTATAGAAAACTTATGTTATTTATTTAAATATATAAATATAGTTCTATGTTTTTTAATGAAGTATGTTACTATTTTCCTTTGAGGAAAATGAGATATAAATTATCCTTAGAGTTGAATTCAAGCTTTGAATCTTTGCCATATACAATGTAATACAAAGTGAAGTAGGAATTAAATAAAGGTTGAAAAACTGCCAAAAAATGTTATAAATATTACCACTCTACCCTTATTGGTTGAATCTGAATGTGTGTTAATTTAAATTTGACAGTCACTGAATCATATTAATACGTGTATGTTTTTTAAGTGGCCTTCACAAAGAGCTTTTCTACCTAGCTCATGGAAATTGTATTGTAGCTTCAGTATATTGTAGTTACTTTTTTACAAAAGAGAAAGAGTATCTCAAATAATATATTGATTTTAAAGAAACAACAACTTTGTGGTAGGACAACCTGGTATGCCAATAGCTAGGGAAATCTAAAAATAATGATCAATATTTAGTGTTTTACTGAATAAATACTGTAACCTCTTTAAACTATATATTCCCAGGACAGATTCAAATGCCCTTTCATTCAGCCTGAGTGTCACTTTCTACCTCTTCCCTGCTGACTGCAAAGCAATTCTGGCAGAGAAGGTAGAGGGGGATTTTATTCTGTGCTCAAGTATAAAATAGCATTCATCTGACCAACTTCTGAAAGAAGCCCGAAAAACAACAGTCCTTGATAAGGACTTTATTCTCAATAAAAATTTGTTGAATGAAAAAATGATGAAATGATAGATAAAACAAACTATACTTATGAATTATTTATATTTTCATTATCATAGTTTATGAAGTTAATTGCAAGATGTATCTTTAAGCAAGACAGCTAAAAAGTAAAGGGCATTACTGAACCTTTCCCAATTGAGCGAATGAAAACAAAACTTATATAATGGAGTGTCATATACATTTCAAGCAATGAAATATAAAGTCACATGTGCATGTTTCAGAAAAACACATCTACCAAAAGTAAAATGCTTTGCTCTGCCCTAGTATGGAAGGCCACTGATGCTCGTTTTCTATTTAACAACTAAGTAAAAGTAAAAGTTGTCAACCACTCTGTCCATGGTTGCACTATTTACTAATCTGAAATCTAGAATTTATTTGTTTAAATTAGATCAGGCAGCAACAGTGATAAATATTTTCAGTTATAATATTTTAGAATGCTAATTAATAAGTGTGTTGATATTCCAATGACTAACATCTAGACAGGCTGTGAAGGAAAACCTGCAAACTCTCAGACTTAAGGATGTTGAATTGGCTTGAGAAAAGCAAGAGCTCAGGAAGCAAAGATTCTATGTTTATTACTATAGAACTTTAGAATTAATATTCCATTTCAAATTATATTCATCAGATATTTAAACTGAATTAATTATTATGTATGTACAGAAAAAAGAAAAATGTTATTGCAGTTATGTTTTATATTTAAGAAGTTTACAATCTTTGTGGGTTTAGTCACTAATAGAAACTGCTTCATTTCTGTCAGTTTCTTTAAAATGTGCAATTTGGCTTATTTCTAGGTGCAAGAAAGAAATGCAATCCTACTTTTCAAATTATATTTTATTTTTAATTAAACCCTTCATGTTTATGAGAATAGTCTGAACCTCTTGGACACTGGTTAATTTTATTTGTGGTGTTTTGATTCATCAATGTAAGGAATAGGCTTTACAAAGGGGATAAATTGAAGAGGTGGGAAATGTTTTATTAAGTACAATTGAAGTTGATTACTATTCTACAGAATGACAAAATTACTTGGTCAAGGCTTATTAATATATTTTATCTTAAGCAAAAGTCAATGACATGAGACCCCCATATCAAATATGTGTAGTAAACAGAGAAAAAACAAGGAAAAAATTTCAATAACCAAGACCCGTGGTAGGTAATATTCTGATTCTAACCCATATACTTCTCCACACATAATTTTATTAGCCATAATGCCCTACAAAATTATAGTATATCATCCTCTACTCAACCATTCTTCTTCTCATTGCAAAAAGTTACTAATATTTGTTACATTTTCATGAATCACTGATATTAGCAAGCCCTTAAAATGAAAGCAGATGGCATTAATCTCTGTCCTTGGCACTTTAATACTTTGGAGGTGATAATGACTCAAATTACAGAAACTTTTACACCTATTATGGAGCTAGTCACACTCTTCTTATATTGTTTTTATAGATTAAAATGAATACATGCTCATAAAATCAAAATAATATAGAAGCTTGTAAAGAAATAAAAAATAGCACCTTTTCAATACACCCAATTCCACACTTCACACCACACTCCCTATTGTTAACAGTTTGGGGTCACTTCTTTTGGTCATTCAGCTATGCATTAATAAGCATTCATAGTTGGGCTTGGTTTTGACTTAATAAAAGATTTAACAGAATTTGCAAAATAAATCCTATTATACATATTTAGTGCAATTTTTTCAGATAGAACAATATACATATATATATACATATTTTTGAGATGGAGTTTCGCTCTTGTTGCCCAAGCTGGAGTGCAATGGTGTGATCTTGGCTCACTGCAACCTCTGTCTCCAGGGTTCAAGCGATTCTCCTGCCCCAGCCTCCTGAGTAGCTGGGATTACAGACCCATGCCCAGTTAATTTTTTTGTATTTTTAGCAGAAACAGTGTTTTACCGTGTTAGCAAGGCTGGTCTCAAACTCCTGACTTCAGGTGATCTGCCTGGGGAATGTTCTTGGCACAGTTTCTAAGAGCAATCAGAAATGTCATTTCTTATTTTATTAATATGAGGAGTATTAATAATTAAAATTACCATAGTTTTTATATTATACATATATATATATATATTGGCATTTTTACTCTTTTACCAACTGTCTGGTTCATGTACCGCCTTGATAGTATGAATTACCAATCTTATTGAAATAAGTATCAGTGCAATAGATAATCTAATTTTTTTGTATTATTAATGTTCATTTTTGTTACTTTTTCTTTTATGTCTAGCTGGCTCATAACTATTGAACATATTGTTACTCTACTTTTTATTATTTTCTCATCACTTGATTTGTAGGAAGTTTTTTGTATATTACAGATATTAACTTTTTTTCATGATATATGTAAATATGTTTAAGTTGGTCTTTTAAACACTCATTCTAAGAGTCTATATATCTTTCAGTAAAGGTGTGTAACCTATTCATATGTTACGTAATTTCTGGTAGGTTTCTATATATTCTGTCTTCTTTTTTAGTTTTATTATTATATGTTTTCACATTTCTTTTTTGGACTTCATGATTTTGTTATACTAGTAGCATTGTCTTTGCCCTATCTTTTTTTTTTTTTTAATGATTCAGAACTCAAGAATCATGTTACTATCTTCTATACTTACCCTTAGGTGTTTTTAAACAATATTATGCTTGTGCTTTTCTGGAAACTTCGATATATCCAGAAACAACAATAGGCAAACTCTGGGCAAAAGTGTCGCCTGAAACTGGTGGGCAATATTTTATTAACTTCTGTTTCATTTCCACCTCTTTATTAAAGCATAGAAAATTATTAGTTTTATATATATGCTTTTTCTTTAGGGATTCTTTCTTAATCTTGAATGAAACTTTACTGCAAAATTTTCAACGCAGCTTAATTTATAATCATTTTGGTTTCTTCTTCATTGTCCTTTTGAATCGCATAGATTCTCCCTTACAAATTTATTTCTATATGGAAAAATCCTGAAGTAATTTTTCCCTGAAATAATACATAGATGTGAGCTTTGGTAATTTTTAGTTTAGTTTATCAAATAGTTTATGTTTCTTCCTGTTCACATAACTGTGTATTCCCAACCCTTTGAAGTTAATTGTGGGCAAATGATTTAGTGGAAATTGAATTTAAAATGGTATATGTAACATTTGAATGGATTATTTTTAAGAGTAACTGAGCAATTTTTCACACTGTTTTTCCTTCTGCCAGGCAATGTTTCAGATGGTGGCCACTCTGCGTAGTTTCTTTTCTGGATTAAGAACACTGTGGAGCACAGCTGCCAGCTGATCTCCAAACATATGGAGCTTGAGCAAGAAAAAAACCTTTTATATATGCCGCTGTGTTTTGGGGATGTTTATTTTTACGGCATAACTTAGATAATGAGATAGTAATTGGCAACTGCAAGGTGATTTTGCAAACATATATATACACAATATTGTTTGGCTTGTTGCTTCGTAGGAAGTGAGGAAATTATTATCAGCGCTCAGGAAAATGAGAAACTGATTTTATGAAGCGACAAAGCATTTAACAAAACTGTTACTTGCTCCAACTTGGGAAGCTTATCATGGGCCTCATTTTGAAAAAAAAATAATGGTTTTAGGTAAAGTAGCTGAAGATTAGAATGTGGATACTCTTCTGATTGCTGTTTGATCAATGTGGTAAGGTATTATAAACAAGATCTGATTTCAGGATACAATTGGCTGATGTAATGGATGTTGTGATATTCTGTGATCGCTCTTTATGAATAGAATACTTATTTCGCAAATTACTGTGAATGATGCTGGGAGATGGTACTCAGCTCTCAACTCTCACTAGGAGTTGCCTCAGTAAAAAAGAAAAACAACAAGCAAACGAAAACTTCCATATCCAAGTTCATACCTTTTTTAGAGACTGCCTTCATCCACTCACTTAAAGTGAGACTATGAAAATCTGGGCTTCTTGCTCCCTTTCAGGAAATGTCATTTCTTATTAATTTTTTATTAATACATAATGATTGCACATATTTCTGAGATACATGCGAAATTTTGGTACATACATTCAATACCTAGTGATCAAATCAGGGTGATTGGGCTATTCGTGACCTAAAAAACTTATCGTTTCTTTTTGTTGGGTATATTTCAAATCTTTCTTCTAGCTATATTGAAATATACAATATATTATTGTCAACTATAGTCACCCCGCTGTACTACGGAATACAAGAATTTACTGCTTTCATCAAACTATTTTTGTATCCATTAACCAACCTCTCTTTATCTCCTCTTCACTCTACGCTTCCAAGCTTCTGGTAGCCACCACTCTACTTTCTTCCTCTATGAGATCAACTCTTCTAGCTCCCACATGTGAGTGAAAGCATTTAAGATTTGTGTATCTGTGCCTAGATTATTTCGTTTAACTAACAACCTCTAGTTCTATCTATGTTGCTGCAAATGTAATGATTTCATTCTTTTTACTTATGAATAATATTCTATTATGTAGATATATCATGTTTTCTTTATCCATTCATATATTGACGGAGACTTAGAATGATTCCTTATCTTACCTATTGTGAATAGTGCTACAGTACGCATGAAACCATTCCTGACAACTCTTAAGGCAGTGTCCCAGCTTCAAGGAACCTGTGCATCTGAGATACTCATTGTGATTGCCTCACAGCTCAATTTGTCCCTCTGCTCCAACTTACTTCTGCTCCCTCCCTTCTACAGATGAGGATCCAAAGGACACCCTAATTAATATCTTTCACTGGGATATGGTAACCTTCATTCAGAGTCTGATTCTGGGGACCTAGAGATTACTGTTGTACAAGCCTGAATAATTTCTTTTGAGTCTATAATTGTTTAAAAGAAACAGTTCAAAAATTATTTTAAAAATTGAAGGCAGTTTGTCACTCTATTTAGATTCTTTAGAAAGATTTGAGCTGTTATTGCAAACATCAATAATAATAGCCTGCCATCAAGAAAGCTACAATAAGAGAATGTTTTAAACATACAATTATGACAGTTGATTTTTTTTAAAAAATTCAATGTATGAACCAAGTAAAAAACATTTATGGCAAAGCTTATCTGGAAGATAAAGTAATGGCCTGCTTAATAAGTACAGCAGTAAGGCAGAATGATAAAAGCATGAGAAGATAGAACTTATGGGAATTCAACCCAGACACCCCACATATATGTAACACATGTTCCAGAAGAAAGGAATAGACATAGTAAAGGAGAGAATATCATCTCAGAAATTATACAGAACTGGAAAAATCTATAAGACTTTGTATTGAAAGGACACAAATGATAGCCTTACTTTTGTTTTATAAAAGATGAAATGAAACTTCAGTTTAATATTCAGCCGTCCAATCATTAAAATATGTTTTCCTCCCTCCTTCTTTTTCTTTTTCATATGCGCGTCGTGCACACACACACACTCTCTCTCTCTCTCACACACCCGCACACATGCACACACACACACACACACACACACACACACACTCAGCATGCAGTTTCAGTAAAACAGACACAGGCTACCAGAATAAATATCCCACATTAAGAAAGAGATATACAGTAAGATACAGCAGTCCACAGTCACTGGTCTATGGAAAGTAAGAAATTCTTCTGGCCAGACATTATGAGAGTCAGCTACCATGGGAATTGAATGTATTCTTTGATGAGGCCTAAATCCTGATCTCAGGGAGAGAGTTTTAAATCCATTCTTCTTGATGAACACTGTTTACATGTTCTTGGATGGCCTAAGTCTCCAATAATCTTCTTGGCCACATCTAAATGTGACTTTTGGTTAATATACCTTTTCTGAAGACGAAGTAACTTTTGTAGACTTTTCCCTTCCTTAAGAGACTTGGGAGCCCATGGTTTGTTCTAAGTCTGGTATAGTCATTCCCTTCTTTAATACAACTCTCCTGAACCCTGAAGTCTTCTTGTTTATTGAGTGGACATGTTCACATCTCTTAATATATGTTTTAGATTTAACACATTATGTTTGCCCTCCCTTTAGTCTCTTCTTTCTTTCTATTCTTTGTGTGCATCTTAAGTAAGGTGTGAGGGTCATGCTTTTGATTATATATTTAACTTATCCATTAGAGAAAAATGTAGTAGTAGGGAATTTTATAACATATGGCTGAGATTTACGACAGTGATTTATCTTCACATTATAAAAAGATAAATATATTTTGCCTGCTGGTGATATACAATAGGAAGTACACATCACTGCCTAAGCAGTATTCTTACCGAAATTGAACCTCGTATGATGAAGGCTGTAAACTTAACTACCATTGTATAAGAAATACAAGGGATAGAAGAATATATTAAATGGTGTTGTATAAAATAAAATCCAGAGTCAGGAAAGTCTACAGAATCAATGACCTGATTTTTTCAAAAATTATATTACAGATATTAAAGGATTTAAGCAATATATTAATCAAATGTAAGACACAGGGATTTCTTATCTGGATTTATCAAACATTGGAAAGCACCAAAAATGTATATTTGAGAAAATATAAATAACAAATCAATATTAGATTATGTTAAGGTTTATAGAAACCTATATCTTAGAAATACATATTAATGATTACTCACTGTCGATGAAGTGACATAAGATTTATGTTTGTCTTAGGATCAAGAGGGGATGAAGACGTGGTTGAGTATTTGAGGGTTATATATAAAAATGTGTTCATGCATTGATGATTATTAAAGCTAGGTAATAAGTACAAAGAAGTACATTGCATTATGGTTTATATTTGAAATAAATTTTATAGTAAAATTTTAAAAACAAATCACAGAAAAATAGGGTTATTTGGAAGATAATGCTTAGAAATTGACTCACCATATAAAAAGTAAAAATGAACATCACTGAGTGCACATATTTAAAATAAGTATTACACAGAATAATGATTTGAATGTCAAAGGTAAAACACAAAGTAAGATGTGTTTTTCTAGGTTAATGATTGTATGATAATATTTACAATGTATAAAACTAGCAAAAAATGAAAAACTCTTGTAAACCAATAAGAAAAATATTATGAAATTTAGTATTAATTATCCAATGACATGAATTAGGCAGTTTAGAAATGCAAAACATAAGTATTAAAATGATGCAAATCAGATCAAATGTGAGATATCATTTAACAAGAGCCTAGACAAAATTTTAAATAATAAGTGTTGGGGTGAATATAAAGGAAATAGAAAATATATAAAAAGTGCTCTATTTAGAGAGAGAGACTGTGTGTATGCACGTGTGGGTGTACCTCTAATAATCATGCTTGTAATACACTGGTTTGTGTTGAGTTTCTAAGAATGGGCAGAATTTAAATGGGTATGGAGTTTGTAATTCTAAGCAATAAAAATAACATAAGCTCACAGAAGAGTAAATTAATACATGTTTGTGTGGGGAGGAAGGAACAGTAATGTGATTTGACTTTATTTATTAAATTATTTATAGCCTTGAGCAGAATATGATAGAGAATAATGAATAAACAAATAGTAGTCAAGGGCATAATCTCTACTTGGTAACACATCTAGTGAACAAACACAGATAAATGATAAAAAAAAAAAAAAAAGGCTTGCAAACTGATAAGTATGACAGCCTGGTTCTGGTCCAAGTGAGAGGTGAAGCCAGCTGGATTTCCTGGGTCGAGTGGGGACTTGGAGAACTTTTCTGTCTAGCTAGAGGATTGTAAATGTACCAATCAGCACTCTGTAAAAACACAGCATTCAGCACTCTGTGTATAGCTAAAGGATTGTAAATGCACCAATCAGCACTCTGTAAAAATGCACCAATCAGCGCTCTGTAAAATGGACCAATCAGCAGAACATGGACAGGGCCAAATAAGGGAATAAAAGCTGGCCACCCCAACCAGCAGCAGCAACCTGCTCGGGTCCCCTTCCACGCTGCAGAAGCTTCGTCCTTTTGCTCTTCACAATAAATCTTACTGCTGCTCACTCTTTGGGTCTGCACTACCTTTATGAGCTGTAACACTCACCACGAAGGTCCACGGCTTCATTCTTGAGGTCAGTGAGACCAAGAACCCACCAGAAGGAATAAATTCCAGACACACGTGTTCCAATATCGGAGATAGTTTTAGAGAGCAAAGATTTACCTGCATGGAGAATGGACCCCATGTAACCTCTAGCACCATTTAGTCTGTAAGGATATACAAGGTATTCAGGATCATTTGGTCAAGCATTAGATGAACTGTCCACATGTTAAGTAAGTTCAATATTGCATTTCACTTTTTAGAAGACATTTACAGTAAAGTTTTTCACACCAATAGTTTGAATTTTTTTCGTACGCTTCAGAAGCTTTCTCATATATTTAGTATAATTTTTTAATATTATGCCCACATTTGAGGTCATTTAGTTGAACACCTTCGGTTTTACACAACAGGAAACTGATTTCCAGAGAGGTGAAATGACTTCCACAGTATCACAAGCCAAGTCTACAGAAGATCATTACTAAAGTCCTCTGCTCAATCTAAATTAATAGACCTCCACAACGGTGTGTGATTTCTGCTTGTTGGAAGGCCTTAGGAATGAATGAAATGTAAGAAGCAACTGTATCTTCTCTCAGTGGAGAATCTCCATAGGTTACCCTTGTTTAAAGTTGTTGTTTCTAGTACCTGTTTGAAAGACCTGACAGATTGCAACATTTGACTTTTCCTAGCTTTTTCAGCAGATATATAACTGCTTTCCATGAATGACATATTTAAATTTCAATATAAAATAAATATGTATGAATCTACTTCAAGTGCATTTTGATATCTAAAAAGTAATTTTTGGTAATATAATCCACTACACTTTTCTTTAATAAAACTTTGGAATGCCGTAACCTTGAAAATCTTTTTTCCCTTTACTACTGTTGTATAATTTTAGAATTAGATTTCTAGGGCTTAGTAATTTCTTTCCGTCTCATAGTTTATCATCAATCATCATCATTTCTCCATTTCTATACCTCATGAATTTAAATGCTATGTTAGAATTTGCTTTTTATCTTTTCCCCCAAATTTGGTTTTCTTTTCATTAGGAAGCACACATTTTATGAATAACAATAACTATTTAAATGCTCATAAATCTAGATCTTAAATAAAGAGTAAAATTTAAATTTAAATAAAACTTACATTTAATGAGAGACTATTATATATGTATATATGTCTATATGATGCTATCTGCACCATATTTTGCATGAATTTGCTTATATTCACCCTCTAACAGTGAAAACAGATAGCTAATTCTAAGATAACTCTGAAACAAGTATATGCATGTTTTTCAATAGCTTGCCAGGCATATTTTTAAAAATTCAAACTGGAGAAATGAATTATTAGACTAAACTTTATTCTGTATATATATATTCCTTCTCATTTTCCTTTATCTTCTACAGAAACAGAGATCTAACAGGCTTTTGCCTAACAAGTCGTACGGATTTTTAAATTCAGATTCAAATCTAATGTATAACTTTCAGTTGACAGACATATTCTGCCTATTGAAATTTTATCTTTGGAGTGTAAAAACCTTAGCAATATGAAGGAGAAAAATAAGAAATTTTTTTTTTGCATAGAGAAAACATTTGAATAGTGACAACCTGATACTTGAAAATTCAAAAACCTACATAATGAAAAATGCAAATATTTTTGCAAACATGACCTGAAGCTAAAGTGTTTGACTACATTTGCTTTTAAGGACTTACATAGTAAAACACAATATTTACGCTATCGATGTATCATTTCCACATAAATATAAACATTATTTTTCTATTTAAAAGTTTAAAAATTACAACTTCTATAGAGATAAAATAATTTGTTATAAATAACTTTAATAATGGTATTTTCTCAGGTATCAGAATATGACATTACTCATGAAACATATAAACTACTGGCTTATTTATCTTTCTCTCTTAGACAGATATTTGTGTATGTGTATGGTTTATAAGATACTGTAAACTACTTAAGAAAAAATTATTTATAAATGGTAATGAACCAAAATAGAAAATAAAAATACTTTACATGAAATTTTCAGCGTGTTTCCACAGTATATAACAATACCTCTCACTCAACTGAAAATATAAACTCAATAAAGATTTCAAGTAACCTCTTTACTAACTTGTTTTTATTCTTGAGAGAAATCCTGTTAATTAAATTTCCAAGACTGAATAATCTGTTAATTTCTTAAGTTTCAGATAGCATAAAGGCTCCTTGACTTCCTAAAAAAGATCTTATTTTCCCTCAGTGCTCCTCAATCTCTCCATCCAACTGACAGCTAAGCATCAAAAGTAAGATAGAAATAATTACCATGAAAACAAAATGTTCAACATGTTACTCATGGTAACTTGGTCTTCAGGAAATCTGTGAATATGGCTAATTTTTTTAAGCGGACAAGCAGATGGGGGTAAAAACAGGAGTATTGTTTAATATTTATAATCAGATGAGATGAAGAATGGATGAGCAGAAGGTTCTATCTTCTCTAATGAAAATTTACAGTCCTTTGCTCAGTTTGAAAACCTGCATCAATTCTCAGATTCAGAATATACCCATAAAAAGAGACACCCCAGCTACCCATGAAAAAGTTCTCCACAACACTATAGCAATTGTATACAGTATAAATTACCTGACTTTTTCCAGAAAGGGACTTAAAGTCATTGTGGTTAATTATTCTATTTATTTTGGTAGTTACACAATGAGGAATAAAGAATACTTGAATCTTTTGAAATACATCGTATAAATATGTGAGTTGATATATATTGCAGTTATTATATACCTCTGCTTCCTACAGTGTCTCAGCAAACACTAATTTGCAAGGACTCATAAAATATCTCTTCAAATGATATGAGTTCTTGAATAATATTACTTCACACTAAAGCAAGTATGGCATTGAAAACATAAACATGGGAATTATTGACTCTACTACATAGTGCAGTATTCTAGAAGCTGCCAGCCTTATGATGAACAGCCTCTGGAAGATATAGTTGAGGTGACAGCTTGAAAATAATACTCTGAACAAAATGTGTTGAGGGTTTAGCAATATCCTAAAACAGTGGTCATTATGTAATACTGTGTTGTCAATGTAATCCTGTTCCAAAATATAGGAAACAGGAACCAAGAGGTAACTGGAGTGGCCCCAGTGACTCTGGAGAAGTATATGTGCTTCCCATCTCTGCAATTCCAGGTGCATTAATCTAGGGTCCCAGGTTTTCAGAGAGAGAGAAAGCTTATATCAAGGATCAGAGAGAAGACACCCACAAAACAAACTTTGCTACTGCCTGATCGCATTCGGCTCCCCATGCCAGTAGGACAGAAATTAGAGCAATGGCCTACCAGTCTGGCAGAATTAAATTACCCTGATCATTATAAAGAGTTTGTATTGCGTTTGTATTGCTTCTACATTATGGCGCAGTTGACATTATGTATGACATTCAAGTGATCCCTTGAGGTAATTTTTATTCTTCCATAAAAATTTTTATTAGTAAATGAACAAGAACAGATCCTATAAATTGATAATTACATTCTAACTTGGTCTTTAAACACTTTGGGAATGAGGATTTGGTCCAACTCAACAGACAAGCCATTGGAATTAGCAGAAGTGCCAGCTAAGTGGAAGAGGGAACCAGTAGAATACCAAGGTAATGAATATCTGTTAAGGAATGTGGACCAACTAGAGCACTGAGACCCTATATTTACTTTCACTAACCTTTCTCTTGTAATGACACCCAGAAGTTGTGAATAACCAGAGCCCTAAGAAGGCTATAACCAAATGAAGTGAATCTAATATGAAAAGTATTGTGTTGAGGTATGTTTCTTCTTTACCTAGTTTTTGAGAGTTTTTGTTATGAACGGATGCGAATTTTATCCTTTGCTTTTTTAGCATCAATTGCAATAATCATGTGGGTTTTGTCCTTCATTTTGTTGACACGATGTATCATATAGATTGATTAGTGTATATTAAACCATCCTCGCATCCCTGGGATAAATCCCACCTGGTCATGAGGAGTGATCTTATTAAGGTGTTGCTGAATTCAGTTAGCTAGTACTTTTATTGAGGATTTTTGCATCAATGTTTATCAGAGATATTGGCCTGTAGTTTTATTTATTTATTTGGTGTGTCATTTTCTGGTTTTGGTATCAGGCTGTGAGGCTCACATTGGCTTCATAAAATAAGCTTCTAGTATTCCCTCTTCCTCTGTTTTTCAGAATACTTCGAGGAGGATTGGTATCAGTTCTTTAAATGTTTGGTAAAATTTATCAGTGCAGTCATCAGCTCCCAGGCTTTGCTTTTCTAGGAGACTTTTATTATGATTTTGATCTCATGACTTGTTATTGGTCTATTCAGGTTTTGGATTTCTTCACATTTCAATCTTGGTAGTTTGCATGTGTCTGGAAATGGATCCATTTCTTCTAGATTTTTAAATTTATTGGCATATAGTTTCTCATAGTATTCTCTAATAACCTTCTGAATTGCTGTGGTATCAATTATAATGTCTCCTCTATCCTCTCTGATTTTATTTATCTGGGTCTTCTTTTCTTTTTCTTAGTCTGGCTAAGTTTTTTTTTTTTTTTAATTTTTATCTTTCCAAAAAACAAAATTTTTTTTTGTTGATCTTTTGGGGTTTTTTAAATTTTAATTTCATTTATTTCTGCTGATATTTGTTAATTCTTTTCTTCTAATTTTGTGTTTGACTTGCTCTTGCTTTTCTAGCTCTTTAAGATGCATCATTAGGTTATTTATTATAGCTATAAAAGTCTCTCTTAGTACTGTTTTTGTTGTGTCCTGTACATTTTGGTATGCTATGTTTCTATTATAGTTTGTGTTACAATTTTTTTAAATGGTCTTCTTTATTTCTTTATTGACATTCAGGTCATTCAGGAGCATATTTTTTAATTTCCATGTGTAGGTATAGTTTCCAAAGTATCTGTTTTTATTGATTTGTAGTTTTATTCCATTGTGGTCAGAGAAGGCATTTGATATTATTTCAATATATTTGAATGTTTAAGACTGGTTTTGTGGTCTAACATATGGTCTATCCATTAGAATGCTCCACATGATGAGAAGAATGTTTATTCTACAGCCATTGGATGAAAAGTCCTGTAAATATATATTAGGTCCATTTGGTCTATAGTGCAGTTTAAGTCCACTGTTTCTTTGTTGACTTTCTGTTTGGATGATCTGTCCAATGCTGAAAAGTAGATGTTGAAGTCTCCAGCTATTTTTGTACTGAGGTCTATCTCTCTCTTTAACTTTAATAATATTTGCTTTATATATCTTGGTGGTTCAGTGTTGGGTGGCTATTAAATTGTTATAGTCTCTTGCTGAATTGACCCTTATATTAATATGTAATAATGTTGTCTCTTTTTATTGTTTTTATATTAAAAATTGATTTTATCTGATATAAGTTTAGCTACTCCTGCACTTTTTGGTTTCCATTTGCATGGAGTATTTTTTTCCACCTATTTATTATTAGTCTACATGTGTCTTCATAGGTGAAGTGTGTTTCTTGTAAGTAGCATATAGTTGAAATTTTATTTTTATCCATTCAGCCAATCTGTGACTTTTGATTGGAGAGTTTGACCCATTTACACTTAATGTAATTATTGATCAAGATTTACTACTGCCATTCTGGTATTTATTTTCTGGTTGTTTTGAGTCTTCTCTTCCTTCTTTCCTTCTTGTCTTACTTTTTATGAAGATGATTTTTTCTGGTAGTATATCTTATTTTTTGTATTTTTTATGTATATATATTGTAGGTTTTTGGTTTGAGGTTACCATGAGGTTTGAAAAAACAGCTTATAACTCCTTATGGTAAACTGGTGACAACACTGCAAAAAGAAACAAACAAGCAGTTAGAAAAGTAATAAAAACTACACTTTAACTTTATTTCCCCTGATTTTTATTTTTTGTCTATTTATCTGATTATACCATCTATATCTTGAAAAATTGCCAGTTTTTTTTGAAAAATATCCCTAATGAAGATATGAGTAGTTTACACAACATAATTACAGTGTTGTAATATTCTCTACTTGTCAGTGTGCTTATTATTATCAGTGAGTTTTGTACCTTCATATGTTTCTTATTGCTCATTAACATCCCTTACTTTCAGATTGAATAACTCTTTTTAGTATTTCTTGTGGAACAGTTCTAGTGTTGATGAGATTGCTCAGTTTTTGTTTGTCTGAGAAAGTATCTCTCCAAGTTTGAAGGATATTTTCACTGCATATACTATTCCAGAATTAAAAGGGGTTTTTTTGTTGTTTTTTTCTTCAGTACTTTAAATATGCCATGTCACTCTCTCCTGGCTTCTGAAGTTTCTATAGATAAGTCTGCGGCCAGACATATTGGAGCTCTTTTGTTTTTTATTTGTTTCTTTTCTCTTGCTGCCTTATGATCTTTTATTTATCCTTGACATTTGGGAGTTTGACCATTAAAATTCTTGAGGTAGTCTACTTTCATTTAAATCTGCCTAGTGTTCTATAATTATCTTATACTTGTATATTGATACCTTTCTCTAGGCTTGAGAAGTTCTTGCTTCCCTTTTAATAAACCTTCTACCATTATCTCTCTCTTTACCTCCTCTTTAAGGCCAATAATTTAGATTTGCCCTTGTGAGCATATTTTCTAGATCTTGTAGGTGTGTTTTATTCTTTTTTATTCTTTTTTTTCTGTCCCCTCTTACTGTGTATTTTCAAATAACCTGTATTCAAACTTACTAATTCATTCTTCTGCTTGACCAGTTCTGCTATTGAGAGACTCTGATGCATTCTTTAGCATGTTAATTGCATCTTTCAGCTCTAGAATTTCTACTTCATTTTAAAATTATTTCAATCTCTGTTAAATTTGTCTAATAGGACTCTGAATTCCTTCTCTGTGTTAT
The DNA here is from genome assembly GCF_000001405.40 of Homo sapiens. Lineage (NCBI taxonomy): Eukaryota > Metazoa > Chordata > Mammalia > Primates > Hominidae > Homo > Homo sapiens. The sequence goes on along the minus strand of NC_000003.12, from coordinate 145,198,219 downwards.
CCTGAAGATCACTGAGTTTCCTCAAGGCAGTTGTTTTGAATTCTCTGTGTGAAAGTTTACATCTCTGTCATTCTGGGATTGATCACTGGTGCCTTATTTAGTTTTTTGTTGAGGGTTGGTTTTCCTGGATGGTCTTAATGCTTATGGATATTTGCTGATGTCTGGGCATTGAAGAATGAGGTGTTTATTTTAATCTTCACAGTGTAGATTTGTTTGTATCCATACTTCTTGTGAAGGCTTTCCAAGTATTCAAAGAGAATTGAGTGTTGTAATCTAACTATTTAGTCACTGAAGCTGTATCTGCATTAGGCGACACCCAAAGGGCAGTTATGCTGTTTCTCTTGTAGAACTTCCACCTTGGGGGTCTTAGGTAAGATCTAGGAGAATTCCCTGGATTATCAGGCAGAGGCTCTTGTTCTCTTCTTTTAGTTTACTCCCAAATAAATGGGGTGTCTCTCTCCATGCTGAGCTACCTGGAGTTGGGGGAGGGAAGACAAAGTACCCTTTTGGCCATCACCATTGTAACTGTTATGGGTCAGACCTGAAGCCAGCATAATATAGAATTTGGCCCAAGGCCTGTGGTGACTGTTGCCTGGTTACTGCTAATGTTTATTCAAGGTCAAGGGGCTTTTAATCTGCAAGTGGTGAATCTAGCCCAGCTTGTGTCTTTTGCTTCATGGCAGCAAGTTCCCTTCTGGCCCAGGATGGGTCTAGAAATGCTGTCTGGCAGCTAGGTCCTGGAGTTAGAAACTTTATGAGTCTACTTCTTGCTTTGTTGTGCTGTGGCTGAGCTAATATCTGAGTTGCAAGAAGTGCTCCTTACCCTCCCCTCCCCTCTTCCCAAGTGGAAGGAAGGAGTCTCTCTCAGGAGCTTCAACCTGTTTTGCCTGGCGTTGGGGGAGGAGTGACATAAGCACTCCCTTGGCTGCCCCAGCTCATGTCTTAGTAGGTTATATGCTCTCCAAGGTCACTGGCACTGAGCCCAGAACAACCAGGACTTGCCTAGCAGTTGCAGTCCTTGTCACCTAGACTGTCTTTCAAGTTTATTTAGAACCCCAGAGCACTTTATCCCATAGTGGTGTGGCTAGCCAGAACTCAAGTTCTAACCACTGTGATGGATGATTCTCCTCTGACAAAGGCTAGCCTAAATTCTCACTCTGTAAGTGCCACCTTAATTTTGCCCTGTGTTGCTTTCTGCTGTGAAAGGGCAGTGATGAGTTCCGGTGCAAGGTCCCACAATCACCACACTCTCCCTCTCCCAGGCATGTCAGGGATGTGAATTCCCTCTCTGTGCATTGTGGCTGCTGTGGGGAGTTGGGGGATGGGGGACAGAGGGGAAGGGTGGTGATGGCAATTCAAGACTGTTTTTTCTACCCTCCTCAGTGCATCTTTTCTTGATATGATGGTAAAATCAGGTACTGTGATCACTCATCTTATTTTTGGTTTTTATGAAGGTGCTTTCTTGTGTGGATAGTTGTTCACTTTCGTGTTCCTGCTGTGGCAATGATTACTGAAGGGTTCCATTAAGTCATCTTGCTTCACTTCCCTAGGAGATCATTTTTAGTTGAGAAATAGCTAAAATATTAAATAATGTTTATTATTTTGTAAAAGCAAAAAAAACTGAAATATTTATAATTTCCTTTCACATTTTTTCCTCTGTTTTAGAGTCTGTGAAGAAAATTTTATTTTGAGCTGTATCAATGCATCTCTAAAAATGTGGGTTAGTCCACAGTAAGTTTTTCAAAAATATTTTAACTATTTTTTTTAGAATAGAGCATTTGCGTTCAATTTATTAATGCCACATGCTAACTTAGACAATATTTTGACAACACAGTGGAACATAAAAGACTTTCAATAATCCTCCTCATTTTTGTTGTTGTTGTTCCCTATTATTAGCAAGAAAAAAAAACTAATCATAAATTTCATCTCACTTTCCAATTACCCAATTATCTCATCTTGTTTTGAATTTCCTTAAAATCAATATGAACAAACAATATAGGAAAGGAATATGGGCATTATTTGGGAGGTAAGAATTGGCAGAGAGCTTTTAGATAAAGTAACCCACAGATGAATCCTCCAAAAGAGCGGTGTTGGGTAAAGAAAGTTTAGAGTGACAGGGAAGAATAAACATTAATGTATGTGACATTATGTAAAGGTAAACATTTATTGGCTCCATCACGTATTTAGATGTCGCCTGCCTGTTATTATTAGATTCAGTTATTAGCCTTCATTATCTGTATGTTTGAATTATTTCTGAATAAATTGTTATTAGATATTTTGTTTATTTTATATTGAAGAATGGCACATTTAGAAGAAAAAAATAATCCCAAGAAAACTTGTTTTTCTGATTTTCTTTCAAATTTTAATTAATAATTTTATTCATAGAGTTTCTCAAAAAATAAAAATAAAAAACAAACAGCATCCCCCAGCATGAGCTCCAGTCTTCTGTATAATATTAAATTACCTCAACTAAAGACCTGCATCAAATTCACTTTCCTTACTAATTAACTTGGTAGTTACTTATTACATTGAAATTTAAATGTACTAATCAAATGTTTATTTTGTAATTGTATTACATTAACCCTGATTAAGGATGTATTTATCGCTTCAAGGATTACATTAAAATGTAAATGCTACAACTGCTGATGGATGGTAAATTATATCTATCAAGTGAAGCAATTACTAGTGAACTGCAGTAATTGATGCAAAGTCTTTTCTATGTTTGTGAATTCATGACTGCATATATAAGTGAATATGCTGACTTTTTTGAAAGGTAAGTTTCAACATGGAAAATTAGCATATTTGTAATTTACAAATTCTTATATTTCTCTTCCGTAATACAAGTCATTAAATAAAATACAAAGTCAGTAATTAAAAAAATCTTTATTGGAAATGGACACAGAACTATACAACAAAAACATAATTTCCAACACAAATATTCAGATACTTTTTGTTTCTCAGGGAACAAGAAGGGAGTGTAAGAATTATGATGGCTTTGCGGAGGCAGTTTTGTATTAGTTAAGTGTTTCAGGATGTTTGATGAAAGAAAGAACCTAAAAAATACCTTGTAAAATCCAACCAAAGTAATCTTATAATATCATTCTGGAAATACTTTTACTATCTATCTAGTTCATTTGTTTTGGTTATAGTGTGAGACTTCCTTTGACTTTAACCTCATGCTTTTATCCAATCTAAATTTAGAGTAATCAAGTTGCCTATGAAATATGAAAATAAGACATACAAGTCTCTTCTGTTCATTATTTTTTAAAAAAGAGTGTTCTCACTTATAAGTGGGAACTAAGTATTGAACACACATGGAAATAAAGATAGGAACACACATGGAAATAAATATAGGAACAATAATGGACACTACTATATAGTGAAGGAAGAGGGAATGGAGTAAAAACCTATGTACCAGGTACTTTCTCACTACCAAAGTGATGATGGAATCTGTACTCAAAACCTCAGCATCCCACAATGTTCTCATAAAACAAATCTACACATGTACCCTCGTATCTAAAAGTTGAAATGTAAGAAAAAAAGAAAAAAGGAAAAATGAAGAGGACAAAGCTTTTCATTTTTTTTTTTTTTTTTTTTTTTTGAGATGGAGTTCCACTCTTGTTGCCCAGGCTGGGAGTGCAACGGTGCGATCTTGGCTCACCACAACCTCCACCTTCCGGGTCCAAACAATCCTCCTGCCTCAGGCTCCCAAGTAGCTGGGATTACAGGCATGTGCCACCATTCCAGGCTAATTTTGTATTTTTAGTAGAGACGCGGTTTCCCCATGTTGGTCACGCTGGTCTTGAACTCCCGCCCTCAGGTGATCTGCCTGCCTTGGCGTCCCAAAGTGCTGGGATTACAGGTATGAGCCATTGTGCCCTGCCAAAGCGTTTCCTTCTTAAATGAGAGCTAAGTGTTTAAAATGTGTTGATGACTCATGGCTAATCATTTCTGAATCCAACCCCAATAATTAGAAATCTGAAAGGATATGTCTCCTTTCTGGCACGTTCTAGTCTTCTCTTTTTCCTTATTTGTAACTTCTTCCTCTGACAATGAGAAATCTGGCTGTCACCTATTACACATTTACTTATTTTAAAAAACCTTACTATATAGATGAATTAGTTTCAGAATTGCTAACTCTGCTAGTTTTAATCCCTATTTTTTTGTCATACTTCTTTGTAGTCAACCCTTTCCTTCTCCTTGTTCTCTACACCCAGTAAGGATTACTTTTTTTCTCGCTATATAACATTAGTCTTTATTGAAATAGCCATGTTGAAGACTTCAAGTACTATTGTAGATTTGTTTATTTCTCCTCTGAGTTTTATGAGTTATAATGCTATGTATTTTGAAGAACTGCTGTTAGGTACTTGCTTGTTTATAATTATTATTTTTTTTCTTAAAAAAGAGACTTCATTTATCATTATGTGTATTCCTCTGATAGATTGTTCCATTGAAAATGTTCTTGGTTCTGAAGTCTACTGTGTCTGATATCAATGTAACTACTTTGGCTGTCTTTTGGTTGGGATTGCATAATATATCTTTTCCCATCCCTTTGCTGCAAACTAATCTATGCATTTATAATTAAAGTAGATACTTAGTATACAACATATAGTTGATTGTGCATTTTATGGTCCATTCTGACAGTTTTCTATCCTTAATTTGTCTCTTTAGATCTTTCACATTTAACGTGATAATTGATATATTTTGATTAAAATCTACAACATTGCTTGCTCCTTTCTATTTATTTATCTGTTCATAGGATTTTTATCCTCCATTTCTGCATTTTGAATTATTATGACTCCATTTTATCTCATATATGTTTATTATTAATAACAATTTATTAATTAATGTTTACTTATGCATTTTTGTTGAACAGAGCTACCTTCAAATAACATCATACTTCTCCACTTGTAGTGAAATTCTCTCATAATATAGTCCTGCTACCTCCTTCTCATTATTTCACTATTGTTTATATATATTTTATTTTTATATATTCTACATAAATGTACATTAAATTGTTGCTATTTGAAGAGCCCATTGAAAGCATTCTTCATTATGGTTACTGTGTTTTATTCCTGTAATTACCTTTTGATTCCTTCTGCTGAAATTGCCCATCTGTTCTTACATATTGTTCACCTTTTTCATTACAGTCTTCAACATATTACCTAGTTATTTTATTTCTCCCAAAGATACCTTGTCATTTTCTTGTTGTACATTTTGTTTAAGACAGTAAAAAAGAAGTAAGTAGGTTTATGGCTTAACAAATGGTCTCATCTTTTCATCTGCTATGACTTTAGTGTGAAGATTTGCATCATTCTTGTAAAGGAGTTGGGTTATCTTTGAGGTTTAATGTCACTATTCTCACCCTCATTGTATTACAGGCTTCAAATTGCTCTAGCAATACATTGTATTCATTGCTTGGCCATAATATTTTCTCAATGTCTGTTCTATCTTAGCATTAGATTTTTCCTTTGTGTTATGCCTCAGAGACAGTCTCTCTCTTGCCACTATCAGAGCAGTATTGTACTGTTAATTTTAGTTGATGCTTTCTTGACTGGTGGTAGAGATGGGAGAGGGGTATATTTTGATTAAGCCTCAATTTTAAGCAGGTAATTTGTTCTGCTTTCTTGAAAGTGAAAACTTACCAAGTGTCTCTGACCCTCTTCCAACTCTGTGTCTGGACCCAGTTAATATTCCTTCCGTTTTCTCAGGGATAATGGTATTTTTTGTTTGTTTGTTTTCATGTTTCAGCTACCACAAAGACACCAATTTTTACTGACATTTTCCCAGAAAACTGGGGCTCCCTTGCTTTGAGGAGGTAAGAGATAAAGGACAGGGAGAAGTTTTCTGTCTCTTACTCAGTTGCTGCTATTCCCCTTTCCCAAGGCTGGCACTAAGTATGCAACTTTTTCAGGATTCTCCTATTATTCTCTGATGGTGTAATTGGGGATAGCCTGAAAGAGAGTACTCAACTTTTCACATTCTCACAATGGCCTGCCTTCAAACTTCACTAGTTCTTTAATTCTTCTAGCTCAATTCTTCTTATTAATATCCAGCTACATTATTTTGAGTAAGCAAATACTTGCATCCCTCGCTCACTATTGAACCAGTCTCCTCAAGATTACAGGTTATCCTATCTATTTAATGAGTTCAAAAAAAGGTTTACAATTTGTAACTTCTTTTGTTTCTTTCTTTTTTTTTATGACTGGTTGGTGATCTTTTCAGTTCTTTGAATTCCCCAGTAGAAATTGGAGCTAAGGTTGATTTTAAGATCCACATAATTCATTAGTTAAACAACTTTAGGGACATAAACAGAAGGACACTAACATTAACTGGCTCCTACAATATCAATATGTCAGATAGGATGCATGCTAAATCATTTGCATTTAGATCATGTTTAATTTTTCTACCATTTCCACTGTACAAATAGGACACTGAACTCTGTGAAGGTGAGTCACTGCTTAGACAGCAAAGAGGTAATTGTGTTTGGAGCCCTTATCTTCCTCACCGGAAAGGGCTGTATTGTATGCCAGTGTCCACAGCTGTTATCTTTTATGCATTAAAAATGGAGTAGGTAAGAAAAGTCTTATTCAAAATGAAGTTTAATTAAAACATTTACATATTGCCAAGAATATACCACTGCTAATTTTGTTAGGATATCATCTACCAAAATACTACTCTAATGAGTCTGAAATCATGTGGCAATCAGTAGAAAGTACAGATTTCAGTCTCAATTCTTAGATTCTCACAAAAGATCATAAGTGAACAGCCCATGGCACAATATTAATGTTATATTTTTCCATTTTGCCTCTCAACACATACAGTTATCAATTCTTCACCTACAAGAATAAATCAGAATGCATGAATTAAATCTTGTATATTAGAGACATTTAGGTATTTCCATGATATGACAGAAAAATATTTTGTGAATCTGTGAAACAGAATTTTATACTGACTTTCTAGTTACTTCCATAGAAGTGTCAATGATGTTTATAAAGAGAAAACAAAAAAAACAACCGTTATGCTGAGTGCTTTATCCTATGACTTGTAGCTCTAATAGAGTTGTTTATGTAACGTGTTTTTGAGAACACATTGCTAGACTTTCAACATTTGTGAAGTTAAATAATTCAAAGAGATTTTTCTCTAGATCTGATACAATTTTATAACCTAACAGTTACAGTGTTTCTGTTCTAAAGATGGACAAATTTAGCAGTGTCTCAGCTGTCTTTGAAGCTCAAATTGCTTATTGGAAAGAACTATGTGAATAGATGTTTCTTCAAATTCATATTCAGAGAATCAGACATTGAGATATCTTAGCATGTGAAGATTTTCACCATGCAGAAATATCCTGACATTATGTTGAGTGCTAACAGTAAGAATAAAATGAAAACTTCAACATTTTCCAGAATCATAAAGTTAACACATTTGTTTAATAGTAGTCTAGGCCAGGCAAAGTGCCTCATGTCTGTAATCGCAGCACTTTGGGAGGCCGAGGCAGACGGATGACATGAGGTCGGGAGTTCAGGACCAGCCTGACCAACATGGAGAAACACTGTCTCTACTAAAAATACAAAATTAGCCGGGCATGGTGGTACATGCCTGTAATCCTAGCTAGTCGGGAGGCTGAGGCAGGAGAATAGCTTGAACCCAGGAGGCAGAGGTTGCAGTGAATTGAGATTGGGCCATTGCACTCCAGCCTGCGCAAAAAGAGCAAAAGTCCGTCAAAAAAAAAAAAAAAAAAGCAGTCTAAGTTGAAAAGCCAAAAATTCTAAGAATTTTCTCCATTACTATTGGTGGTAGGATAAAAAATGATTCCCCTCCCCCACCCCAAATATTTATGTCTTAGCCTCTGGTACCTGTGTATGTGACCATATAAGGCAAAGTCTTTGGGACATGAGTAAGGATCTTGAAATGGGGTGGTTATCCTAGATGATCCAGGTGGATTATGAATGCAATCACATTTGTCTTCAAAACAGAGAGGTATGGGGAGATTTGACAAGGCAGATAGATTTAAAGATGCTCATTTTGAAGATTAGTATGATATAGCCAGCAGCCAAGAAATGCTGGCAGCCACCAGAAGATGGAAAAGGCAAAGAATGGCTTCTCCCCTAGTGTTTCTGGAGAGATTGCAGCCCTGATAACAATGTGATTTTTGTTCAGTAGTATAGATTGCAGACTTCTGGCCTCCAGAACTAAGAGAAAATGAAGTTCTGTGGCTTTAACCCACAACATTTGTGGTGGTTTGTTATAGTAGTCAGAGGAAACTAATACACCCTTTAAAAAATAACAGGTATTCAAAGCACAAGCATCGATAAATATTTCCAAAAGCAGCACTGTCCTGAATTAGCCTGCAATATTGGCCTGCTTTCATTCTGCTAAGAAGATTACATAAACTTAGAATACTGCTATAAGCACCCATATGGTTGAGAGGTAGTTGATGATTAGCTAGACAAAGTAATTGGATTTTACTTGGCTTAACAACTGTCTTGAATTACATCTCAGATGGAAAAAAGAAATCCTAACTGCCTTTCAACAGTGGATCATTGGTTGCATTGTCTCATTTTTTTGCTTTATAGACATTTTATTCTATTAAAAATTATTTTACAGCTACCATGTCAACATTTTCTGTTTCCTTTCACAACTGGGATGTAAATTAAGTGTAAAATAATAATATGTTGCTTGCAGTGATTTTGTCACCTCAGATACAAAAACAACATAGTAATATATACTAAATACAGAGTACTATAAAGGCCCTGGTAATATGAAAAAATTGAGACAAATTTTAATGTCATCTATGCCTAAATCCATTGTTAATATCTGAAAGATATAATTAGTAGTCTTGAAAGGTGTGCAGAAAGTGTTGAACAAATGTACTTTATGTTTTTAAATTTCCTTCCAAATGAATAAAAGTAATTTTAAATGGGCTATTTCTCCTCGTTTGCTCAAGAATTTATTTGCTTAGCTTTTTATCAGAAGAAATGCACATCAACCAATTTTTATTTATTAGAATGAGCGATCATGGACCATAATAAATAGCTCAACCAAGTTGTTAGATGTGTTAACCTAGGCAATTACTGCTGCTACAGTAAAATTAATCTTGCTTGTATTTCAAGAAGGGCCAATAAAGCAAAAAATGCAGTCATGAAATTTTTAAATGAATACTTATATCAAGAGACTTTAAAAATAATATGATGTGCATTTTACACCATATTGGGATCCAAATTAAACAAAGCCTTAGCAAAACCTGTATTTTAAGGATTACAGACATAGTGCTCTGCATGAGAACACTTTTTAGAGTTGTGAAACCATCATGAGAGATCCCAATTTTATAGATAAGTGATAAAAGTAGGAAACAAAAATAAACTGAAATGACAGTAAATAGCTATGAAAATCAAACACAATAGAATGATAATATAATGGTATTAGGAAATTAGAATGCAATAGAATTCTCTCTGCGCACCTTTCAGAGCAGTGCTGTTCAAACCTGAATGTGCACTCAAATCACCTGGGGATCCTGTTAAGATGCATTTGCTAATTCCATGGGACTTGAGTGAGGCCTAAGATTCTGCATTTCTAACAAACTCCCAGATGCTGCTGGTGCTGCTGGCCTGTGGCCCAGGCTTTGAGCAGGGAAGTGTTAAGAATATGAGAAAGAAGAGCCTTATTTATCCCCTGTTACCTCATGATCTAAACTCAGTATGCAAATATCCTTGTGCTTCAGATTAAATGGAGCCTCAAGTGAAACAGCACATAATCAACGCCCACAAAAGTATATAACTGGTGTTAATTGACTCCCAGTAGTCCTTATGTTAATTAAGATGCAAAGTATTATATGGTTTCAAGAGAGCAGCTCTCCCTAAAATCTCTGAGTCCCCATAGCCTGAATTGAACTTTCAGACATGTCCCTACTGGCATGCAGCTAAAACAGCCTCATTAATCTCCCCAGGACCTTAAGAGAGTGTGAAGAGTGCTGGAAAAAGTATCTGTCCATTGCAAACCACTGCATCCAAAGTGATTGTCCCAAATTGTCATTTGTGTTAACATTGACTGTCATTTAAGATTCCTAAACAGGCACAAATAAAGCTTTACTCAGTATAATACAATACAGAAACCTGGATTACAGTTTTGACTTTTACAAAACTTTTTATTCTGAATTTGGGACAGATTTTACTTTTATGAAAAAAATAGTGAAACTTATGGCACCAATACTATGATTTTTTAAATATAATTTGTTGAGGTTAGACTAGTGTCAAAGATATATTGAATATTAATATCAAAGAAACTTAAAGATAGTCCAGGTTAAGAAATATTGGCCAGAGAGGCCAATTGATTCTTGCAGAGAAGACCATACAGGGAGTTGCAGAACTAAGAAGAAGTCCCAGGGTTTGTGCTAATTTCTCCTGAGTACCTCATCTCTGAATTATACAAGAACTTCAAGCTTGATTCTCTACTAGTTAGAAAATTATCTAAATAAGAACATGCCATGCTTCCATATAAATCTGCAGTAGATGAAGATTTCTAAGTATTAATTGATCTTGCTACCTGATAGACCACAAACTCACCATTTTATATCAAAATCTTAAGACATTATAGAAGATGAATATTAAAAATAAGGTATTTATAATAATATTAGAATACAAAAAGAGACACTTTGTACAGTGTAATAGTACATAAATACATCAGAAATTTTGAAAATTTCCACCAAGTATTGAAAGTAGATGGAATCAGTTTGAAGAAAGGAGTCAAAATCACATCACAAAACAGAGAAGAAATCACAGCTATAAACACTGGGATCATGTAACAGCTGATTAACCCTTGTCCATTATATTTGTTCTTGTAGTCAGAGTTTCATAAAGGCTTTAGTACATTCTGAACTTTTTCAGACATAATTTTAATAGTCAGGATTTGATGAGGTTTACTAGTGTTAAGTTTTTTTCCTTTTTGCAAATGTTAGTATGTTTTGGTTAAAAGAGAAAAAGACTATCTTGATTGCCTCAGATTTATGCATGTATTATTTTAGACTTGTGCTCACTATAGTGTGACTAGCACTTTAGTATTTGAAACTATTGTGGATGACTAAAATATAAACTGAAGATGTACTAATCACATCTTGGCTTATTAATTGCAATCATTAATATTATTTTATTAGGAAACCAAGGAAGCATAGGACAACTGCTAAGCTTAATGGTATGCCAGAAGAAAAAGGGTTAACTGGGATTGTTCTACACAAACAAGAATGTTTAGTCTTTCAGTTCTAAGCCATTTAAAATCTTTTTATTTTTGTAGTTATAAAAATATCACATGGTCATTTATTATTAGTTGTAGCCAACATTGCTTATCTTTGTCAATTTTATTATTTCCGGTAATAAACATATTCTTTGTGATTACTTATTGCTGTATATGATTCTTTTCTTTGTTATTCTCTCATTCCCTGAGGGTACCAGCACAGAGTTGATTCTCTTCAATTAAAATAAAAAAATTGAGGCAGGGCATAGGAGGTGATAAAACAGGAAACACCATTGCTTCCCCCAAAGGATTAATTCTGCTCTTTTCTTCACACATAAATATGTGAACCCTGTGTCTCTAGTTATGAGGCCACACAGCCACAATTAAAAATTGCAAAATATAGACTAAAATACTTACGGGCTAGTTATAACTTAGATTTTTCTTTTCCATAAGAATGGCTTCTATGTCTATATACATGTTGTATAATTCACGCATTCCAAAAACAGTAAATATTATACTTATTTTATACTTTGTTTAATTTTTTCAGTCTAAAAATGTTATTATTCAATGAAATTGTGTCTATCCATTGTTAAAAGTGTCCTTAGATAATGAAAATGGAAGATATAAGGGTGAATAGATACATCTATTTCCATTCCTGTCAGACACTTATCTTCTAAAGCCCACTATGGAAGGCATTCTATTGATGATATTCAGGCTATCCAGGAAATTACAGTCCTAAACACTCAGTTGAGAAATGATCCATGCATGATGTTAATCGCTTTTAGGAAATAACATGACTTAGGTGTCTTCTGCCCTAATTTTCGTAGAAATAATGTCACCTAAAGACATTACTAACACAAGTCTTGATATACCCTTCTTGTAGACTTTAGTGAAAAGAATTGGTATTGGGGAAAATAGAACCTTCTCACAGTGATTTAGGTTTCAGAGCCCTGATGTGACTCAAAGGCATCATCAATACTACTGATATCCATCATTAATATTAGATAACCAGCTTTAACAACACACATTTATACAAAGCTCTTATGGAAATATTTATACCAAATTCCAAAAAATGTGAGTTTTAGAACACACGAGAATTCATTTACATTTAATAATTCCAGAATGTAGCCTTCTTTGGCAAGTAATTGTTTATAAAATTATTTTTCTGTAAGCTCTTGATATGGTTTTTACTCTAGTCAATTAGAAAAGCTTTTCTGCCACTTTTGCAATCCATTCTTACATTGTTTATATACACAGGTGTGGAAGGTATATATACAGTTTAATATTCTTTCCAGAAGTAATTGGTTTTGTATTTACAAGAATGAATTTACTACATCAAACTCAAATTCCAAAATGACCTGAATCACTTACGTTTCTGTAAAGACACTAAGACTGAAAAGACAAACCACAATCTGGGAGACGGTTTTTTCAAATCATATATCTAATGTAAAACCTCCAGAATATATAAAAGCTTATCAAAACTCAACAATATAAAAATGAGATAATTAAAATGGACAAAGGATGTGTTATAGACAAATATTTAGCTAAAAATATAAGGATAGCATATAATACATAAAAAGATACTCAACATGTTTAAGCATTAGGGGATGTGAATTAAACTTATTAAAATGCCAATATTATGTTATTAAAATGACATTTATTTTTATCTTTAAAACATTTTGTGGATACATAGTTGGTGTATGTATTTATGGGGTACATCAGATGTTTTGATATAGACATGCAATATGAAATAAGCACATCATGGTGAATGGGGTATCCATTTTCTCAGGCATTTATCCTTTGAGTTACAAACAATCCATTTACATTATTTAAGTTATTTTAAAATATATAATTGTGTTATTATTGACTATAGTCACTGTATTGTGCTATCAAATAGTAAGTCTTGTTAATTCTATTTTTTGTATTCATTAACCATTCCCACCACTCCCCTACAACCTCCCCCCACTACTCTGCCCAGCCTCTGGCAATCTTCTACTGTGTGAAAGCACCCTAAGTGTCCATCAACAGATGACTGGATAAAGAAAATGTGGAACACATACATAATGGAGTACTATTAAGTCACAATAAAAAATGAGATCGCATCATTTGCAACAACATGGATGGCACTGGAGATAATTATGTTAAGTGAAATAAGCCAGGCACAGAAAGACAACCATTGTATCTTCTCATTTATTTGTGGGATATAAAAATCAAATCAATTAAACTCATGGGCATAGAAAATGACTAAATGTAAAAAGCATGTTTCTATTGAATGTTGGTGAAGATACAGAGGAACTGGAAATCTCTTACATTGTTAGTGAGAATGTAAATGGCTCAACCAATTTGGAAAACTACTTGGCAGATTTTTTAGTTATATATACACTTACTGTATATACTAGCCATTCTATTCCTACTTACTGAAGAAGAATGAAGCAGATATCCATAAAAATATTTGCATATGAATATTTAAAATAGTCTTATTTTTAGTAGTCCAAACAAGAAACAACTCAAATGTCTGTAAACTCATAAATAAATACACAAAAATGTAATACTGCTCAGCAAAAAAAAGAAAATACTGACATACATGGTCAGATTTTGAAATTATTATGCTGAGTGAAAGAAATTAAATCCCTCCACCACCAAAAAGTACATACTGTATAATCCTATTTATGTAAAATTTTAGAAGAATACAAACTAATATGCAGTAGAAGCAAACGTATCAGTATTGTATGTAGATGGTGGGAACATGAAGTGGCAGAAGGGAAGGATTAGGAACAAGCACAAGGAAACATTTGGGAGTGATAGATTTTTTATTGTGGTGTTGGTTGCACAAGTGTATATTCTGTCAAAACTTATCAAATTGTACATTTTACATACAATTTACTTCCTTTCAATTATATTTTAATAAAACTGTTAACATGTAATTTATCATTATTTTCTCATCTAGGAGGACATGGGAAAATCCAATTATTATAAACACCTGGCCCTTTGCAGTGTTATGTGGTGTTTGTAGGAGTATCATTCTAAGAATATAACTCTTTTTTTTTCAGTCCTTGTTAATGAAAGTTGAGATGCCCACGATCTGAATCACTTTGTAAGGAATGTCTTATCTTTCTACTAATTCATACAGTTTTTAATCATGATTATTTATATTTCTCATGACAATAACCCTTACAGTCACAAATGCAGTAGCAACTAACAAAATTTGTACTATCTAATTGGATACAAAAACATGTCATTGACTTTTTTCAACATTCAGTATCTGAGATTTGTAGAGATTTTGTAAGCCAACAATATGCCATAGAAGTTACAGATTGATATGTTGAAAATAAATATTTACAGCAGTAATATTCTCAATACAAATAATAAATTAAATATCAAATTTAGTATTTTTATTTTCAGAAATATTTTTGAGCATACAATGACCTGACTAAACACTTCTTTAAAATTCCTGTTCCTTGATGATGACTTCAATTTCAAATATGTTTGACAAACAGTACATGTTCAAGAAATGCTACACGTCTTCATCTTATGTAATCAGGAAGTTAGCTTTTCCAGGAAAGTGATTTCACTGGGTGACTTAAAATTCTATCTGTATAGCTACCAATTTTTTTCATTTATGATTGATTTTGCAAGTTAATCATCGAAAATGCATTGCAACATCCCTATTTTCCACTCAGAGCACACGTAACTAATATTTTGACACAAAAATATGTGCCAGAAACTGTGCTAGATATTAAGCATACATTATCTCCAATCATAAAAATTTAATAATATCTAACCTGAAATTTAAAAAGTTTAAGTAGCTTTCTGAAAAATATATAAAGCTGAAATAAGAAAGAGGGGTCTGAACTTAGGTCTGTCTGACAAAGAACTTTCCAATGTACTCTGCTTCTTTCGCAAATAAAAAAAGTTAAGTAAAATAACATTTGTTTTATTCCAGTGAAAACACTACTCAGAAAAGCATAACACTAATTAAATAAATGTTTAATAAATTATTCTCTGAAATTGGCAAAATAATTCCATGATTATCAACCTGTACAGGTAGAATCATTATACATACACATTTCAATCAACAACTAGAAATACATATTATTGCTAAAAGGTTTTTCATAGCATGAAATGTCTAAGCAATCAATGATTTGATAATATACATACAGTACATATAGGAAATCAAGTAGTAATTATATAAAACATGACTTTTTATTTCATGAGATTTAAGTGTGTTGACTTACTTCATTATTATGTCTATTTGTTAGTGAGCTGACTTTTTTTGAGAGCTAAAGGAAGTTTTTGTTTCACTTTCTTTTTTGTAAATTTTTCAGTAAATATTTACTGAGGAATTACTATGAATTAGACAATGAATTTTTAGTTACCGTAACATGCACACTATTGATACCTCCTTTTCTTGCAATTTGAAATCCCTTTGGTCTGAAGCTTAAAATCAAGATCCTTTTTTATGAAAAAAAAGTTGATTCATATCAGATTGCCAGGTTAAAAATAAAACATCTTGTGAGAAAGTTCCTCGCTCTTGGCAGAGGATTTGAGGCTTTATTTGGAATCCTAGTAAATGTCTTTTAATCTGTATTTATTGATTCCACATGATTAAGGCCCTATGTGGTAACAATGCACTGGGATTACAGCTTCAAGAAAAAAAGCCTGCACTGATTTACACTTGAATATCTTTCCAGGTGAACTTTAGTTTGGCATTCAAGTAAGTTTCTAAGTTTGTTTTGACCTTGCATTTTTCTTATTCTCATCCATGTGGATGGGTGCATGTTCGTGTGCATGCATTCGCTGTCCCCAGTGAAAGTTTTCTGATTGTTTTTATCTGTATAGAATATTTTATATTCACCTTTTAAGTTAAATATACTTATTTTAAATTTCAATATTTACATTTGAGGCCAATTTAAAGTATGCATTCTAATAGTACAATACTCACTTGTTTATTTAACTTTGAATTATTTTAACTTTGCAATTCACCAATAAATAATAGCAAAAGATCTTGAGAGTAAATGTCTTTTACTTTCACTTTTAGCCATGTAAAATTACGCCAGGTTCAAAAAGCCCTCCAAGCATATGGAAACCAAATATTGCCCTCTCCCACAAAGGAAAGAATAAGTCTCCCTGCTATTCAACCAGGAGACTTAGTCCTGCTAAAAACTTGCAAAGAAGGATCCCCTGAAGATCAATTACAACCAAAATGGAGGGGCCCCTATCAGGTGTTATTGAGTACCCCCACTCATGTTAAACTTCAGGGAATACCTAGTCAGATATACCTGTCCAGGAGAACACCATAACCTATATCTGTGAGCTTTTGGAGGACTTCCACTGCCTATTTAAAAGAATCAACACAGCCAGAAGTGGTAACATGATGCTATGGGTGGGAATAGAAACTTAAATTTGTCTCTTTTTCCAGCACCTGTTTTTTACCTCTCCTACGACCTTTGATAGTTATCTTGTTGTTATTATGTTTTTGCCCTTGCTTGTTTTACCTCTTGGCAAGGTTTGTGTCTTCTAGATTATAAGAGTTCCACGTAAAAATAATGCTGGCACAAGACTTCCAACCCATCCTGTCTACTGACCCAGAAAGAGTGACCTGCCTTTGAGCCCCTTAGATCAGGTATTCAGAGATTTTCACTACTCCAGTGCTAGACAGGGCCAACTGCAATAAGCTCAGCAGGAAGAAGTTACAGAAAATGATCCTTTGTGCCTCTGCAGCTCCCTTAAGCTTTAGGAGTATCTAATCAGTGAGGGGGGAAATGAGGTAGGAAGCAGGACTCAACTCCAGAGGCAGGGCTTGGACATCAGACCAGATTGAGTGACAGCTAACACACGCCTGGGGTGAAAGCAACTTTCAATCAGACATGCCCACCATTGTGCCATTTCAATTTACTATTGCCATGGCAACAGCTAGGAGTTACCACCCCTTTACATGGCAATGACCCAATGATTATTACCCCTTGCCTAAAAATTTCTGCATGAACTCCCCTTTAATCTACATGCAATCAAAAGTGGGCACAAATATGACTGAAAAACTGCCCTGAGCTGCTACTCTGCCTGTGAGGTCACACTGCTTTGCAGGAACACTCATGGAGCTTTAACACTGCCTCTTCAGTAAAGCTGTTTTCTTCTACTTCTGTCTTACCTTTGAATTCTTTCTTGGGAAAAGCCAAGAACCCAGAAGATTATGCTTCACTTTGGGGCTTGTGGGCTCTGTTTCATTACCAAATTCAAAACCATAGAATTTATAAGAATGTTTTGAGAAAGCTTCTTGTACTTTTGACTATATAGAGGCTAAAAATATAAACATATACCCTGTCAAGATAATTACTGATGACTACCAAACACCAACATTTGTAAAAGACAAATTTTTGAGTTTTTTCCCAAATCATAAATCCTAGGTACAAAGTATTTTCTTCACAAAATGTTATGAAACACTTCTCTGTAAATTTCATTCTATCGTTCCCTAAGAACTTAGTGACATTATTAACATTATTAAGAATGTCCTTTTGTATTTTTAAACATGAGAAATTTGGAATGCAGAAATAACCAGAAGCCTCTCTTTACTTTGGCAATAGAGTGACTTAATTATGACTTCAAATGTTCTTAACAAAAAAATTTTATATTGCCCACAACTAATGATATTTAGAAATACATGTAGAATAAAAAAACAATAAATAAAAATGGAATTTAATGTACCTATAGTGAAAACAAATACAGTGAAGGCTATATGTGATTTAAATAATTATATAGCTTATTTTATTTGGACTCTTCCATCATGTGGTCAGAAATTAATTTAATATCTGTAGTACAATGTAACAGAATTATTATCCATAAGTAGAAACATAACAGCTACTTTCATCTTTCAGTCAAACACAAACTAAATGACACATAATAAATTTTGGAACTACTATTTTTTATATTCAAAGAAGACATTAAAACAATTTATTATTTCAGATACATCATAAAAAGGAAGCTTGAACAAAATTTGTCTATACTACAAATAAGACTAACAACTATGGTTGTTTGTAGAAAAAGTAGTCTGAATTCCAGGTAAAAGTATTTTTGAAGTAATTCTTCGAAGTATGCATGTAAGTAACATGCATAACGTAAGTATGTCTATAAATGCATTTCCTTCCTTCCTTCCTTCCTTCCTTCCTTCCTTCCTTCCTTCATTCCTTCCTACCGTCCCTCCCTCCCTCCCTCCCTTTCTTTTTTCTTTTCTTTCTTTCTTTCTTTCTTTCTTTCTTTCTTTCTTTCTTTCTTTCTTTCTTTCTTTCTTTCTTTCCTTTCTTTCTTTCTCTCTTTCTCTCTCTCTCTCTTTCTTTCTCTCTCTCTCTTTCTTTCTTTCTTGAGACAGAATTTCACTCTTGTTGCCCAGGCTTGAGTGCAATGACATGATCTCGGCTCACCACAACCTCCGCCTCCTAGGTACAACTGATTTTCCTGCCTCAGCCTCCCAAGTAGCTGGGATTACAGGCATGAACCACCACACCCGGCTAATTTTGTATTTTTAGTAGAGACAGGGTTTCTCCATGTTGGTAAGGCTGGTCTTGAACTCCCAACCTCAGGTGATCCTCCTGCCTCAGCCTCCCAAAGTGCTGGGATTACAGGCATGAGCCACTGCACCTGGCTATACATCTAATATTTGAGTATGAACATACATGTATACAAATATGTGTGTACTGTAATAGTATCCTTAATATATTTGTAATATGTTGGTGTGTATACACACACACACACATATACACATATACCCACACACAGGCAGAAACAAGCACACACACAAACATATATACATAGACACATATGAGACAATAATGTGAAGAATGCTTTAGGAAACATTTATAAGTTATCTTCTGTAAGCAGAGTGCAAAGCTCCAGCGTTGAGGATAGTTCCAATGAAACTGAATTATTAAAACCTGTAAATCTTTACATTGCTAGGTTATTAATAGTGGAAATGAAAAGCTTCATAACATATTGACATATCACCATAAGCAGGAGATTATACTAGCAAAGCTAGCTAAGTTATATTTTGCTCCTTGTGGTGGATTTATAGCATGAATGGTTCCAATTTAATGGCTTGCCTATAACCAAACTCTTCTTGGCCCTGTAATTTTATAACCCACTTCAGTGTTTTGCAAAGCATATCCCCTTGTTTTGGTCAGTCTTACCTGCTAGAAGTTAGGTTTTTACCTCCTTTACCTGAGATTGAGATGATTACTTCAACTGCTGTTTGTCTTCCAAAACTCATAGACTTCTCTCTTCCAATAGTATCTTTACTCCTGTTCTTTAAATCACTGAAGTTTATAAGATTTTTTATTTACTGTACTATAATTTTAGTAGTGTGATAGAAATATATTTCTAATGATTGAAAAGTAATTGAATTATTTTGAGAATAATACTAATACAATTTTAATGATAGTATATATCTCTTTTCTGTAATTAATAGAAACCTTGTTTCACTTACTTTCTACACTTTCTGTAATTACTTTGAAAATAGATCTATTTTCTACTCCACTTGAAATTTCTTTAAAATACCTTCCCAATATTTTGTTTTTGTTTTTGGCTTTCCTTTCTCGTCTTTGAATATTTGTTTAACTCTGCCTCTAGTCCTACAATGATTTCAAAGTTAAACTGCAAAATCAAAATTATATTAGAAGATGCTTTAATTTCTATCTACTATTTATTGACTTAAATGTGATAGAAACTCTTGTTGTCTCCCAATATTCAGTATTCTTTCCTGTCTAGGTTTTAGTTTTATCTCTTCTATTCAGTGTAGCCTTGTGATTACATTTGTATCAATGAGAAATAACTTCAAATGTTAGTTGAACAACAGGGAAAGCTCATTAAAAAAAATTTGCAATCCTTTCTTTTTTCCCCATTTTTTCCCTGTGCCTGAATGGTGGCTATGATGACTCTAACTATATATGAGCCTTGGATTACAAGGTGACCTTGGGAACAGATGCTTCCTTCTGAGAATGATAAATTAAAAAATCAAAGACTGGGTTCCTGTTGACCACAGAACCACTGTATTATGCTTAGACTGCTTAATTTTAGGTACCTTTTGTATGAAAGAAATATATTTCTGCTTTTAGACGATTTTTATTTTGGGAGTTTGGGTTTTATGTAGCCAAATTTAATCCTAACGGATACACTATGCTTAATTGTCAATAACTATCTTTCCTTATGAAAGCCAGTGACAGGAATTTTGATGTCTGTTCCTTTTTTCCAGTAACTCCTATTTGCATATGTGCTTTATAGTCACTATGATAATAATATGCTTATTTGCTAGGCTATGCTTGGTTATGGTCAGTTGTGATGGTATATTTATTTTTGTTATCGAAATATAAAATATTTATTGTATTACAGTGTTGTTACATAGAGAATGTCTCCAAATTTGCCTTGATATTTTAATTGTGAATTATGGAAGTCTTATTTTTATATTCCAGAAGTATTTTCTGTTTGTTATTTTGGTGATTCAAATCCCCCTTCATTTTAAATTAGCCTTTTAGACCTTAATATCTGATTTTGTAATATCCTCATTTGAAACTTTATTTCTACATTTTTCCATGTTAATTTCTTTTAATATTAGGCTTATTTCTCTTCCTATCAATCTACCACATCAATATAAATTACCTTTTAGTTGCATTAAGTATAATGAACATTCCTGTATAAAAGAATATCTGTTCAATTCCATTTTTATATTTATAGAGATAAAATATATTTTCATGTGAATATATCTGTATCTGCCAAATGGTGACTCAAAAGTAAAAGTTATGTCATTATTAGGTAGGTGAATGACTATGAGTTATATATTTTTTAATAATTTCTTGGATAATGTTAAGTTTCTATTCATTATCATTTTGCTTTTCCTGACGTAAGCAAAAAATTTAACAAGCTTCTAGATTTAGTGTAATAAGTATTGTAGACCAACAATTTTAAATAGATAAAATATGATCACTGCAACATGTATTTTCTACGTTAGCATACTATGTTGATTATCAATGAGTTTTCTTTATTCTTATATTTTACTTGTCAACACACAATTAATAATTATCATTCAGAATCATCACTAGAGTCTTTATACATGTATTCTCTCTTAGTATCTGTATCTCTGTTTGTTCTCTTCCCCATAATAATCACAAACTTCTGTGGAAAACTTACCTTATAAACAAAACTTATTTTTCTTTAATGCAATACTTTTCTAATCCATTAAAATGTAAATTTAAATTTATAACAATTTACAATGATCTATTTAGTTTTGTCCAACATACTCATCTAAGCTGAGTCTGTTTGGCCTTTGTGGATTCCCAGGCATTTCCTCTGTCTCTGGATGAAGAAAAGGCCTAGGACTTGAAATTCTGAAAAGAAGTTCTGTTTAAAGTAAAACTCTGAAGAAATTATTTTACATCCTGCCTTTATTTTAAAAAAACATACAAAAATATTAGGTTTCATTTATTAATTTGCAAAATTCTATTTTTTAGAAAAGAAATTAGAAGTAGGATTTGATTCCTGATTTAAAACAATGTGATAATCAAAATAATATTTGCAAGGTTCCCAAACTGAATGTTTTAAGCTATATTATACAATTTAATAAACAATTTGTTATATTGTACAATTGAATCTTTATCTTCATTCCTATTCTCACACACGCCATAGAAAACCCTATAACTTAAATACAAAAAATGAAAGTTATTTAATGTGGTTTGAGTTTATTTGTATGTGTTGGTACAATGAGGCCACAGCCTTGGTCGGCTTTGTCTCAATCTGTTAATTCAGGTGAAACATAATAACCAGAGAATTCCAAAAAGAGTATTCCAATACTTTTAATATATTTCCACAGAGTAAAAATAATAGCATTTGGCCCAGGGACTAAAATCTAACAAAATATTTACATAATAATTTTTTTCTTGACATCTGACTCTTTATCATGAATTCCCACAAAAATATCTCTTTTGATCTCCATTTCAGTCCTGTGTGGTAGAATATAGAAGTGTGTAATTTACTAGGTAACATACCCTGATTTAGAGCCTCGGAACAATGGCCTTGCTGGGAGACTGTTCTGCTGAATACTACAAGGATATTGCAAAAGGGTTACAGGCTGCTAAAAAGATGAGTTTGATTTCAAAATATGTTTAAGGAAGTTCCTTCAAGCTCCTCTTTCAAATTTTTATCCTGACGTTTTGAGGATTTCAAAAAGTTGCAACAGCTTTTGCTAACATAAATAAAGATGAAAACTTTATTTTTTTAATCCATTCAGAAAATTATATTTCTGTAGAGTTGTGTAGAGTGAGTCATATGATCGATGCCTCTGCCTCCAGGTGAGATGATGCTATGACTTCACATTTCTAATCATCAGAAGTACCTATGAATAACAAGATTGCATATGTATGTAGACATTTGGGTTAGATGAGGTTTAGTTTAATGAGCTCCAGAGAGTTTTGTCAGTTTTATAAACGGTGACCTTGAGCAAGTTACTGCATCTTTCAAAGTTTCTATTTATTACACTTAAAATATGTACAATAAGGTGCTATGCGTATCATATAAGATGATATACAAGCAGCTGACACATAGCAAATGCTTGTCTGTATAATTTCACTCCTTGGTTTTCCTTTTCTAAGCAGAATTAATTCATTTATGACTGCAACAATTCTTGCGTCATAACTACTATTGGGTGAATTTTAAAATGTTGTATTCAGTTATTTTTATGTCCTTTATTATGATTATCTTTGTTGGCAGGTTTAAAAGCTAAATTATAAAAGTGGTTTTATTTGTAATGGTTGTTTATTGTAATGCATTACTCTTAAGTGATCTACATATAAGCTATGTAGCTTTCTAATGACCTCTATTGGAGAGCAATAGACAAGTCATACTCATATTTAAAAGACTTCAGATCTGAATTAAAGGTATTAGATCAGATTAAATAAACAGTACATTAAGGCCAGGCTTGGTGGCTCACACCTGTAATCCCAGCACTTTGGGAGGCTGAGGCGGGTGGATCACGAAGTCAGGCAAACATTTGAGACCAGCCTGGCCAACATAGTGAAACCCTATCTCTACTAAAAATACAAAAAATTAGCCTGGCATGGTTGTAGCCGCCTGTAATCCCAGCTACTCAGGAGGCTGAGGAAGGAGAATCGCTTGAACACAGGAGGCAGAGGTTGCAATGGGCCGAAATTGTGCCACCGCACTCCGGCCCAGGCCACAGTGTGAGACTCCAATTCTAAATAAAGAAATAAATAAATAAATATTCATTGAAATGTAATTCTCAAAAATGTTTAATATTTTATTCCTAATAATGATTGCATGCTAGTATGATTGTAGCAAAGTTATATCTACACTCCAAATGCCCAGTTATTGATAAAATCCCTCACACCTTGCTGTTGCCGTGTTTCCAAGTCTTTCTGTGTTGTCAACACCACACTTGATTTTCAAGGGCTTGCAATATCTGATCACCATCTTTAGTCATTTGTTTCTCCTTCCTTTATCCCCCATATCCAAGTAGACTTATGATTAAATTTCTCCCTCTCTTCTTTTGCTCACATTGCTTCTCCTGGAATACAAATTACTACACAAAACCTTTAAATCCTGCCACATTTTCAAGGCTCAGTCTCTGATAGGAAGGTACTGATCACTCATCTCTTTACTTGAACTTCTCTATCTTAAAATATTGTCTAATGCTATACTAATACTTCTTTTGACTTACATCTTGTTATAAATTAGAATTTAACTAGTTTTCTGTATTATTCCATTGCATGAGATTGTAAATTGTGGAAAGAGGAAAATAGGAGCCAGGTCCTCAAAGTCCACAATATCTGACTGAATGGAAACAATCTATACCTACAAATTATTTAATTATTTATGCCACTGTTTAATTGTTAGATTCTACACCTGAAACCATTTTTGAAAAGCATTTTGGGGATAGTATTATAAAACACATTATTCGATAAAATTAAATTTACATAAATCCAGAAGCAGAAACAATAATGTGATGATTAATGGAGTTTGTACTATGTAGAAAACAAATATAAGCAATATTAAAACTATTTTACTTAATTTTTTCAGGTAATAATAAATATTTTTAAAATGTAAAAAAGAGACATGCTCATCATCATGCACTCTTATTTTTTTGCAAAATAAAAATTCCCTGAATGAAATACTTTAAACTGCGTAAGAGAAATTGAGCAAACATATCCTCATCAGACGTTTATTAAATGTATAATTATGCAAAATTCTAATTATGGTACATAAAATACTGCATTTTCTCTATACTCTAAGAGTTTATAGTCAAGATGGCAAGGTTGACTTACAACACAAAGATGCTACAAAGTACATTGAATAAGTAGGAGTACTATACTAAAGATTCAAATTCGTGGTGACATGTAATTTTATTACATATTGTTTTTCAATAGAACAAATTTGCATAAGACAAGAGGATAGGGTAACAATACTGAAAACATAGAGAAAATACATTATTTTTCAAAGTATGGGGCTGGGCATGGTGGCTCACGCCTGTAATCCCAGCACTTTGGGAGGCCGAGGTGGGCGGATCACGAAGTCAGGAGATCGAGACCATCCTGGCTAGTACGGTGAAACCCCGTCTCTACTAAAAATACAAAAAAATTAGCCGGGCGTGGTGGTGGGCGCCTGTAGTCCCAGCTACTCAGGAGGCTGAGGCAGGAGAATGGCGTGAACCTGGAAGGCGGAGCTTGCAGTGAGCCGAGATCGCGCCACTGCACTCCAGCCTGGGCGACAGAGCGAGACTCCGTCTCAAAAAAAAAAAAAAAAAAAAAAAAAAGCAAAGTATGTTGGTTTTACTTTTAAAACACAGAAAAAATTATTTTTGCTTAAACAACTCTTGGATAACAACTTTTATTTTAATAATGTTGAGTCCTCTGTCTTTTACTATACTTCATTGAGTAATTACTCCAATAAAAGTTCGTGGGTAACACTGAGACTCAGTTTTCAGCTTAGAGAGTTCTGCTTTCACGGATATATTCTGTCAACATTTTATAGCAAAACTGCATTGTCTTTCAATATGGAGTGTCACTGTGCATCAATCTAAAACTAATCTAGTGTTTGACCTGAATGATGTATTCAGACTCACATCGTTAAAAGTCTTTATTCTTGAAATGAATTACTTAACTAAGCTGTGTCCCATTGGTAAGTTTACTGCATTATTTTTTTTGATTGCAATATTATCTTTCATACTACATGCATAGTTTTTTCACCTATTCAGGAATTTTTTTCTACACAAATTAAAATTACTTTCTTTGCTTTTTTTCTAGTCTTGTGCCCATCAACTGTGGATGCATAGTAGATAAAACAATACTGGAATCTGGGTGACTGAATTTGAATTCTGGCCACAGAATATGCATACCTCTAAGTAAATTATTTAAATTTTCTCTGTCTCAAATTTTGCCATCATAAAATGAAGAAAATATCAGTATTTTATAATTGATATTTTATGTGGATGAAATAAATTCATACATGTTTAATCCACTTTGAATAATCTAGACAAGTACTATGTTCTTAGTTTTATAAAAATTATTATTATTATACCAACTCTTGCTGCATCACGTTTGTCTGTACTCTATATTGATTACTGTCTACTACTGTTCATTTCTATCTTTTCGTTCCTCTAATACTGCTATTGTTTTATGAGTTTGCATTAGGTCAGAGATTTTCAGCTCTTTTTCCTTTGTTTCTACCATTAGTTCTTACTTCTTCTGTGGCGTACTTAGTATATTCACTTTGTTTCCTTAGAGCTGCTACTCCATTCTGTGGTTTTATTATCTGATATTTGAATTATACTTATTGAATCGTTTTAATATTAAGTTGTTCAATAAAGTGATAAATGATAATTTTCTCCTGTTTTTTGTTTCATATTTCATTTATAAATTGGTGAAATATCATTCTTATCATTTCTTCCCATTATCCATCCTTCCTTCCTTCCTTATTTCCTTCCTTCCTTCCCTCCCTCCAGTCTTCCTTCTCTTCTGAAGTTTGTTTGCATAGTTAGAATTCCATATATTTTGTGGGACTTTCTTCCTGTTGTTAATTGGTTATTTTATCTCACTTATGGTTATATGGGTTTTTTTTTTTTTAGCTTCTAGTTGCACTAGTACAACATGGGTGAATTCTACTTGACTTCCCTCATTATCAAGATGTGTAGGCCTTCTATTTGATACATAGTTGATGGGCTAGGTAAAGTGCACAATCTACTTTTTAAGGCTGAGTATTCAAGGAATTATTAGAGGAGTCAATGGGGACAAATTGGAGTAGGTTGGGCTATTGTTTTGCTGGCAAACCGGGGCTTGGGCATTTTGGTAAAATTTTATTAAACATCTTCTAAAAGGAATCATAAAAGAATCAAATCCGTTTGGGTAGGATACCCATAACATGCTGCCCTGTTTGGGCATGAGGTATTTTCTCCTTTCTTGTTTGTCTGGTGATGATATATAGATACATATGATATAGTTATAGATATGGACATCATGTTTTTGCTCATACCTTGTAATAAGAAAAAAAATTTTTATGATTTGCTTTTATTTTTACCAAGAAGACAATTGAATCTTTTAAAACTGCTCAATACCAGTTATTGACAACACATAATTAAAATTTATGAGAAACAAGTAAATATATAGAATTTCTTTTACTATGATTATGTGTATTAATATGATTTAGAATCAATGCTAAAACTAATGGATTTAAGACGGCACAATTCTAATATAAAATATATTTTTAAACAGATTATTATATAAACCATTATCTCATTTTAGTTGGAATATTAGACATTGAAACAATAAAAGGAAAATGTAAACAGCTTAGCTCCTGTATATAAAAATAGTAAGAAAACTTATATGCACTACATACACACAGTATTTTAGTGGTAATTTTGCATTTTTCTGTTAAAATTGATTTAATTATTCTAGTTCTAAATATTGTCAAGTCTGCACAAATAAAGAGGAACCATATGATATATAACTCACATTTCTGATAACTGCTAAGACAGTGGTACTAGAAACTGGATATTTTAGATTTTTTTGTATTCACAGAGTAAGTTTCAACTTGTCTACATAAAATTATCCTATAATTTCCATTTTTGCTCCAAAATTGGAAATTTTTACATTCTTAAGCTAAATTCAAAGCTATAATTAAATAAGATAAAGATTAATGAGATTGTTAGAAAAACAAAGAATACTCAGTACAAATTATCTTCAGTATAATGAAAGCTGAGTGTTTTGGTCACTGTTGAATTTTTTAAAGCAACAATTTTGTAGCAAATCATAGTAACTCTTATTTTTTTTAGCTAGAGATGAGCTGTAGAAACAGATTTCCAGTTTCAAAATCACAGGAACTTCCATGAGAAGAAAGCATATCGATTAATCACTGAACATCTTCATTATTTTAATCACTCCCGTGTGACTAGATTGAAGTGTGGCCATAGTTCAAGCTGATACAAATGTTGTTGATTAGATGCAAAGTAATCAAAGTTAAATAGGGTGGCAGGTTGTCAGCACTTATGCTCTCTGCTTCTCAGTACTTATTGTACAAGGCCCTAGTTCCAATGCAGCTTATATAATGCTTACAGCATAATAACGATTTGGGAGAGGACATTCGCTCTCACATTCAGGCTTGATTTACTGCTTGAGCCAGAATAACTTCTTTTAGAATGTCTGGAACAGCAGGTTGTCCACTAATATGCATAGCAATGAGTTCTATTTTTAAAGTCTCTGCTTCTCAGCAAGTGACATGTTTCTCTAAAGATTCACAACTGGAAACATTGTCCTATGGAAAAATTCCTTCACACATTTCTTTTCTATTAATTCACAAGCAAACTTAACTGTTAGATGCTAAAATGATCAGATTTTCTTCCAAAATGTATGATTATAGATTGAAAAGCTCCTACTGAAAAACAAGATCGCGGACAAACTGTGGTAACAAAATGAATGGTTGGTATATTTTCACTGCTAGGTACTGTGTAAATATCCACTAATTCAGTTAAAAGTGAGGAAACTCTTTAGCTGTACTGCATAATGTGGTTTTATGTTTTAAATGTGATGGGAAAAGAGATCATCTTATAAATAGTGGGTAGAACTTGTCCTTTTGGAAATTTTTCTGTTATTAACATTTTCATGCCTAAAAATTATTTTTCTTTCTGGCTTGATAATGTTGTACATCAAATTTCTGATGAAAGAAACAGTCTGTATGCATCACACACACACACGCATACACATATAAAAACTCAAATATAGACAGACGAGTTCATTGTACTCTGCAGTTCATACATGACAAGTTTCATTGTTCTGTACTAGGAAACATCTTAGTTCTACTTTGGATTTTTTTCATCTCCAATGTATGTTCTCATTCCCTTCATTCCTATATGAATCAACTTTAATTTGATAAATATATGTCAATTAGAATACACATATATTATTGTGACCTAAGTAGGCTGGCATTGATGTGTGGGTCCAATGTACATTAATTGTGGTATTGTCCCTCTAGGTTGTTTTCTGCTTCTTAGATTTTATAATACAATGTTATATTCTAAAGGTCTATTCATTTTGTTACATATCGGAGATAATATTCCATATACTTAACAATTTGTGTCATGAGCACCAAACAGTCAAACTGATGATTGAAATACACAATAGATGAGACTATATATTTAGTAGCCTACTGGCTGAATATTAGGCCTGTTGCATGAACATTATATAAATCCAATAAGAACTGCCATATTGAATTACAATAATTTGGTTTTATATGTGCAACTATATTCTCTGAATTTTAAACTGTCTTTTTACTCTCTTAACTAACCTGCTGTAGAATAGAATTTCTTAATGGTTCTTAGTGTCTTTTTTATTATTAGCAAATTTGCATTGCACTTAAAAATATATTTTCCAACCCTACAGTCGTAAATATAGTACCTTTGTTTTATTCTAAAATATTTGTAATTTTGTCTCTTACATTTAAATCTTCATTGATTATAAATTGATGTGTGTATATGAGGTGAGAAAAGGGTCTGAGTTCAGTATTTTTTCATTATTCATTATGAGGTTAAAATCTCTACTCAATGATTTGCAGTACTACTTCTGTCATAGTTTCCCTTTGCATTCCCTTTATGGCATTGCCTTGTTCTTCAAGAGGGAACACTGCTGATATTCACCATTAAGTATAATACTTGCTATTGCTGAAGTTGTTGCTGCGGTTTAGCTACTGTAATTCTGTGTGGACAAAAAA
Source organism: Homo sapiens (assembly GCF_000001405.40). NCBI lineage: Eukaryota > Metazoa > Chordata > Mammalia > Primates > Hominidae > Homo > Homo sapiens. Next base: position 145,168,744 of record NC_000003.12, on the reverse strand, counting down.
GTTATCTTTATTCTTTTTTTCCCTTTTGTGAGACCCTCTCACTCTGTCATCCAAGCAGGAGTGCAGTGGCACATACATGGCTCACTGCAGCCTCAACCTCCTAGGCTCAAGCATTCCTCCTGCCTATGCTTCTTGAATAACTGGACCACAAGTGTGCACCACCAAACCCAGCTAATACTTTTTATAACTTTTTATAGAGATGGGATCTCACTATGTTGCCCAAGCTGGTCTCAAACTCTGGGCTCAAGCAATCCTTCCACCTTGGTCTACCAAGGTGCTGGGATTGCAGGTGTGAGTCATCATGGTTGGCCTCTATTCTTAATTCGCTAGGAATTATGGATTTATCATGACTATTGAATTCAATCATGTGTTCTCTCAATCTCCACTGACATGAAAATATAAGTGTTGCCTTTAATATATTACTATAGTGAACTTTATTCAATGCTTTTCTAATATTAAACCAACTTCTATCTCTGGGAACACACTCATTCCCAACTTTGTCAAAATGCATTATTGTTTTTTAAAAATATATTGCTTATCTAGGTTCCCTAATTTTCAACTATTTTTTCATCAATATAAATTGATGAAATTTGCTTTAAATGTACAATTTTTATTATATTTTAATATCAAGTGTATGTAAACTCCATAAAATGAGTTGGATTTTTTTTAATTCTATAACCTAATTCAGTTTGGAGATAATTGGGGATTATATTTTACGTGAGAATTTTATTGGTCACACTAGTAAAATTATCTAAAATGCCTCCGTTGTAAAGAGTTTGGACATATGTTAGACCTTCTCATTTTTTGGTCCAAGTGTTTTAAGCTCTTCTTCATTTATTCCATTTTCTTGCTGTGATTCTCTAAGGACATTTTCTCCAAATCTACCTTCCTTGTGATTATACTTGTGCTATGTTTTTGTGTTTTGTTTGTAGGTTTGTTTGTTTGAGACAGAGTCTCACTCTGTTGCTCAGACTGGAGTGCAGTGGTGTGAAGCTCACTGCAGCCTCTGCCTCCCAGTTTCAAGCAATTCTTCTGCCTCAGCATCCTGAGTAGCTGGGACTACAGGCATACACTGCCACACCGGGCTAATTTTTGTATTTTTAGTAGAGATGGGTTTCCACCATGTTGGCCAGGATGGTCTTGATCTCCTGACCTTCTGATCTGCCCACCTTGGCCTCCCAAAGTACTGGGATTACAGGCGTGAGCCACCATGCCCAGCCTATTTTTTTTTAAATCAGCTACTTAATACCATTGTTTTCATTTTTTCAAGCATTTTACTGTTTTAATTTCTAAATTTGCTCCTAATTCTATTGTCTTCCTCTCATATTTCATGTTCCTATTGTATTTTTGTAATACATTAGAAAGAATGTATATATTGTGGTTCTGGTAATTGCAATATATCTAAAGATTTTAAAACCTACCTCTACTTTAATTTCCTTGGCTGCAAAATTTAAATAAAAACACTTTATGTGATTTTTGCAAAATAAGGAAAAATAATACTACACATATTATTATAATAATTAAAATATTATAATAATCCAGTGTCTAACAATATTCATGTCAGTTATTCACAAATGTTTGGCTCTATTGTAATTTTGTAAACCAACTTTAAAAAGTTTGCTTAGTTATGAGTCCTATTTGGAAATGTTTGCTAAATGTTTCAAGTTATCCTCATATCATGAAAATAAGAACAAGAAAAGTCATTGTAACCTACTATTTGCAAAACATTATTCAAGGTACTAAAAATATAACACTAGTCCCCACCCTACATGATTCCACAATCTAGATGAAATATAGAGCATACACCTGTAAAGAGAGTAAGCAACAACCTAAATAAACTATGTTATCTGCCAAATTAACCAAGGTGGTTTTAACGACTACCATTGTTCAAAGGAAGGAGAAATGCTATAGAATGTTATGGCTGAGGAAGAATTTAAGGAGAATTATGACTCTCAGAAAACGTATTATAGTAAACTTCTTACAGTGTTTGTAAAATAGTGTAATAGTACTTGGAGGTAAAAATAGGTAACCTAAAGATAACTTTTCATTCTCAAGAGAAACTATTAGGTATAACAGTTATAACTAAACTTCAATATAGAAAAAAAGAAGTATAAATAAAATACACAATACTGAAAATAAGGCAGGAAAGAGAAACAAGAAAGTTGGATAAATATAAAACAAGCATTTATGGCAGATATGTGGCCAAATGTGTCTATAATCACATGAAATATAAAAATACTTAAATTGCATTCAGATAGTAAACAGAATAATAAAACAGTATCAACTGCATGTTGTTTAAATAAATATATAATGTTTAAATATATACATGTAATCTTTAAATATAAAAATAGACTTAAATTTACATTGACTTTATCAAAAAATTAAATGCTAACAAAAGATACCCTCCCAATAAAAACAAATAGAATGTAATACTATGTCTTTTGAAATAAAATCTCAGTATTATAAAGACTTCAGTTCTCAGTAAATAAATTTAATTTTACCCTATGTTGAATGTAAATTTCATGTGAAAATGGTTTTAAAATAGGAAGGAGATAAAGTAGACTTTAGCTAATCAAAAGTATACCTGTTAAGAACTATGAAGAATCTGATATTTTATCCTACTTTCAAAGCAACAAGTTAGTCTGCCACAGCTTCAAGATGCTGGCAGAAAACACAAGAATTCTAGATCAGAAACAAAGATGTTAATACATATAGTGAAAGCAGTTGCTGGATTACTTATGTTTCCTTGTACCAGTTATTTGAGCTCTGATTCCTAGATGGTGACACAAAGAGGGCCAGATGACAAACACATAAGCAGTTGGTTGTATTATGGAAGAGAAGTCCTGAATTAAGGGAACAGAAAGATTTTATAATGGGCAGTATACTTGTCTACCCTTTGTTCTGGAGGGAGAAATTATCTTTTAACAGAAAGCATGCCTAACCCTTTGCTTAATAAGAGGATGCTAACCCCATCTTCCAAGGCTGTTTTATACAAGCATCATTTAAAAATAGTTTGGAACATAAAGGCCATCTTTCACTCATATTTTAAAACTTTTATTTTTGAAATAATTTCAAAGTAACTCTCTTACATTTTTCACTTTCATGTAGGTTTACCAATTTTCAAGTTCTTAAATTTACCTTCTCTCTCTCTCATTATTTTTCTTGTTCTCTCTCCTTCTCCCACTCCCTGTATCTGTCTCTAATTCTATCTTTTCTCACCATTGAAGACATCTTAAAGATTTAGTGCTACATTGTCTCTATACTTAATATCCTGAATATAATAATATTTCACAATATGACCCCCATCTTGAGGACTCTGAGCCTTACCACTTTCATTTTCCTAAAAACTTTCTTCTTAGCTCAAGTAATTGAAATACATAGATATGTGTGTACATATTTATGAATATGTATAAAAATATATATAATAAAATTCCCAGAATAATATTCGTGGTAATTGTAAAATCACAAATGTATTTGATTGTCATATAGATGTTAACTGAGTTCTTTTTCCTCTTGAATTGCTTTAAAATAATGAAGATATTTTAAACAGTAACAAATATATGTGCAAAAAAGAATTGATCATATTCTGTATCAATGAAACATAAATCATTTTCTTTAAAATATCTGCTAAAAAGATGCAGTACTATGCAATAAAAATTGTAACTAAATGACTTTCATCTACAAAGTTTCAAAATATTCAAATTATATTATATATCAAGTTACAAGTATAATACAAATAAGAATTATACAGTAGTGCTGAGATAGAAACTTGAAAGGGCCACTTCTTAAATACATAATATTGTTTTATACTTTATAACAAAATAAACATCTGTAATTGACCCATTGTACTGTTACAGGGAGAAGAAGAAAATAAAATCTCTAATACTAAAACGGACAGCAAAGTAAACATGGATTAAATTGTTTGTAATATTTATAAGTTAACTGAGTATAGAATTCACTTCACAAGTGATTGAGTGCAAGTGCTCTAAAAATCTCAGGGAAATATTAAAATAACTGTTATTTGAAGCTTTTCTATCATTAGAGGAAAAAATACACTCAAAAGTAAAAATGAAAATAGATTTATTTTACTTTTCAGTGCGTGAGTATGGTAATTGGAGGAGCAGAAACAAATTCAACAATTTAAGTGAAGCTTGGGGAAAACAAAGTATTATTTAGATATTTCAAAACTCTTTTAGGAATATATATTATTTTCTCCTACAGACATTGTGTAGTCTAAAAGACATAATACTATGGGGTGTTCTCAGTATGAACAGGGCAAAATGGAAACATACTTTTCTCACATTTAAGATGCTCCTCACCTTTCCAAGTAATAAAGATACTTGTATTTATGTCTATATTCCCAATGTAATTATGAGGCTTTGGAGGACAAGGAGGATATTTGCCCCCCTCAAGGCAAACATCAAGGCTTTCCTTATCAGATAGAATATATATAGTGACCTGATATTATAAACTATATGAACTGTTATCTTTAAAAAGCTGGAGGTTTAAATTTATATTGGGAATACCAGGAATCAAAGCTTGTTTCTATAAGGCCAAATCTTATTACCTGTACAGCTTCATGTTCTTTCATTATGAGGCACCATTTTTGTGAGATAAATTGGTTGATTAACATAAATGCGCTATCTAAAAATACTCTTTGAAGTATTTATAATGACTTATGGAATTATGATTGATTAAAATTACCTAGTTTACCTGATTCTTTTCACTAAATCCAAGCACAGGAAACCTTAAAAAATGATGAAAATGTGTAATTATGAATGAGGGCATAATTGAAACAATCTCCAGGAGGATCAAAATTGACTGCACAAAGAAAAATATGAAGAATAGGTAGGTAGGAATGTAGACAGGTAAGCAGGTAGATAGATGATTGATAGATAGATAATATGCATATGGACGTATAGACGGGAGGGAGAGACAAAAAGAGAGAGAGAGAAAGACAAAGGGAGGCTGAATAACCTGGGAGCACAGAGATGTTGAATAAATACTACATGTTTAGAGTCCTATTTAATTAAAGAAATTATCAGTCAGTGCTTTTTCATTGTGCCCTCTAACCCTATGTCCATATAGTATTTTAGATCACACTTATATCAATCATTTAAAAAGTAAATAAATAAGTGTGTATATGTGTGTGTGTGTTGGCAATTAGGCCATTGATTGGCATGATGACTTGCTTACAGTAGGAGCTCAGAAATATTTTTTGAGAAAAATGATAGAAAAATCCCCAAACATACTTAATAATTATACTAAAATTTCCAGCGTCCGTTTCCTAACAGGCTTACTAGGAATGTGGCTCCTCACTGAGGAAAGAACTTTCTCCCATTTACTAACACCACCTTTCGCTTGATATTTTCAACTCTATGTAAAACTCAAGTCAAGTCCTCTTTGTTACACACAATGATAAGAAATTAGAAAGTCCCACCATGAAACATAGCCCATTGATTGACTATCACCCCCTGACCCTTTCTCCACTGATGAACTCTACACTTAAATCTTTCCTCTACACAAACCCTGTCTCAGGCTGCCAGAATGAACACATCCCGGAGTGCTAGTCATTCATAGCCCTGTCATTTCTCCAACTCTGTGCCTGCTAACACCTTGGGTCTCAGCGTGGCCATATTATCATCCATTACTTATCTACCTCTATAATTTTAATCACCAGTATTAAACTCTGATCATGACTTTATTTATTTATTATTATTTTTTTACTTTTCCAACGTGTTCTTTAATTCCATTTAGATATCTACACTATGGTATTGCTATTTCCTTCCAGTATATCAGACCCACTTGAATGATTGCTGTGTAATTTCATACCACCTTAGATCCCATCCTTGGTCATCAGGTTGTTCTCTCATAAGTATCGTTTACTCTCTTTCACCTCTATCCTTCAACAAATGCATTTGCCAGAATTCCAAGCCAAAAACAGTGTTACTACCTCTTCAACAAATATCTTACATTATCCACCTCCAATTTTATCTTTTGTTTGTTTGTTTGTTTGTCTGAGATGGAGTCTCGATCTGTCACCCAGGCTGGAGTGCAGTGGCACGATCTCAGCTCACTGCAAGCTCCGCCTCCTGGGTTCACACCATCCTCTTGCCTCAGCCTCCTGAGTAGCTAGGACTACAGGTGCCCACCACCACGCCCTTCTATTTTTTTTGTATTTTTACTAGAGACGGGGTTTCACTGTGTTAGCCAGGATGGTCTCGATCTCCTGACCTCGTAATCTGCCTGCCTCAGCCTCCCAAAGTGCTGGGATTACAAACATGAGCCACCATGCCTGGCCTCCAATTTTATCTTTCTAAAGCTAAGAATTGCTTCTGTTTTTTGTTTTTTTTTTTGAAACATCACCAAGGTATGCTTCACTTCTGTCTTTTTTCTCTTTTCATAAAATGAAATCCCTACATCTTTTACCTCAATACGTCCTACTTGTCTCTTTAGACGCAAACCAACATTCACCTTGTGCTATGGACTGAAGTGTGTCCCTTCCAAAATTTGTATGCTGAAGCCCTAACCCACAATGCCACTGTATTTGAAGACAGGGCCTTTAAGGAAATAACGAAGGTAAGTTAAGGTCATATGGGTGAGGCCCTGATACAGTAAAATTACTGTTCTTCCTTTTTATTTTTTTTCTCTTAAAATGGATATACCTTATTGTATATAAAGCATGTTTTTTCAATAAAGTTAAGTAACAAAATTCTGATCTGATGTTTTCTCTTTTTTACAACATGGGTTTATTTGGGCTTAATTATTAATAACAGTTGCATACTTCAAAGATTTCTAGATTGATAGTTATTTTCCCTCAACATTTAAAATACATTATTCTATTATCTACCTATTGTTGCTGAGAAGTCAGTCAGTTTCACTTTTTAAAAGATACCAGAAAGCTTGCTCTTGCACTCTCTCTCTCTCTCTCTCTCCCTTCCTGCACACACAAAGAAGAGGCCTTGTGAGGACACAGTGAAATGGCAGCTGCTACAAGCCAAGAAGAGAATCCTCACCAGAAATCAATCATGCTAACACCTTGGCCTTAGACTTACAGCCTTAAGAATTGTGAGAAAATAAATGTCTGTTGTTTAAACAACCCAATCCTTGATATTTTGTTATGACAGCATGAACAAACTAAGATACCTTGTCCAGAAAGTCTCTCATGATCATATCTAAATGCTAAATATCCCTCATCTCTACATCCATAAATATCTTTATTATTACATTATCTTATTTGCATTCTCACAGAAGCAGATACACAAGGATTCAAGCGTAGGCTTTTTATTTTGAAATTAACGCCAGGAACATGGTCACAGAGTGGGGAAGTGAGACACACAAAAATGGAGGCATTATGGGTTTATGAATTTTTACAGGTTACCACTGCAGGTGACTGAAGCTTAATTCTGCTTGGGTATTCTGAAAGTCAATATAGAACATACTCATGGAAATCTTCAGCTCGCACTAATTATGAGCAGAGTGCTGCAAGGTGGAAGTTGTTAATTACCCAACACTTCTGACCTGTCCTTCTCCCGGGTGGAACAAGCACCAGCAGCCAGAGAGACACATTAGGTAGAAGCTGGAAGTTACTCCATGGAAGTTACGCAGTCACAGAAAAAAATGATAGACACTAAAGGAGATACGTGTGATGAATTAATGGTATCTGCTCAATGCATTTAGGATGATATATTTTAATTATTGTTGTGTGTGAGCATGTCCCCTAATAGATTATGAAGCTATTTGAAAAAATATATATGTATTAAACATATATATATACACACACACATATACATATACACACACATATGTTTTTCATCAGGAGACAAATATTTACTTATAGTGCCTAGTTAGGTAGTCATAAAATAAATATTTGTGAAGCAATTAAAAACAAAATGTCAACTTCTTAGGGCCTTCTAATGATGTTGGTACCAACAGTGCATTGAGTATGATGGGTCATTGTTACAAGAAATAGTATTAATTAGAAATGCCGTTATATAAGAAGCATAAATATACCTAAGTGATTGTACAAAAATAACTCTTGGAGACATTGAAAATTCACTTTTATATTTCAATAGGAAAACATATGTAAGACTTTGACATGTTTATATTTTAAAAAGGAATATTTGTTGCCTTCACATGTCACTTTGCTGCAAAACATACAAAAGTTTATAGTTAAAAGAGATTCATCTTAAGTTATTTTATTTGTGTAAAGTCTGTGGAGAAAGAAGCTTTGAGATTTTTTAATTCAAATAATATGAAGAAAATCTATACTCCAAAATATTGGTTGGTATATTGTATATGAGTTAGTATATTGTATATTATAATTAAAATGAAAGGATGACATGTTTAGAATATGTAAATTTGAATTTCTTTATCAGCTTAACAATAAGGAGAACACGGAAAAGTGTTCATGTGGGATTCCAACAGTCAGGAGAAATGAAAATGCCTCTGCTGAATTTGTCATGATCGATCTCTATATCGTATCAATCAACAAAGTTTAAAACCTTGTACATGTATATCAACTATCAAAATTGGAGAACAATTATGCTAGTATTGAACATTTCTGACATCCTGTCAGTCAGGCTCACTTTTATGCAGCAAACTCAAGTATCTAATTCAGCCTAATATGTAAATTACAAAACAAAAAAAATGTTTTCAGAGCAAGTGAAGAGATTGAGGACGGTAACCAAATATGCCAATTTGACTGAGTAGTGTTCCAGGCATTAATTTATTTGCACCTAACTATAGAATGTAAATATATATTGATTTATTCTAGGAATAAAAGTACTTTACATTTTGGAATGCTCACTTATATTGGATCAGTGAATTATTTAAACAAATGAATGAGGTGTCAAAATAAGCTACTAAAGAATGCCAGATGGCCCAGACTTATCTTCTCCCAGTCAGTAACAAGCAAGATGATTTGAATAAAATAAATTATGGCCCTTAAAAGGGAAACTTATTCAACCTGAAAACTAAAGACAGATTCAGTGTTTATTGTATGCAAACAAATTTCCTGGCAAAGAAAAAATATTTTCATTCATGTACATAAACACAGTGGTAAGAGAGGCATATGCTTTTATTTAAATGTGTTGGTGGAAATTTTGTACTAAAATGTCTCATTCATTAGCACCAAATGTTAAAATATCCAAAGGAGGGGTTTTATGTCTTTTTTGATTTTTTACTAAAAATTTTTAAGGTTTCAACTGAAAATCATGTCTCTTTCCTAAAAATTTTAATTGGATCAATTCTTCGAATTTGCTTCAATGATATGAATGTGATCACTAATAAAAAGCAATAAAATCAGAGAGAAATCTATCTTTCCAAAATTGGTTTCAAAGGCTACATATCCACTAATAGCTAAGTGATTTTAAAAGGGTATGCCCTGTCAGATATTCCTAGATCACTGTAACAGAAATGAGTATTCAAAAATAGACCTGTGAATAAATACAAACTTTGACATGGTAAAGATGCCCTTATATGTCAGTGGTACATGGTGCTGGGAAAACAGGCTGACTATATAAAACACGTAAAACTGAATTGCTAGCTAACGAAGATCCCTGATAAATTAAAGACCCAAATGTAAGCAGAGAGTCTGTAAAATCAGAGAAGGAAATTCACACCTATATCATTGTAAATTAGGGTAGAAAGAGAGTCTTTAATAGGATGCCAAAAGCGCTCAACAGAAGGCAAAATATTATATGTAAATTGCTTAGTAGTAATGGATGCGTAGAGAATACACTCAAATTATCTGACTTCAAAGATAGCCTTTAACTACTACATGATACTTGGTTTTGTGCCATTATATAGCTTGCATTACAGAAGTATAGAGTATAATCAGTTATAAATCAATAATTTTATCTAAGCTGCTAACCCAAGTGGGGAAGCACTTCCTTGGGGGAATTTCCTCTTCCACTGGCAAAGGGCTGTATTCTCAACTTTAATGTCCATTGTTCTTAATATCGATACTTTTTGCCACTATTCTGATAGGTATATACATATATCTTACTGTTGTTTTTATTTACTTTAATTTGATAATATAGTTATTTAATTTCAAATAAGGCTCAACAATAATCTGGGCTGTCTCTTCTTTGAAATTTCTAGTCATCATCCTTTGCCATTTTACAGTGATTTCTCAACATGTTCTTATTAATTTTTAGAAGTTTCTGATTTATTCTAGATAATAATGTCTCATTAGTTTTAATATTTTAAGTATCTTCTCCGAGACTGCCATCAGTTTGTTACCTGCATCTGTGGTTATCTTTCATTAAATAAAAAATATAATGTAGTCAAGTTAAGCAATTTTTTGCTTGTCATCAGACATGACATAGCAAAGTGTTCCTTGAACACTAACCCCTTCATGGGTCTACAGAGAAGTGAAAAAGGTATTTCTCTAAAGTGCTTGTAAAAGTTATTTCCATTAAACTTTGGGCTCAGGAATTTAGTTTTTTAGATTGTGTGAATGCCCCTTTCTATCTCTACAAAAGGTAATTCTACAGAGTGCAATATAAAGATCTCTTACCTAGGATTGATAAGACATGGTTTTTAAGCTTCACTCTGCAAGAGAAGCTATATATCCTTGGGCAGAACCTCAAATGTCCCAGAGTATTTCTTTTAAGTAAATATAAGTTAATAATTTTTGCCATGTCTAATTCATTCATTTGTTTGTATTATTAAAGTGATTGATATAAAAATACTTTGGTTTATAAACAAAGAACACACAATTTTTAATACAGCCATTTTATAAACTCCATTGAAATATATAAAAAGGGAGCTGAATAACATATACCATGTTAATTTTTGCATTGATTAAATATAACAAAGATGTAGTTCTCCAAACACTAATCGATACATTCAAGGAAATCCCAATTAAGTTTAAATTGCTTCTTTTTTCTCATTTTGTCACAAAAGTTTATTAAAAGAAAATTTTATTATACTTTGAGTTCTGGGATACATGTGCAGAACATGCAGGTTTGTTACACAGGTATACATGTACCATGGTGGTTTGCTGCACCCATCAACCTGTCATCTACATTAGGTATTTCTCCTAATGCTATCCCTCTCCTTGCCCTCCAGCCCCCCACAGGCCCAGGTGTGTGATGTTCCCCTCCCTGTGCCCAAATGTTCTCATTGTTCAGTTCCCACTTATGAGAGTAGTATTTACATACATTTTATGTGTCTCAGTTTCCCTTGAAAAATTAGGATAGTAATAAAATTTGCCTCATAAAATAATTTTTAAATAAAGTGAGTTTATAGATGTAATGTATTTAGGAAAAAGCAGATAGCATGTTATAAATAAAAATGAAAGTATAGACTAAGAAATATGAAAGAGTGTATCTATTAGGGTATACATATATCTATCAATGATTGTTAAAGCAGGAAGTTGGAAGTATCCTAGATGTCCATCATTAGGAGAATGAAAAAATAATATGTAGCTAGTGCATATCACAAAATATTAGTTAGTTGGTAGGACTGGTTATTTTGAGGGAAAAGAGTAGATCTTAAATATTTAAAGTAACTTTAGTTTAATCAAAAACAAATGCCAGACTTTTGATTTTAGATTAGACATGTAAAGACCTTCGAAGTTATTACTGTCATCCTTCTATTGCCCACACAACAAGTGGGTTCAATTGTTTGACAAGTGACAGTCCAATAACCACAACCAAGGAAGACTTAACAAGGGGGCTTTATTACATGCAACAAATAAAGAGGGCACTGGGGATAACTCCCCAAACATTGGCTCCCTGAATGAGGGTGAAAACAGGGCTTATCTTAGGCTGGTTGGCTGAGTCATTGTGTGTAGAGGTGGATTAAAGGCAGTGCAGATGCAGTTGTTGATCATTCTTCTACATATGTCACATGTATAAAACATGGTGAATAAGCTCCTCCCTGGGTGGGGTTTTTGGTATGTAGTCAGGAGAGGTTTCCAAGGCTCATCTCCAACTCAAGTGTTTCTGGATCCAACTGGTTTTTGTTTTGCAGGTATTGGGCTTCTTTCTGGAATCTTTTGGAACAAAACTAAAGGTGCAACATTTATAAGTGGGTACTTTTTCACACTGCATAGCCCCAAACCCAGGGATCCTGAGTTAAACTTACATCAATAATAAAAAACAACCTGAACAAACTACAAATTGAAAACTCTTCTGAGATCCACTAGAGTATTGAGATCACAAGGCATGCCTCTGCCCCCAAAACTTGACAGTGAGGCAGATAGTGAGAATCACAGATTACCAGGAGCACAATCCTCCATTGGAGACACTTATTTTAAATATGGTAGACTATTATTTTAAATATGGAAAGAGTGTTTAAAACTCAACAATACGGAAATAACCCAATTAAAGAGTGCATAAAAGATCTGAATGGTCATCTTACCAAAGAAGCTATACAAAAGGCAAATAAGCATATTAAAAATGCTCAACATCATATGTCATTAGGGAGTTACAAAGTAAAACAAAAATAAGATACCACAAGATGTCTATTAGAATGGCCAAAATCCAAAACATTGACAACATCAAATGCTGGTGAGGAATTGGAACAACAGGAACACATTCATTGCTGGTGAGGGTCGTATAGCCCCTCTGGAAGACAATATGGCAGTTTCTTAAAAACCTAAACGTACTCATTATTGGATCCAGCAATCATACTTCCTGGTATTTACTCAAATAAGTTAAGAGCTTATGTACACACAAAAATCTGCATGCAGATGTTTATAGCAGTTTTATTCATAATTGCCAAATCTTGGGAGCAATGCAGTTGTCTTTCAATAGACGGATGTATAAATAAATTGTGGGGCATCCATACACTAGAATATTATTCAGCAGTAAAGGCAGAACTACAAAGCCACTGAAATGCATGGAGTAAACTTAAATGCATATTGCTAAGTGAAATAAGCCAGCTTGGAAAGGCTACAATCAGTGTGATTTGAAATATATGGCATTCTGGAAAAGACAAAATTATAAGACAGTGAAAAGATCAGTGGTTGCCAGAGGTTGTGGGAAGAAAAGGGAAGGATACATAAGTAGAACACATGGGATTTTTAGGTCGGTGAAACTGGTTCTGGGTGATGTTATGGTGATGTTTACCTGACATCATGTGCACTTGTTAAAACCCATAGAACTTTACAACCCAAGGAGTTAATCCTAATGTAAACTATAAACTTTAGTTAATAATAATGTGTTCATTATTTCTTCATTAATTATAATAAATATACCACATGATTGCAAGATAGTAATAATTAGGGGAAATGGGGTGAGGACCCCTTTCTCTTCTTTCTGTAAAATTTTTCTAGAAAACTAAAACTGCTCTAAAAAATAACTTCTAATAAAGATACTGATATAATTTGTATCTGTGTCTCTGCCCAAATCTCATGTTGAACTGTGATCCCCAGTGTTGGAGGTGGGGCCTGGTGAGAGGTGATTGGATCATGGTGGTGGATCCCTCATGGCTTGATGCTTTCCTCATGATAATAAGTGAGTTCTCACAAGAGCTGGTTGTTTAAATGTGTGTGGCACCTCCCCCACTCTTTTGCTCCCTCTCTAGTCATGTGACATGCTTGCTCCCACTTCACCTTCCACTATGAGTGGAAGCTCCCTGATACCTCCCCAGAAGCTGACAGATGCTGGTGCCATGCTTCCCGTACAGCCTGTAGAACTGTGATCCAATTCAATTTCTTTTTTTATTTAACTGCCCAGTCTCAGGTATTTCTTTATAGTGACACAAGAATGGCCTAACACAAATACCAACAAAGGAACACATGATATATATAAAATATGTACTTTAGGAGGACACATATCAAACTTGTTAAACTGAGGACTATATTAATAGCTTACTTCTCTGCCTAAGAATTCACAAAGAAAAAATCTCCAAGGGTTACTTTTATAATATGGACAACTTGGGCATTAATTTCTTAAAAGCAAATTACATATAGCTTGGAAAGTACGTGGTGATATAAAGCAAAGCAAGAAGGCAGAGATGAGCAGATATGGAGGAAATAGGCCAAAATCTCCTGTCTCTACCTAAGGACTTTATCTTTGGTAAATGTGTTAAATTTACAGTCTTCTGTTAGCCATTGGTGTCATTTGGCTTCTAAGACCCCCTGTACTTCATTCATCTCATTTGTGTCCCAAGGTAAATTTACTGGCTTCTACCAATAGAGCAGTGGTTGCCACTGTTTACAAGCATCCTAGTCACTCAGCTGCCACCTGGATGTAGTTCATAAAAGTAAGCCACTGTGTATGAGGCTATTATTGAGCCTTTGAGTTAGGCCACCCAAAGCCATCTCTTGTTTTTCAGCCACATAGAGGGTGAAAGGTTTTTCTAAGTTAGGGAATCCCAAAGCAGGGGCTGTTCCTAGCTCTTCTTTTAGGATTAAGAATGCCTGATGGCAGATTCCATCCCAATTTAAAGGATCATGATCACTCCCTTTTAAAGCTTTAAAACTTTAGCAGTCAGCTGAGTAGCATGTGAGATGACACTCCACTGCTGCTAGTGGACATGATGCCTATAATTTTCTTTAAATCACTTCAATATTGATGGCAGGATACAATGCACATATCAATTACTCTCATCTTTGACTTCCAGTGGGAGTCAGTTGAGGTAATCAAAAGTACATAGTTCAGGGACACTCAGTTGTCCTGATATCAATAATGTACCTTCCAGGGAGGTCATCCAATATTGTCCAGGGCAGGATCATACTCCAGAGGTGGCTGATGCTAGCTTTTCTGAAATCCCTATGTTAACTAACAATTGATACTATATGCAAATTAACACACAATATTAAAAGTAACTAACTATCGTGATGAATGTTAAAAATTGGTTCCCATTAGTGAAATTGAAGGTATTCAAGATATGTGTATTAGCTTAAATAATGTGGAGATTCTCACCACCTATAACAAACTATGTATAAGTACCCTACAATTCAACTCAGGGTTGGCACCTAAACCTGTATCTCAAAATGCTCTTCTTGGGGTATTGTGTTCCATTGTTTACTGACATTGGCTTTTATTTTTGATTACATGTTTCTGATAATTAGGGTTCAGTATCTTGGCTCTGAAATGTTTGTGTCTACTTCATGAAGGTATAATCAGAGTACTTGAAGAGACAGAGAGCTCATGGTTATCTTTAGACAGTACAGGATATATGAACTGCTTTGTACCCAGTTTGCTTGTAAATACTTCTTTAATATATATTTGTATGTATGGCAGAATTGGACCTGAGGCTTTGCTCATTACAACCACACATAGCATGGTTGTGAGGAAGTATCACATTGAGAAGGTGTAAGAGGACAATTGTGATAGAATACCCCCAAAATTTCAAGTATAGTGTAAATTTAGTGTTCTTTGGATATAGCCATAGGAGAAGAGAGACATCACAGAAGGAATTTCAGAGTTGTAGGAAACTAAAACCAAAGGCAAGAAAGTGACAATGAAAAGCAGTTATACTTTTAGAAAGTATGATGCAAGGAGGTTTGCCCTTCCTGGGTGTTGGTGTTCGCCCCGTATTGCCTAGATAAAGAGCTACCTGGGACACAGTAGCTCTTCCAGTGAAAAAGGCTACATCCAATTTCAGCTGCCTATAAAAGCAGAGATTCCCCCACTCAAGCAGAGGAAGTCCCATGTGCCCTTAAGGACTCCTTAAGGAGTGCTGAGCAGATGGCATTCCCACACAATGCCTATTAATAGACTATCATTCAAATCTACATATCTGATGCAATGCAGCTGATTTCTCTGCTGATGAGGTACTTTCTCCTGTGTGATAAAGATCAATACAGGCCCATATACACTTCATGCTGGTATGATAGGAGAATGAGAGGCCCATGCTTTCTTTTTTCTTGTGACCTCTATCCATGTACATTTTTGCTTTCAAAATCAAAGCTATTCCTCACCTCAGACCATGCTGTGGAGTGGTTCCTGCAATCTGCTGCTCAACAGGTGACAACAGGGAAGTTTTAAGAGAATGGGTATAAGATCATAATGTGAGTAGTGTAAGAGGAAACTTGAGTCAAAGGAAGTTTTATAGTTGAGAGTAGTTCGTTAGTAGTTTGATAGGGTAAAATAGGTTTTAAAATATTTAAATGTTAATGGAAGGTAGCCAAGAAAGTAGAAAATGTTCAAAAGCATCGGAGGTAGAGAATAATCAATAGAGAAAAATCCTTAAGAAAGAAAAAGTCATGTTATCTAGGGCGCAAATGGGAAGAGACTCAGCAATCCTATGGAAATCACTCCTAATGCATCAAGAGGTGAACCTGGTTGCTGTTGTCCTTGGTTTGTCTGTTTAATGATAAGAATTTAAGGAAGACCAGTTTTATTTTATATTCTCAACCTATCTATCTCTGATGATTTCTAGTACTCTCTCTGATTGAGTCAAGTGCTTTCTGATTGAGTCGTGTGATTGAGTCATGTGCTTCCCTGAAATCTAATTATGTGGCCAAGGAACCTGCCACTCACTGTTGGTCTCAGGCCTGACTTCTGTAGCTATCTTCAAACCAATATTTCTGGCAAGGAGAATGGATGCACACTTGATGAAAAAACACAAACTTTTTAAAAAATCCTAAAAATACACTTAAAATTATTACTATAATATTATTACATACCACAGCTTTCTAAAAAGTAGAGATAATTTCAGACAAACAGTTGTATCCTAAAAAATTAAAAATAATTAGAAATCAATAACGATTTGTTGAAAACTTATTACATAAAAATGTCTTTGGTGCAATCTAGAGAAAGAAAAAGAAGGTTTATAGATAAATAAGTCTTCAGTAAGCTTTAGCTAAACTTGGGCTTAAAAAACATGTTAAAAACTTTTTTTAAATCACTACAGTGACAAAAACAGTATAAAACATACTTCTAATAAACCGAATATTGAAGCAAAAATGAGAGTGTGAACAGTAATTATACTGATCTAAATAAAGAAAAAAATTCCAGAAAAAAAAATTGTTCAGTTGATTACCTTCAAAGAGTACTGAAGTGTGGTAACAAGATATTTAGGTAAGAGTAAATTGATGATTAAATAGAATTTAATGTATTATCTAAGGTACAAATTAGCACTATTTAAAAAATCTTTATCGTATTGTCATTACATGATTATATGAAATTTAGAAATGAAATTAGAATATTTCTGACATTAAGAATTTAAGGGAAGCTGGGTGTGGTGGCTCACGCCTGTAATCCCAGCACTTTGGGAAGTTGAGGTGGGTGGATCACTTGAGGTCAGGAGTTTGAGACCGCCTGACCAACATGGTAAAACCCCATCTCTACTAAAAATACAAAAATTAGCCAGGCATAGTGACATGTGCCTATAATCCCAGCTACTCAGGAGGCTGAGGGAGGAGAATCGTTTGAACCCAGGAGGTGGAGGTTGCAGTGAGCCAAGATCACACCACTGCACTCCAGTCTGAGCAACAGAGCGAGACTGTCAAAAAAAAAAAAAAAGAAAGAAAGAAAAGGAAACAACTTAAATATTACATGATGCTTAATGTGTATATAAACATTAGTTCAATGATGAATAAGAGTAGTTTCGGTATCAATGACATCAGTTGGAATAATGCAAATTATTCCAGTGAGAGGGCACATTGACTTTAACCAGAATGTCATAGAGTAGGAGATATTTGAAACTAAGAAACAAGAAACAGCAGTAATAACAGTAATAATAATAACAATAAAAGAAAATAACATTCCCAACTGCCCTCAGCCCAGAAGAAAGGATTCATGCTCCCTGAGAATAAAAATTATACAGGACACCTATTATAGAGAACATAAAGGATTGCCAAAATATTTTTCAAAAGTTTCTATAAAGTGCAATCTAATGCATAAAATTTACACCTACAATAAACCTTTTATACAAAGATTTTTACAAATAAAATCCTTTAACAATGTAGCTAGAGCAGTATAAAAAGCAGCAAAGTATAACCTTCGAGCAATTGCAAACATAAGTTTTGATGATTACAATGAGTATATCAGCCTTGCTGTCACGGAGCTACCAATGCACTATAGGTACCCAAAAATGTATGGCAAGAGCTGGTAATTCAGAACCGAGAAGATAAAAGAGAAGCAGAACATGAGTTAATAAGAAAACACTTTAGCAACTCCTGGCAAATTGTTTGAAAATGTACCAGAAATAGACACCCAAAATATATTCATGCTAAACATTAATTATGGCATATATATCTCTTCTGTCTTTGTCAAAATTAGTTTAACAATATAGCCTTACAAATTAACTTCCGTACTTGCTGAGAATTTTTTGTATTACACGTCAGTGTTCAATGACATTTTCAATGTGAATTCTCACATCATAAATTCTCTCCAATATTTAATAATTGATGTGGTTTTCCTTTTCTGAGGCATTGAAAAATATTTTTTTCCAGAAAATGCCAGTTTTTTAATCCTGATATCTACAAAATGTTAAGAATCGTTTTTAATATATAGTTACTGTATTATCTCTACCATTACATCATCTTTAGCTTTTCCCAATATTCCCACTTTCTAGCCTCAATATTTGATTGCATGTGTATTTTTTTATTTGTTTACCTTCTATTTTTGTAAGCAGTGAACAAATGCTCTTTTGCTAAGGTTAATTTGCAATTTGTATATATTTAATTTACAATTATTCAGTATTAAAAAATAAATCCCTTGTTTCTCTTCTAAAATTTTCCATTGGCAATCTTTCTCATTTCAGATCATGAAAACTTCATCCTACCAGCTATTCAAGCCAATACTCTTGCAGTTAACCTAGACTTACCCTTACCTCAGGCATTAATCCAACAAATCATCAGTCATATCTTCAAAATATATCTAGCATCAAAATATATCCACCTTTACCAATCTTGACAAACCATTTATCATCTCTTGCTTGGAGCACTACAAAAGTCTTCTAAATTATTTGTTTCAAACCCTTGACCACTACATTTTATTATCAACAGTCTATTCTCACAATGAAAAACAGTAATTCTATTATAAACTCTGGTCATGTTTGTCCTCTGCACAAAACTCTCCAATGACTTCTCATCTCAATCAAAGTAAAGGTCAATATGCTAACAACAACTAGGTTACAATTCCCTGCAATATCTGGTCCTCTTTGAGTTTCCGACTTGATCTACCTTTCTTACCTTTACCATTCTGCCTCTAGACCTAGACTCACTGTATTGCTTGCTGATTTTTTTTTTTTTTTTTTTTTTTTTTTTGAGACGGAGTCTTGCTGTGTCGCCCAGGCTGGAGTGCAATGGCCCAATCTTGGCTCACTGCAACCTTTGCCTCCCGGGTTCAAGCGATTCTCCTGCCTCAGCCTCTCATGTAGCTGGGATTACAGGTGCCCGCCACCACGCCCAGCTAATTTTTGTATTTTTTAGAAGTGACGGGGTTTCACCATGTTGGCCAGGCTGCTCTCGAACTCCTGACCTCAGGTGATTGACCCTTCTAGGCCTCCCAAAGTACTGGGATTACAGGAATTAGCCACCACCCCTGGCATGTGCTGCTTCTTAAACAAGGCACATCTGTTTATGTCTTAGTGTCCTTATATTTCCTGGCTTTTTTTTTTTTTTTTTTTTAGATGGAGTCTCGCACTGTCGCCTGGGCTGGAGTGCACGATCTCAGCTCATTGCAACCTCTGCCTCCCGGGTTCAAACGATTCTCCTGCCTCAGCCTCCTGAGTAGCTGGATTACAGGCGCCCGCCACCATGCCCAGCTAATTTTTTTGTATTTTTAGTAGAGACAGGGTGTCACTGTGTTGGCCAGGCTGGTCTCGAACTCCTGACCTTGTGATTCATCTACCTCGGCCTCCCAAAGTGCTGGGATTGCAGGCATGAGCCACTGCGCCTGGCCCCTGGCCTTTTTAAGAAATGGATATACAATTATCCAAAGTGATTATAAAATTTTGCACTCCCATGTTTATTGTATGAGAGTTTCAGGTCCTCCACATCCTCCCCCACATTTGGTATACCAGTATTTTTTATTTTAGTCATTCTAGTAGGTATGTGGTGGTATATCATTGTGGTTTAATTTGCATTTCTGTTACGACTAGTGATGATGGTCATCTTTTTATCTTTCGTATTTGCTTCACTGATATCTGTGTATCATCTTCGTGAAGTGTATGTTTAAATATCTTATCAATTTTTTAAAAATTGTACTTTTAAAGTGCTTTGTATATTAGGGATACAAGTTCTATATTATATATATGATGCACAAATAATTTCATGACAACTATGAAAAAAGTTTTACTTTGTTCTTTTCAATCTGTATGCCTATTATTTTTCTCTTTATTTATTTATTTTTATTTTTTTACCTGATTGCACCTACTGAGAGTTTTTGAAATAAATGGATATTGGATTTTGTCAAATGATTTTTCTGAGTTGATTGATGTAATCATAGTTCTTTGTCTAATGCCAATTGTCTTGAAAACACAATTGTTTGTTGTGTTGTGTTTGTTCTTTGGCTTTCTTATTGGTTTATCTCGTTTGTTTGTTTTTTGTTTGTTCAGACAGGAGAGAAAATCTCATTCTTGTTATTCCATCTTTCCCAGAAGCATACATCTGATCTAATCTTTTTAATAATTTAAGAAACATGCCATTTCATTCTTCTGAATAAAACCCTCTAACTTGTCACTGTTTTCAGAATAAATTCAAGCACCTCACAATGGCCTTCAAGGCTCCAAATGGATAGTACACACCTATCTCTTCAACCTCATCTCTACTTACCTTCTAGATTGTTATATCTTATCACTTTTTTTTTCTTTCTGTTCCCGGGAAACACCAAAACTCCTACAGTGTCACAGCTTTTGCATTTATTCCTTCTGTCTTGAAAGACCACTTTTAAGTTGTGGCCCACTAACTTGAATCCTTCGGGTTTAGCTTAAATGTAATCTCATTCGAAGTGGCTCTTCTAAGTCACTATATCACATTACTTTTTTTCCCACCCTAATAGTATTTACCAATATCTGAAGCTAAATTTTTATTTGCTTAACTTTTTTTTTGGCTAAATCTTGTCTTTATTTTCTATGGAATACTTATTTTATAAGTATTTTTTCTGTTCACATTTCAAAGCCTAACATATAGAACTGTGCTGGACACCAGCAAGAAAATTAACAAATATTTATTAAATAAATTAAATAAAGGACATGAAACTACTATTTTTACTTAGCATCCTGACACTGACTATATACATATTCTGTCATCACTTTAGTGAGAAACATTTAATTATTCTATTATTTTGTGTATGATTTGCAAATTGGCGGCCTTCCTGAAAGACTGTAGACTATAGGATCTTCTGAGATTACAGGTCATTTTTGTTCCTGTTATCAGTCCCTTTATGTGCATTTCATATTATGTCATGTCACACTTTTTGCCTTATGCATTATGGAGTAACAGAGAGAATATAGATATTGGGCTAGATAGCTTCCCCACTTCCTTAATATGTGTTCGTTTCGTAAGTTAGCATTTGGCACCTCAGTTTTTCAATTTATTATGGGGGGTTAAAAATAACACATTACCTCCAGAGTCACTGTAAAAATTATTTCTGATTATATACATAAATAGCCCAGCATATAGCAAGAGTGCAGAATTTGTTCCTACTTCATCTGTTATTTTAACCTTATTTCTAGATTTACTTTGCTTTATATGTGTGCTGGTATGATAATTTAGACTACTTGGTCTTCATCTCTGTAGAATTAGGCAAATGGGCATAATAAACTATGGTATGGAATAGAGTTGTGGAGAGAAAGCTGCAGTTGACAAAATCACTATCAATTCAATAATTTGGTATAAACAGTGAGTTGAGTCAATGCTTGTATGATACTAATTATTAACACAAAAATTATCTGAGTTTAGAAAAAGATACTTAATTTACAAATATTATTACTCAAATGCTCCTGGTAAGAAAATATTTATCAAATATTCCCTCATTTTTAGAAAAGTAAGACTATGAATTTATTAAAGAAGTAGCTGTAAATAGATATCTATCCCTATTTTTCTCAGAATTAGGACAATAGGATTGTATTCTAGGATAGAAATCTAGTAAAACATAACTCTCATCTATTAGCAACTGTAATGCCCCACTTCTATTTTGTTAATGCTGATCTTAGTTGGGGGATATTAACTTTTATTAACAGAATAATTAAAATGACAAATTAAGGTGAGATTTTATATGACACCTTTGAACATCCCTTAGATATTTATTAAATATTGCCAGTGACCAATGCACATTCTGGAGTTACCTGTGAAAATCTGGGAGAAAAAAACAACAGCAATGTTTTATTTTTCTGGTATCACCTCTAGTGAATTTATACAAGGTTTTTGCATTACATGATTCTAGAAACAAATACTTGGATGGAAGAAGAGTAATTTATTATTAATTTGTATTTTCAATGTTATCTAATTTATTTAGGTTTTGGAGGAAAATTCACGGTGTTTGGCATTGTGCCTCACACATAAACAATATGCACTGTATGACAGGGAAAGCATGACATCGTGCTGTATAGACAGCTTCACCTAGAACAGAGGACTTATTTCTAAAATGTAATTTGTGTAATAATTTATGTAATTACTTTTTTCAGTGGTATTTGTAGATCATATTTCTTCTTGAATTTTTAAATTTCATTTTACCTAGTACCTTTCACTCAGTGTTTTGCAGACATACAAAAGAGTTTGTAGTTTAAAGATATAGATAATATATTTTAAAATAAAAAATAAACATTCAATAATTCAAATGACCACAATCTCATTTATTATACAGGTTTGCATGTGTATTTATAGTTTCTCATGTTCATCAATAACTATTTAGTAGGTAAGATTGTTTTGCCTATAGAACAAGTAAATGTTCCCTGTATTACTCACTCACTGAGAAATAACCTTAAAATCAATATTAGTTTCAATTATATAGATGAAATATATAATCTCTATTTTATATATTTAATATACACATTGTCTTTATTGGTATAACCTACTTTAGGAATTAATAATACCTTTACTTCTTTTATATAAATCAAGTCTTTACCAGTAGGAGCAGATGAAACATTTAAAGTGCTCAAGAGATAAGATATTTAGCATATTGCTAGGAGACCACATTCATATCCTCCATAATAACAGCAGTAATTACGTGCTTCCTGGTGCAGGGCATTAGAAACACTGTCAGTAATGTCTCAGCATGCCACAGAATTAACTCATACAATCTTGATCATCTATTTCAAGCAGCTCATCTGCCAAGCTGACCTATACTGTAATCAAACTAAATTGTATATTTTTGCTACATTTGCATTTTATTTTCAATTTTCATATTCACACTTCTCATTTATTCTCCAAAATAGCCTTGCTGTAAGTTTCAGTAAATGAATTTTCTCCCTTTAATATCCAGTTCAATAAAAAGTATTAAATATCTGAAAGGTAAAAGTCACAGTAAATGTATTTTATTTATTTCAGTAAAATATCATATCTTCATAATCTATGCTGCCTAAAGGCAGTTAATGAATCTTTTCCTTTATCATTTACATTGTTTAAAGGAACTAGAACATTTTCACTAATCAATGTTAAGTCCTCAAAATTTTTGAATAATACAATTTAATATTAGAAAGTTAAACTCAATTTAGAATTTTGAGGCACTTAATGTCTTTTCAATTTATGGGTAGGACTTTTTTTGCAGACATATTTCCATTTTACTTCATGAAAATATTCAAACCCTCTTTATCTTATTGACCTTATTTGTAAAATTAACATAATAACCACCTCCAAGAGTTATTAAAGGTGATAATTTGATAAATGTGAGAGAAGGACTTGGCATAGTGTTTAAAGAATGAAAACGGTCAATAAATGGTCATTATTACCATTCTATTTTTTTCTATTGAGAAACACCATATACATAAATAATCTCTACAACTCTCATCAGCTAGTGAATTTAAAATGAAATCCTGACTTTTGAAAATTTGTGTATGTGGGTATGTGTGAAAATTATACATGTATGTTGAATTTCAAAAAAGTCTATAGTTTATTCATAGCATATATTTCCTTATAGCTGACATGACATTGAGTTATTTAAGCATATCCTTTAAAATTTGTAAAAGTTTTGTAGAATAGTCCTGACATTCGTGCGTGAGATAAACTTCCTTTTTTGTGGCTGACTTTAATCACTCTAAACAGCATACTAGGCCCTATTGCCAGACAGGCTCGTAAAATGGCAGAAATGTTTCTTTTATGTAATTTCTGGGACCAGGTCATCTGAGGTGAAAGGCTCTAAGGAAATAGTATGGCTATACTGTATATGGTGCTTTTTTTTTTACCCTAACTGTGGTATTGCAGAGGCTGCTTGTCTGCTACAATATCTACCCTCCTTTCTGGTATTAGAATATTTGTTTTTTAGCTTATCTTGAAGTAATAACTGAAAATCCCAGCCTTCTATGAAGTTAGTGTGGCCTGGTGAAGTTCTGGCCATTGCCATGTAAATGAATGTACTGTCCTATATGTCAGCTTCTGCGACATTTTACGAAAGGTCATTTCCCTCTTATCCCCCTTCCTCCTACCTCCATTGTGGAATGAAGAACCAATGAATGGAGCTTCATCCACCGCCTTGGGCATTGAACCATTGTTTTGAAGAGCAGAGCAGAGAGAAAAGAAGAATTAAGAAGACTAAATTTATGAGTCTTGTAGAGGCAGGATATACTCTTAGTCTACTTGATTCTTGACCTGTTTTTTTGTTGTTCCAAAATAAGTTGTTTTTTTTTTTTTTTTGCTTAAGCACTCCTTCATTGAGTTTTCTATAACACAGAGGCAAACCTGACACACCTCCTACTTAGAAATATCTTTATTTTTATTAGCATACTTTCCACAGGGAATACCAGTGATTTTTAAAATTTCAATTGCATAATATTGATTTTACTACTAAATAGGCAGGTTTTTAAACTTGCTTTCATTATAAATTTTTCATGAGAGGATACAAGTTACTTTTTTAAAAAAATTGTAAAATAAACAATATTTTAAATCAGTATTGAAATAACTGGAAGCCATCTCTTTCCTACCATAATCTGATTATTATACATAACTATTGATAATTAATTGTATAAAATTAGATTACACTCCTAGCATATTCTCCACAAAAGGAGTGGATTGCTTATCTTATAATATCAAGCTATATAAAGATAGTTTTTGAAAATATTTTAGACATTATTAATTCGTTGCATTTGTTGCATAGCAGAATTTGAGACCCTTGGATTACTTGGCATGTGTCAAATTATAGAAAAAGGCAAATGAATAACATTTATACTTTAGTGCTTTGTTAGCCATGTATTTTTATTCAATTACTTATAGTGTATCTGTGAATGCAGTTAACAACAAATTAAAGACTGAAGAAGTAACTGAAGCCATATCAATTCAAATAATCCAAAATGAAATGGATACAAAAAAGATGGCAGCAAATTGAGCATAACTTCAGTGAGCTGTGGGGAAATTAAAGTAGGCAAGCATATGTGTAATTGGAGTCCCCCAAGGAGAAGAGAGAAAGAAGGAATACAAATGGAAGAAATATTGGTGAACATTTTTCCAAATTTGCTGAAAAATTTGCAACTACAAATTTATGCAGCCCAAGAAACATAAATGTAAACAACATTTAAAAAAAACATTATAATCAAATTACTTAAAACCACTAGTAAATAAAGCATCTTAAAAGAAGCCAGAGGAGAAAAGCCCATTATACATGGAAGAAAATAGGTAAGAATAATAGCAAATTCCTTACGGAAAACAGTGCAATCAAGACCTTGGCTTGATATTTGAAAACTACTAGAAAAACAAAAAATCGAACTCAGTTAACACAATATTCTAAGGAAATTGTGGAAACTCTGTATCTTTTAAAGAACTAAACTTTAACAAAAAACCTCCAGAACCAGATTATTTTAATAGTGATTTTGACAGACTGTTTCCAAAGTTCATTTGTAAATGGAATTCGCCTAGCACAACCAAGACAACTCATAAATAGACAGAACATGTTAGAAGACAACGACTGCTGGTTCAAGCCTTATCTATCAAAATAAAATAGACAAAATAGATTAATGAAATACAATAGATTAGAAGGAAATCTATACATACATGAACAGCTAATTTTTTATAATTATGTAAAGAAAATTCATTACGGAGAAGAGAGGGTTTTCAATAAATGGTGCTAGAATGTTTGAGTTACCATATACAGAAATAATTAACATTATTGGAAATTTGGCTCACACTACATCACAGTCCGAAATGCAATATCTAAATCACTGAATCTGCTACAATTAAATTTAGGATAAAATTTGGTGACTTTGTTTTATGCAAAGATGAAATTAATGAAAAATGAGTAACGTGAATGAAAAGACGAACTTCAGATGAAGAGAAAATATTTTCAAATCATATATCTGATAAATAATTTATACACAGAATATATAGACATACATCTTATAACTTAACCCTACCACATTAACCACTTCATCACAAGAAATATATAGATAATAAATGAGCACATGAAAAAATGTTCAACATCATCAGTCGTCACAGAACTGGGAGTTAAACGGCAACAAAATACCACTACGCAACTAACAGATGTCTAAAATTAAAAACGCTTACCAATATGTTGGAGAGTATGAGGACCAACTGGAGAGCGTGTGAATTTATTTGGAGAATATAAAATTTTATAGCCATTTTGGAAAATAGTTTGTAACTTTCTTAAAATGGTAGACATACACCTGCCACATGATCCAGCCATGCCATTTGTAGGTATTTACCCCAAACAAATGAGAACGTAAGTCTATACAAAGACTTATATGAGAATTTTCACAGTAGATTTATTTGGAATGACCTAAAACTGGGAACAATCCAAATATTTATCAAGACATAAATGGAGACACAAAATGTGGTATATCTAGTCTGCAATTGGGATACAAAATGGGATACTAGTCTGCAATTAAAAGAATGGATTACTGATGCATGCAACATGGATCCTTAGATTGATAGATCTGAAAATAATTTACTGAATGAAATAAGTCAGAAAATAGGTACGTTGTGTAGCTGTGTATAATTTTATTTACGTTAAGTTCTAGAAAGATGGAAACAAATTTATAATTATAAAGAGATCAGTCTAGGTGTGTGGGGCCTTTGATCCCAGCACTTTAGGAAGCCTAGGTGGGAGGATCACTTGAGGCCAGGAGATCCAGAACAGCCTGGGCAACTTAGGGAGATCCTATTTAAAAAAAAAATTAGCCAGCCATAGTGGTGCATGCCTGTGGTTCCAGCAGCTACTTGGAAAGTCAGAGCTGCAGTGAGCCATGATGGCACCACAGCATTTCAGTCTGGACAACAGGGACTTGATCACAAAAAAATAAATAAATAGCAGATTGATGGTTGCTTCTGGACTGCGGGAATTGATGAGACGTGAAAATGAGGATTACAAAGCAACATTATGGTAAATATATTTGTTTTCTTGATTTTATTGATGCTTTCACTAGTGTATATATTTGTTAAAATACATTAAGATGTATAATTTAAATGTGTGCAGTTTCTTAAATTTCAATTATATCTCAATAAAGTATTCTTTAAAAAGATGATTTTATTCACAAACACTATTAATAATAAGGGAAAATGTAAGGTAAGCAAATGAAATTCTACTTACTGATTAGAATGGCTAAAATTAAAAAGACTGGCCCTACCAAGGGTTGGTAAGGATCTGGAATAAGCAAAACTCTCACATTCTGCTGGTGGATGTAAAATATCACACAACCACCTAGCTCTTGTCAACTTCCTCAAAAGTTAAACATATGCCTGTTATGTTTCAGCTCTTCCATTTCTCAGTTTTATCCCAAATAAATGAAAGAATAAATACACAAAAGTAAAAGAATTAGTTCACAAATGTTCATAGCAACTTCATTTGTAGTAATGCTAAATTGGAAACAACCTAAGTATCCATCATCTAATGAATAGATAAATAAACTGTGATATACCCATTAAGTGGAATACTACTCAGTAATGTAAAGAAATGAGCTATTGATGTGAATAAGAACATTGGTGAGTCTCAAAACGATAACGCTGAGTCAAAGAAAAAGGTAATAGATGCAGAATTATGTAATTCATATGAAATTCTAAAAAATGCAAACTACTGGATATTGGCATACTGCAGATCAGTCTTTTCCTCAGGACAGATAGGAAGGTATGTGAAAGACAGGGATTTCAAAGGGTTATAAGGAAATTTGGGGGGTAAATAGAGATGCTCATCATCTTAATTTTAGTGATGGTTTGATGGTTATACACACATATAGAATTGTTCATTTTATATATATATTGTGTGTCAGTTATAGCTCTATTATACTGCAAAAAATAAGAATTCATTAGTGTACTCTTCCCTTTCCAGTAACATTAATAGTTACATGAAGACATTTGTTACCTAAAAATAAATACGTTACTTGTAAAAATGATCAAATGTTTTTATCTCTATCTAAAATTGTTTTTCTTCGACATCAGCTTTTTCTAGCTTTGAGAGAGCACTAATTAGGCTTTTGACATAGGGCTATTAACTTCCTGATAGCCAATAATTAACTCTCTGATATTTTTAAAAACTTTCCCATATTTTATATGTAGAGGGAAACGCAACAACATGAACTCTGGGATCCTGTTAGTTCTCCAGACGTTTAATCTTCCTATCAATGTTTTCACTGATTGAAACATCTGAACATACAGAAGTATTCAATATGTGTGAAACCCAAACTGTTGCGTCCACACGGAATTATCATGTAGAGAGACTGCGGCCAATTTCAGGCCTCTGTTGTGTAAGTAACTACATGCAGCCTTTCAGGTAATAGTTTCATATGTTGCACAAGAGTCATGGGTTAAGAGAAAGCTAACTGCTAGCGATGTAGTTTATACTGACTATCTCATGTAATCTTTATGGCAGTGCTTTGAAATAGTTTTTTTTTTTAATTTTAAGATTAGAAACTTTAATTAACTTGCGAGGTTTGAAACCATTCTCCTGAATTATACAGACTTAAAGAAAATACTTCTCTTTGTGGAAGAAACAAGGCCAGGGCATTGGGAAAGCAGCTCATAGCAGAATCATGGCCTCCTACATGCACTCACAACACTGACCAAGATAACAGAAAATGACAAAACTGTAGATTAACTGAATAAACTGTGGAAGATAGCTGTAACTCTTGTAAACCCTCTTACATTATTGAAAAGTGAAAGAATAGGCTCAATGATCCCCAATTTTCTTTTAGTTTCAAAATTATATAATCCTGTTAGTGATGGACAAAGTGAATATTAGGTGTGGTTGTGAAATGAAACAGAGTCAGAGACATCTACACAGGGAAGATGTGCTGTCTCAGCAAAGGCAAACACTTAAGCCTCCTGAATGAATAAATTGATGTGTGTGATCTCTGCTCTACAGTTAGGACTCCATTTGAAGGCATTGATATGTCCTGGACAATGTCTTCCATGGGTCAACGGTTGTGCTGCAGAATTTTTCCCCCAGTCATAGTACATGTTATTAACTTATTCATTTCATGATATAATTTTTCATACAAAAATGAATACACTTCAGCCAGGCACGGTGGCTCTCGCCTGTAATCCTAGTACTTTAGGAGGCCGAGGCGGGAAGATCACCTGAGGTCAGGAGTTTGAGACCAGCCTGACCAACAAGGTGAAACCGTGTCTCAACTAAAAATACAAAAATTAGCCAGGCGTGGTGGCACATGCCTGTAATTCCAGCTACTCCGGAGGCTGAGGCGAGAGAATCGCTTAAACCCAGGAGGCGGAGGTTGCAGTGAGCAGAGATCATGCCGTTGCACTCCAGCCTGGGGGACAGAGTGAGACTCAGTCTCAAAAAGAAAAAAAAAAAAAGTACACTTCACAGTAGCTTTCGAGCATTTTTACAACAAGAGTTATTTTTAATTCGAGGTCATCTGTTGTAACTTAGGTTATTAATGCATTAGCCTTTGTAGATGGAAATCGGCTACAAATTAGCAGTCTACAAGTATAGAATATTCTTTACCATAGTATAAACTGCTCTAAGTATATTTATCAAAAATTAAAAATAACTGTTGGGTAAAAAGAGCATTTATACTTCTATTTATCAAATTCACAGACCATTATATGAAAACAATTCATATTTTATTTATAAAACAAAAAGAAATTAAAATTCTTTTGACATAAAATTATATTACTAATAGTCTTGCTAAAATTATGTATAAATTGGTTAATTAAAATGACTATTACTGGATTTGATTATGTACATTTATTACATTTAAATTTTATCATAAGGGAGTTCCCTTGAAACAAATATTTAAGCTTTATCATGAAATTTGAAGGGTTTTAAGAAAATTGCCAGAGAAATCCTTTAATGCTTTCCAAAACAGAATGGGTTAGTGACACAGGAAGATTAAAATTTGGAACTCTAATCTCAACTTAATTCACCTTCTGGGATGATTCTGGGCAAGGCACTTAACCTCACTCATCCTTTGTAAATGTAGATTGGTGAAAACCAAGCTGTAAAAAACTGTAAATAAATATAAATAGCTATACAGAGAATCAATTTCAACCTTCACTGGGTAAAAATCAAAATAATCTAATTGCTATTGTTTAGCATGAAATAGCAACCCTGAAGCAAGCAGTTAACAGAACTACCATGAGCCATGGATCTCAGTGTGAGTGTTTGAAAGTCATTAATCTGACACAAAGCTGATGAACGAAATGAATACTACATTGATTAAAAACAGATCACAAAGAACAAGTGGAATTCAATATTAATATTGAACATAAATTTCCAAAACATCAAGAACACTGCACTCCATAAACCATATATGTGCTTATGCTGATGCTCTAAATATGACTTGATGCTTTGTGTGCTTAGCTGGGCTGAGGCAAATTAATTTAGTATATAAAATACATGACACCATTCGCAATACGTGCCAACCTTATAGAAAAAATAAATTTAATCCTATTTCCCTGCAAAATAAACAAATGAAAAATGTGTATTACTTTAAGATCACCCTTCATAATGAGTGTTGCACTCCCACCAGAATGGTGGGAATTTGGGGAGTAAAGAGAGATGCAATCCAATCCAATGTGTTTCTAAATAAAATGGCATAGCAGTGTCCACTTATTATAATCTTCTTCCCACTCATCGCAGGTGTTTGTACTGTTTGTGGGGAATCCTGAATCTGAATTAGGTATTTTCTAATAAATTTCAAAAACATGAAAGATTGTCTCAGAAAAAAAATGACTGTGTTTTTAGTGGTTTAAGTCATGACTTCAAATTTCAACCTGTTTATTTATTACGATTAGAATGTAACATTCTATGTACACAAACAATATAAAGAAAACACAGAATTTAGTTGTAAGGTAGCTATTAAAAGAAGAATAGGCATAGAAAGTCAATGCAGGCCTTCTTACGGTCTACAATCTTCAAAAAATTTCAGGAAATTATTGTTGTGTATCAGGAGAAAATTATCATTTCCCATAACTAAACATGTCAGAATTTATCCAACATGGTCTCAGTTTCCAAATGGTAAAATGCCTAACTCTCCTTATTTTCATAACATACTTTCTTGATCTGCACATTTACTGGAAAGATTCATTTTAGCCACAATATTGCTAATTATTAGTTAACAAGTGAGAGAGAGAGATTGCACATGGATTATTAAAATTATATCAGCACTTGAGCCTCTGGAATGAACATTTCAACAGAATCTCTCTATTGCCATCCTTGGCGACGGAAACTGAAGTTCAGCTCTGTGGCATGAGCATTCACATATCACGTTAAAGACACAGTCAGGAGTGTATTGGAAATATGCCATGTTAAGTGTGTCTAAGTCTTCTTTTTTAGAATTGTGCTTAATTCCAGACATTTAAAGGAATATAAAATTATTAGCCAAAGTAGGAATATCATTTAAGATGATTTCTTCAGTGGAGTAATAAAAGAAACCATACCACAGCAATACAAAATCAACCAAAACAAAATATTATCTCATCTCAAATTCCATATGAGAAAGTTATAAAGCATAGTTGTTGACACAACAGATATTATTTCCTCTTTCTATTGCACTTGAGGTTATGAAAAAAACATGCTCATGCAACTCATCTCTTTGTTTTGGAATTATTTTGATTTATATTTATTGAACATCTATCTATTTTTCTTGTAGTTTTTTTATTACTTTGTAAGTTGAGAAACAATTGTTATTAATCAATGTAGAAATTTAAAATACCACGAACATATAGCCTACTAACACGAATCTTAATGTAAAAATTCCCCACTGAAATTATAATTACCATATTGATATACTTCAATTTTAAAATCACTTTAAAATCTGAAATATAACTTTTTTGATACATAATGCACTTTAAGGAAAAAAATCTGCATCAACTTTAGGCAAAACTCAATTCTTTTGATTGATTGTAGTTACATGCCTGTCTATTATTTTCCAAAATAGCTTAAAATTCAATCTCTTGCCTGGGCGCGGTGGCTCACGCCTGTAATCCCAGCACTATGGGAGGCCGAGATGGACGGATCACGAGATCAGGAGGTCAAGACCATCCTGGCTAACACGGCGAAAACCCATCTCTACTAAAAACGTAAAAAATTAGACAGGCACGGTGGCGGGCGCATGTAGTCCCAGCTGCTCGGGAGGCTGAAGCAGGAGAATGGCGTGAACCCGGAAGGCTGAGCTTGCAGTGAGCCGAGATTGCGCCACTGCGCTCCAGCCTGGGCGACACAGCGAGATTCCATCTCAAAAAATAAATAAATAAATAATAAAAAAACTTCAATCTCTTTATGGGGAAGAGGTTAATAATATAATTAGCCTAATGAATTATTTTTAATAAATTTTAAACCCCGTGAACATTAATCTCTATTTATTAGATAATATAGACAGGGGTTCTGGGGTTTGCTTGGAGGAGAGTTCAAATCTTATCCACTCTCTATATTCTTAACAGTAATGTAGGACATCATGCTCAAACTAAAGGACTTTTGTGAGAATTCAACATAAAATATGAGGCATCTAGCCACGAATTAGTCACACAGAAGACACTGAATAAATATTAACTCATCTTTTTTACAGTTAATACATAACTAGATGCTTATTTAGTGAGTTTTGCTTTGTTCTTGAGTGGGCTTCTAAAGCAGAAGAGGACGTTCATACATGCAGGTGTGTACTTTCTGTGTCTCTAGTCGGTCCAGACACAGGTATTGTGTCTAATTGGAACTGGAAGTTCTTGAGAGACCCTGCAACCAAAGTCCATTTCCAGGAGCACTTTGGGTATTATCGTTTCCTATTATATGGAGAAAGTCTTTGGTAAAAAGATGATAAAGCTACCACAGAGAAAAGCAGATGCCTCTATGTGTGAATGTTTGTGTGTGTCTGAGTGAATAAAGGACAAAACATCGATTATCCTGAATTTTTAATCACTTTATCCCTGTCCTTCCAATAGCTTGATAATTCTTCATTTTTTACCATTTGTGAGACAACAAATACCCCAATTTTTAACCTAAGTTAGTTCAAGTTGGGTTTCTGCCGCTTGCAAAGAAAACAAGCATATGTTTCCAATATATCTATGACATATGAAGTTGGAGAAGATTGACATAAAAGTACCAATTAAATATTTACCAGGTATCTAATATAGAAAAATCCACACTCTGTATTTCATGCCTGTATCTATAAATTGGAAATAGTTATATCATAATACTGGGATTAGTCACAATCAGGCACTTTTACTGTCGTGATGTCTACTAATAATATTTTTAAATAACTCTCTTCCCTAGTTAGTTACATGCATATAGCCAGGGAACTATGGTTTACATGCAGGAAAGAAAATGGTAAATACTGAGTTAACAAAGCAAAGGCTGCTGAATGAATTCAAAGTGATGACTCAGGACCTCCTGGGTTCAAACTTTGTCTTCATTATGTTTTTGTGAGATCGCAAGTAAATAATTCAATCTTTCTGTTTTCTCACAGAAGAGGAAAGCCCATTATGATCAAAACATTGATATAAAATGATTCATGAGTGCCAAAATTGTTTGTTCATATTTATTATTTCTCTTGGCTAACTATAAAATAGTTCAAGAATATTAAATTTACTTTCAAACATTGCTCATGAAAATAATGTAAAATGCGTTCTCAGGTTTATTGTGGGATTTTTTTTTCTCCCACATTCTCCCATATTATTGAGCTTTCTTATTTGTATGAATGAATATCAAAACTTTTCAGCAATTCAAGTTAAAATTAGGTTATTTTAAAACACCATATCACTTTTGCTTGCAAATAACAAGCTACACTCTAGATTCATTTAGGTATTTCTACTGTTTCTCAAAATAACTATGAAGTATTTTCAGCCCTACCTTCCTAATGTAATTTGTATAGCTGGCTGCTACCAGGTAATTAATATGAAAGTATTCTATTTAGGGTATCAAAAAAGAAACACATATTTGACAGCTTGCTTTTTCCAGTTCAGCTACTAATTATTTTTTTTAAATGGAAAAGGAAAGGCTCAGCATTTAATTGAGGATAAATGTCATTTTTATACCTACACAATGTGCAAAATACATATACATATACTACACAACCTCACTATTATCAACTTGTTTCAGGATTAAGATTTTATGATACTATGGCTATTCTAGGGACAGAGCTTGGGAGAGAAAATAGACAATGGGCCATGATACCAAGTCCTTACCATAATATTCTATTTGGCAACTTTTAAAATGTAAGAGCCATCATTTAACTATCTGAACATGGCTTTCCTAATCTTTAAATCAAAAAAAATTCAGGCAAATTATTTTTAGTATCTCTTTAAGCAATATATTTTGAGCATTATTTTTAGGTATCTTTATTACATTATGCAAGATTTACATGTTTCCAAATATTAAATAGACAAAATATAGTAACCAGTACTTTACTTTTCAGAGCATAATCTAATATTTCAAGACTCAGAATTCCCCTAAGTCTTCAATTGTTGCTTTAAAGAACATTCTGAATATAATTGATCATAAAACTATGGAAAAAATATTGTTGGTCAATGAAGACAGTTGTGATTAATAAAAAAAAATTCTAAAGCTTTTATTTTGAATTTAGAGTTGCAGAATTGAAACATTTTTTACATGAACACAAATTTGTTTTCTTTAATGAATGTTTATTTTCTAACTTTTCTTGACCTACAGCTTAATCTGTGTGCTTGACTAAAAGAAAAAGAATTTATTTATTCCCACTTAACCTTTTGCCGAGAGTCAGCTGAAGAATAATCCTCTTATAGATGGTATTTACTCTAAGAGAGGCACAAACCCAAAAACTCCTGATAGGCATTGCGCACCACCTGTTTCTGCTAGCTGAGACCAAGCACTCAGAAGAAAATAGTGATCCATTTACTTTTATGCCTGTAGAAAAAAATGTGGATGATAAACTGGAAACTTACTGTACTTCACATTTTGCAGCATTTTAGCTTTTCTCCCCTCATCTGTACTAGTTCTGGAAAACACTTTAAAATACTCAGAAAAAAATAGGAGAAAATTTTTTTGACATGGAGTTAGGGAATTCTTTCTAATAATAGCCACCAGAAATATAAACCATGAAGAAAATCAATGAAGAGTTATACTATATTAAACAAAACATTTCATATCAAATACATATTATTTTTTAAAAAGAAGTCAATAAATGAGTGACTAAAATAAGTACCTAGAATATATAATGATCTACTCCAAATCAATAAGGAATCCATAATAACTGTATCAATAAAAAGGAGAAAACATATCAATTGACATTTAACCAAACAGGGAAACTGAATGGGAAATAAAAACATAAAAAGATGTTTGGCCGCAACTAATAATTAAAGAAATAAAATAAAAAGTACCATGAGATTCTTTTTTACATTCATAACATTGTCAAAAAGCCAGAACTCCGAGACTATTAAGCATGGTAAACTGTGCACAGCATCAGTACTTATGCCCTCTCACTCATAGTTAAAATGAATCAGAGATGAAAGACGCAATAGTAAGGTTGATAACAACAAATGTCTTGGGGATACATTGTAGAGAAACCTGATGGGTTTGCAAGGGAGAGGTGTTCAAGAATGTAAATTGCAGCATTATTTGTAAAAAAGAAGAAAGAAAATGGAAAAGGAAGAAATGGAAAAAGAGAAAGGAAGAAATTATAAACAATCAAAACTTTTATCACTTGCTGTATGTATATAAATTTATCTGTATAGTGAAAAACCATAAAAAGTGAACTTAACAAATCACAGAATTATGCAGTTGTGCAACAATGCAAGTTGTAGAAAACTTTTTACACTATAATGGAATTTACAAATAATTTATAAATAGACAAAATAACATTATGTAGCATATTTTATACATGCATATTAAGTAAAATATAACGTATACAGACAGGATAATGACCAGTATAAGGTTTGCTTCTGAGAATAGAGAATGCACAACTAGTGAGGGTGATGCCTAGGTTTCACTTTTATCCAAAATATTTACAATTTTAAGTTTTTTGGTGCCTACAGAGATCTTTGTTATGCTATTGGTGACATACATTACATGCCTGAAATGTATAAAGATGTTGGAAGAATATTTTAATTATATTTGTTAGATATTATATCATTAAGTTGTTAAGATACAAAACATACGTAAATATAAACACATATATACACATACATACTAATAACTAGTAAAAGCATACAATGGGAATTTTTTCACTTTAAAACATATATAATATCTATAAATAAAACATGAAATTGCACATCTACCTGAAGAAAATACTAAACTGAATGCATGAAATAACATAAAATATATCATTAGAGAGATGTGACTTAAATGAGAACATTCAATACTGTAAAGGAATCAATTATCCAAACTGGCTTTGCACATTTAATGCATTTGTAACTCAAACCACGAAGAAATTTTATTCAATTGAAATCGTTTGAAATTTATCTCATAGAATAAATAAAACAAGATTTAAGACATAAAGAACAACGAAATAGGTTTCCATTGTATCTATGTATGTGACATTAGCTAGTGTTAACAGACTAGAATATAAAACTCAGCACCAAGTGTCTATGTATCTATCTCTCTAGGAAATTACTACTAATAAGGTGGTCAGGAACAATTTTTTATTTATAATGAAAAGTAAAACAATTTAATCCTCTATTTCTATATCAATTATTATATTGAATGCTTTGAAGCTGTGAACTATTATTTATCCTAGAAATTATAAATATTAAGGGAAGGAAGAACATGGCTGATAATTTTACAACAAAAATTTCATAAAAATTAAAGATCAAAACTACAATGTTTTTTGTGCATTTATTAGAAAATACAGTGCTATCAAGAATAAATAAAATAATCAATTTAAAAAGATTTGTAAATCACTCAAATGTGAATAATTGTTCAACCAGCCTAATTTTTACAAATATATTAATTTATATAATAATTTTCCCTACATCAAATAGAAAAGAACAAACATTAAAATTTTATGAATGCAGGGCAATTCTCTACTGTGTGTTTTCTGGTGGCAGATTAATCAATACAGTACTGCTTAAGGAATGTTTTACTCAGTAATGTACCATTTATATCCTATAATTACAATCCCAGTATTTTATAATATTTTATATCTTATATAAAATATAAATAAAGATAAAGTGTAAGAAAGAAAAATTCAGATTTATCACAAAGTTTTATAGACAGCCTTGGTACATTCTGAAATAAGACAAAAATTCACAAGATTATAACTTTAAAGTATGTTTTTTCTCCCAACGCATCCCACTTCTCTCAAGATGCTAGCACTCTTTAAACTTTGTTTGCTTATTGTTATAGAAATTACCTGTTTGCCCATCTATCTTACAGCATATTTTCTGATCTTACAAAAATGTTATAATGTATACTGTAATGCAATTTTGCAGAATCAAATTTACTTCAAAAGTCTAAAGACTTAATAAAATCTCACAGTTGATTTAATAAGTCCCAATTTTTCTCAATGGTAGGCATTTTAAAGTTTCCCGTTGTATAATGTTATAAGCAAGCTATAATTACTTTTGGAGGATATACATCTATATTGACTTATTTATGAATACTTGTTACGTATTAGATTTCACAGTTTACAAGTAAAATTGCAGTTGATAATTTTGAATTATCAGCTGCTTGAAACGTTTTTCCCATTTTTATTACTAAACTCACATCAAAAATAATGTCATTATTACTTAGTAAATGATGTAATGTTTTTTCATAAAAACTTATTTTTAATGAAGTTACCTTAAAGACTGATGAATGAGAAGAGTGCCATGCATTTTATTATAAAAAATGCAATAGCAATAAATAGTAATTAACTAGAAATGAACCCACATGTTATAAGAAATACTGTACCAACATTTCCTTGATTTATTTAATAAGATCAATTTTAATTCAAAAGAAAGGGAAAGAAAAAAAATCTAAACTTAAAAAAAAATCTTTTCAGAGGTCTTTTCCATGATTGAGCTATAGAAAAACAGGATAAAATTCAGATGAAGTCATGTTTGTGATGTTTCTGATGGAAAGTATTAACATTTGAGCAGATTATATATTCCTTAAATTCCTTTGCAGAGGGAAAGTTTGTACATTCAGTAATTGAAAAAATTGATTTCCTTATTTTCTTTTCTTAATAAATGATTTTTGCTCAAAGAGCAGCTAAATGACATTGAAAAATAAACAAGATATTGACAAGCAAGGTATTTCTCTACTTTTATATCAAAGAGCTACTGGTTCAGTCAGGAAAATATTTGAAAATCTTTTGAATCTCTGTCAACATATACTCATTATGTACTGTCCCCATAAACAACTTTTTTTTTAACTGTCATAATTTCATTAAGAAAACAGCCACTGTTGGTGTCTGAGAGTGTGGGCTCTGACACTTGAATCAGAGCTCTAGCTGTTGTTCATGGGCCAATGATTGTCTCTTCAAGCTTTCCTTACTTCATAGGCAAATTATGAGTATTTAAAATGTGTTTAAAAATACATTGCATAGATGAAATATGATCATGCATGTATAGCATTTAGCACAGTTCCTGTCATAATAAAATACCTAATAAAACATTATTATAATTGCATTTTTCTATATCATTCAATTCACATAAATGCATTATAAATATAAAGCAAATTATTTCCAAAATAAATATTCACAAAAATGTGCATACAATGTAAGGGTTCCATGTAACTTCCACTATGTGTTCACTTTCCAAGTATTGATTACTTAAGTAATGAGAGGGTGGTAAGAATTGCAGAGTATTTAGAATATATGTCATAGAGAGTAATTCCTATTCACTTTATATTGGAGAGATATAATTTATCAAAGAGCTCAAGATTATGTTCTTTGAAAAGTTCCAAAATGCTGTGTTCTCATTTTTTATTAAAGATGATAAGGTTATGCACTTTATGTGTCAACTAAAACAGAAGTTGTATTGAAATTCTGATGAAATTGAAAATCACATGTACCTGACTAGAAAACCACCTTACCTCTCATTAGAAATAAGCTGAGGAAATAATCATAGACAGGAACCTTTGCAAACACTCAATAAATCCTTGTTCACTAGCATCAGTAGCATCCACATTCTGGTTGACAACAAGTGTTTAAAGAAAATTGATTGATGCTCATTGTTAGGCTGAATGAAGATGTTTTGGGGCATGCCAAAGAACTCTAATTTGGCCCTGTCTATTTTAATCAAAAATAATTTTGACATCTTTGCTGAGGGCACAAATATAGTAGAAACAGCCACTATGTGACTTACTGAATCTGAATTTTTTTTAATCATAGGATGAAAAGTCTTCAAATATGATTATTTGTTAATATTTAAGATACATAAAAATGAAGTCCTATAACCAGATGTTAAATAATTAACTAGATGCATAAGGAGAACATTTGTCTTTACAGTATTCTTATATGAATTGTGTTTGCCTGCAAATTCATCAGGAGTCATGGATACCGGCTGCTACAAAGTCTAATGCCGTTTTTTGGCTATTGTAACAGAAGTGTAATATAAAGTTCAAGGATACAGTGAGAGTGTATCACTGAGTTCTGCTCCATTTTGTTTGATTCAGAACAGCGTATTTTAAGACACACGCTGGCAAGTTATCAATGTCTGAAACATATGCAGAGATTGATGAAAGTTCTATAGCTATGTCATCTGAGTAGCACTTCAAGTAATAATGAGATTGACACCACAATCAGAGCTCCTGGAGGAAACTCAGTCTGGTAAGCCAGGAACATTACTTGAGAATGGTGAAACACAGAGTAGAAAATCAGTCAGGTAAGTAGTCCTTATGGCAACAATCCATCATCATAAAAAAGGCAACTGCCTTCAAGCCAAAGACAGTGGGGCTGTCAAGAGAAGACAAAGTCTCATCTCTACAGAGACTGGTTTTCAGAGTGGTCAATAGTTTTCTAAGGCAGATGCTCAGGCAAAATGAACAAAACAGACCCTGACAAAGACTGTGGAATAAGCTGAATATTTAAGACTAGGTAGAAGCCTACAATTTAAAACTGAGGTACAAGATAGAGCTAGAGCAATAGATGAGTTACTTATATCATTTTTGTTTAAGCTTAGATAAGGATTTATATCTTGTATGGTAAATATGTGACAACTGAATCACAAATCCACTCTCCTGCATCTTTAGCAGAAATTATCATATACTCATTACACTCACTGAAGAGACTGGTGTCCTCAGAATCATTTTTATTTGCAAATAAAACTTCAAAATGTTTTCACACAGTATGAAACCTGGGTACTGGGTAGATTGGAATCAATGAAGACAACAAAGTTTTGAAACAAGGTAGAAGTGTGAACAGGTGGGGAATCCATACAGCATTTTCTTATTCTGGAAGGGAGCTCGAATACAGCATTCATGAAAATGTTTTCCTTCTCTAAGATGATAGAGTTAGAACTAAAAGTCAGAGTAAATAGGCTGGTGAAGAGCCTCGATTCTGCAACTGAGTAAAATCCTGGCTCAATTACTACCTGTATGAATTTAGTACATTGTGCAGTCTCTCTATTCCATGCATTATCTGTAAAATAATGTAGAGATGCTGTGAGAAGTAATGGCTCAAACTATTTGAATCGCTGTTAACAGTGCCTGGCACAAACTAAAAGCTCTGGAAATATCAGCTGTTATCACTATACATTTTTAAATATATTTTAACACAATTCTACGCAAAGCGGTGTAGTAAAATATCACATGGCTAGCATGAGATTAATCTGGATTTGTGTTCTGGCTCTGACATTTATCAGTGCAGAAACTTTAGCTGATTCAAGCTATAGTCTTTTCATTTATAAAAGGGGAATAATTCTACATACTTCTTAATTTGTCATTCACTTTAAACACAACAATTGCACATACAAACACACATACATATACAGAATTTATAGGAAAAAATGGAAATAATGTAGAATATTGATAATAAAAGCTGTTATAATCATTGATGTTATTATAAGTTATGAACTTCAGTCAGCTCAGAATTCATGGTTACGTAGTGAATGCACTATACTCCTGATAAAATAAAAATCAAGTTTAATATAAAATAAATTTCATTTGAAGTTGAATTCCTTGCCATATTTTCAAGGATACAAAACTATTGGCTTTGTCAACAGTAATTTTCACGTACTTTACTCTTCATTCAAGGACCAGAAAATCAAGTCCGAAAAATTGTAGCTCCAAATTCATATATATGTAGTGTCAGTCAACGATAATTGCATTTCAAAATGTCCAGACAGCAGTTTCAAAGAAATAATTATAGAAAGTCTGTTATTATTTAGGAATGTCTCTTCAGATGTATCTAAAACTTTGAGCTTTTTATAAATTTTCTGCTGTAATATCCAAAGCTAAAAGTAAGTGAATAATACATGATCAAAGGAGTACTTTTAATTGCATTGCTTTGACTTTAATAACTTGAAGCACAGAAGTTAATAACCTCAAGCACTGGAGAAGTCTATCAAAATGTCAATGAAATGCCTATTAAAACAGAGATAAACAAAGCACAGATACCATACCAGGTATAGCCTGATTCTGATAAGCAGTGATACAATTTAACTAGGTACATTTATATTGAATTTTACCTAAAAATCTTGGCAACTTTTATAAATATAAGTTTAGCTTCAAGTCATTATTTTGAGGATGTCTTGAAAGAATCAGGGTTTCTTTTTTTCTGAACATATGTGAAGTAAGAATAATCTACTTACACATCAAACATGTTGATTGGAAAGAAATAAAGGCTAGACAAATTCAGAAATTATCAAAGGGAATAATTTTGCCGAAGATAGAATTTTGCCTGAAGATTTGTAGAGAAGATCCTGAATTGTACACCAGTTTTCTCAGAAGGTGAAGATATGCTTTTACTTATAACTGCTATTGAAATGATTACAAAAAAGTTGTTGTGGCTTACTTGACATATGGACTTGAGGACTGTAAAGCCACTTTGAGTCCCTTTGGAACAATAGTTGTGGGACATTCATATAAAAATTGGAGGGATTTTCCTTTTTGTGTTGTGAATAGTTTGCTCTACCCTCTCCCTCTTCTATAACTCTTCCTCTGCCATCGCAAAATATGCTTTTTATGCATTCTTTAATGCACTGCAAAATGACACTGTAATACATCCTTTTCTCTGCAAAGTTCTGCTGCTGCCTCATGCATGCACAGCTAGATGATAATATAAATGAAACGTGATTTTAGTAATGGCCCCTGACTTCATTTTTCAGAAAATTGGTTTTTATCATGCATGTTTTTATTGTCATAGGTAACCTTTGGTAAATTTCTTTCATTTCAGTTATTTGTGTGAAATGGAGAGAATGAATTAAATGTTTCTTGGATTCTAGCCTAATTATTGGTCTTTCAATAAGCAGATATTAATGCACAAGAACATGCAAATGTCTGACTTCCTGACTTAATGGTCATCCAAGAAAAAAAAATGAATGATTTTCAGATGATATATAATATTGGTGTAACAAATTTTAACTGGTAAGAAAAGCTTTTTATGAGAAATATTGTCTTATGTTCCTTATATAATACTTATCGAATAATTGTCTAGAAATCCATTTCCATTTTTCTATTTGCATTAGCAGAATAGGCTACATTTTGCTACAATGAGATTCCGGCTCATCTTCAGCAACAAAAGTTTATTTCTTATTTACTCTACAGGCACAGTGTGAGTTGACAGGGAAGGCCTCTGCTCATTGTTATAACTTATGAAACAAGGCTGTTCGCAGACCACATTCTGACACACGCTTCACAAATACTTCAGTATGGAAAGAAAGGGCCAGATAATTGACTAGCAAAGACAAAATAGCTGACTCAGAAGTGACACATTACAGCCCAGAAAGTATCACATGGCCATGTAGAACCTCAGTGGAGAGGAAAGCATGCTTTTACTCAGAATATCAGCTAAAATTAACAAGTTATTTATACAACATTTATCCAGTTCTGCATCAATCTATTCATCTGTCTTTGCATAGTGCATTGCATTGGATTTTTTTTTTTCCTTAATATCGTTGGCAACATTGATAGTATTTTCTAAACCTGGGCTCAACCAACACATGAGTGATTGAAACATCAAAATGCATTACAGGGATCATTAAACAAAGGAGAATTTTGAATATCAAAGTGGTGTTTCATTATAGAAACATTAGAAGTTGCCAATGAAGTAAGGACCCTGGAGTGCTATAACTCACAATCCATTCCCTAGAATTTCATGCTTATTGAACCAGAACTTAACAATAAAAGTAGGTCTAATTGCTCACACTAGAGATGTTTTCTAATTCTTAAGATCAGTCATTCATGAGCTGAGGTTTATTTAAACACACCCTTGGTATGACAGAGTCTACACTCCTTCCTAAATATAAGATCCTATATCTCAAAAACAAAAATTGAAATGAGACACTCCTCATCTTCTCAAAATTAACGCAAAAGTAACAGAAAAAG
Source organism: Homo sapiens (assembly GCF_000001405.40). Lineage (NCBI taxonomy): Eukaryota > Metazoa > Chordata > Mammalia > Primates > Hominidae > Homo > Homo sapiens. The sequence goes on along the minus strand of NC_000003.12, from coordinate 145,124,837 downwards.
AAAGTTCATACTTCTACTTTATAATTAAATTTCAAGTTTATAAGATTAAGTCTTAACAGGTTATTAAAATCGGGCTTCCTTTTTCATTTAAATATTATTTTAAAGAAGATTATAATGAATAGACATTAATTTTTTACTGTGTGGCTGAGTCATAGACTACAAAGCAAACCCAAGTCCTTGATATTGCAGTTTTAAACACAGGACATTCAGATGTGATTTATTTTGCCACAATAGCAACCCACACTAAACATACTATCCTGAGAGAAGAACTATCTCATAACACTTCAGGGAATCTATCATGCTTCAAAACACAGATGGAAGTATTCCAGAAATGTAAAGAAAATCTTCAAAATAGTCATCTCTTACTTTCAGGAGAAGCAATATTTATTTTGGTTAGGTGCATAAGTCCTAGTTTATAGACAGATATTGTTATAAAAATTTTATTCGTAGGTCTGTTAGTTGGGATTCTAAACTTGTTTTCCCGAAGGTGCAATGCAATGTTATGTTTAGTAATTGCTTCCCACAAAATTCCATCTAACCCATATTGTATGTGAGCTAAATTACTGATATAGCTCCTGTGAATCCTTGGTCTGATTTTAAATTTACCAAAAGGTTCATCAGGAAGGAAAGAGAAATGGAATCTCTGACTATCAAAATAACAAATGTTTGTCTTCAGCTTATTCTCACATAATTTCTCCCACTCCTTTCCAAACCCCATGTGTTCCCAGCCATGCTCCAGACACCTGGTATCCCTTGGCCTTCTAGAATAGATCATAATAAGTATATTTAGCAGAAATATGTTTTTTCTTACCTGTCTATAATACAAGTAACTTTCCACATTGCCTCTGAACGTAGACTTCATGAAAATAAAGATATATTTAAAATAATCTCCAGTAGCATAAATATAATCAATAGACTTAACATATCTCAATAAAGGACTTTATAGATACTTCTAAAATAAGAAACAGAGTTCCAAGTTCTGTCTAGAGATATACTTGTGTCGATGTACATAACATTCCCTGCGATTCTCTTGGAAGTTTGTACTTTTCTTCAGTTTGACCCATTCATTGAAGCTCTTTATAACTTTATTATTTCATCTGCATATTAATCTATAAAACGTCCAACATCTATATATATGTGAAAATTATAAATTTATTTTAGGAATTACATTTATAGCCCTCATATTATAAGTTAATAATGTAGAATTGAAATATTGTTTTGATAAACACACCAAAAATTTTAATTGGAGGTTTACGGATGCTTATAAATTTTAACATTAAGTTTATTTTTATCATTTACTTTGTATTGTGACTGGCAAAGAGAATTAAAGCAAATGGCAAAATGTTACTGTTTTAAGAATTCATTATGGAAAAGAGTATGCCGATGCTTAAAGAAATTAAAAATAGAATTACCTTATGAGCCAAGTAGCCCTCCTTTGAATATATATTCAAAGGAAATGAAATCATCACCTTATAAAGATATATGTACTCCCATGCTCCTTGCAGCAATATTTACAATAGTCAAAATATGGAAACAACCTAGAAGTCTATCAATGGATGAATGTATAAATAAACTACAATGTATGTGTACATGTATCTATATCTATGTTTAATAAAATATTATTTGGCCTTACGAAAGAGGAGGGGGAGTTCCTGCCATTTGCCACAAAATGGATAGACCTAGAAGACATTATGCCAAATGAAATAAGCCAGACACAGAAATAATAATATTGCATGATCTCACTTATATTTGGAATCTGAAAGAAAACAAAAAAGAGGTCAAATATATAGAGATAGAAACCAAAACAGTAATTACCAGGGTCTAGGTAGGAGAGAGAAAATGGGGAGATGTAGGGCAAAAGATACAACATAGCAAATACATTGGATGAACTAGTCAAAAAATGTAATGTACAACATAAGGATTGTAGTTAAAAATAATGTATTATATTCAGGATTTTTGCTAAATGAGTGGATTATAGCTGATCTTGCCACAAAGGGGGAAATGGGTAACTATGTGAGATGATAGATATTTTCATTTACTACAGTAACCATTTTACTATGTGTATGTATATTGTAACATCATTGTATATATTATGTATACAACAATATAATTATTTTAATCTTTTTAAATTATCTTTTAAACTTGATACATTTACAATTTATTAATAAACTTTAAAAAATAGAAAATTTGAATTTACAAATTGAGCCTTATGCAATTTCTAATATTACCTAAAAGTCCATATCATATTTATAATTTCAAAAAGTACCCTAAATTTAAAAAAAGCACTAAAATTCTAAGTAGTATCGTATAATGGTGATGGCATGTATTGCACTTTTCTGCTGAACCATAAGCCAGGAGGAATATGTACCCAGTACAGACTCCAACACATGCTCCTGACATTAACCAAGCATGAAACCTGTGTGCTATAGAAGTATAATCATATATGCAGTTTACTATGCGTGGAAATGTTCATGCTTGATGTACTAAATGGATGTATATGCAGAAACATGTGAATAAAGAAAGCAGGAGAAGCATTACAAAGTCTAAAAAAATAATTTACCTAGCTCCAGAAGTTAAATTTTAGTCATCGTCCCTGTATTATTATGTGCTATTTACATAAAGCATTATTTTGAAATTTTGACACTTTTAAAACCAAAACATATTAAAAACTAAAATGCAGATCTATCCCATTTTGTAATTTCCGAGGACACATTTAGAAGGCACTGCTTTAACTTATTCCTATTTTAACTTACCTTCCACTTTCTTTCCTGGGTTGGATATTTTTATTACATTCAATTCTTCTATTAGATATATTTAATTTTTTTTAAATGTGAACACCTCTCTTTCTTCTCTTACTTACATACAATACAATATTTGGAATCCACATTAAATAAGATAAAAACACTAGTGCAACTAAATTACTCAACATCTTTTCTTTCTACTCCTCCTAAATCTCAGATGATGACATTTTCAGCTTCATTATTGCTTATACACTTTCATTCAAAATATGGTGCTATAAACTCTTTTGTGTCTTATGCAATTTCTAATTAACGTTTCTCCTTGTTGAGAGAAAATAGAATCCCCTTTCAATAATATTTTATTAATAGTGGTTAAATGCATCAACTTGAATTTACTTGTTTTAGATTTAATTTTAATCCTTAGATGTTTTTCCCATTTTACCCAGGTTGTACTATTTGATTTCTCTTGTTTTTTTTGTTTTTTGTTTTTATGTAGAGAAAGGGTCTTACTGTCACCCTAACTAGTGTACTGTGGTGTGATCATAGCTCACTGTAACTTCCACCCCCTGGGGTCAAGCAATCTTCTCACCTCAGCCTCCTGAGTAGTTAGAACTGCAGGTGTATGCTACCACACTCTGCTAATTTTATTATTTATTTTATTTATTTATTTATTTCTGTAGAGACAGGGGTCTCACTTTGTTGACCAGCTGGTCTTGAACTCTTGGCCTTAAGCTGTACTCCACCTCAGCCTCCCAAAGTGCTGGGACTACTGACATGAGCCACTGTGGTAGGCCCTGGTTCATTTTTGTACTCATATGTTTTATTCTTTTTAAATTTTCTTTTCGTTATGCTCAAGCGCACCCACCAGCAAATTTTTCAGAAAATGTCATGGTGTTATTCCACATACCTGACATATATCTGCTTTGCCTTCATACATATTTGATAATTTCATTTGGCATTACAATTAGTTGCAAAATAATTGGGTTCAGAATTCTAAAAGGTTTGCTTATATTCATGATTTGCTATAGAAACACCAGATTGAATTATTTTTGTTATGTAACTTATACATATTGAGAAGCAAAAAAAGAACTTTAATGAAGACATATATTATATTCCTGAATGGAAGATCTAATATTTTTAAAAGCTTATCTTCAAATTAATATATTGTCTTAATGCAATTGTAAACAAAATCTTAAAGGTTTGTGTTGCAGTGGTGGTGGTTTGTTTTTTGTATATTTTTTAAAAATTTGATTAAGATATATATACTAAAGCCCACCTCCAGTTGGTGGGGAAACACTTATCAAGAAGACTCCAAAAGAAAATGGGAATAAAATACAAAATCTCAAAAAAGATATTGACAACACATGAGTGACAACGGATGGTATCAAGAATTAATAAAGAACCATTTTAATAAGAAAACTTATAAAGAAACACTATGAATAAATGCAGACAAAATCAAGGACCATAAATAACACAAAATAATTACTTTAGTTTTTAAAATACACTGGGAAACTTCTAAGGCTTTGAACTATAAAAATGAAATCATTTTGCCTATAACTTTAGTCTATTTCGATTTGGCAAGTATGGCCTTTTTTCCCCAAAGGACATTTTCTAGGTAGTTTCCTGATCTATCAGGACTGAGTGTTCTTCACTGCCTAATGCACTAACATAAACAGCAAATGTCTGTAAAATCAAACAAGCAGTAGTCAGGAAGAGATTTTATACCCTGAGGTCAAAATGTGTAAAAGAAGCAGGGAGGTAAGGTGGCTAGGTTAGTAAGACAGACCATAGCTCAATACTAAGAAAGTATTGGCTAGGCCAATAAAGAGTCCTCTAGTCAAAGCCCTCTGTTACAGGAATCCCACATCCTATAGGAATGGGCCTGCACAGTCATCAGCCAAAAACTACTAAGGAAAGTATGACTTTAGGATAACCATCATGGTAGATCCAGGAAGGGTAGTCGTGGGAGCTGTCAGTGAACTGTGCTGTAGGAAATCTGAAGAGTATATTTTCAAGGCTACCACAACCAGTACTATGAGTTAATATTTACCTATAAGCTGAATATATACCTAAAATAACTAACAGAGCTGTTTATTCAATTAACTACTAACTTAATTATTTTATGATGTCTTTGGTGAAGGAAAAGATGCATTCATTATATTACTGCTTTTTTCTTGAATGAGCATAACTGACTAAATAAAACAAATTATAGATCCAAAATATTTGTAGTTTCTGATAGCAGAAATTATATTTAATTTAGTTAAAATTGAAAGAAGTGATATTTTGGGGGATGAAACAAGAATTTTCTATAGAATAGACAATGATTTGACAGAATTTTAAAATACATTTGTGATTTGGAATAATTATAGCAAAATCAGGACCATAAAATATTTAAAATTGTATTTAAGGAGGTTTCTATGTAGATATTAATTGGTAAAAATATAGATCACAATGTAATTAGAAATCCCTAATTATAAAAATATGAAGCTTTAAACTGGTCATGGTTTATTCAAGCTGAACTCATAAGATGATATTTAAAATAAGTGAATCTTAACGTGAAAATTACTTTTGAGTTCTTGGAGTTTTGAAGATGTAAAGTGGATTATCAGCTCCCTCAGGCACTACGGGTTTACTTGGATGCTTCCAAGCCTCTTCACCAATCTATTGTTTCTAAATAATGTATATTTCAGCAGCAGAAGGGTTTTGAAAATTACCAAAATCCTTTGGAAACAGATTTGGCAATGACTGAATAAATGAACAAAATAAGAAAGTGACAAGAAAATGTTACCATAGAAATACAGGTCAAAATGCATTTTTACTTCCTGAATTTAACTGTCTGAAAACATAGTAAACCTACCTTCAAGTATCTAAAGTCCTTGTCCCTTTAATTACATTATTTTCCATAAACAGTGGCATTCCATTAAGGACTGAGACCATGATTCAGCCAATCCTCACAGGTTTGGTTCCTGAAGCAGATTCTGAAACAGATTAAAACACAGGAATTTATGAGGGAATGCCCTTCAATCAACATACATGGAAGGGTAGGAAGACAAAAATATTTGAGCACAGAGAGAAGCTGTCTGAATGGTAGAAAACGATGGTTGAAATGTTTGTGTTCCCTCAAAATGGATATGCTGAAATTCTAGCCCCAAAGATGATAATGTTGGAAAGAAGGGGCCTTTGGGAGGCAATTAGGTCAAGAGGGCAGAGCCCTTTTATAAGGGATTCACCCTTAAAAAAGAGACCCTCAAGAGCTAGCTAGCCCACTTCCACCACGTGTGAACCCAGCAAGAGGACCTGCCATCCATGAACTAGAAAATGGGCCCCAGCAGACAATGAATCTGACAGCACCTTGATATTGGATTTGACAGCATCCAGAACTATGATAAATAAATTTCTGTTTTCTATAATCTACTCAGTCTATGGTCTCTCATTACGGCAGCCTAAATTAAAGCACATTTCCATGCCTTCTCAGCAAAAGCCTTAACCATGGCCTCAGGGATCTTTAAGTCATCAGGCCCCTCATCATTATCTTGAGTTGGGCAAAACTGACTGCTTTCTTATTACCACTGTGTTAATCATTCTTTGGATGTGGGTTACCTCAGAAAAAGCTCAGGTCCATGTGCAAAGCTGCTGAGTGCAACCCCAAAAAAGGCTGACAGCTGAAGGTTCTCTACCAGCAACACTCCAAGCAGCTTTAAAAATAAATCCTTTCATTCTGAAAAGGTAACTGATGTCCTGTCACAGCCTTTGTTATATCTGCAAAAGAAACTTTTAACAAAGACTACAAGACTACAAAGAAATACACGTCCACATAAACAAAATAAACTGATTTTTGATGAAGAATCAAAGGAAATACAATGGAACAAAAATATTCTTTTCAACAAATGATGCTGGAAAAACTGGACATCCTCATGCAAAAAAAAAAAAAAAAGAATCTACCCATAGACCTTTCACCCTTTACAAAAATGAACTCAAAATAGATTATAGACATAATTATAAAATGCAATATATATATATAAATGAACTCAAAATAGATTATAGACATAATTATAAAATGCAAAACTGTAAAACTCCTATAAGATAATGTAGGAGAAAATCTAGATGACCTTAGGTTTAGTGATGACCTTTTAGATACATCACAAAGGCACAAATCATGATGAAATAATTGATAAGCTGCATTTCATTAAAATTAATAACTTTTCTGTGAAAGGCACTAAAATGAGAATGAGAAGACAAGCCACAGACTGGGAGAAACTATTTGAAAAACACATGAAGGCATACTTTGTTTTATTGGATCAGATCTCACTGTGCTTCACATATATTGTACCTTTTACAATTAGAAGATTTGCAGCAACCCTTCGTCCAGCAAGTCTATCAGTGCTATTTTTCCAACAGCATGAGCTCACTTCATGTCTCCATGTCACATTTTGGTAATTCTCACAATATTTCAAACTTGTTCACTATTATTATACCTGTATGGTAATCTGCGATCAGTGATCTTTGATGTTACTGTTGTAATTGTTCTGTTATGTCACAATCCATGTCCATATAAGATGAAGAATTTAATTGATACATGTTGTGTGTGTTCTGACTGTTTCATTGAAAAACATTCTTCCATCTGTATCCCTCTCTTTGGGTTTTCCTATTTCCTGAGACCAGTGATATAGAAATTAGGCCAATTAATAATTCTATAATGGCCTCTATGTCTCTCACTTTTAGTCAAAAGCTGGTTATGATTAAGCTCAATGAGGAAGACATGTCACAAGCTGAGATAGGCCCAAAGCTAGGTTCCTTGCACAAAATATCTAGCCAAGTTGTGAATGCATAGGAAAGGTTCTTAACAAAAATTAAAAGTGCTGTTCTAGTAAATACACAAATGATAAGAAAGCAAAGCAGGCTTATTGCTGATAGGGAAGAAGTTTTAATGGTGTGGATAGAAGATCAAACCAGCCATAATATTCCCTTAAGCCCAAGCCTATTCCGGAGCAAGGCCCTGCCTCTCTTCAATTCTGTGAAAGCTGAGAGAAGTGAGGAAGCTGCAGAAGAAAAATTGGTAACTAGAAGTGGCTGGCTCATAGAGTTTAAGAAAAGAGCCATCTCCATAACAAAACAAGGCAAAGTGAAGCAGTAAGTGCTGATGGACAAGCTGCAGGAAGTTATCCAGAAAATCTACATGAGATCGTTAATGAAGGCATCTGTCAGGTGGATCAGAGAGATACAATCATGGGGGTCAGGTGTGGTATCAGGAATAATGCGGGAGGCCGGACTGAAGTCTGGGCCAGGAACAATGGTAATTGTGGGACTTAACAAAGAGTGAGTACAGCTGAAGGAGCCGGGGAGCAGAAAGTATATGCATCAGGTATGAGGAAGAAAATAGATTTTGGAAGTAATGAGAAATGTAGAGAGTGAGTTGAGCATAGTTTGTGATTTTTAGGGCCTCTAAAAGTATTAAAGCAGCGGCAGCCACTGCACACAGACATGAGGGCTAGGCTAAAACAGTAAGGTCAAGTTGTTTGGACAGAAAGGCTACAGGGGGCGGTCCCGGCTCTTGTGTAAGAATCCTGACCACAGTAACCATGCATAGGAAGGAAAGGAGTTGTTTTGTAAGGGATTGAGGTTTGGGAGATTAATCGGACACGATCAGCAGGGAGAGCACGTGTGTTTTTATGAGAATTATGCCGAGATAGGTAACAGCTGAGGATGAAATTTGGGCTTGACTGAAGTAATGGGAGCTGTCTGTGAAGCCTTGTGGCAGTACAGCCCAGGTAATTTGCTGAGCCTAATGGGTGTCAGGGTCAGTCTAAGTGAAAGCAAAGAGAGGCTGGGATGAAGGGTGCAAAGGAATAGTAAAGAAAGCATGTTTGAGATCCAGAACAGAATAATGGGTTGTGGAGGGAGGTATTGAGGATAGGAGAGTATAGGAGTTTGGCACCACGGGGTGGATAGGCAAAACAATTTGGTTGATAAGGCGCAGATTCTGAACTAACCTGTAAGCCTTGTCTGGTTTTAGGACAGGTAAAATGGGGGAATGGTAAGAAGAGTTTATAGGCTTTAAAAGGCCATGCTGTAACAGGCGAGTGATAACAGGATTTAATCCTTTCAAAGCATGCTGTGGGATGGGATATTGGCATTGATCAGGGTAAGAGTGATTAGGTTTTAATGGGATGGTAAGGGGTGCATGATCGGTCACTAAAGAGGGAGTAGAGGTGTCTTATACTTGTGGGTTAAGGTGGGGAGATACAAGGGGAGGATGTGAAGGAGGCTTTGAACTGGGGGAAAAGGCGGCAATGAGGTGTGGCTGTAGCCCAGGACTAGTCAGGGAAGCAGATAATTTAGTTAAAGCATCTCGGCCTAATAAGGGAACTGGGCAGGTGGGGATAACTATAAAGGAGTGCTGAAAAGAGTATTGTTTAAGTTGGCACCAGAGTTGGGGAGTTTTAAGAGGTTTAGAAGCCTGGCCGTCAATATGAACAACAGTTATGGAAGCAAGGGAAACAGGCCTTTGAAAAGAAGGTAATGTGGAGTGGGTAGCCTCCATATTGATTAAGAAGGGGACGGACTTACTTTCCACTGTGAGAGTTACTCAAAGCTTGGTGTCCGTGATGGTCTAGGGGGCTTCCCAGGTGATCAGGCAGTGTCAGTCTTCAGCCACTAAGTCGAGAAGATCTGGGAAGGAGTCAGTCAGAGAGCCTTGGGCCAGAGTTCCAGGGGCTCTGGGAGTGGCTGCCAGGTGAGTTGAACAGTCTGATTTTCAGTGGGGTCCCACACAGATGGGATAAGGCTTAGGAGGAATCCTGGGCTGTGGGCATCCCTTGGCCCAGTGGCCAGATTTCCGGCACTTGTAGCAAGCTCCTGGGGGAGGAGGTTCTGGAGGAACCACTGGGAGCTGTGGTTCAGGCATTTGGAGTTCTTGTGTGCTGGAGATGTGGCTGGGGTTTGTCTCACAGTGGAGGCAAGGAATTGCAACTCAGAAATACATTGCTACTTGGCTGCTTCTACTCTATTATTGTACACCTTGAAGGTGAGGTTAATTAAGTCCTGTTGTGGGGTTTGAGGGCTGGAATTTAATTTTTGTAGTTTTATTTAATGTCAGGAGCAGATTGGGTAATAAAATGTATATTGAGAATAAGACGGCCTTTTGACCTTTTAGGGTCTAGGGCTGTAAAGCGTCTCAGGGTTGCTGCGGAATGAGCCATGAACTGGGCTGGGTTTTTCATATTTGATGAAAGAGCCTAAATGCTCACTGATTTGGGAGAGGTCTGATAAAGAAAAAGGAGCATTAACCTTGACTATGCCTTTAGCTTCAGCCATCTTTTTAAGAGGAAATTGCTGGGCAGGTAGGGGAGGGCTACTCACAGAATGAAACTGTAAACTGGACCAGGTGTAAGGAGGGGAGGTGATAAAAAGATTACCCGGTGGAGGAGTGGAGGCTGAGGAAGAATTCGGCCCTAGCTTGGCCTGGCAAGGAGCAGCCTGGGGAGGAGGGGAGAGGTCAGATGGGTCTGTAGAAAAGGAAGATTAGAAAGACTCAGCGATGCTTGGGGTTGGGACTGAGGGTACAGGCGGGAGGGAAAGAAGGAAGATTTGGGACGAGTTGCACTGGGCACAGAGACTAGGGAGGGACCGATGTGTAAAAGAATGCCTGGACATCAGGCACCTCAGGCCATTTGCCTATTTTATGACAAGAATTATTTAGATCTTGCAGGATGGAAAAATTGAAAGTGTCATTTTCTGGCTATTTGGAACCACTGTCAAGTTTGTATTGAGGTCAAGCAGCATTGCAGAAGAAAATAAGGCATTTAGGTTTTAGGTCAGGTGTGAGTTGAAGAGGTTTTAAGTTCTTGAGACCACAGGCTAAGGGAGATGGAGGAATGGAGGGTGGAAGGTTGCCTATAGTGAAGGAGGCAAGCCCAGAGAAAAGAGAGAGTAGAGACACGGAGGGAAGGGGTTCGGGGGTTCTTACCCTTCAGAAAAGTGGGAAAGGGGTCGGGGCATGGAAATAAGGGGTTGGGGATTCTTGTCCCCTAGAAAAGTGGGACTTGTCGCTAAGGGTGAAGGAGAAGGGGTTGAGGGGTTCTTGCCCCTCCCCCAGAAAAGCAGAGAAGGGGTAGAACCACGGAGAGAAGAGGTTGGGGTACTTCCCCCTCCCCCAGAAAAGCAGGACTTGCCACTAAGGGTGAAGGATCAAGGCAGGCGTCCTTGCATGGTCTGACACCTCTGAAACGTGAGTGAATAATCAGAGAGGCATCCATCCCTGAAATGATTAAACACCAAGGGAAGGCTCCCTTCCCAGTCCGTGACTGGTGCCAGAGTTTTGGGTCCATGGATAAAACGTGTCTCCTTTGTCTCTACCAGAAAATGAAAGGAACTGAAATTAAGAGAAGGGAGAGATTGAAGTGTGGCACCAAGATTGAAAGGAGAAAGTGGTTGAGGGATAGTGAGGGAGGTTGGAGAAGAGAGTAAAAATAGGCCGCTTACTGGATTTGAAATTGGTGAGATATTTCTTGGGCTGGTTGGTCTGAGGACCTGAGGTCATAGGTGGATCTTTCTCACGGAGCAAAGAACAGGAGGACAGGGGATTGATCTCTTAAGGGAGGTCCTCCGATCCGAGTCACGGCACCAAATTTCATGTGTGTCTGTGTGAAGAGACTACCAAACAGGCTTTGTGTGAGCAATAAAGCTTTTAATCACCTGGGTGCAGGCGGGCTGAGTCTGAAAAGAGACTCAGCGAAGGGAGATAAGGGTGGGGCTGTTTTATAGGATTTGGGTAGATAAAGGAAAATTACAGTAAGGGGGGTTGTTCTCTGGCAAGCAGAGTGGGGGTCACAAGGTGCTCAGTAGGGGAGCTTTTGAGCCAGGATGAGCCAGGAGAAGGAATTTCACAAGACAATGTCATCAGTTAAGGCTACCATCCTATTAAAACCTAATCACTCTTACCCTGCTCAATGCCAATATCTTATCCTATAGCATGCTTTGAAAGGATTAAAGCCTGTTATCATTCACCTGTTACAGCATGGCCTTTTAAAGCTTATAAACTCTTCTTGACATTCACCTCATTTCCCCATATTTCCTTCTTTCCTCTTCCTCGCCTTGATCATGCTTGATTTATTGATGGCAGTTCCACCAGGCCTAATTGCCACACCAGCAAAGGCAGGCTATGCTATAGTACAAGCCACTATCCCACCTCTTAGAACCTCTCATTTCCTTTCCATCGTGGAAATCTATCCTCAAGGAAATAACTTCTCAGTGTTCCATCTGCTATTCTACTACTCCTCAGGGATTATTCAGGCCCCCTCCCTTCCCTACACATCAAGCTCAAGGATTTGCCCCCACCCAGGACTGGCAAATTAGCTTTACTCAACATGTCCCGAGTCAGATAACTAAAATACCTCTTAGTCTAGGTAGACACTTTCACTGGATAGGTAGAGGCCTTTCCTACAGGGTCTGAGAAGGCCACCGCAGTCATTTCTTCCTTTCTGTCAGACATAATTCCTCAGTTTAGCCTTCCCACCACTATACAGTCTGATAACAGACCAGCCTTTATTAGTCAAATCAGCCAAGCAGTTTTTCAGGCTCTTAGTATTCAGTGAAACCTTTATCCCTTATGGTCCTCCGTCTTCAAGAAAAGTAGAATGGACTAAATGTCTTTTAAAAACACACCTCACCAAGCTCAGCCAACAACTTAAAAAGGACTGGACAATACTTTTACCACTTTCGCTTCTCAGAAGTCAGACCTGTCCTCAGGATGCTACAGTGTACAGCCCATTTGAGCTCCTGTATAGATGCTCCTTTTTATTAGGCCCCAGTCTCATTCCAGACACCAGACCAACTTAGACTGTGCCCCCAAAAAACTTGTCATCCCTACTATCTTCTATCTAGTCATACTCCTATTCACTGTTCTCAACTACTCATACATGCCCTACTCTTGTTTACACTGCCAGTTTGCATTATTTCTCCAAGCCATCACAGTTGATATCTCCTGGTGCTATCCCCATACTGCCACTCTAAACTCTTGAAGTAAATAAATAATCTGCTGGCAGGACTATGCTGAATCTCCTTAGGCACTCTCTAATCAGATGTCCTAGGTCCTCCCAATTCTTAGACCTTTTATACCTGTTTTTCTCCTTCTCTTATTCCATTTAGTTTTTCAATTCATACAAAACCGTATCCAGGCCATCACCAATAATTCTACACCACAAATATTTCTTCTAACAACTCCACAATATCACCTTTTACCACAAAATCTTCCTTCAGCTTAATCTCTCCCACTCTAGGTTCCCACGCCACCCCTAATCCTGCTCGAAGCAGCCCTGAGAAACATTGCCCATTATCTCTCCATACCACCTCCAAAAATTTTCACCATCCCAACACTTTACCACTATTTCATTTTATTTTTCTTATTAATATAAGAAGACAGGAATGTCAGGCCTCTGAGCCCAAGCTAAGCCATCATACCCCCTGTGACCTGCATGTACACATCCAGAAGGCCAGTTCCTGCCTTAACTGATGACATTCCACCACAAAAGAAGTGAAAATGGCCTGTTCCTGCCTTAACTGATGACATTGTCTTGTGAAATTCCTTCTCCTGGCTCATCCTGGCTCAAAAGCTCCCCTACTGAGCACCTTGTGACCCCAACTCTGCCCGCCAGAGAACAACCCCCCTTTGACTGTAATTTTCCTTTATCTCCCCAAATCCTATAAGACAGCTCCACCCTTATCTCCCTTCGCAGAGTCTCTTTTCGGATTCAGCCCGCCTGCTCTCGGGTGATTAAAAGCTTTATTGCTCACACAAAGCCTGTTTGGTGGTCTCTTCACATGGAGGTGCATGAAAGCATCCACAGTAAAAAACAGGTTTTCCATGGAGGTAAAACAACCTTATATTGGAAGAAGATGCCATCTAGGACTAAAGGGAAGCAGCTAAAGAGAAGCAAATGCCCAGCTTTAAAATTTCAAAGGAGACGCAAACTCTCTTGTTAGTAGCTAATGCAGCTGGTGACTTTAAATTGAAACCAAAGCTTATGTGCCTTTCCAAAAATTCTAAGACCCTTAAAAGTATACTAAATTGACTCTGCCTGTGCTCTGTAAATAGAATGACAAATCTTTTAATATAGCACATTTGTTTACAGCATAGTTTACTGATTACATTTAAGCCCACCATCAAGACCTACTGCTCGGCAATAGATTCTTTTCAAAATATTATTGCACATTGACAATGCACCTGGTCATCCCAGAACTCTGATGGAGATGTTTAAAGAAATTAATGTGTTTTCATGCCTGCTAAGAAAATATCCATTCTGATCCATTTGCCCATGGATCATTGATTTTCGCTTTCAAGTATTCTTACTTAAGAAATGCATTTCAGGCCGGGCGCAGTGGCTTTCACTCGTAATCCCAGAGTTCGAGACCAGCCTGGCCAACATGATGAAACCTCGTCTCTTCTAAAAATACAAAAATTAGCTAGGCATGGTGGCATGCACCTGCAATCCTAGCTACTAGGGAGGCTGAAGCAGGAGAATCACTTGAACCCAGGAGGCAGAGGTTGCAGTGAGCTCTCACACCACTGCACTCTAGCCTGGAAACAGAGCAAGACTCTGTCTCAAAAATAAATAAATAAAATAAATAAATAAATAAATACATTTCAGAGGGATAAAACTGCCATAAGGAATGAGTCCTCTGATCTGGGCAAAATAAATTGAAAACTTTCTGGGGAAAAAAAAATCACCACTGTAGATGTCATTAAGAACCTTTGTGATTCATGAGAGGAGGTGAAAATATTAACACTTACAGGAGCTTGGAAGAAGTTGAGTCCAGCCCTCATGAATAACTTTAAGGAGTTTAATACTTCAGTGGAAAAAGTCATTGCAGATGTGGTAGAAAGAACAAGAAAATTAGAGCTAGAAGTGAAACCTGAAGGTGTGACTAAATTGTTTCAATTTCATGATAAAACTTGAATAGGTGATGAGTGGCTTCTAATGGATGAGCAAAGAAAGTAGTTTGTTGAGATAAAATCTACTCCTAGTGATGATGCTGTGAACATTGTTGAAATGACAATAAAGGATTTAGACTATTACATAAATGTATTTGATAAAGCACTGGTAATGTTTGAGGAGATTGACTCCAATTTTGAAAGAAGTTCTACTGTGGGTAAAATCCTATCAAACAGCATTTCATATAGTAGATAAGTCTTTTGTAAAAGGAAGAGTCAACAAATGCAGCAAACTTTGTTGTTGCCTCATTTTCAGAAATTGCCACAACCACCCAACCTTCAGCAACAACATCCTGATCAGTCAGCAGCCATCAACATCAAGGTAAGCCCCTCTATCAGCTAAAGGATTATGACATGCTGAAGGTTCAAATGATTGTTAGCATTTTTAATCAATGTAGTATTTTATTTAAAGTAGGTTCATTTTAAGACATAATGCTATTACACACTTAATGGACTACAGTATATTGTAAACATAACTTCTATGCACTGGGAAACCAAAAAAAATTGTCTATGACTAGCTTTATTGAGATATTCACTTTATTATGGTAATATGAAACCAAATCAGCAATGTCTTTGAGGTATGCCTGTATTTGAAAAATGACTGTTCTCCAAAATGTTACAAAGAACTCTTAAAAATCAGCTTTAAAAAAATGAACAGCCTGATTTTAAGATGGACAAAAAATCTTGCACCAACACCTCACCAAAGATATACAGGTGGCAAAAAAGTAAGAAAAGATGCTCAAAATCAAATATCATTGGGGATTTTTCAATTACTACAACAATGAGATACTACTATACACCTCCTACACACCTATTGGTCAAAACCCAAAATACTGATAACACCAAAGGCTGGTGAGAATATGGAGGAACAGGAACTCTCATTTATTGATGGTAGAAAAAAAAAATGGTACAGCCATTCTTAAAGACTGGCAATTTTTTACAAAACTAGACATACTCTTATCATCTAATACAGCATTCACGCTCCTTGGTATTTACTCGAAAGAGTTAAAAACATATTTCCATATAAAAACCTACACACAGATATTTATAGCAGCTTTACTCATAATTGCCTAAACTTGGTAGCAGCCAAAATGTCCTTCAATAGGTAAATAGATAAACGATGGCATATCCAGGCAATACAGTATTATTCATCTCTAAAAATAAATGAGCTATTAAACCATAAAAAGCATAGAGAAAACTTAAAATGTGTATTACTAAATGAAAGAAGCAAATAGGAAGATACTAAATATTATATGATTCCAGCTATAAGACATTCTGAAAACAGCAAAAGTATGGAGACAATAAAAGTGTCAGTGATTTCCAAGGATTAGGTGGTAAGTAGAGATGAAGAGATGCAGCTCAGGATTGTTAGGACAGTGAAACTATTCTGCAGAGCACTATCACAGTGGGTGCATGCCATTACATATTTGTCAAAAGTCACAGAACATGTAACCCCAAGGGTGAGCCCTAATGTAAACTATGAACTTTAGGTGATAAAGATGTATCACTCTAGGTTCACAAACTATAACAAATACACTACTTTGCTACGAGGTGTTGACAGTGGGAAAGTCTGTGCATGTGGGGGAAGACAGTATACTGGAAATCTCTGTATCTTCTGCTCAATTTTGCTGTGAACCTAAAAATGCCTTAAAAATGAAGTCTAATTTTTCAAAAGGAAAGAAATCTTCAGAAGTAAATGAAGTATTCTTTGGGATGGAGGTCGAATTAGGGGAGGGGTAGTGTTTTAGGAAGTCTAACTGATTTTCTAGTTACATCCATACCAGGGGATATTTTGTTGAAATGATCTTTTTCTGGGATCTGTTTCTCAAAGGTATTGTCTGAAACTCAATCTTATCCATGTCCACAAATTAATGGAGTGCTATAAATTATTTGCAAGCCTAATATGTAGATATCTGTAAGTGGATCTTTCATAAAGACCAAAATGTCTCATTGATTTGAAGAGGGCATTGACTACTTGTAGGCAAACTGTCTAAGAAGTCAAATTATCCAAAAACATTCTTGATGAGTATGGAATACAAACCAGAAAAGTCATATGGCATCCATTCTTTTCTTCACAACGTGAAACAGAGGCAGACACGTATTCACATTTTCTATTACATCTACCTATTGTCAGGATAAATGTTGCTAAAGCTTTCTCTGGTGATGTCGTGTCTTTTCTTCTGAGAGTGACCTGGTACACTTCTGAATGACTCTTATTCAATTCATACGTTAATATCTCCAATCATTTACAATAAAGAATCTTGTAGAACTAGATTATTCTGTCTCTTGAAGCCAGTTTTATACCTTCTAGTTCTGATCAATTTTATGTTGAGATTTCCCATTTTACTTCTCTAAAGCCAGCAACAGTTCACTTCTTGGAGAATTGCTATTGCTTGCATATATCACATATGCATATTAACTTCATATATATATATATGTTTGTAAACACACACACACATATGTGTGTGTGTGTGTATATGTGTATATATATATATATATATATATATATATATATACACACACCTTGTGGCTATTAGTAACTCACTTTGTTTATTGTTGAGCATATTATGTAGTAGAATCTTAAGTATAGATAAAGCAAGATAGTTCTATATGTTTTTTGTTTTGTTTTGTTTTGTTTTGTTTTTTGAGATAGAGTCTTGCTCTGTCACCCAGGCTGGAGTGCAGTGGCTCAATCTTGGCTCACTGCTCACTGCAACCTCCACCTCCCAGGTTCAAGTGATTCTCCTGCCTCAGTCTCCTGAGTAGCTGGGTTTACAGGCACATACAACCACACCCGGCTAATTTTTGTATTTTTAGTAGAGACTAGGTTTCCCCATGTTGGCCAGGCTGGTCTTGAACTCCCGACCTCAGGTGGTCTGCCCACCTCAGCCTCTCAAAGTGCTGGGATTACAGGCGTGAGCCACTGTGCCCTACCAAGGTAGTTCTATTTGATCAGTTGCTTGATCTACCAGATATGTTCACCAATTCAGTGTGTTTTTACTGAGCAGGTACACAGTTCGAAAAACTGCTAGACTGTAGGGAAATAATATCAAACACAAACTGATGCTATTCTTCATAGAAAGCATTCTTGGTGAGCTATTTATCACTTATTTTGTTATAAAAGGAAATTAAATCTGTACAACAGTTCCTACTTCTTTATAAAAGAAGCTTTATAACATCACAACTAATGATGACTCAGGCTTTATTAACTATTCTAATGAATTTTTTAAAACTAGGTAATTTGCACTGCAGCATCAATGGCAAGATTCATCTCTTCTAACCTCATTTATTTGAAAGATGAATAATTGCATGAGTTAGCTTAATTGTTACTTTAATTTGTGTCACAGTTTTAATTTGGTTCTTATTTGTGGAATAAATTAATTAGCATTTGTATTAAGAAATCCAGCCTGTTCTTTTTCTAGTTTATTTGTTATAACAAAAAGTATTGTAGTGATACTGATAATTGATTTGAAAGATGATTTTTCTGTCACTCTCTGTGTATCGTAACCATTTGATCCAACAAACTTATTATTTGGAAATTTCTAAATTACAAAATTTTACTAAAACAATTTAAAATCCAAAATATACTATTCAAATTGTTGATCTGAGGATGTTATTTAGCCTTTCATAAGTTATATTAGCTTTGCATGCATCATCATCATTACTACATGGTTCAGATTTTAAGCCTGAAACATAAGCAAAAGAGTAAAGAGTTATTGCAAAATGTAGATACACACTTAAGTTAGAATTTATCATTCAAAAGTATATCACTTGGGAAATCACTGATAAACAGTTTTATTCAGTAACAAATAATTTGTCAAATTAATTCAGTTAATCTTCTGTTCATAGTAAGCAGATTTATTTGCTGAACAATTTCTCTGAAAAATTATTATACTGATGTGCAATTCAATTTTCCAGGGAAAATTTTAGTCCACATGTTTTCTCAATTATTATTATCTTTGTTGTTTCTTTTCTCCAGGTTGTTAAAAAAAAAGCCATTTGATGCATTTTAGAAGCAACATTCTTTAAATACAGTCAACTAATAATGCTATACATTTAATTTGTTCTGGCTTATTTTTAAAACAATTTCAGAATTTAAAATATAACTGTAATTATATTTAAACAATGGAAGATATAGGTATGAAATTTGTTCCTAACTTGCTGTTCTCACTGTTTGGGAAACAAGCAATATAAAACCGGGCATTGCACCAAAAAGAGAACCCATGGCATTTTGTACATAATTAAAGACCATAAAAAATATCTGGGCTGCCTAAGTTTTGAGCAAATAATATAATAAACAAAAACAGGTGTGAATAAATCAGAAAGAGGACAGAAATATACAAATAAACAAGGTTGGGGGAAATGGTTGAAGTCAGTATGTGTGGCAAAGACAATCTGAACGCAGTAAAAGCAGTCAGGAAGTTCTGTGTATAAGTAAAATAAAATAAAATAAATTGGGATATGGACAGACAAGGACCCAAAATTCGTCAAAAGCTGATATGTAAGTTGTACAAGTAAGGCATGTGATCTAATACAAACAACTGAGTTACAAAGTCTTCCTGACCACCCCTATAGGTATTACAGTGATAATGATTGCAGGATATACGAAGGTCTACAGTAAGACTTGACTCTCTTAACCATCTCTAAATATATAGAAAAAATTTTTTTAAATTATAATAACTTGCAATAAGATTGAGTAAGCAATCATTTCCTGATAAATGCTATTCTTGTTATGGAATTACTGAAATATTTATCATGTTGGAAGTTATAGTTATTTGCATATATGAACACTCTTAATTGCATTTGCATATATGTCATAATTATCTAACTTGCATATAAATTGAAAGATTGGATTATATTATTTGAGTGCTTCAGAGGAATTGCAAAATTATGAGAGCATTTCGCAGAAAACTACATTTTAACCTGCAAATGCATAACCAAATGTTCCTTTAAAATTTATTACAAAATAGATCCTATTCAGTAACCCATGTACATAGGGAACATTTCAAATAAAAAAAAAATGAATCATAGAATAAAAACCCTTGATGCAGTACACAGATTGACAAACAAAATATTACTGTTATCTTTGATGTCCTCAAAGTAGCTCTATCCAAATGCATCTGTATTCCTCCAAACAGTGTCAACCATTAACTTGGATTTTTTATTTAATTTAATTGTGGAATAATACACACTTAGAGAAAAGTAAATAAAACAAAAATCTACATCTCAATAATTTATCAAAAGGCAAACCCTGTGTAATATCCAAATAGGAAAAGAAACAGAACATTATGAGCACAACAGAAGTTTCTTTTGTGTCCCATCTCAGGCATCAAACACTGCCAAAGTGAACAGTGTGCTGACTTTTGTGCTTTCTTTTAGAGTTTTACTATTTCAGCATCATTGGTTTAATTTTGCTATGATTTTAATGCTTTCTTTTGGAGGTGTACTAGTTCCACAGGCATTGGCTTAATTTTGGTAATTTTTGAATTTTATATAAATAGAATCAATGTAATAAGTGCTTTTCTGGATCTGGATCTTTTTGTTCAGTATATGCTTCTTACATTTTTCCATGTTATTATGTGTAGCTGTATTTTACTTATTGCAGTAAAGGATGTTACTGTATGATGATATCACAATTTATCCATCCTAAGTATACATTTTGAATGTTATGAGTTTTTTATTATTATTAAGTAATTCATCTATGGCTGTTCTTGTACAAATTATTTAAAAGCACATATGTAATAAGTTCTTCTGTCTGTACCTGGGTATGAAGTGGCCAGGTCATACGGCATTTTATGCCTGTACTAGCATAGAAGTTTATTTTCTAAAGTCGTTGTACGATTTATCACCAAACAGATAAAAGAACCCTTAGGAACATACAATATTTCTTATATCCATCCTTATCAACTCTTCATCTGTGCTTTGAAATTATTTTATTTAACAAATTGTTTGGTTAGATAGTAATATATCATGTTTTTAATTACATTTTTCATCTGCAATTTTTAATTAATTTATTTTTTTTGTTTTTTAAAATGACCTTTTAAAGTGTCTTATGCATAGAAATAAGTATACAGTGCAATGAATTTTGATAAACTAACACACCTGCGAAGCAAAAGTCATATGGACTTTTCGAACAGATTATTATCAACATCTCAGAAGTATTCTGTGCCCCTTCCAGGCACTTCTACTGAAAACCATTATATTAATATCTAACTCCATAGGTTTATTTTACCTGAAGGCATCAATGTGTCACTTCTCCATGTATGCACATTCTTATCTGGTAAATTTTCAGTATCCTCCCACTCTAACTTTGAGCTTGACCACAGGACTTGCTTTGGTCAATAGGATGGTAACAAAAGTAAATTAAGCAGAGACTTGAAAAGGACTTGCCTGATTGGGATTACCTTTGTTTTTGTTCTTAGCTATTGACATGATAAATTATCCACAAATCATATTACACATTATATTATATTATCCACAAATCCACAAATATACATTATATTATCCACAAATTATATTATTACATTATAAATAAATACACAAATTATCCTGCTAGAGGATCAGAGACACCTGAAGAAGAGCAGAGCCACCCAGGTATTCCAGCTGAGATCATCCTAGTTCAGCTCACAATCAACTTTCCATTAGATATTCGGAGATCAAAAGAATAAGATAGGTAAAGTTAGTCTTATTGCCTATCCAATGACTAAAGAAATAAATGAAGCATTACTGTTTTAAGACACTAATATCTGTGTGTGTTTTTCCTTTTCCCTTTTCTATTTTCTTCAGCACAGCATTATGTTATTAGTAGCATTGTATAACTGATAACATCATCTTTATTTTGTTATAAATGTCTAGAGAAAGTTTTCAAAATATCACCAAGTCTGATGTTTACTGCAAGATTTGTTTTAACATCCTTAGTCATATTAAGGAAATTCTTTTCTATTGCTAGTTAGCTATTTTTCTCTCGTAAATGGCTACTAAATTTTGTCAAATGCATTTTCTGCATGTGTAAAGATAATGATGATTATCATTAGATTTTCTTATACAGGTTGGAAATTGTGCCCTCTTTTTGTATTCTTTGAAAAGTTTATGGAAAACTCTTATTTGTTGTTTTAATGTTGGAGAAATTCACCAATGACGCAATCATGTCTCTGAGATTTTTTATTGAGAGGTTTTCAGTAATAGATTCAATTATTTTTTAAGATACAGGACCATTCAGTGCTTTTTGAAAATCTATTGGTGTCAGTGTTGATAAATTGTTGTTTTTGCGTAACTCAAGTCATCTCAATTGTAATTTACTGTCATAATGTTGTTAGTAATTCTTTACAATGTCTCTCGATCTATAGTGATGTTCTCATTTAAGTTATTGATATCAGCAATTTGCTACATCTTTCTTTCCTCCTTCCCTTTATCTCTGCCTTTCTGTCTGTACTCTGACTAGGGTTTTATTATTTTATCAAGTTTTTATTATAGTAAACTTTCATCTAGTTGGTATTCTCTATTGTATATTTGTTTTCTATTTCACTGATATCTGATTGTTTTGTTACTCACTTTTTCTACATTTTTTGTGTTTAATTTGTCTTCTTTTTCTTGGTTCTTGAGATGGATGCTTAGATCAATCTTTTTCACTTCTTCTTTAGTAGTGTGTGCACTTTAGAAACCAAATATTCATCTAATTAATACTGAGGTGCGCCCTTCAGGTGTTGATATGTCATCACTTAATATTAATTAATTTCATTTCTTTAAATTTCCCTTGTTACATTTTTATTTAACTCATAAACTATTCAGAAATGCATACCTTAATTTCCCAGTAGTTAGGGGCTTTCCATTTCTCATTATTTTTTTATTGGTTTCTACTTAATTTCACTCTAAGAAAATTCTTGGGATAATTTAAATTTATTGGAATTGAGGTAAGGTTTATTTTATGACCCACCATAAGGAAGTCATTTGTTTTTCGTTTTATGCTTATCTGAAAAAATATGTATATTCTATTATTGTCCAATATAATGTTGTATAATTTCTCATAGGTTTTCTCCTTAAATGTTGTTTTTCATTAAGTCTGTCTATTTCACTTAACTTTTCCTGTCAGCTATATAGTGAAATATATTACTGTTTTTTCCTACAATTGTGAATTTTTTATTTCATTCTTTAGTCCAGTAAGTTTTTATTTATTTTGAATGTATGTTATTGGATGCATATAAATTTAAAACTGTGATATTATGCTAGTATATTTACAAGTTCATTGACATTAGTACAATTATCCTTTATATTTTCCTATTATTTTTATCTTAGAAATTATACTGTCTATTATTAACTGAGTTGCACCAAATTTCTTTTATAGTTTGTATGATGTTTTTACGTTATTTAAACTTTAATCATACGTTTAAAATTGGACTTGTATTTAAGATGTGTTTCATGTTGGTAGCATGTAGTTGGGTTTGTCTACATTTAAAAAAAATTTTTGTATCCATTTTGTATCTACATTTAACTTTTAAAGTTAAGGAATTCACTCAACTTACATTTAATGGAATTACAGGCTTGAGATAAAATTAAACATTTCTGAACCCATGTATTATGGTATGGCCATCTATCTTGCTTCGATCAATGAAATGAGTGGAAATTGAATGTGTTGTTTTCAGGCAGAGACACTAAATTACCAGTTGAGATATCATATAACTCTTTTCCCCTTGCCACACCAATCTTGGAAGCACAGAAATAGAATTTTCATAAGCCTTGATCCCTATGACAGGATGATGTAGAGAAAAACTGCAACTCCAACAAGCCATGATGGAAAGGTGCCATGAGCATAAAGTGAATATTTGATCTGTTAAACCTCTGAAATTTTGAGTAATTTGGGCCTAGCCTATTTACAGTAGTATATGAAGTTTTAAAATACGGATTCAATTTAATATACAATTATTGAAGTTTTCTATTTTATCTTAACTTATTGTTGTTTTATTTTTCTAACAGTCTTTCCATTTTACTTATTTATTTAACTGGCATAAAATTATGTAGTACATACCCTCATGATCATTGTAATATTTACAGACTCTGTAGTGATGATCCTTTTGTATTCATAATTCATTTTGTGCCTACTCTTTTTCATTAACTGATTAGTCTTTCAAAGTGTTAATCAATTATTAATCTAAAAGAACTAACAATTGTCTGGGTTTTTTTTTTTCTGTTGTTTGTATTATACAACATTAATTTCTGCTGTTGTATTTTTTTTCATCTACATTCTCTGGGTTTAGATTGCTTCTTTTAAAATTTCTTGAAATAGCCTTAGTTTTATAGACTTTTAATTTTTATATTACATAACTATATATATATATATATATATTTCTCGAGACTGAGTCTCGCACTGTTACCCGGGCTGGCGTTCAGCGACACGATCTCGGCTCACTGCAACCTACGTCTCCCAGGTTCAAGCGATTCTCCTGCCTCAGCCTCCCAAGCAGCTGGGATTACAGGCACCTGCCACCACGCCCAGCTAATTTTTTGTATTTTCAGTAGAGGCGGGGTTTCACTATGTTGACCAGGCTGGTCGCAAACTCCTGACCTTGAGATCTGCCACCTCGTCCTCCCAAAGTGCTGGGATTACAGGCGTGAGCCACCGGGCCTTGTCGCTATATTTTCTTTAAGCAGAAACTTATTAGTCTTCTGGCTCTGGATATTTTCATCATGCTTCGGTACAATGTGTTTTCTAATTTCACTATAAATCGACTTTCTGATGAGTCGTATTTATAGAAATATTTATGATAATTCCTGCATTGGTTCCTATTCTTGTTGTTTATTTCTTACTAGATTTTACTGTGGTAAATATACGTAATCTACATGATTCAATTATTTGAAACTTGGAGGCTTCCATGAAAAATTGTAACTAAAAGTATGACCTCATGTGATTGATTTCATGCTTAAACCTGTGCTACCTTTGTGGCCTAAGATATTCAAATGGAGAATTTGATTTCAACTGGTTCTGTGTTGTTAATGCCCCTTCACGTCTGGTAGAAAAAGATGTTAATCCTCTATGACCAGAAAGAATTTTCAATAAATTCTTTTCAAGAAAAATAAGCAGTCAATAGGCAACCACACACATAATTTTATGGAACTAGGTGCTTGGGTTTAGAAACAGCAAAAACAGCAACACAATAAAAAGCATGAAGAAGCCCTTTAAGACTTTACACACTGTAATTTTTAGATAGGAAATGTTAAATAACTGAGTTAATGTATTTAAAACAATGAACAAAAACTTTCTTTTTGCTTTTTAAAAACACATTTAATTTTAGTATGATCTCATATAAAAGCAATGAAACAAAAAAGAAAAAAGTGTACTCATAGAGAACTCTTAAATGACAAAAACGTCTATGAATCTTAAACATTTGTGGTATGCAAATACAGTTGATACAGCAAGATATAGTAACCATATAGGTGTCACCAACATGTCATGTTGATATGCTTTTTATATTTATAATATTTTATATTTATATTTATTTATAAATAAATATAAATATTTTATATATAATATATATAAATATAAACATATTTTCTGCTTCCTATCTTAATAGCATATAAAAGTTAAATATGTTTAAAATGTTTATTTCAAAGCATTTTAGTAAATCTTATATCTCAATTTGAAGGGCAAATTTAATCCTATAGCATGTATGTGTTAGAAAATGCTTATTCACATATACAGACACATTAATAAATGTTCAGTTAGAAAATAAGAAAGTATAAATAATTGCCAGGATACCTTTCAATTTTCAGAATAACTATAGCTAAAAAAACTTAATAATAGACCTCAATACTTTTATCCATAATCCATAATCCAGACAGACAAATAAAAGGAGAGTATAGAAGACATGGAAAACACTGTGGGAGGTCACAAGTATATCTACTTACATCTAGAGAAATAAAACAGAATAGAAAACAGACAACATGTGAAGAGAATAAAACCAATAGTCATCAAATCTAATTTTGGAAAAAGGTCTCGAGTTAAAATACTGGACAATATGAA
Organism: Homo sapiens; assembly: GCF_000001405.40. NCBI lineage: Eukaryota > Metazoa > Chordata > Mammalia > Primates > Hominidae > Homo > Homo sapiens. The sequence continues at coordinate 145,099,096 of NC_000003.12, read as the reverse complement.
CATAGGTTGGTTAGAATTCTTCATTTTGAACAAGAGAAGGATAAATAATGCCTGTAAAACAGCTGGGGTTCCACTAAATACTTAGACAGTATGTTATATTCAAATAATTGGAAGTATACAAAGCCACTTTATATAACACAAATCAAGAAAAAAAGTTGGCTAGATCTGCAGCCATTAAAAAATGTAATCAAATTATAAAAAGAAAAGTAAGTCTAGGGACAAGATATGTTCACTAGTGTTCTCTAACAAATAGTCTGTAAGTTCTTTTCAATAATAAACTTAAAATCAGAGAGAGAGATTGAGAGAACATTCCCAAATTCATTAGATGAGACTTATATAACCATGGTACCAAACCCTGAGAAACCAAATGACACAATTTACTATGGATTCAAAAATCAATTATTAGTGAATCAGACTCAAAATTATTTCTTTATCGATATGCTATTATTAACTTAGGTCCTAAACTTAGAAGTGTGTTTAAGTTTAGAAAATGTAATTATGCAATTCAATAAATTAATTGAAGGAGAAATATCACATAAGTATCTCAATATCTGAAAGAGAGTTTTTTACAAAGACATTTTGATTATAGTAATTGTTTAAATGATTATACTAAAATCTTTGATTATGTTAAAACTTTTGATTGTAGTAAGTAAGAAAACAATTCTAAGAGAATAATAAAAGAAAACTTCTTAACTTGGTAATGATTATATGTCAACATCCTAAAGCAAATGTAGTATCATACTTAATGTTGAAACTTAAGATGATTGCCTTTTGAAATCAGCAAGAAATTTGCCTACTAAATATTTCCACTATTTAACATAGTCCTGGCATGCCTGGTAGATGGAATCAAGTAATGCAAAAATAAAAAGATGTAACAATTATAATTAAATAAATTAAGTTATTGTTAAATTACCAAGGAAAAAGCATAGTTTATCAGAACTTACACAAAGTTGTCAATTACAAGTGTTTTCTATACACCAGTGATTACTAGGTAATGCAACTGAACTTAAGATACCATTCACGTACTAAAAAACATTACAGACAAATGAGTCTAGACATAAACTAAGATCACATAAGTCAACTCTGCTTGAAAAGAGGAATTTTAGAGACCAATTAAGACAAAGTACTTTATCTAAATTAAAAGAATAATATTCTAAGGTGCAGAGTAGGAGATTCTCACCTTCATTCCCCAAGAAAAACTGACAATTTGAATCTATCCACACACACAGTAGCCCTCACAGGACTCCAGAGTCCAAATAAGAACCTGGAGCAACACAGTGGAGTATTACTGGAGAGATTCCCATACCTGAGATGTCTGGAGACAGCTAGGATCAAAGGCGAGGGGCAGGGCTATCAGTATCAGCCACGCAGCAGATGTCACCACAGTCCCCAGTGGCTAGCTTTGTACTCCAGCAGCCTTTGCCAATGAGCTATTCAATAGCTCCTGTAGTAGGCAAGAACTCCCAAACATTTTCACACTAGAGGTCCCCTTATTGTTCATTAGCATAGACCCTCACTTCCTGCTATATAGAGGAGAACTGCAGCTTTCACCATTAAGATAACCAACAGCCATCACTGCTATGGACCCAATGGAAAAGAAAAGGCTGCTGGGCACTTTCACCCAAGGAGGAGCCTTTGTTATGCCACCCAGGACTGGGGTTGCTACCCTCCCAAGCCTGCACATGTTCTAGACCTCAGAACCTTGGCTGCTCAGCATTTACCTCTGCTCCAGACCATGGCTCCACAGTCGCATGAATGTCCATGCCTCAGACATCACATACACCATCACTGTGGGCTAGCCAGAGCCCTGAATTTGGAGCCATGGTTGCTCTTCATGCACCTGCACTTTCGACCCTGGCTCCAGGCATACTATGAGGGCCCATTTCTTAGACATCAGGTCTACTTCACAAAGGAAGCTCCTGAACCCCAGACCCTGGAGCTGTTGTAGCTCTGCAGGTATCTACACTCTGAACCTCAGCTGCTTCGATGCTCCACAGCACCGAAAAGTTGCACACTGTTGCCCACACTGAAAGAAGAATAAGTAGAATTGTAGTATTCTCACCACACACACACAAAAGGTAACCATGAGAGATGATAGGCATGTTAATTAGCTTGACTGTAGTAATCATTCCATGGATGTATAGTATATCAAAACCCATGTTTTACCCCCTCAATTATATAGAATGCTTGTCAATAATAGCTCAATAAAGCTAAATAAGGAAATAATATTTTATAATCTTTCATAGGGTATTTTAAAGTTTAAAGATATAAAACATCCCCAAGTTAACCAATAAACTATTTATTTTATAAGCCCATTTTATATACATTAGAATGACTAAAATAAAGGGAAAAAAGACTAGCAGTGTTAAGTCTTGCTAAGGATGTAAAACAAATGGAATACTTATAAAATCTTATAAAGTTATATATATTTACCCTATGACCCAGAAATTTTACTCCTATTTAACCAGGAAAGACTTGCTCAAGAATGTTTTTAATATTATATTTTCCTAATAGCCCCAACCAAACAATTCAAATGTCCTTTGACAGAAAATTGGATTAAGAAAAGTGTTTGTTTAGTTATACATTAAACTCTTTAGAATGGTTTGCTGTGGACATTCAGTGTAAAGCAAATGGAGAATAGAGAGAAAAGAATGGGAGGGAGGGAGGAACAAAACAAAGAAGATAAGGTGCAGGTTAGGAAGAGTGATAATAGGTTATTAATAAATATCATTCTGAAATCCCAAATACCTAATGTGCAAAAAGTATACATGAATGAAAAAGTAAGTTTTGTGGGAATAAATGATCTATAAAGTTTTTCATATTTCTCTAAGGCCAAGGCTTTCTAAGCTTAAATTACTGGCAATGTTGTTATAAATAAATGTTAGAGGTAGCAAATTTATTAGGAGAGATTTACAGAAATATGGCCTCTAAACCCATTCATTAATATTCTAAAAAATAATGAGCCTAGAAAACTAGAGATTTGTTTTTTTTTTTATTAAAGGATAAATTTCTGTTTCTCCAGAAAGGAGGCACAGCTGTGCATGCTGCTATATATAAGCTCTGGGATTTATAATTTCAGGTTTCCTCTCCTATAGTACAGATGTCCCTGGATCTGTAGGGTGACATTTGCTCTTATCATTTTGCCCCAAGGGGGAAATTAGACAGAGGGAACCAGTGTTAAAAGAGTCTGAAAGTGAATAATTGGTGTATCTCTGACCCCCAAACTCGATCCCTTATCATGTTTATTACCTTTAATAAATATTTAAAATTGCTTATGCCTTGAATGATTTTATACTAAGGTAAAATATTTGCCAGATATTTCAATGAACAGAGTATGGTGCTCAGGAAACAGTATTACACGATTAAAAATGTTGGAAAGTGTAGGAAATAAAGAGAAGAACAAAATTCAAAGATGGATGAATTTTATCTCTAAACAAAATATTGCTGTGCATCAGCAGCATCTTCATCACATGGGAGCTTGTTAGAAATGCACAATCACAGGCTACACCTCAAATAATGGATCCATATATGTATTATATCCATGTTATTTGTATGTATACTAAAGTCTGAGAGGCATACAAAATAGAGAACAAATTAAACCCAAATGAAAAATATTAAAGTTAAATAAAAATAAAGAGATACAACCCCAAAACTAAACTGGAGGAAACTTGGGTTCCATTGATATTTAATTGAATATAAAAGATACCAGAGAGCAAGCTGGAATTATTACCCTAACAGAAGTTCAGATCAAGGATCCTACTTGAGATCCAAGAAAAGCATGCTCTGAAAGATGCAGATAAAATGTCCATGAGACTAACATGGAATCCTTTTCTTGATGGACAGAACTACAAAGTGACTACAGGTACCATAGACTCCGATGAGAAAGATCAGATAAAAATCTATCAGAAACTAATAATTTTCAAGTAGACCCAGTGATTATAGGTGGGAAAATGGATCAATGGTTTCTTTGAGGGAGCAAATATATGAAGTTTTATAGTATTTGTAATTAAGAAAACTACTTCAGAGATGAAACACACTAATATAATACCAGGTGGGATGTTAATTAATTGATTTCTGTCAACATAAAAAACAGAGACAAATCTCTAAGTAAAAAGGTTTTCTTTCAGAATAACATTAAAGAACTAGGATTGCAATCTGGGACATACATCTAGACCAGCGTGGCCTTCAGAATGTCAGGGGAACAAAGGAAATGTTAGGTTTATTAAGGAAGGAGGAGGTTACACAAATTGTTTTGAAAGAAAGCTTATTGGTGCTGGCAGCGTCTTAGAAATGCTGGTGAGTCTAACTGGGAAGTGTCAGCAGTTGCTAGGTAGGATTTGTAATCTTAGAATTACAGTTAGGCTCTTGTAGTTTTCAGCTGGGCTCTTGAGATAGATTTTGAACAGGCAAATATTCCTGTACATTCGGCTAGTTGTCCCTGAGCTGTTAGCTGCCCTTGTGTGACTCATGTAGTAAGCTGTGGTATGGAAAAATTTCTTGTTATAGTTCCCATTATCAGGCAAGCTATGCATAACAGCCTTCTGTTCATGGCCTTCTCTAGTTTCACTTGCCAGGATTCAGCCCAAGTGACTCTATTTTGAATCTTACAACTTTCACACTTCAGATTTCCTTAGTTACCAGACTGATGTTTGGAAGACATGCTATCAATGGAAGTGAAGGTGGGTTATATTTGTTTGAAAAAAAAAAGATGCTTTGTAGAGCCATAGATAACTTAGTTCTTATCTCTCACTGCAGTGCACTTCACCAAGAAAAATATATAGTAATACATTAAACTACATGCATATGAAGAATAAAAGCATTCGGAAAGTGAAGTTTCTTGACCAAAATTTCCAACAATAAACTATTTTACAATAAAAATGGAAACATAGAAGATATCATAATCATGATCATCATCATCATTGTTGTTGTCATATTTAACCAAAGCTGCACATTTTCCAGAATTCTCCCTGACGTGTATTTGTCTACTATCACATCAGTGCCCTACTCATGTATGCTGCTTTCTGCTACCCCCTTATCCTCACCTCTGTCACTTTTCTGTGGCTGTTGTAACACACTACCACAAATTGGGTGGCTTAAAACAGCAGAATTTTTTCCCTCACACAGTTCTGCAGTCTAGAATTCCAAAAGCAGGGTATCAGCAAGGCCACATTCCTTTTGGAGGTTCTAGGGAATAATCTTTCCTTGCCTTTTTTTAGCTCCTGGTATCTGCCAGCATTCCTTGATTTTCTTGATTTGTAGCCACATTACTCCACTCTCTGCCTTCATCTTCACATTGCCTTTTCCTCTCTGCATCTTCTCCTCTTCTGTCTCACATAAAGACACATGTCATTAGAGTTAGGGCCCACCTAGGTAACCCAGAATTATTTCATCTTAAGATCCTTGATAGTTACATCTATAAATACCTATTTGTTTCTAAAAAGGTTAATATTCATAGGTCCTGGGAATGAGAACACAAACATATATATTTGGGGATTGTCATTCAACTCACCACAACACCTTTCTTCTGTGAACTCCATGGGGATGGAAAAAGGAGTTTAAAAAGTTAAGAAAACCTTGAAGTGAACATAAAATACCTTCTTGTCATCTATTAATTTGGTATCTGTAGAGATACAATGAAGGATGAATCAACATACTATCCCAAAGTATTGTTATAATGTACCAGAGGCATTTCCAATTAATCTCTGTTCTTCTATGCATCCCTGATCCCAGTCAGTTTATTTATCTCCTAAACTTGAAGGGCTTCTCTGACCCATAAGAGAGAGTATCAGTAAAGTATGACTTTAAAAATATTAACTGTCAAATATACATCATAAAAATTACTCCCAAATTCTAAGAGGCATTGTCAATCACGCTGAGTTTTCAGTGCTGAGAGATTTTATGTTTGATATTTTATTCACCAGTACTTTGGTGGGAAATGAGAGGCCACACCAGGAGCTATTCACTAGAAGCTACTTTAAGTGAGATCACTGACTCTAACCTTCATAACTAGAAGGATGGGGCATTTTTGTTTATTATTTATGCTTTCTACTGTATCTTCAATAATTTTAGATAACAAAAACATCATTCAGAAAAAGTAATAGTTAACAATAAAAAAGAAACAGTTAAAAATTTAAGTTACTCTTCAAGGTTAGTTTTATGTCTTTTAAAAAATTTAAATTCAAAATTTAAATTATTCTAGATTCTTTTATAGATTCTCCTATAATTATAAATATTCAGTAATGTCCTCATTTGATTAAGCAATTTTCCTGGAAACCATGGATTATATCTAAGTATGAATGCATCAACAGTGTAACAGTTTACTTCAATTATCATTAAGCATTTTTCTTCCCCCCAGTACAGCGTGTATAATTTCTTTGCCATGAGTATAATGCTTAGTAAAGTAAGATAAAATATATTTTTCTTTTATTGTCTAATTTTTGAAATAAACATGGCTGATGTCTCTGGGTTTTGAATACATTCTTTTTTTCTAATACTTTCCCTAGGTCATAAAGTTGATTAAGATATATCATATGATCAAAAGAGAGCAGGCATAAAGTCATGCAGAGCTGAATACTGCCCATCTTTAGTGCTTTGATGCCATTTTATGACAACATCTTTATTAATATTTTAGATGTATTATATTGAGAATGTAACTGCATATTCTAATACATCAAGTTTATGATCGGCTTAGCTCTATCAAAATGTTTCTATGCTTGCTGGCATTAGATATTCATTCTTTATTTTTAAACTGCTTAAGAATGGATCATTAAGTAAATAATAGAGTTTTCCAAAATTATTTTTTGTGCACATTTAGGACATAATCTGAAATCGTTCTTTGAGACTTTGCTTTTTATAGTGCTCACGGCTGCCGTGGGAGTGTTTCTGATAGCTTTAATGCTACCATAAAAATACAAAGAGAATTTGACTAAAACTGCATTCAAATGAATTAAGCTATCTGATTTATTTACATAGACATAAAGAAAAAAATTCAGGTTATAGTGTTTCACTACACTGAGTGATACATACCAACAATCTCTCAATATGGTGACTGAATAAGTAAAGAAAATCACATTTCCACAAAACACGTGGTTCCAGAGGTGTTAAAAGCAGCTCCAAACACACAAGGAAATTCCTGGGAAAATGCAGACAGTGCTATAAATTTGATTCTTATTGTTCCCATAGCAAACATCATGGCAGTCTGACATTCCCAGTTCTGCTGCCTCATCACTGCTGCATGAAAAGCCAGGGATCCCCAGTTATCATTTTGTCCCTGGTAACAAGTTAGGTACTTTGAGTTTCTGATATTAGGCAGTTCAATAAATAGAACTCTAGGGTCATGAAAGAGCCAATGTATCTCCAAGCAGTCTGTAACTTACTCCCCAAAGTGTATTTGGTGTTCTGGAAAAGTCTACCTCAATATTCATCAAATACCATGGACCATATTAACTTTTGCTATATGTCATAAAGATTTCATTAAAGGATGCTAATACTTTGCTAACACCAAGCTGGAAGTAATAAAATGGCTTTATCAATATAAAATTTTCTGTTCAAATTTCTCATTCCCTTTTCTGCCCCTCCCTGATTATATCTCCTCTAATTCAAAGTTGTCCAAGTCACCATATAAGGTTGAGGAGGCTGTGCCTTGCGCCGCCAGAACACCCAGTAGAGAGGCCTATGAGAGCTAAAATCCACCGGAGACACTTGGCATGGGGCCGCATCAGCTTGGAAGAAATCCATGTGTTATATATCCTAAAACATATCAAAAAAGAATTTCTGCCAATAGAAGTCCGTTATTTAAAAAGTTTGCATTTATATTATGAAAACATGTTTACAGTTTTACTTACATGCTTGACTTGGAATATGATCACTCCATAATATCAACTAAGTTTTGATGAATAAAAGAAAGCTCCATACTAGGTATATGTGTAGGCCTGTGCTAAGCTCTAAAAGAAATATTAAGGAAGCAATGCACATTTTTCTCCCCTTAAGAAGCTGGAGAATATAGCTTTAAAATGGTCTTGTTCTTCTGTTTCAATAGGACTGGTTTAAAATGTCCTCAGATTTCCTTTTTAGTCAACTAATTTAAGATTAATTTAATTATTACATTTAAAAGAGAAGGCACTGACTTCACTGCTGCATGAAAAGCAAGGTCTCCCCAACATCAAGGTGTCCCTGATAGCAAGTTAGGTACTTTGAGTTTCTAATATTACACAGTTCGAGGTCATGTAAGAGTCATGAAAGAGTCATGTAGGGTCATGAAAGAGCCAATGTATCTGTTGGTGGAGGGAACATCTCAAAATCTCAATGGTTTAACAGCACATAATTTGATGTGAACGATGGCAGATTCTGCCTAACAATCTCTGAGAATACTTCCATCTTGAGCTTTGACCCTCCTCTAACTTTTTGAATTCCTTTGCCTCTTTTCTCAAGGTGATGCAGGCTCAAGTTTTATAAATGTTCTTAACACTTCTCTTTATTCTTCTTAAGTGACCCATTCAATTAAAATTTGCATGTTTTGATTCTCATTGGCCTTTTCATCTCATTTTATAGTAATTGTAAAATTTTCTTGCATTTTAATCGTGAAATTAAATTTGTGTTAAATTTTCTTGCATTTTTATGAAATTATATGTTTATAACAAATTATTTTAAAAATTTGAGTACAATGTTCTTACAAATCTTATTATTTGTTAAATATTTTTATTTTATTTTTTGTATCTACATTATAATCAGCATTTTATAAGTAGATTTTTTTGTAGGTTCTACTTTTTAAAAAATCAAAAATATTTTTTAGTGATTTTTCATTTGATTAGGTTATATAGTTCAAGAAAAAAAATGCATAGGAGTGCACAGTTAAAAGGTTTTCTCTTATTTTTGTCTCTTCTGTTTTCATTTCCAGCCTCAACCATTCACTAAAAACCTAAGAATTACTGGCATTTTCTTATCTGGATTTGCTCATTTTTTTTAAAGCACAAACAAGAAAATACTAATGTAGGTGCATGTTTCCTTCAATTTTATACAACATTTGGTATATTATATACATTGCACTTTATGTTTGCTAACTATCTCATGTATCGTAGATACAGATCTGTATGTAGATACAGAGACATATATCATACTAAACATTATCTCATATATCATAGAGAGCTACCTCATTCTTTTGACAGCTATATAATATTCTTTTGAAAAAATACCAAAATTCAGGACCAAAGCAGCCCCAATTGATGAACATTTGAAAATATAGAAACCTATACTTTCTCCAGGAATTTAGGAGTTCCTGCTTTCTGTCAATCTCATAAACCAAGAGTGTTATTAAAATTTTGGTTGTGGCTAGGTGGAAAATACTATCTCAGTATGCATTTGTTGCCAAACACAAGGAGTTCAACCTAGGTCTGGTTGCTCATCCCACAGAAAGCCAGTCACTGAGAAAATGAGTATTGCCAGGGAAGAAAGGCTTTATTGCAAGTGACGTCATCTGGGAGATAGGAGACAAGTCTCAAATCTATCTTCCTAACTTACTAAAGGTAGGGGTTTATATAGGAGTTGGTCGACAGACAGCAGATGGTGAGATAAGGGGTCTGGTGTCTCATTGTCTGGATGTGATGATCTGGAAAGTTTCAGTTCCTTGATACTATCTGGGAGGAATATGGGCAGATGTCACTTTGTTCATTATGATTGTAGTGGCTCATCTTTTCCTGGGTATAGAGTATTGTATTTTATTTTCTGAGAATTATGCATATATATCTTTGTCCATCTTTTTTCTGTTATATTATTGGTCTTTACCACTTGTTATAAACCAAATGTTTGTCTACCCTGAAAATCTATATGTTGAAGCCAAACCCCCAGTGTGATACTGGAAATAAGGCCATGGGAGGTAATTAGGGTTAGATGAGGTTATGCGGGTGGGACCCTCAATGGGATATATGTCCTGCTGAAAAGGAGAAGTGAGAGCTTGCTCTCTCTCTATGTGCACTCACCAAGAAAATGTCATTGAGTACATAGCAAGAAAGTAGCCATCTGCAAGGCAGGAAGAGAACCAGAAACCAAGCCTTGTCAGATCTTGATCTTAAACTTTCTGGCCTCCAGAACTATGAGAAAATAAGTTTATGTTGTTTGAGCCATCCATTCTATGGTATTTCGTTATGTCAGCCTGAGCTGACATCACTCTTGAGAAGTTCTGTACCTCAAGGATATTAGTCCTTTGTCTATGAAATAAATATTTCTCACCAGTACAGCACTTACATTTTGTTTTTCTCATGGTACTTTTTAAATTTTTTATTTAATTTTTGTATGCACAGAGTGCTGATGCTTATGTAGTTGAATTGTTGGTATTTATTTAGGTTTTAGGATTTTGAATTATAGTTACAAAGGCCTTTCCTTAAATGTTCCTCTTTTAGGTCAGGGTTTCTCTTATGAAGCGAGTGCCTCCTAATTTTTCAGGACTTCCTCAGTTCAGAGTTCAGTTACTTGTGTGCAGTATAACATTTCTTTTTGTGACAGTATAAAAATACTACTTACCAATAGCATAACTTCAACTTTTAATTTATTTTGTCCAGCTTGATTGAAGATAAGTCAACAAAAAATCATGTGTATTTAAGGTGTGAAATGTGATGTTTTGATATACATGTACATTATGAAATATTTACCACTATTAAGCTCATTGACATATCCACCACCTCACATACACCACTTTTATTTTTCTGGGATAAGAACATTTAGAGTCTAAACTCATCAAATTTCAAGTATACAATAGATTATTATTAACTATAGTCACCATGCTATAAATTAGTTCCCAGAACTTATTCATTTATCCTGCATAATTAAAATTTTGTATCCTTTGACTAGTATCTCCCTATTTCCTTCATACTCCAGACCCTGGCAACTACCATTCTCTCTCCTTCTATAAGATTGAGTAACTACAATTTTATATGGTTTAATTTTGAGCAACACGTTTTGTTTTATGTGGGTTTACTGGATTAACTAAATCTTGTCTCTACATTCCCTTAACAGCCAAGCAAAACACCACTTGTGAGGTTAGATAGAGTACTGCTCTGTGAGTTGCTTTTTCTGGTGAAATAATCATGATAGAAAAACTTTCATGTCCACGGAAATGTGACATGGAAGGAAAGCAGACACTGCAAGACAACTGAGGGCTGATTATTGGGTAGAACTAGTGCTTGAGAGTTTTTGTGTGGACCTAGCACAGCCAAATCAAGGACCAGGAGCAGGAATTACTACATCATCCATTTTTAACCATATCCATCCTGAGTGGAACCCTGAGGGCATCTCCTCTGGGATGACATGTGAAGGGTAGGAATTCAAGACTCTGCTTTACATCCCCATTCAAGTATCATGCTCACTTTCACCATGTCAACCTCTTCCACAATTTTATCATATTGTTTCTGTCTCTGAAAGTAATGGCAAAATTGCAATAACTTTTGCATGAACACAATAACATAGCCTTTCTTTACCATTCTTTTTTTTTAAGTTCCTGGTTATGAGTTCTTAATTTTAATTGTCTTATATGTATAGGTTAGGACACTGTAAGTTTTTTTCTCTAATTCTGGATCTTCTTTTTATAATAATTTATTCGAGTCATATATTTGCTTCCCTTGCTTGACTGAAACTCCACAGATTGGGTAGTGGCTTACTACCATCCCACCCTTCCATCTTACTTAGTGGTATGGTTTAAATGTGTCCCCTCCAAATTTCCGGTGTTGAAACTTAATGGCTAATTGTGTTAGTATTTAGAGGTGAGACCTTTAAAAGGTGATTAGGCTTGAGAGCTCATCCCTTGTGAATGGAATTAAGGCTCTTATAAAAGAGGCCTCACACAGTGTTTGGTAGCTTGCCCTTCCACTTTCTGTCATGTGAGGGCACAGTGTTCCTCCCCTCTGGAAGATGCAGCTATCACCAGACAACTGAACTTGTTGGCACCATGATCTTAAACTTCCCATCCTCCAGAACTGTGATAAATGCATTTCTTTTATTATAAACTAGCAAGTCTGTTGTATTCCAACTGCACAAAATGGGGTAGGACAGTTACTGAGCCTCCAATATAATCCCTCTCTTAGACATTTCATAACTTCTGTCTTTTCTCAAGCTTTGTTTTTTTCTTTACATAATAAAACTAAAAGCAATCAGGAAGCTGAGGTCACAGGGAAGTCATTCATTGGAAATCTATGTAGAGACAAAGATAAAAGAACTTGACTACTCACCTGCCTGAGGAAGACACTGGATGATGCCATTCACACTGGTAAGAATAATTTCACTAAACTTTTTAACAAATTGTTAACAGCTACATGTGGCCTAGCTTGAGTATATGAAACACTTAGGAACCACTAATACAAGGGAATCTACAACTGTTCACAGGCTCTTCTCCAAACAACCCACCAAATACTCATAAGAAGAATGGAGGGAAAGTAAAAGATAGGAGAAAGCTTCCCTGGGAGTGTAGCATTGTCCAGGGGAACAGCAGCCACTGTGAAAAAGGCAGAAAGCCTTATTTGGATCTTTCCCTGCTATCTCTCCTACAGCGAGAAAGCCTTAAGCCACTGGGGAAACGACAGAAAACTGTAGCACTCTCAGGGCATAGGTGAGAATACATTGCATGTAGAGGAAGAAAAAAGGTAAAATAAAAAGATTTGCCTGAGAGTTTTTTTTAGGAAAATGTCCCAGGACCATTATAGTACCCCTAGCATGGGGTAGAAGGGATATAAGATCTCTGAGAAGGCCCTTCCCTTGAGACCCAGCAGCATAGCATCTTTCTAAGATATTAATAGAACAGAACAGGAACAGAAGATAACACTCTTTTCCTGCCTTCTTCCCCACACCAACGGGTTGACAAGTCTTAAGAAACAACAACCATCTACTGATGTGGATAGACAAGAGTGTAAAGTAAGAACCTCTCTGAGATGAAGTCACAAAGGAAAGATCTAAAACAGGATGAAGCAGGCATTGAGTAAAATCTCTTCAGCAAACTAGCTCATACACTAATGCTAGACTTGAAGCATATGGTCCAGGGAGATTAAACACAGCAACAACAAAACACAAAGCCAAAGAAAATCCTAAAAGATTTAGTCAACCTCCCACATTACAGGCAAACAAAAGATATGCCCATTTCAAGGTATAAATAATTTATACCTTAGTCTGCACTGTACTACACAATATGTTTAGGTTTTAACGAAAAATTATGAGATACAAAAAAGAACCATTGTCAAGAGATATTTTATAAAATTAGATGTAGATGTAAATCAGAGATTGTAACTATCAAATAGGGAACCTAAAATTAATATAATATGTGTTAAACGTGCAAGAGGGAAAGGTCAACAGCATGCATAAACACATAGGGAATGTCAGCAGAAAAATGTAACATCTAAGAAAGAATCAAACTAGAATTCTAGAGATGAAAACATGGCAACAGAGGTAAAGGATATTTCTGATGGTCCCCAAAGTGTACTTAATAATAACCAAAAAAATAATAGTGCTTTAAAATGTAGATCAATAGAAATTTCCCGTATTAAAGGGAAAGAGAAAAAATTAAAACAAAAACAAACAAAAAACCAGTGCATCTAGAAGCTGTGGGAAAATATCAAACAATCTAACATATGTGTATTTGGAATGCCAGAAAGGATGAAAATGATAGAGGAAAATTCTAAGAAATAATAGTGGATAATTTTCTAAAATTAATATAATATATCAAATTAAAGATCCAAGAAGCTTAGAGAACATCTAATAGGATAAATACAAAACACAAAACAGACACACACAAATAAACTTGGATGCATAATATCAGAGTCGCCAAAATCTAAATACAAAAACAAAATTTTTGAAGGCAACCAGAAAAAAGACACGGACCATAAGAAGTAACAAAGCTAAGAATTACTTATAGAAAACTTCTCAGCAGAAATTATATTAGCCAGAAGACAATGGAGTGACATCTTTCTAATGCAAAAAGAGTAACAAAAAAGAAAAACAAACAACCGAGAATTCTGAATAGAGAAAAAATATATTTCAAAATGAACAAAAAAAGACTTTTAAAGTTAATATATAACTGAAATAATTATTACTAGACTAGTACTTAAGGAAATGTTAAAAAAGAAAAGATCTTAAGCTAGAAGAAATTGACACCAGATATTAAATAAAAAATTGTGTCATCTCAAAGAAATGTCATAATTAAAGATGATTATAAATTTCATTTTATTATTTTTAATTTATCAAAATATTAATTCACCTTATAAAGCAAATATTAGCAAAGTAGTACATGTTTACAGATGTAAAAATGTATAAAAACAATGTGAAGTATGAAGAGGGGGAATTAGGAGTATAATGTTGTAAGGTCTTTACACTGTGTGAAGTAATATATTATCATTTGAAGGTGGACTACGATTAATGAAAGGTGTATATTGTAAAGCCTGGGGCAGTTATCAAAAAACATAATAAAAATATAGATAATAAACCAATAGTAGAGAGAAAATGAAGTGTGAAAGTGATACAAAATTAAACTTTTTAAAAATTAAGAACTTCTTTTCAAAAGTAGCTATTTACAGTAAAAGATAAAAAGCCATAAAATGGGAAAAAACTTTTCTAATCAAATATTTAATAAAAGATTGTATCAAGAAGATAAAAGAATGATAAAACTCCTTAATAAACAACTAATCCAATAAAAATATGCAAAAATCTGAAATATTTCAACAAAGAAAAACAATTGGCAAATAAGCACATGAAACAATGCCCTATATCATTATTCATTAGAGAAATGCAAATTAAAAACCAAATGAAGTCACTATTTAAATGGCTAACAACAACTCCAACGAATCTTACAAGGCCAAGTACTGGTGAGCATTCAAAATGTATACATTGCTCATGAGATGCAAAATGTTAACATTTTTGCAAATATTTTGACAATTTCTTAAAGTTCATTAATATCTGGCTCAGCAATTCGACCCATGGGTATTTATTCAAGAGAAACAAAAACATGTTCACACCAAAACTTGTACCTGAATATGTAGAGTGATTTATACTGTCCTCAAACTAGAAACAATTCAAATATCCCTACCTGAGGAATGGACAAACAAATTAAGGTCTATCAAAGAGGAGAATACTAGTGAACAATAATAACATACATATGGGATAGCATGGTAAGTTTCAAATACATTATGCTAAGCGGAAGAAGCTAGACTCAACAGCTTACAGTCTTAACAATTCCATTTATACAACATTCTGGGAAGAGGAAAATCTGCAGGAACAGAAAACAGATCCATTGTGGCCAGGAACTAGGCTGGCAAGAGTGATTGATTATAAAGGGGAGCAAAGTAACTATGCAGGGTAATAGGATTGTTCTGCATCTTGATTATGGTGATAGTTATACTGCTAGAGAAATATGCCAAAACTTGCAGAGCTGCTTATAACAAAGGATAAATTTTACTGTATATAAATTACACCTTCTTAAAAAAATGATACTCCCTAAAATAAACTTCACTTATCAAATACAGTAATTTTTATTCCAGCCTAACTAATAGTGGTATTTTATCAATATTATTTAGACTATACTAACTAGTTGATGTCAGGCAAAATAAGGGCATAAAAACATAATAAAAAGAATAGCAAGAAGATTTATAAAATTCAAAGCATTCTACTCAATGCTAATGCAATGCATATTTGATTTTCCTTGTTTTCATTCTCCTGAAAACTTAAAAAAGAATCTCAATAAAAATTAACACACTGCAGATCTAAAACATGTTATTCTTGCCCTCCAATATGGTTCATATGGGCTTGTGAAAAATACATTCAATTAGTAATTCTGGTCTTCAAATGCAATTATCATGCCAAATCTATTTCCCCACTATTACTTTCAACAAAGTATTTCTAAATTATCTTGAATATTGCATTAATTTTAAACTTTCAAAGTGAGAATTTTTAAAACTGATCTCATCTTCATATATATATTTAAAGATATTCTCTCAGATTTCATGATAAAATTTATGGTTCAACTTCAGATTTTTACAAAGCCAATTTGGAATCTATAGAAAATAATTCTGACTAAATTAAAGATAAAAGAAATCTACTGAAAGTAGATTGCTTAATTTACAAAACAAAAAAAAAGTGGAGAACTAGTATGAGACTTTGGAATTTGGATCAACAATAGCACTCATGGGTACTGTAAAAAATAGATCAGTTAGGGTGTCCTTGCTGCCTTAATTATTCTATTAACACTATACCCAAGGTAGCTCTGAGATTTCTGCCAATAGGTAATAGATGCCTCCACTGCTGGATTTAACTCTAAAGCATTGTGGGTTTCTTTGCAACACTTCTTTAAAATCCCATGTTCTAAATGAGTATTTGATTAAATTATGTGCCTGCAACTCATATTCTAAAGTCTTTTTTCAATCCACCAGATCCAAAGGGATCTCTCTTAAGTAAAACTGATTGCAAGAGTCCTATCATTAGAATATTTTATTAGTTTTGAACTTTCTACTAAATACAGACAAATTCTTTTGCATATCATTCAAGCACTTTCATGATCTGGTCAAAGCCTAGGTCTTGTCTACTAAATGGTCCCTCACATCTCAAGTTATGCTGAACTCCTTGCAATTACTTTAATGTGCTTTGATATTTCACATCATCATACTTTCACCTATAATGTATTTTCTACAGGAAATGTCATCCTTTGACTCTCCAACTCCACCCTTTTTTATATTGAAGTGTCAGGTCAAGATGCATCTTGAAATTTCCTTCAATTCACAACCAGAAAAATTAATCACCATTGTCTTCCTTTCTCTGTATCTTATAAATATTACTGTTATTCTACTCATTTCACACTGTTTATCACCTCTGACTAGTCTTGAATTTCTTGAGAGTGAGTTTTCTGTTTTATTTAAATCCACATTCTTAGTACCTAATAAAATAGTTGGCACATAATAGTGTTGCAAAAAGACCCTGTTCTAACTTAAAAGTAGGATCGAAGAGAAAAACATATAAACATAGATAAGTTTAGGTCTGATTGGAAACTTTACATTACTTGAGAGTTACAGATAAAATTTTATGGGATTTCAGAGGCAGAAGAGATTAGTTCTGGCTTGGGGGAGAGGTCTTCAAACAGATGTTCAAACTAGTAAACACAACATCAAGGACATGCTCAGATACTTTGAAAGAAGATGTATTAAAAAAAAACACCAAGTTATAGTTGTGTCTGATGGATTAAGCTGAATAAAATATATCTACAGGGGAGAATAAAATCGTTCATTATAACTTTGCAAAGGTGAAAAACAGAAATTCTTGGAGTCAAAACTAAATAAATATTGATTTGGAATAAAGAAAGAGTGACTGGGAAAACCATGAGGTAATTGGAAAATGATAATGACAGATAAAAGTTATTGTTTTTTAAAAAATGGCAAATGTTAAAATTCTAGAGCTTAAAATTCTAAGTAAGCTGAAAACAATTTTTGGCATAGTCTAATAGGTTGTTTATTACATAAGGCATAAGCATCTTTAGACTAAGTTAATGTTTTGATAGAACTTAGGGAGCATATTATGATCAAGTATAAATTTAGCTAGATTTTTTATGTAAATCTGTCTTGTTTTGTTTTAAAGACTTAAAGACTTCTAATCAAGTGGAATTTCACAGACATTTAGCTTTATTTTTTTATATATTCCCACCCATAGTCCCCAAAATATTACATAATGAGCTGGTTATAAAGCAAACTATATTTATCTTTCTTTAACTGGCATCTTGTCAGCTTCTGACACTATAGGGCATGTGAGGAAGAAGTAGTTACTCTTTCCTGTTTAGTCATTTTTTCTGTCAGCATCTCACCTGCAACAGGCAGTCACCTTAACAAAGACAATTGATTTCAGTTTCCAGTTTGTTTCTGCTCCCTGAACCATCTCCACTTACCTCCTCAAAGATACCAGTACGACAACCCCTTCTGAGATCTCCGTGCTTCCCTGCTAAGCTTCCAGCTTTAAAGAACCCAAACTTCTTTTATTTTTGTCCTACAGCTCAAGAATTGGTTTGTGCTTTCTGCAGTTACTATGTTATTTTTCTATTTTTGCCATTTTAACCCTCTAATATGTCTTTAACCAACTCATTTCATTATCATATTCTCTGTTAAAATAACTGGTGTGGTTTCTCTTTTCCTGAATGGCTCCAAACCAAATAAGATATCTTGGACCTTGACTTAATCAATAAAATTTATGAAATGATTCAGGGTTTTAATTAAATAAAATGAGATGTGATGAGTTTGGTCACTTAGAAGTAGGCTGAAAAGCTCCACTAAGAGATAGAAATTAATGAGTATTTAGAGAATTGAAATGGTATCTTTAGGGTCATGACCCATAAGTTTATGCCTAGCTTTTTTATTTTTTAAACTTCCAATCTCACATTATCATTGGTTATTTTTAGTATTACTACTAGAAATCAATAAGTAAAATTGGCACTGATTTCATAATTACTGTTCATGTTAAACAGAAGCTCAATAACCATTGATCCAAAGTATTTCAAAATATTTTCTTTCTAGAGTGGGTAGATAGTCTGGATCTTTCATAAATTCCAGCTAAGCCCATAAATTCCAAGAACAATATAAATCTGAATTTGCTTTTTTCTTTTAGAGACCACATAATTAGCTTTTAAATTTATGTTAAATATGCAGCTTAAATAATAAAATAGGTAGCTCACTGGTGTTATATAATCTTGGAAAATAGTTGATATAAATCTTAATATTATGACTATAATTATGAGAAATATGTACAGTATACAATAGTTGATAAGTAATATATTAAGATTAGTGTTACAGTGGTGTGATTCTGTGTATTTTTTTCTCCATTTTCCTAAACACAAATCTGGATAGAGTTCCCCATTAAATTATCTAAAACATTAGCCTGCTACTGTTTCTGGAACTGCAGTCTACAGAAGAGAAATAAGACATGGGTCTGTGTTCCTATTAATACTTTCAACTTGAATGTATTCCTGCCATCCATAAGAGTCAACTTATTTCATGATGAAAGTGTCTAAATTTGTAAATATTTCAGAAATATTGTAACTGTTATAAACCTTTTATTTGTTTATATATTTTTCTTTCTTAATATCAACATACTGCAATGGAACACTCGCAATCTCCATCTAATTTTGATCTTGTTGTATGGATCTTATTCTGGAACTTGAAATCCCTGAATAGATATAGAAAGAAAGGAAGTGATGAATGGCAGGTGTGAGAGTGATTTTATATTTTTTCCTTGATTAAGGCAGCTTGTACATTCCAGAATTATAGGGAGAGTTGGAATGTTTTACTTTTACAATCAACCACAGTGTCCTTACTTGCAGGGCAGTGTATGAATAAGCATCACTGATGTTGCATTTTTGCGAAATTATCTCAGTTCTAGAATGTGTGACAGATACAGCAAACTGTTCAATTAAATTCATTATCCCCCATCATAATGAAAGATTTGGCAAGGAGCTGAGCAGTCTGCATATTTCAGCCTCTCTGGCATCAGGATGGAGCCACATGGCTAGATTTTGCCAAGAGGATATGAGACAAAGTGGTATCTGTTATTTCCTAAGGTGACAGAAAAGAGTAAGCGCATTTTCCATCTTTTTTATTTTTTTCTTCTTTCTGCTGAATTTATATAAAGTAGCATAGTTGCCTTGAATGTATTCTATTGAACATGGCCTAGGCACAGGATGGAGGAAATCTGGTAGTCAGAGACACTACTACTTGAAGAGTAAGCCTGCCAATCAGAAACATCTGTCTGGGCCCTATATAAGTGAAATTTAACTTTTGTTGTTTATGAGACATTAGACAATTTTTAGACTTGGGTTTCTTTGTTAGTGTTATGCCAGCAGTATTGACCTTATGGCCTTACCTCACAACAGTATTTTTTTCAGATTTCATCTAACATTATTTTTTAAATATACCTTCATTATTTAATGCATCTTTAGACACATGGAAATAGGAAATTTAGACAGGCCATGTGGAGTCTCTCTTAAATTAATCTGGACCTAGTCTAAGTACAAGCCCAGAATCCCATAGTCACATTTCTGAGATCCAAGCCCTATGAAAATTATGCTTTTGTTTGTTTTATGTTGTCTTATATTCTTTGAAACTGCTTTAGTGGAGAAACTTGACTTGACATGAACTGAATTGTAACCAACCTTAACTGGTATGAAGTTATATCCCCTGTGAATGCTCATAAGATTTTGTCATAGTAAGTTAATGTGTCACATGCTGACAGTGTTATGTAATAAAGTACCTTATTTTTTTAATAAACATTTTGAATTCCAAAGCAATGCTAGGCCCAAGTATTTCACATAAGATTTTATGGCCATTCATTTTCTTGTTGCCTCATGGCAATTTCAGAAGGACATGTATCCCAACACAGAAATAATGCTAGATGGATGGATGGATGGATAGATAGATAGATAGATAGATAGATAGATAGATAGATAGATAGACAGACAGACAGATAGACAGACAGATAGACAAATGATAGATAGATATCCATTCCTAATCTCTGGAACCTGTGAATGCTGTGAATGTAACGTTTATTTAAAAAAAAAAAAAAAGTCTCTGCGGATGTGATTAAAAATCTTCCAAGATCTTGAGGAATTATTTGAGTGAGCCCTAAATCTAGTGACAAATATCCTTATAAGAGACTTGGAGAAAAGAAGACAGACACAGAGAAAGTGGTGGAAAGACAGAGGGAGAGACTGTAGTAAGGTGTCTACAAGTCAGAGAATGCCAACAAGTGCCAAGAGCCACCAGAAGCTGAAGGAACAAGGAACAGTTTCTCCCTAGAACTTTCAGAGGGAGCATGGTCCTGCTGACAACTTAAATCCAATTTGCTGATTTTATAGATGGATGAAATTAAGCATTATTTTATAGACTGGTACAGACAAAAGTCTATAATTTCCTCATGTGTTTTCTATACTTGCTTTATAGCACACAATATTAGCAAAATCTGTCTTCTGAAATAATTTCTGAAGGTAAGATGCTTTGTTTCCTGTTTGAAGATTTATGACAAGTTTACTTAGAAGGCAGCTTTTTGGCTTTTCTTAGAAATGTCTGCTATTATTCTAAGGCTTCTAGCTCTACTACTAAAGTGATGATTGCTTAAAAGTTCTTTTTAACCTGGCAAAGGTAGAGTAACATTTTCAAAAAACCATCTCCAGAACTTTCACCTAATAATTAGGGAGCAATTTTAATGCAGACTGAAACTTTAAGACAAATGCTCTGGTGTCACCATTTTTCAAAACAAGGGATCTGAGCGTCCTTTGGATATTTTCCAGCTGTGTGTAGACCTTATAATTTTATATAAAATACTCTCTCCTGTTTATTTTAAATTTCAGTGGGGATCCAAGTTTACATGGTTGCATATAATTCATATTATAAATTAATTATATCCTAAATAAAAGTGACCATGTTACATTAAAGTGGGTTTCTATTTCTGTTTGGTTCTTATGAATGTTTGCAAAACAATAATGTCTTATAGTTATCATTTTTAAGTCACATATGCAGAATGATATAAATAGTTGACATTTGATAGAACAGTGCTAATTTTAGGAAGAGAATGTTAATACATACATATGAAACATATTTAGCATATAGTAATTTATGATAACATAATCTACTCTTAAAATATTATTCAAGTTCCTCTATTCACTAAAGTTCTGACTGACTTCCTACACATTCTTAAGAAAGTCAAATTTTGGCTGGGCACGGTGGCTCACGCCTGTAATCCCAGCACTTTGGGAGGCCAAGGCGGGTGGATCACCTGAGGTCAGGAGTTTTAGACCAGCCTGGCCAACATAGTGAAACCCAGTCTCTACTAAAAATACAAAAAATTAACTAGGCATGGTGGCAGGTGCCTGTAATCACAGCTACTTGGGAGGCTGAGGCAGGAGAATCACTTGAACCCAAGAGGTGGAGGTTGCAGCAAGCCGAGATCGTGCCATTGGACCCCAGCCTGCTCAATAAGAGTGATACTCTGTCTCAAAAAATAAATTAACAAATAAATAAAAGAAAGTCAAATAGAAAGTCAAATTTCTAATTTCAACTTGAGCTTAAATAATTCATTGAGTTTCTCTGAATAAAAAATTGATGGTTACAAGTACATTTCCTTTCTACATAGCTACCAGACAAGTCTGGATTGCATAGAAGTTTCAGTTGAAGAAAGTTGTGAAGTATCTTCAATCTTAACAAAAACAATGGCCTTAATTACCCAGCTCCTGAGTTATGTAGGAATGACAGTTGATCCAATAAGTAGTATTCAATTAAATTTTATATTTATTCTGAAGGGCATTCTGGTTTTTAGTTGCTAAATGTTATTCAAACAAACTCCTAAGAAGCACTCAATTGGGATTAGTACAATCATATTTAAATGTATAATTGATCCTTGAATTGTATATCTGTAGCAATAAAACCAAGTCCAGGTTGGCAAACAAAATACCTAATGGAAATACCGATTATATTTTGCGTACTTAGTAATGGCATATAATGCTCAGGGAACTTAAACACAAGGAGAGCCATCTAAGATATTATTTTTCAAGATGTTTGAAGCACATTTTAGAACTAATAATTTTTATTTTTTCTTTCTTTTTTTTTTTTTTTTTTTTGAGACGGAGTATCACTCTGTCGCCAGGCTGGAGTGCAGTGGCATGATGTCGGCTCACTGCAACCTCCACCTCCCAGGTTCAAGCAATTCTTCTGCCACAGCCTCCTGAGTAGCTGGGACTATAGGCACTTGCCAAGATGCCCAGCTAATTTTTGTATTTTTAGTAGAGATGGGGTTTCACCATGTTGGCCAAGATGGTCTCCATCTCTTGCCCTCGTGATCTCCCTGCCTCGGCCTCCCAAAGTGCTGGGATTACAGGCATGACCCACCTCTCCCGGCCCTAATAATTATTCTTAATAGGAATGTCTCTAGTTTACTGTGCATTCCTCATTCCTGTCTTCTCTTCAATAAAGTAGAAGGGAGGGTTTCTATATGAACAAAGTTGAATCACCTAGAGGACCAACAGCATCAGCACCATCTGGTAACTTGTTAGAAGTTAAAATTCTCAAGCTTTGGCCAAACCTACTGTATCTGAAATTCTAGAGGCACAGCCCAGCAATCTATGTTTTAGCAAGCCCTCCAAGTGATTCTGATGCATGCTAAGGTTTGAGAAGAACTAGAGTAATGAAACTAAACTAAATCTCCCAGAAAACTATGTCTACTGAAGACAGTAATGGGTCAATCTCTGGCAAGTGCTCTAGCCCCTACAGTGCCCACAGGGATAGCTAGTAAATGTAATTCAGTTTTTGGGGGGGTTGTATGAGTAAAGATAGAAAATTATACTTCTCTTCAGAAATAAAATGAGAAATGGACTCTGGTGAGACAGATACATTAGTCCCCTTTTATCCATGAGGGATATTATTCCACGACCTCCAGTTCCTGAAATCACAGATAGTACTGAGCCTAATTATCATTAATTGGAACATTCTTTTCAGGTCTTTCACCACAAATGTAGTGCTTTTCCCATCTCAGTTAAGCACTTGTCATGCACTGTGACCATGACTTTTGTAGTTTCAGATACAACAGTAAACCTAGCACATTTTTTTCCTTCACAATTTCACAGATAGAAGATTCATTCTTACAAAGCATGAGTTAGCAACCTCAGCATATATTTTTCTTTTCTCATTAAGGCAAGAACTTTCACCTCATCACTTAAAGGAAGCACTTTTCTTTCTGATATACCCAAATTACCAGCATCACGACTCTTGTGCTTTGGGGCCGTTATTAAGTAAAATTAGGGTTACTTGAACACAGCACTGCAATACAGAAAAAGTTGCTCTGAACTGAGCCCAGTCCTAAGTGACAAATGTGTGGGCAATGCCTACATTGTGGATATGCTGAGCAGAGCTTAGCAGGACAGAACAAGATTTCATCATACTCCTCAGAGTGGTGTGTAGTTTAAAATGTATGAATTGTTTATTTATTTATGAAATTTCAAAATTTAATATATTTGGACTATGGTCAACCCCTGGTTACTAAAACCTTGAAAAGCAAAAGGGAAGAATGCTATAAGTGATTGGAGAGCTGAAGGGAAGTATGAATATATGACAACAATGTCTGGATGTGTTATATGCAAAACCCAAGTTTCACCACTAAGATTAACTATCTATAGAACATCATTTTTGCATAAAGATCACTTTGTACATCAATGTGTATATTCTTTATACTTAGAAAAAACAGACTTACGAAATTTTCATGTTGTGTAGATTTAGCAATCTAGCATCATTTCTGTTTGTGCCTGGCAAAATTGTACTTTTGAAAAGATGGGTCTTATATCTTCTGAGCTTGTTTCCAAATATCTCCAACATATTATTAAAATGTTATTCATGTATTTAAATTAATTATCACATTCAAAAAATTGGCTTGTAAAATGGTCCTCTTAGTTGAGAAAACACACACACAGTATACTTAAAGATGAGGAACTTGTATTAATTGAAAACTATCACAAGAATATGCATTGTGTTGCATCATTCAAAGTTTATCATATGATATGGTTTGGCTGTGCCCCCAGCAAAATTTCAACTTGAATTGTATTTCCCAGAATTCCCACATGTTGTGGGAGGGACCCAAGGGCAGGTAATTGAATCATGGGGGCAGGTCTTTCCCATGCTATTCTCTTGATAGTGAATAAGTCTCACAAGATCTGATGAGTTTACCAGGGGTTTCCATTTTTGCTTCTCCCTCATTTTCTCTTGTTGCCGCCATGCTTTTTGCCTCCTGCCATGATTCTGAGGCCTCCAGAGCCATGTGGAACTGTAAGTCCAATTAAACCTGTTTTAATTCCCAGTCTCAGGTATCTTTGTCAGCAGCATGAAAACAGAGTAATACAGTAAATTGGCACCAGTAGAGTGGGGCATTGCTGAAAAGATACCCAAAAATGTGGAAGTGACTTAGGAACTGGGTAACAGGCAGAGGTTGGAAAAGTTTGGAGGCCTCAGAAGGATACAGGAAAATGTGGGAAAGTTTGGAACTTCCTAGAGACTTGTTCAATGGCTTTGATGAAAATGGTGATAATGATATGAACAATAAGGTCCATCTGAGGTCTATCTCAGATGAAGATGAGGAACTTGTTGGGAACTGGAGCAAACGTGACTCTTGTTATGTTTTAGCAAAGAGATTGGCAGCATTTTTGCCCCTGCCATAGAGATTTGTGGAACTTTGAACTTGAGAGAGATGATTTAGGGTATCTGGTGGAAAAAATTTCTAAGTAGCAAAGCATTCAACACATGACAGCAGTGCTATTAAAAGCACTCAGTTTTAAAAGGGAAACAGAACATTAAAGTTTGGGAAATTTGTAGCCTGAAAATGTGATAGAAAAGAAAAACCCATTTTCTAGAGAGAAATTCAAGCAGGCTGCAGAAATTTGCATAAGTAGCAAGGAGCCTAATGTTAATCCCCAAGACCATGGGGAAAATGTCTCCAGGCCATGTCAGAGAATTTTACAGCAGCCCCTCCCATCACAGGCCTGAAGGCCCAGGAGGAAAAAGTGGTTTCATGGCTCAGGCCCAGCATCCCCAGGCTGTGTGCAGCCTAGGGAGTTGGTGCCCTATACCCCAGCCATTCCAGTCAGGACTGAAACGGTCCAACGTATATCTCAGGCTGTGGCTTCAGAGGGTGGAAGCCCCAAGCCTTGGCAGCTTCCACGTGGTATTGAGCCTGTGGGTGCACAGAAGTCAAGAATTTAGGTTTGCGAGCCTCCACCTAGATTACAAAAGATACACGGAAATGCCTGGATGCCCAAGCAAAAGATAGCTGCAGGGGTGGGGCCCTCATGGAGAACCTCTTCTAGGACGGTGTGGAAGGGAAATGTAGGGTTGGAGCCCCCACACAGTGTCCCTACCGGGACACTGCCTGGTGGATGTGTGAGAAGAGGGCCACCATCCTCCAGACCCCAGAATCGTAGATCTACTGAGAGCTTGCACTGTGAAGAGCCACAGGCTCTCAACACCAGCCCGTGAAAGCAGCCAGGAGAGAGACTGTACCCTGCAAAGCCACAGGGGCAGAGCTGCCCAAGACCACAGGAACCCACCTCTTGCATCTACATGACCTGGATGTGAGACCTGGAGTCAAAGGAGATCCTTTTGGAGCTTTAAAATTTGACTGCCCTGCTGGATTTTGGACTTGCATAGGCCCTGTAAGCCCTTTGTTTTGGCCAATTTATCCCATTTGGGACAGCTATATTTACCCAATACTTGTACCCCCATTGTATCTAGAAAGTAACTAGCTTGCCTTTGATTTTACAGGCTCATAGGTGGAAGGGACTTGACTTGTCTCAGATGAGACTTTGGACTGTGGACTTTTGGGTTAATGATGAAATGAATTAAAACTTTGGGGGACTGTTGGGAAGGCATGATTAGTTTTGAAATGTGAGGACATGGAGGGGCCAGGGGCAGAATGATATGTTTTGGCTGTATTCTCACCCAAATCTCAACTTGAATTGTATCTCCCAAAATTCCCACATCTTGTGGGAGGGACCCGGGGGAGGTCATTGAATCATGGGGGCAGGCATTTCTTATGCTATTCTTATGATAGTGAATAAGTCTCACAAGATCTGATGAGTTTATCAGGGGTTTCTGCTTTTGCTTCTTCCTCATTTTCTCTGCTGCCATGTAAGAAGTGCCTTTCGCCTCCTGCCATGATTCTGAGGCCTCCCCAGCCATGTGGAACTGTAAGTCCAATTAAACCTCTTTTTCCTCCCAGTGTCGGGTATGTCTTTGTCAGCGGCATGAAAACACAAAGTGAAATGAAGAATATAAGTGTCTTATATACTCTAGACGGATTTTGTTTCTTTCTCCATTTATCTGGGAAGAATATTTCCATGGGTAAGTGTTAAATATTGAAAATTAATAGCTGAAAGCATGAACATCAAATACACCTTATTTAAAATGCATTCTATTTCCAATGCCCTGTGAGTGTTTAAGAAATATGTAGTGCAAGAAGGGAAAAGTAAAAGAAAAATCAATCATCCCTACTCCTTACTCATTTTACCATATAAAGAAATCCACCTGATAAATCTTCATCTTCTATTGATTTTTCATATATTATCCCCTCATAGGCAAATGAACCTGAGTTTATGAGCTCATCATTTGTGGATTGCACCACTACTTCAAATTACTTGCATATTTACGTATCCACATTCACATAAACACAATGGATCTTGCAAACCCCTACAACAAATAGAACTTAGCTTTAATACTTTTATCTCTGCAAAAACAAGATTTTTCTGTTTGAAAAAACATTACTAAAATTGATTTCCATATAAAAACATTTCCAACATTCCATAAAATTGCTAAGTTAAATTGATTATTTAATAAAACTACGTGAAAGATTCTGAGACGATTATTTCAAAGCATTTAGCTGTATGTGAGCAATTAAATTTGTGATGATAATCAGTAGGAAACTGAAGTGATCATAACAGGACTTGTGGGATTGCTTCAGTGACCAATTACTATTTGCTGGCAGGCACTGTGTTTCTTGGACTGGCAAAGATATTAATAAGCATTTCCATGAATGCACTATATTTGGTTAAAAACAGATATTTCCAAATACTAAATATAACTTAAAGGGCTCTAGGAGCTTGTCCAATTTACTCATAAAGTCATCAAAAACCTTTTTCTTTAAACAAATGTTTATTATCATTTTTGGTTGTTCTATCATTTTCACAGAGGTAATACATGGAAAAATATATATTTCTCTTGGTTGACACTTTTTAATGGTAAATATCAGACAGAACTGGAACACATATAGATTTATAATGCAAAACATAAAAGAACCATATTAGTGAATCGATTTTCACAGAAAACCGTCATTTTAGAGCCAAAAAGAAATGGCAGTTTCATGGTGCCAACCTAAATAACAAAGAGGCAGTGACTCTTTAAAAGGGAAAGTGATGTTTATTGGAAAATAGACATTGCAATGGGAAGGCACATATCATAGTAAACTATGTGCATATTCAGGGAGCTAGAGGAAAACAAAAGTTTTAAACAGAAAGTGGAGAGGATTACATCATTGTTTTCAGATAATTATCTTTAACTACAAGGATCAATAACAAGGGTGGCACCGGTCCAAATCTGAACAGGCTGTTACTGGCTAGATGTTCTTGCAGAAGTATTTTTCTGTGTCAGATTGCAATGGACTTTGTGCAAGTTTACAATTTTGTAGTTTTTTGTAATATTTCTTGTTATCAGGTGTTTGCACATGAGAATCCTTCCTTAATGGCTTTCCCTGACTCAGTTTGTCTGCGCTTTTATTACAAATAAATTCGTTTTAATTTCGATAACTTTTACAATGCCCAGAATGTTGTCCCCTTTGCTCTACCAAGACCCACATGAATAATGCCAGTAGCCAATGACCCGCTGTCATGATTATACTCTGATTTAGTCAAAAACTAAACATTCAAACTGAACAAAAGATTATAAATTAATTATAAGATTAATTTATAAACTTGACAGCAATCAATAGGATACTATACTGTGTTCATGTTGGAGTAAGACTGGAGTAAGTTAAGCAGGGCTTTAACTTTATGTCTTTATCATGCAAAAAACCATAAAAAACAAAAATACCTGAATTTTAGTATTGTAAGAATAAACTCATTGAATAGGAATAGACTTTTCAATGAAATTCATAAATGTGAGCTAGTCAGTTTATTCTTAAATGTTGGTATCTATATAAGATATATTGTGACATATCACTATATTATCAAGATATTGCAGAGAGCCACTGATACACTCTAACTAGGTATATAGCTCAACAGTTCTTGAATATGTAATTTGGTTTAGGTATCTCACATGTGTTAAGACACTTCATTTTTACAAGAAATCCTTGAAGGGTCTGTCTAGGGTTCACTCTCCCACATTCATCACATTCATTTCTTTTCTTTTTTCTTTCTTTCTTTTTTGTTTTTTTTTTGTTTGTTTGTTTGTTTGTTTTTTGTTTTTTGAGATGGAGTCTTGCTCTGTCACCCAGGCTGGAGTGCAGTGGTGCAATCTTGGCTCACTGCATCCTGCGCCTCCTGGGTTCAAGTGATTCTCCTGCCTCAGCCTCCTGAGTAGCTGGGACTACAGGTGCATGCCACAACGCCCGGCTAATTTTTGTATGTTTTTAGTAGAGATGGGGTTTCACCATGTTGGCCAGGATGGTCTCTATCTCCTGACCTCGTGATCCACCCGCCTTGGCCTCCCAAAGTGCTGGGATTACAGGTGTGGGCCACCGTGCCCCGCCCATTCATTTCTTTTCTTTCAGATGACCACACAGAATTTTATTTGAGAAACCGTTGTCTGCTATTATTAACCATGTGGTTTGTGTAGGGTTGATCTTATCTCCCACTGTAAGAATAAGTCTAAAGGCAGTTTAACCCAATCAGCTTGCACCATTTTCTGGATATGAGGGATTTTTTTTTCAGAGGGATGATCAAATTTAATTAGATGTAAAAAGATGTAAGATTATTAATACTGTGACTCAAAGAAGGGTGAAGATTGCTCTATTCCTCATAACTTACTATCAAAACTATGTAAAACGTGATGCTATCATAAGGGAAGGTAGTTTGAGGATAAAGTTGAAAAAGTCAAGAGTGTAGATTAAACAGAGTCTGAATTAATATCATTTGAATCTATTGGATCAAAGCACATTTGAAGGCAAGTCTGCATAAGGACTATCAGTTTCATAAACCAATAAACTGTTTTTCCTTCCTACCTCCCTTGTTTCCTTCCCTTCCTTCCTTCCTTTCTTCCTTCCTTCCTACCTCCCTCCCTCCCTTCCTTTCTTTCTTCTTTTGTGTTTTCTAAAAATTAAATGTAGTTTGAATTAAGTATTTTGTCTCTTGCAAATAAAAGATTCCTAAAAATTACAAAATATTTAATGTACATCTTTACCTCCATACTGAAGTTCAAAAAGTTTATTTAACTTGCCAAAGGTTAGGCGGACAACGGTAGAACTGTTTTCAAAATCCTCTAAAAATGGCTCCAAAATGTAGGTTCATTCCTTTATACCACATGGACTTTTTGCTATTAATTAAGCCTCACTAGGGCTGATCAGGGGCAGAAACTTGTCTTCTGACAAATAATCCACCTATTTTCACCATACCAAACATTATAAACAGACACCATAAAGATTAATAAATATGAGCCACATATGTAGCCAGTCTAACAGATGTTTA
Source organism: Homo sapiens (assembly GCF_000001405.40). Taxonomy (NCBI): domain Eukaryota; kingdom Metazoa; phylum Chordata; class Mammalia; order Primates; family Hominidae; genus Homo; species Homo sapiens. The sequence goes on along the minus strand of NC_000003.12, from coordinate 145,068,897 downwards.
TCTTTTATCTCTTCTTCTCCTAATATTTACATCTTTACCCTTTTATTTATGTGCATGTCCTGAAGCTATCTCAGGGTTCCTTGATATAATATAGTTTTTAAAAATAAAAATATGTCCACATTTAGGACATTAAAATATCAAAGTAGATGTTTGGAAAAATTTACCCCCATTACCTTTTATATAAAGCATTCCATTAAAAAATCAATCCCATTTCCCTTTTCTAATTATATAGAATTGAAATAAGACATAGTGGTGACATTTGGCAGAATATAATACCCCAGATCATAAACATCCATGATAATAATAAAGTTTAAGATACTGAAGAAGCAATTTTCCAACGTCTATAATAATTAAGCTAGTTCGACTTATTAAAATGTAGATTAGATTTGTAATCACACTCTGAGATTAAACTTCTGCTACCTTTAAGGCACCATTGCTTTAAAAAAGTAGTGCGTTATTTTTATTTATTTATTTTATATAGAGATGGGGACTCACTTTGCCTAGGCCGAAGTGCACTAGTATGATCATGGCTCACTGCAGTCTTAAACTGTTGAGCTCAAGTGATCTTTCTAGGCTTAGCACCCCCAGTAGCTGGGACTACAGGTGTGAGCCACCATGACTAACATTTATGTATTTTTAATATAGCCAGTATAGAATAAACACAGTGTTTCAGAAAAACTTGGCCTGTTTCCTTGTGCCAGGATTGATACTTCAAAATTCACCCGGAGATATTTTATTTTATTTTGTTAATTAGTAACATATAAATGGTAAATTGTACATCTTATCTTGCAAAGAACAACTAAAACCAACTAGGAATAAATACATAAATAAAAAGAAGGAATAGCAAAACAATCCAGAGGAGATATATTTTCAGTTTAACTAATGTTATAAACCCATTCATGTACAGACATACAATCAACTTGAGATTTGAGCCAAATAAGGAAACAGTAAATTTTACATTTATAGCCAGAATTATTTTTAAAAGTATTTAAAAACAAATAGTAGCAACAAAAAGACTATCTCTTCAGTTATTTTGTGATTGACAAAATATTCTTTCTCCCTAAATCCCAAAAGTTTCTTAAAATACCTTGACATGTGATACATATATGACATCAAGAATTCTTTGTCGCTTATCCTCTAAAACACCAAAAATGGAATTAAAGAAGAATGTAAATAAACTAAATATATAATTTTATATGAAACAGTTTATTTTTATTATTAAAACATTTGACTTATGCTTCTTGAATCTAAGTCATTAGCTACATGAAGAAAATGTCTAAAAATTATTTTAAATGTGTATATTTAATTTTTGAATTATTATCTTTAACCATGTTCTATATGATGCCTGGATACAAATATAACTTTTTACAGAAAAATAGAAAATACAATATTATTATACACATGATTATTTTCTTCTGACTTCTAGTTTACTTTTATAATACTTACTAATTTAAAAATTTTATCCCCTTTAAAAGTTGAAATATTATATCTCTGTAAATAAAAGAATCAAAACATTTGAGGATTTGAATTTGAAAATAACAACGGCAATAACAAAAATAATTGACATTGTTTATTTTTCTAAAATTTTGAAAAGTATTTCCTATGATGTTACAGTAGCATAGGGAATTCTCAACAGCTTAAATTTTTAAACAGTTGGAAAGATGTCCATGATTCAAATAAATATAGAAAGTTACAGGTAGATCATAGTAATTCCATACAATGTATATGTGAAAACATGGAAAAGTAATTATTCAACCTTGATTCCTTAACAACTAGTTTAAATTGTACTGCAGTTAGACTAGGTAAAATATTTTATCAACCTGAGTAACTTTTGCTTAGGAGAGGCCAGATTTCAAACCAGCATTTTCACTTACATCTGAACTAGTATACTCATAATTCACAACTTCCCAATATTACATATTAAAGGTTTATTCCAAGATAATATGTAACACCTTTTCAAATTTTTAGTTTTTCTTTACTTCATAACTGTTTTCACTTTTTTGTTACAGTAAGTAGCTAGTATAGTCTTTGTTTATGAGCAATTAGTCTAGGCATCTATATTAAGAAGAAAAAAATGACTAAAGTAAGCCTGAAAATTTTGCTTCCATGAAGACCTGACATTAAGAAAAATATATATTTCTTTTTCACAAAGATGCTTCCATTTCTTCAGTCTAAGTTAAAGACCAACGCTTTTGGCTAAGAAATTGAGCCAAGACACAATTCAAATTGAACCAGACTAACACTGTACCTTTATTTTTATTTTTTTTTAATTATACTTTAAGTTCTAGGGTACATGTGCACAACATGCAGGTTTGTTACATATGTATACCTGTGCCATGTTGGAGTGCTGCATATATTAACTCATCATTTACATTAGGTATATCTCCTAATGCTATCCCTCCCCCCTCCCCCCACTCCACGACAGGCCCCAGTGTGTGATGTTCCCCTTCCTGTGTCCAAGTGTTCTCATGGTTCATTTCCCACCTATGAGTGAGAACATGCGGTGTTTGGTTTTTGGTGCTTGTGATAGTTTGCTGAGAAATATGGTTTCCAGCTTCATCCATGTCCCTACAAAGGACATGAACTCATCCTTTTTTATGGCTGCATAGTATTCTGTGGTGTATATGTGCCACATTTTCTTAATCCAGTCTATCATTGATGGACATTTGGATTGGTTCCAAGTCTTTGCTTTGTGAGTAGTGCCTCAATAAACATACGTGTGCATGTGTGTTTATAGCAGCATGATTTATAATCCTTTGGGTATATACCCAATAATGGGATGGCTGGGTCAGATGGTATTTCTAGTTCTAGATCCTTGAGGAATCACCACACTGTCTTCCACAATGGTTGAACTAGTTTACAGTCCCACCAACAGTGTAAAAGTGTTCCTATTTCTCCACATCCTCTCCAGCACCTGTTGTTTCCTGACTTTTTAATGATTGCCATTCTAACTGGTGTGACATGGTATCTCATTGTGGTTTTGATTTGCATTTCTCTGATGGCCAGTGATGGTGAGCATTTTTTCATGTGTTTTTTGGCTGCATAAATGTCTTCTTTTGAGAAGTGTCTGTTCAAGTCCCTCGCCCACTTTTTGATGGGGTTGTTTGTTTTTTTCTTGTAAACTTGTTTGAGTTCTTTGTAGATTCTGGATATTAGCCCTTTGTCAGATGAGTAGGTTGTGAAAATTTTCTCCCATTTTGTAGCTTGCCTGTTCACTCTGATGGTAGTTTCTTTTGCTGTGCAGAAGCTCTTTAGTTTAGTTAGATCCCATTTGTCAATTTTGGCTTTGGTTGCCATTGCTTTTGGTGTTTTAGACATGAAGTCCTTGCCCATGTCTATGTCCTGAATGGTAATGCCTAGGTTTTCTTCTAGGGTTTTTACGGTTTTAGGTCTAACATTTAAGTCTTTAATCCATCTTGAATTAATTTTTGTATAAGGTGTAAGGAAGGGATCCATTTTCAGCTTTCTACGTATGGCCAGCCAGTTTTCCCAGCACCATTTATTAAATAGGGAATCCTTTTCCCATTGCTTGTTTTTCTGAGGTTTGTCAAAGATCAGATAGTTGTAGATATGCGGCGTTATTTCTGAGGGCTCTGTTCTGTTCCATTGATCTATATCTCTGTTTTGGTACCAGTACCATGCTGTTTTGGTTACTGTAGCCTTGTAGTATTGTTTGAAGTCAGGTAGCGTGATGCCTCCAGCTTTGTTCTTTTGGCTTAGGATTATCTTGTCAATGCAGGCTTTTTTTGTTCCATGTGAAATTTAGTTTTTTCCAATTCTGTGAAGAAAGTCATTGGTAGCTTGATGGGGATGACATTGAATCTATAAATTCCCTTGGGCAGTATGGCCATTTTCACGATATTGATTCTTCCTATCCATGAGCATGGAATGTTCTTCCATTTGTTTGTGTCCTCCTTTATTTCCTTGAGCAGTGGTTTGTAGTTCTCCTTGAAGAGGTCCTTCACATCCCTTGTAAGTTGGATTCCTAGGTATTTTATTCTCTTTGAAGCAATTTTGAATGGGAGTTCACTCATGATTTGGCTCTCTGTTTGTCTGTTATTAGTGTATAAGAATACTTGTGATTTTTCCACATTAATTTTGTGTCCTGAGACTTTGCTGAAGTTGCTTATCAGCTTAAGGAGATTTGGGGCTGAGATGATGGGGTTTTCTAAATATACGATCATGTCATCTGCAAACAGGGGCAATTTCACTTCCTCTTTTCCTAATTGAATACCCTTTATTTCTTTCTCCTGCCTGATTGCCCTGGCCAGAATTTCCCTGGGATGCAAGGCTGGTTCAACATATGCATATCAATAAACGTAATCCAGCATATAAACAGAACCAAAGACAAAAACCACATGATTATCTCAATAGATGCAGAAAAGGCCTCTGACAAAATTCAACAGCCTTCATGCTAAAAACTCAATAAATTAGGTATTGATGGGACGTATCTCAAAATAATAAGAGCTATTTATGACAAACCCACAGCCAATATCATACTGAATGGGCAAAAAATGGAAGCATTTCCTTTGAAAACTGGCACAAGACAGGGATGCCCTCGCTCACCACTCCTATTCAACATAGTGTTGGAAGTTCTGGCCATCACCATATTTTTCTTGCCCTCGAAACCTCTGCCACCGACAGACTTCTCAGTTTATGACAACTCCATCTCTTCTAGTTGTTTTAAATTCAGATGTTTTTGTTACAATCCAACTGCAATTATTTAGAAAACCCTGCTTCTCCTATCAAAGACACATCCAGATTCTGATAACTGTGCACGTTACTTCCATGGACTATCCCCTATTGGTCCAAGCCCCAAGCCTGGAGTATTGCACTAACCACCTGTGGGTTTCCTTGCTCCCACCAAACCGCTATATGTATTCTCAATACAAAGGACAGAGGGAGCTTTTAAAGTTAAATATCAGATGATGCCTTTGCTCTGCTCAGTTTTTTTTTCCAGTGGCTCTCTATTTTATTCAATCTAAAACTCAAATTCCTTAAAGGTCTTACAAAGTCTTATTTCGCCTCACTTACTTTCTTCCAGTCACAGGAGATTACTTGTATATTACAGAACTGTCGAGAAAACTACGGCTTAAAGGCTTTGGTGGTTTCTTCTGACTCAAAGCGGTGTCCAAAAATATCCACATGGCTTACCTTCTTAGGAAAAGCTATCTAAAACGTAGAATAAGGAAAAACAAAGTACAATATATATATACTTTCAATGTTATCTGGGGGCAATGTATAACAGGTGAACCCAATGATTATTCAGAGGAATGCAATTTGTTTGAGTCAATGTGTGTTATTGATTATTGACTATGGACTAATAAAGGTGACAGATTTAGCAGTGTTACATATTGACTTGCATATTTTGACCACTAATTGGTGCACATAATTTCTTTTCAATAGAAAAGAAAGCCTTGCAGATTATGGTTTATAGTGGAGAAAATATTAAACAGTTTTGTATCTAACCTTGCAAACTTATTCTGACATTATTTACTACATCGTGTATGTAATTTTAAGCTCCTAAAATGATCTTTCATGCACTCACCTTATTGATTATTCTAGTAATGATTAAAATAAAATTATTGGTACAGGCACATTTTCTATTTGTATGAAGTCATGTTTAAATTTTGAAAAAGCATACTTTTGTAAAATCTTATCTTTTTCAAATTTTTATGTATTACCTGCTCAGTGAGTCCAAGACTTATCACCCTATGTTTAAATTGCTGCAAATTTCACCTCTAGTGATTTCTTTCTCCCTTACTATTTTACTTTCTCCTTTGTTATTGTCCTTCAGAGCATTTCTCAGCTTTTGAGATACTATATAATTTACAGTTATATAGTCTTTATTTTCTCTCTCCCTCCTGTTAGAATATAAGTTCCATAAGGGCAAATTTTTTTTTTTGCTTACTAATGTACAGCCATTTCTGCTATAATATGGCATATTTATTCTTAAAAGTTACCCCACTATGCTAAATTGTACAATAAAAATCACAGAGTGTGTGGGGAAAATGGGGTTAGGGACATAACACTCAAAATCTGTGTCAGTGATGTGTTTTTTAAAACCTACATATTTATACATGTTAAATGGCTAAGAAATATATAAACAACAACAAATATGGCACATTACCTTGAAGAGAACTAATGTTTGCTTGTGTAAGTCAGCTTTAGAAGGATTGCAGGAGATGCATTATTGTGATGGCAAGTTGTAACATCAGATGTAGATGAGTGTGGCTCATAACACACTTGGTGTCTGATATGGTTTGGCTGTGTCCTCACCCAAATCTCATTTAGAATTCCTACGTGTTTGGGAGGGACCCGGTGGTAAGTAATGAAATCATAGGGGCAGGTCTTTCCCATCCTGTTCCTGTGATAGTGAATGGGTCTCATGAGATCTGATGGTTCTAAAAGTGAGAGGTTTTCTGCACAATCTCTCTCTCTTTGCATACATGTAAGACACGACTTGCTCCTCCTTGCCTTCCACAATGATTGTGAGGCCTCTCCAGCCATGTGGAACTGTAAGTCCATTAAACCTTTTTTTTTTTTTTTTTGTAAATTGCCCAGTCTCAGGTATGTCTTTATCAGCAACAGAAAATAAACTAATACAGTAAATTGGTACCACGAGTGGGGTGCTGCTGAAAAGGTACACAAAAATGTGGAAGCAACTTTGGAACTGGGTAACAGGCAAAGGTTGGAACAGTTGGGGGGCTCAGAAGAAGACAGGAAAATGTGGGAAAGTTTGGAACTTCCTAGAGATGTGTTGAATGGCTTTGACAAAAATGATGATAGTTATATAAACAGTAAGTTCTAGGCTGAGGTGGTCTCAGATGGAGATGAGAAACTTTTTGGGAACTGGAGCAAAGTTGACTCTTGTTATGTCTTAGCAAAGATATTGGTGGCATTTTGCCCCTGCCATAGAGATTTGTAAAATTTTGAACTTGAGAGATATGATTTAGGGTATCTGGTAGAAGAAATTTCTAAGCAGCAAAGTATTCAAGAGGTGACTTGGGTGTGGTAATGCCATTCAGTTTTAAAAGGGAACCAGCATAAAAGTTTGGAAAATTTGCACACTGACAATGCAATAGAAAAGAAAATTCCATTTTCTGAGGAGAAATTCAATCTGGCTGCAGAAATTCAATCTGGCTGCAGAAATTTGCATAAGTAACAAGCAGCCCAATTTTAATCCCCAAGGCAATGGGAAAAATATCTGCAGGGCATGTCAGAGGTATTCATGGCAGTCCCTCCCTTAATAGGCCCAGAGGTCTAGGAGGAAAAAATGGTTTTGAGGGGTGGTCCTAGGGTCCCCATGCTGTGTGCAGTCTAGGAACTTGGTGCCCTGTGCCCAGCTGCTCCAGCCTTGACTAAAAGGGGCCAAGGTATAGCTCGGCTCATGGCTTCAGAAGGTGGAAGCCCTAGGCCTTGGCAGCTTCCATGTGGTGTTGAGCCTATGGGTGCACAGAAGTCAAGAATTGAGGTTTGGGAATCTCTGCCTAGATTTCACAGGATGTGTGGAAATTCCTGGATGTCCAGGCAGAAGTTTGCTGCAGGGGTGGGGCTCTCATGGAGAACCTCTGCTAGGGCAGTGTGGAAGGGAAACGTGGGGTTGGAAGCCCCACACAGAGTCCCTACTGGGGTACTGCCTGGTGGAGTTGTGAGAAGAGGGCCACCGTCCTCCAGAACTCAGAATTGTAGGTCCCCTGACAGCTTGCACCATGCACCTGGAAAAGCCACAGACACAATGCTAGCCCATGAAAGCAGCTTGGAAGGAGGCTGTACCCTCCAAAGCCACTGGGGCAGAGCTGCCTCACGACCATGGGAACCCATCTGTTCCATCAGAGTGACCTGGATGTGAGACCTAGAGTCAAAGGAGATCACGTTGGAGCTTTAAGATTTGACTACCCTGCTGGACTTCAGACTTGCATGGGGCCTGTGGCCCCTTCGTTTTGGCCAATTTCTCTCCTTTGGAACAACTGTGTTTACCCAATACCTTTACTCCCATTGCATCTAGGAAGTAACTAACTTGCTTTTGATTTTACAAGCTCATAGGCAGAAGGGACTTGGCTTCTCTCAGATGAGACTTTGGTTTGCGGACTTTTGAGTTAATGCTGAAATGAGTTAGGACTTTGGGGGACTGTTGGGAAGGCATGATTAGTTTTGAAATGTGAGGACATGAGATTTGTGAAGGGCCAGAGGCGGAATGATATTTTTTGGCTGTGTCTTTACCCAAATCTCATTTTGTGTTCCCATGTGTTGTGGGAGGGACCCAGTGAGAGGTAATTGAATCATGGGGCAGGTTTTTCTTGTGCTGTTTTCATGATAGTAATTGGGTCTCATAAGATCTGATGGTTTTAAAAATGGGAGTTTTTCTGTACAAGCACTCTCTCTTTGCCTGCTGCCATCCATGTAAGATGTGACTTGATCCTCCTTGCCTTCTGCCATCATTGTGAGGCCACTCCAGCCATGTGGAACTCTAAGTCCATTAAACCTCTTTCTTTTGTAAATTGCCCTAGTCTTTTGTATGTCTCTATCAACAGCATGAAAACAGACTAATACATGACCTGAGGTAGCTGGTATATGTTTGAGGTATGCATGAACATTTGTGAAGGAATGTATGTTTAATGCCTACTTGCATATTTTTCTACAAAGCTTAGTTTAGCTGAGAGCAGTTTTTGTATTTACCAAATATTTCTCACCAGCAAAACCATGCATAAGCAAGTACAAAGTTGACATAATGCTCAAATTGTTCTCTAATACAGAAAAAGAAATTCAGTTTCAAAATGAGCATAATAGAAGAACTGACTATGTCCCCACATCTAGAACAATGCCTAGTACATACTGTGCACTCTATGCATGTGTATTAAAGAAATGCCCCAATAAATGATTTGGTACAATATATTTTCTTCTATCATGGCATACACTCCCCAGAAAAGGATAGAAAAACAGAAATTTCTCACAGAAAATTTGGTTTCCTCTCAGGTAATTGTGGGTATTATGAGCACACAAAATAAAATGAAGATAAATTGGAAGTATTTAACTTCAGTGAATGCCTATATTACATCTGTTGAGATATTCTACCCCAGTGATTAGCATTTGGTAAGTGACATGGGAGACCTGGAAGCCCAGATAGGACATATTTGCTTCAAAGAGCATATTCAATGTTGTACTGATTTTTTACATTTTGAAAACAGCAACCAAAACCAACTATAGTTATTTTTAAATCAACTACAAACAGTTAAATGGAAAAAATGTTTGCAATTTGTGGTGATATTTAGATATAACCTTCTTAGTTTCCCTCAAGGCTGCTTATCAATACAGATAAAAATGAGATTTTTTTTTAATTTAACAGAAATGACACACAGTTTTAAAACATGAAAATAACTCTTCTTAGGGTAGGAATATGAAATACCACATTAATTAGAGCTAATTTCCTGTACATGAATGACAGCAGCCAAAATAATGAACAAGTATAAAAATAAATTATTCTGAAATAGATGTAACTAAAACAGTCACATATATGAAAGCCAGACGCTTATTCACTACACTGATCAGGTACTAATTTATTAGTCAAAGTTTTCCAGAGAAACAAAACTAATAAGATACATAAGTGTACACACACACACACACACACACACACACATACGCACACATATGTGTGACAGAGAGAGACAGAGAAAGACTGAGATATAAGGAATTTGCTCATACAATTATACAGGCTGAACATTCTCATGATCTTCAGTTGGCAAGCTGGAAATGCAGGAGAGGAGATATGTAGTTTTTATGAGTCCAAGGGCCTGAGAATCCGGACACCCAATAGTGTATGTTCAAGCTTGAGGGCAGGAGAAGAATCATATCCTACTTCTAACAGTTAGGCTAAAGAAGTTCCCTCTTCCTCAGTCTTTTAAAAACATTCAGGTCTTGAACTGATTAGATGAGGCCCACTTACATTAGGGAGGGCAATCTGCTTTACTATATCTACCAATTCAAATATTAATCTCATGCAGAACACCCTCTCAGATGTATTGAGAATAGTGTTTGACTAAATGTTTGAATACCACATAGCACAGTCAAATTGATAAATAAAATTGATAATCACAAGTTAATAATCACCATGTTAATTTGGCACTCATACACATCTCCTTCAACCATAGTTAGTCTACAAGTAAAGACAATAGCGAGGTCATAATTTCACTAAGTATTATGCAACTATTCTGTGTATGACCCAAAGCACACTCACCCTTTCCCCAGAAGAGGAAGTAAAGTCCTGAATGATGTTTACTTTTCTGTTCTTCTCTTTGATGACCCATAACTTAAATATTATAATGTAAAGTAATTATGATATAAAGCAAATACACATTATGTTATATGGTAAGAAAAGAGAGAAAAGATCCCAAAGATTATACACACACACACACACACACACACACACACACACACACACACACAAATCCATCACAAAACAATTATGAAACATTCTTGGTAGTTATCATTCATGTTTCTGTAAGTGGCTACATGGTCACAGCTAGTATTTATAATGACATTTTCCCACTGTTCATTCTGTATTCCCTTTGCCTTTACCAAGAATGTTAGTTGGTTGTGTGTGTGTGTATGTGTGTGTGTGTGTGTTTTATCTGTTTGGCTGACCCAAATCTTCAGACATGAAGGGTCTGAGCTATTAGTGCCACTACCTGGTACTGGTATTGGATTGGGTTGTTGTCATTTGCCATTGACCTTAATCACAAGTCTTTGTAATACTGAGAGATGCCCTAAAGGATCTCTTGTATTCCAGACATTGTTGTATTTCCTTCCACTGCAGAATAGTAGTCCAATTTTCCCGCGGTAGTCAAGATCAATCACTGCAGCCAGCACAGTTACTCCTTTCTTTACTTGTTGATTTAGAGTCATGAGGACTCCAAAGTGGCCAGGAGTAGTCTTAATGTCCAGTTGAAATGAATCATTATTGTTTCTCCAGGTGGTAACAGTTCTTCCTTTAGAACTTCCTAAGACCTCTATGCCAGTAGAACCTAAGTTCATGAAAACCAGAAGTAAAAATTTTGATAGTAGGTCACTAGGGATAATAGTCAGTGTTGCCACTCCCATTTTCACCCCTTGATTCCTGAACCCATGAATCCTGGCTATTGGACAAACAGTACCATATATTAGTACTGATTAGAACATATGCAGCTTTCTGAAGAATGTTGTTCCAGCTCTGAAAGGTATTTCCATGTAGCTTGCAATGTAACTGAGCATTCAAGAGGACATTCCACTATACTATCAAGCCAACTTTTTATGAATGGTGAGAAACATGGTAAGATCAGTTAATTATCTGTACATTAGTCTACTGCTACACTTCATTTCCAGTGAAGTGAGTTCCATTGATCAGAAGAAACACTGTGTGGAATATCATGATAGTGGATGATGCATTCTGTAAGTATATAGGTATTTTTGACAGCACCATTGCATATATAGAGGGTAATCTTGTATTCAGGGTGTCTATTCCAGTAAAAATAAAGCACTGCCCCTTCCATGATAGAAGCAGTCCAATGTAATTAAATAAGCCAAGTAGTTGGCTTATTACCCCAAGTAACAGGAACTCAGTGCTGCATGTCTCTGCTCCTGACAGAATGAACACTCAGCTGTTGCTATAGCTAGGTATACCTTAGTAAATAGAGGTCCATGTTGCTGAGCTTATAAATAACCTTCATCTGTGCTACCATGTCCACTTTTTTTATGAGCCCAATGGGTGATAATAGGGGTGGCTAGGGAAAGAGGCTAACTGGTATCCACACAATGGTTCATTCTATCCACTTGATTATTAAAATACTAGTCTGGAGAATTTTGGTGAGCATTCACATGAGATGCATATATCTTCACATTGTTTTGCCCATTTAGAAAGGTCTGTCCACATATCTTTTCCTCCAGGAATTGAGTAAATTATCATAAATTTTCCAATAATGTTCCTTTCAAACCTCTGGCCATCCAGCCAAATTATCAACCACAGCCCATGAATCATTATATAATTGCATGTCTGGCTAATGCTCATTTCAAGCAAAGTGAACAACCAGGTGCTCTGCTCATGGTTATGCCCACTAGGAGGATTTCTTATCTCCACTGTCCTTTAGGGATGTCCCAGAAGGAAGCTATAGTACAGCAGATGTCCACTTTTCGGTAATGTCTGTCTGTAATACTGACCCATCTGTAAACCAGGCCTGAGTCTTTTCTTCCTCTTTCAGCTGATCATAAAGAACTTCTCATGAGCCCATAGGTTCACGCTGGGAGAGAGAAGACAATGTAGCAGAAGTGGGAACCATGGACATTTGGGCAACTTCCTGTAACTTATTTGAGCCTTCAGGATTTCTTTGGGCCTGATCATGTATATATGCCTTCTATTTCATGATGGAGTCCTGACATGCACGCTCAACTTTATGGCTTAGGTCTTAGGGCTCTCCAGTGAGACAGAACCAATAAGATAGATAGCTGGAGAGATATGTATATAGATGATAGATAGATGGTAGATACACACATACATACATATATACATACATACATACAAACATACGTGAAAGATGATTTATTAGTGCAATTGGCTCATGCAATTATGCTGGCTAACAGAAGTCCCATGCTGCTAGAAGGCTGGCAGAGAAGTCCCACCATGACAGGCTTTCTATAAGCTGGAGACCCTGGGATGCTAGTAGTGTGGCTCAGTTTAAGTATAAAAGCCTCAAAGGATGAAAGTTAATGATGTAATTCTCAGTTTGAAGCCAGATATCTGATAATCCAGGGGGAGAGAACTGGTGTAAGTCCAGAAGTTCCAAGATGGGAGAGCCTAAATTTTTAATTTCCAAGGACAGGAGGATGGGGAGAGTGCCCAGCTCCAGAATTGACAGAGAGGAAATCCTTTTCTCTCCTTTCTTTTTGTTCTAACTGGGCCCCCAGCTGTTTGGATGGTACCTGCCTGAATTGAAGGCAGATCTTCTCCTTTCAGTCTACTGACATCTGCCAATCTTCTCTGGAAAGTCCCTCATAGACACAATGAAAGTAATGTTTACCAGTTCTCTAGATATTCTTTAATCCAGTCAAGTTAGCACCTAAAATTAACCATCACAGTGGGTCAGATAACACCTAGTTTATAATGGGAAACTCAGGTCTCATAGTAACTTGGTGACCCATCTTTAAGCATTTACTTTTTACCAAACCTTACTAGCAGGTAATAAGCTGTTTCTCAAAAGAGTAGTTTTCTGCAGAGAATGGTGAGGCTTGGCTCCAAATAGCATCCATATCTGTGACTGGAACTTCAAGCAGCATTGGATCTACAGGGTCACATGGCCCAAGTGGCAGGGCAGCTTGCACAGCAGCCTGGAATTGTTGTAAAGCTTTATCTTGCTCAAAACCTCACTCAAAATTAGCACCTTTTGAGTCACTCAGCAAATGAGCTGAAGTAAAGTACCAAGATATTGCCACCAAAATCCAAATAGGGCCACGTGGCATTGTGACTCATTTTTTATCATGGGATGGGCCAGATACAGATACATTCTTCACCATGGAAGGGTATCTTAGCATTCTCTATACCAATGGAACCTTAGAAATGTCAGTGAGGTAAAAGACCCTAAATACTTTTCCGATTTATTTTCCACCCAATGATATGTTAATGTCTTACCAATAAGTTTAATCATTGCCACTTCTTGCTAAGACAAATCAGCATAATGTCATTAATATAATGGGCCAGTATAATATCTTGTGGAAAGGTAAGGTGATCAAGGTCCTTGCAAACTAAGTGATGACACAGGACTGGAAAGTTGATATATCCCTGAGGCAAAGAAACGAAAATGTATTGCTGGCTCTGACAGCTGAAAGCAAACTGCTTCTGGTGTTGCTTATGCACAGAGAAAGAAAAAAATAATATTTGTCAGATCAATAGCTGTATATCAGGTACCAGAGAATGTTTTAATTTGTTCAAGCAATAAAACCACATATAGTACACTAGTTACAATTAAAGTCACCAGGAATGGGTTAAGCTTACAATGATTCACTATCATTCTCCAAGATCCACCTATCTTCTGCGTAGGCTAAATACGTTAGTTGAGTGAAATTATGCTGGGAATCACCATCCCTGCATCTGTCAAGTCTTTGATGATGACACTAATCTCTGTAATCTTTCCAGCAATGTGGTATTGTTTTGCTTACTTTTTTTTTTAATACAGATAATTCTAGTGGCTTCCACTTTGTCTTTCCCACCATAGTTGCCCTCATTCCACATTTGTCCTTTCCAAAACTCATTGAAATTTAATTTCCAATGTGACACTACTGAGAGTTGGAACTCTCAAAAAGTGACTGGGATGGCCGGGCACAGTGACTTATGCCTGTAATCCCAGCACATTGGGAGGCAGAGGTGGGTGGATCACCTGAGGTCAGGAGTTCAAGACCAGCCTGACCAACATGGAGACACCCCATCTCTACTAAAAATACAAAATTAACTGTTCACAGTGGCACATGCTTGTAATCCCAGCTACTCAGAAGGCTGAGGCAGGAGAATCACTGAAACCAGGAGGCGGAGGTTGTGGTGAGCCAAGATCATGCCATTGCACTCCAGCCTAGGCAACAAGAGCGAGACTGCATCTCAAAAAATAAATAAATAAATAAATAAATAAATAAATAAATAAATAAATAATATAAAATTAAAAAGTGATTGGGTCATGAGGGCTTTGCTCTCATGAATGAATTGATCTATCCATAGATTAATGAACTATTGGGTTAATGGATTAGTGAGTTATCTTGGAGGTGAAACTAGTGGTTTTATTAAAAGAAAAAAAGAAAACTGAGCTAACACACTCAGCCCCATCACCATGTGATGCCCTGTGACACCTTGGGACTCTGCCGAGGGTCTCCACCAGCAAGAAGTTCCTCACCAAATATGACCATGTGAAGGTTAATACTGAGTGTTAACTTGATTGTATTGTAGGATACAAAGCATTAATCCTGAGTGTGTTTGTGAGGGTGTTGCCAAAAGAGATTAACATTTGAGTCAGTGGGCTGGGGAAGGCAGATCCACCCTTAATCTTGGCACAATCTAATCAGCTGCCAGTGAATAGAAAGCAGGCAGAAAAACGTGAAAAGGAGAGACGAGCCTAGTCTCCCAGCCTACATCTTTCTCTTATGCTGCATGCTTCCTGCCCTCGAACACTGGACTCCAAGTTTTTCAGTTTTGGAACTCGGACTGGCTCTCCTTGCTTCTCAGCTTGCAGAAAGCCTATTGCGGGACCTTGTAATCATGTAAGTTAATACATAACAAACTCCCCTTTATATATATAGGTATCTATCCTATTAGTTCTGTCCCTTTAAGGGAACCCTGACTAATACGGGCCCCTTGACTTTAGACTTCTCAGCATCTATAATTTTAAAAATAAATGTATTTCCTTTATAAATTAACT
This sequence comes from Homo sapiens, assembly GCF_000001405.40. Classification (NCBI taxonomy): domain Eukaryota; kingdom Metazoa; phylum Chordata; class Mammalia; order Primates; family Hominidae; genus Homo; species Homo sapiens. The sequence continues at coordinate 145,053,472 of NC_000003.12, read as the reverse complement.
AGTTTTAGGTATTCTGTTATAAGCAACAGACAATGGACATAAATGCCTGTTAAAAGACCATAGGTCCCTTTGGATAAAGCTGAAAGAAAGATTACCAGTATACTTTTTTGGCAGTGTACTTGGGTCCTTCCTCAAGGGGAACTGGCCACCCTTTCATTCAAAATGTTCTGAGGTCTGTAAACTATTTCAAGTCTAGGAATTGATTGAGGGGTCATGACTCTTGTTTTGCTTTTTGTTGTTGTTGTTTTTATTGAGGTTAGACTATTGTTCACTTGACTTACAACTATTCTGCTTATATAGGCCAAGTAATTATCTGGTAGGCTTCTTATCTATTTTATTTCCAGAAACCCTGATCAAGGAGTCAGTTCCATAAGTCTGCACAAGTCAGAGTATTCTGATTGCTGCTTCGACTCTTTTGCTCATTACAGTAATTACAGCCACCTTGCTTTTGGTAGTTGAGTGTCACAACTTGACCCCGGCCATCCCAAGATCCAATTATTCCCATTGAACTCAAGTTTATGCATTCAGTAAATGCAGTTGCAGCTGTATGATCTGGCCTAAAAAAAGGGCCATTATTGAGCTCTTCAAGGATGCCAGACCTCCCTGTGTAAATATATTTCTCACAGTATTGATGAAAGATATATCTTTACAGCTCTTTCAGTATAAGTAAATATGCATTAAATGAAAAATCCACTCTGACTTTTCAACATCCCCAAGCCTTGAATCCTTTCCTCTACATTACACTAAGGCAGGGCTGACATTTCCAATATGCTCCCTATAGTCTTCCTTGTTGGTCCATATTTCAGCCAACCAAACAACCAAACTGTTAGAGCTCTTTTTAACTCCCTGTGATGGAACATTAAATTCAGAATCTCTGCTTGGTGGACCCAAATTAATACACTTACCTGATCCAATTTTATGTTCCTCCCACTATTATCCCACATCCTTAATCTTTATTTGCACACATATTCCCTGAATTTCTATTTGTATAAATTAGAAAACAAAGTAGGTTTTTTTGGAGTGTAGCAAAATTCCTTATGGGTCACACTTTGTGCCTCACCTTTGGGAGCCTAATTAGATTTGAATCTAGATAGGTGTATAGAAGCAAAGAAAGGTAGTGGGAGTGGATCCAGAGAAGACTCAGCATTGTCTTTCATGGCAACTATCTCAATGGAAATAATTACACAGTTTCTTCAGGCACAGTTAATTCCACAGTTAGGGATGGAAAGACTGCTGTCATTGGGAGTGGAGAATCTGCTCCTCTGGGGTTGTAGAAGTCACTCACACTGGGAATAGGGGCGTCTCTACCACTAACAAAAAAGACCCATCAGAATTTAGGGGTTCAAGATCTCCAGCTTCATCACAGTCTTCACACACATCTCTTTTTCCACTTTCAGGACCCCATTGCTTCCCAATCAACACCCTCACTTTAACCTCTAGAACTGCTCTTGATACCAAAATTTATACTAATTAAAGTTCTCCAAAGAAACAAAATTAATAGAATATATATATATGCTCTATATGTTCTGTTAAAATATTCTAAGATAACATTAATATTCTATTATTTTTTATTGATATTATATTTATACACACACACACACACACACGTACACACACACAGAGATTATAAGAAATTGGCTCATGCGGTTATAGAGTCTGAGACATCCCAAATCCTGTAATTGTCAAGCTGTAGGCCCTGGAGAGCTGATGACATGGTCCCAGCCTGGGATCAAAGGCCTGAAAACCAGGAAAGCTGATGGTGTAAGTTCCAGTCTGAGGGCAGAAGACTTGTGTCCTTGCTCAAGTAGTCAGGCTGGGGAAGTTCCCTCTTACTCAGCGTTTTTGTTTTATTAATGTCTACAATTGATTAGATGAGACCTGTCCACATAAAGAGACCATCCCATCTCCTTTACACAGTCTTCTGATTCAGATGTTAATCTCATTCAGAAACACCCTCAAAGACATATTCAGAATAATCTTTCACCAAAAGTCTGGGTACCTCATGCCCCAGTAGAATTGAAATGTAAAATTAACCATCAATTCCTTAATTCTCCAAATTAGGATTCATGGAATCTTTCATTTTAGACCTCTTTGTTCTCAAGGAGCATGAAGGTATTAAGATTTTTTTTTTTTTTTTTTTTTTTTTTGAGACGGAGTCTCGCTCTGTCGCCCAGGCTGGAGTGCAGTGGCAGGATCTCGGCTCACTGCAAGCTCCGCCTCCTGGGTTCACGCCATTCTCCTGCCTCAGCCTCCCAAGTAGCTGGGACTACAGGCGCCCGCCACTACGCCTGGCTAATTTTTTGTATTTTTAGTAGAGACGGGGTTTCACCGTTTTAGCCGGGATGGTCTCGATCTCCTGACCTCGTGATCCGCCCGCCTCGGCCTCCCAAAGTGCTGGGATTACAGGCGTGAGCCACCGCGCCTGGCCAGGTATTAAGATTTTATCCTCATTCGTCAAATGTTGCCAGCCAATAATTCAGTCTTTTTCTTTTTTTTTAAATTATACTTTAAGTTTTAGGGTACATGTGCACAACGTGCAGGTTAGTTACATATATACCTAATGTTAAATGACAAGTTAATGGGCGCAGCACACCAACATGGCACATGTATACATAATTCAGTCTTTTTCAATAAAAATTCTCATTAACATTGTCCAACCTCCTGAATCTCCTAACTCCACTGCTTCTCTGCATCATAAAACACATGATTCACACATTCAGATATTCTACATTTTTCTCTTCCCATTAGTAGAGTTGTAGAATAAAATGTTTGAACAATAATCCAAGACACAAATCAGAGAAAACAAAATGTGCACAGAGTATCCAAATTCTTTGTTTTACTCCAGATGGTTAAAATGTAACAATTTGTGATCAGAAGCTAGCTTTTGGAATTTACAATAATGCCAACCACCCGCCTTCATTAAAAAAAAAAAACACATAAAAATAATTGCTATTTCCAAAACCTATAAAAATTGCCATTTCTATCAGCCATATAAAATTAACATAAAATCTAAACAAGAATAGAATATTCATTTATAAATGCAACTTAAGCCCCTCCTTTTATCAGAATCCTAATTTTAAAACCTTCTGTATTAGGAGTACTGGAGCATCCACTGAACACAATGTATGGTAGTATCAATCTGACATATTTACCTTTTATAATCAGTTGGTAGATAAATTTATGTAATTAGAAGTAAAATATAAAATGTCTACTCGTCATGAAATTTATGTTATATAGTTATTTCTAATTGCATTCCTTTTAAAGAATCTTTTCTTTTTAGTTTTGAATTTTCTAAACTTAAGTGTAATTCTTTCTGTAATAAGTACACAGTGGTTGTGTTGCTGCTGATTGTATGAAGGCTTCTTGAAAGTTGAACAGGTAACCTCATATGCACAAGGAAAATGTTCAATTTTAGCATCAGTTGCCTAGTAGAGATAAAAGTGATGGTTTGTTTTATTATAATTGGCTTGAAGAAGCTCAAGCTAATAAAGATTCATGAAATTTTGGTGATCTTGACATCCTCAACTTAATGAAATGAAAACCCTATTCTGACCAATGAATAATGGAACATATTTCACCAACTATGGACAGACATATAGACTCATCTCATTCTATTAAGAATGTTAGTTTTTGGCCAGGTATAGTGGCTCACGCCTGTAATCCCAACCTTTCTGGGAGGCTGAGGTGGGCAGATGACCTGAGGTCAGGAGTTCAAGACCAGCCTAACCAACATGGTGAAACTCCATCCCTACTAAAAATACAAAAATTGGCTGGGTGTGAGGTCCACCTGTAATCCAAGCTATTCTGGAGGCTGAGGCATGAGAATCCCTTGAACTCAGGAGGTAGAGGTTGCAGTGAGCTGAGACAGGGCCACTGCACTCCAGCCTGGATGACAGAGTGAGACTCTGTCAAAAAAAAAAAAAGTTAGCTTTTAATTCTCAATCAGCATTACCACCATGAAGCCTACTGCGTTTTTAGTAATTAAAATTCCTCTTTTTTCATACAAACTACATAGCAAATTTCTTTACTGATCAGTATTCTTTTGCCTAAAAAATTTATACATTAATTATGAAGTTGTTTTTAGTTCTAGTGATTATTATTTTATGGTTGATATATGCAAACTATAAATTCCATTATAAATTAATCATTTTACAAATTATTTTGCTTTTACATTGAGAATTATTTTTCTTGAATTTTAAAGCACTGTATTCCCATCAAACTATTAAAGAAAATTCAATGCACTATGTCCTTCTGCCAGCATCTGATATTGTACTGATTTCTACCGTTTTGTAAAGTGCTACATAATTTATATGCCCTGTATAATTAACTAGAGATAGTCTTAAATTTACTAATTGAAACACTGTAAAATTAGTGACACATTATTCTTGGTTTTAATTATTTGACAGATATTCCTAACTGTGAATTTCAAGCCTCTCAAACCAGTTTGAAGAAAAACAAAAAAAAAATCTGAGAGAGCAAATATTGAAAACCAAAATAGAATATTTTGCTAAAAGGGAAACAGTTTTCTTCTTTTCTTTCTCTTTCTACAGTGCTATTATTATTAATTCTTCCTTTGATTTTAATATCTCAAAGAAATCTGAGGAATGAATATTAAGGTTTGTATTTTTGTCTGCATTACTCATATAGAAAAATCAAAGAGATGAGATGATTTTTAAATATAAAAGTACTAGAAATGTATTCCATGTTATTTAGCATTCTAGAAAAATTATTGTATTTATCTATTTTTCCTATTGCTAAAATAATATGCATTGTTCACAGAATTTTAGAAAATAGTATGTGTGTGTCTGCGTATGTGTGTTTCTCTATGTGTTTATATATAAACAGAGAGTTGGGTTTTTCCCTTGAATGTAGAAAGCTTGAAAAAACATCATGTTCATGCTAACAATAAGAATAAATAAACCTGAGAATCACAAATTTTCTGAAAGCTCTCTGAGATTTAAGGTTTACAAGAAACCAAGTATCCAAAATATCCAAAAAAGTAGCTCCTCAAAGACAGACTATGTATTAGCATTGGCTCACCTGTGACAGAGCACTGACAGAAGAGCAGCTGAGACTATAAAGGCAGGTGAGAATTCAAACCAATTTGGTAACAAATTAATATTAATCAAGTCTGGGCTTCCATCAGAGAATAGATCTCCAGAAATTACAGGCAAAATAGGAGAATGTACCCTCTATGGTCTCTTCTTCATGGTCCTTCACTGGGTTTTAAGGAGCAGGATGGTGAAGAGTAAGAGATTGATTAAAGATAGCTCTCCCTGTTGCTGTACCCTTGGAGGAGAGAAGTGGCCACCACTGCAAAAAGGGAAAGAAGCCCTGCTGCTCCTTCTTCCCTGTAGAACAGGAGTTCCTGATTTTCTGAGAAGTAGAAAATTCCATTACCCCCATGAGCAGGTAAAGATCCATTTTGACTGTGGGAAGAGTGTTAAAAAAAATTCTTCAACTCTGGGGGAGGAATATTAAACAGTTTAACGTCCAGGATTCTATTCCAATTGCAGCAGAGGTCTCTTAAGGCTAGGGAAGAGGTAGAAAATATTTTCCCACATAAGTCCTGCCTAAATTGCAGAAAGAGTTTGGTTGTCATGAGACGAAGGACCAGGATAACTAGAAAATCTCAATCATAAGAGCAGGCACATAAGTTTTGACTAAGATTGAGGCTGGATCAGGACAAGAGAAATCTCTCTTTCCCTTCCACCACCAGGTTAACAAGAATCAAATAACAAGCAACAGCTCTCTACTCCTGGGGGAAAGGCGAAACTTGGTGAGAGAACTTCTAAGTGTTGCAGGCACACAGAGAAGGCCAAATGTTGAGAATAAAACAAGGGCATTGAGAAAATCTGTCATCATCCTAAGCACAAGGTAACATTACAGGAATAACAAGGAATATTAGATACATTTGAAGTCCCTGGGCACTGAAAGTAACCAGAGCAACAATGAGATTCAAACTCAAGCCAATTCCTGACTAAATGGATTCAAATCTCTACGCTAACCAACTAAAATTGGAAGATATATACCAATTCCAGGAAAACACATTATTTATCTCGTTCTGTACTACTCCAGACACAGCACCTGGCATTCAAACAAATAATATGTGACAAACAGGAGAAAAGAGCACTCTGAAGAGACAAGGCCATCAACAGAACTATACTTAGAGAGGATAAAAATGTTGGGTTTATCACAAAGTGAATTTAAGATAACTTTGATTAGTATGTAAAAGTCTCTTGTGGAAAAGGTAGAAAAGATAAATGAACAGATGTTATGCTCTTGAAAAGAAATTTAGGGAGAAGGTAGAAACTGTTAGAAAGAGTATAGCATAAATTTTAGCAGGGGGGGAATGACCAATGAAGAATGCTTTGACAGTCTCATTATCAGTCAACACAGAAAAGAATCACAGAATGTGAAGCCAGATCAATAGAAACTATCCAAGTTGAATCAAAAGGAGAAAAAAGTATACGAAAGAGAATATCAATGATCTTTAGGACAATAGCAAATAGTCAAACACACATGTAATTTGAATTCCAGAGTAGAACATAAAGAGAGAATGCAGAGAAGAAATATTTGAGAAGATAATGGTCATGAATTTTTTAAAAAAAAATCAAAGATATAAAACAAATCCAAAAATCTCAGATAATCCTGAGAAGAATAAATATCTGATTCAATATATACACACACAGACATAGTTGAAAAAATTGAACTGGACAATTGTAAAAAAGGTCAAGACAGATTTTATTTTGACTACTGCAGTAGGGCAGAGAGACTTCAGTGTGGGACTCATCTCAACTACAAATAAAGCAGGGTTCACTGGGGATTTCTAGCCAACAGGTAGAATGAGGGACTCAACAGACAGAAAATTAATAAGGGGGAAGTGTTTAGTTATCAAGTGTGAGAGGAATTCTTGCTAAAGGGTATTGGCAGGATCTTTGTTACACTGGACTCAGAGGAATTATTGCTACTGCTGAGCACAGCAGGCCAAGAATAAGGCCTAGTCAAAAAGAGAGCTCAGAGGAGCCTGACTAAAGTTTGGTCTATGAGAGACTTCTTGTCGACATACACATGCAACCTTTGACAAATCATAATCAAACTGTTGAAAATCAAAGATAAAGAGAAATACTAAATATACACTACATACAAGAGAACAAACATAAGAATAACAATAAGGTAACATAGTTTCTCATCAGAAATGATGCAAGTCAGATGACAATGGAGTGAGAGATTTTGAAAAAGAAAATAAAAATAAAATACATAGCTATCCAGAGTTTCATAGCCAGCAAAAATATTTTTGTAAAGGATAAGTAACATTTTTTGAAAAGTGAAGACTAATACAGGATGAGAGACTAGTTGTTAAGAGATGTGTGTTTATTTTTTGTTTTTCATTTTTTATTTGGGAAACATGAATCATTTACTTGAGATATTTCTTATTTTATAACACAAGCTTTTAATGCTTAACGTTTTCCTTTAAGCACAACTTTAGTTGTAGCCAACATATTTTGATAAGTTGCACTTTCATTTCCATTAAATTGAAAAATATATATTTTTAATTTTTCCTGTAATTTTTTCTTGATACATGGGTTACCTAGAAGTGTGTTGTTAAATTTCCAAATATTTGAGAATTAGGAACTTCATCAAAAATATATACGAATGGGAAGTAAACCCATGAAAAGATGCTCAATATCAATATCTATTGTGAAAATGCAAATCAATCAACGTGAAAATACTACTACACAGTTTTTAGTTTGGAAAAGTTAAAAAAAAAAAAAAGCCAATAATACTAACATCTGACAAAGTTCAGAATAACTAGAGCTCTCATACCTTGCTTGTGGAAAATGCTTCATAATATAACCATTTAGGAAGTAAGTTTGGCAGTTTCTTATAAAGTTGAAAATTCCCATTTCGCGTGACAAAAATTTCCAAAAAAAGTCCAGGACCAGACAGATTCACAGCTGAAGTCTACCAGCCATTCAAAGAAGAATTGGTACCAATGCTGTTGACACCATTCCACAAGATAGAGAAAGAGGGAATCCTCCCTAAATCATTCTATGAAGCCAGTATCACCCTAATACCAAAACTAGGAAAAGACATAACAAAAAAAACTACAGACCAATAACCCTGATGAACATAGATGTAAAAATCTTTTACAAAATACTAGCTAACTGAATCCAACAGCATATGAAAAAGATAATCAACAATGATCAAGTGGTTTTCATACCAGGGATGTAGGGATGGTTTCACATACGCAAGTCAATAAATTTGATACACCACACAAACAGAATTTAAAACAAAAATCACATGATCATCTCAATAGACACAGAAAAAGGATTAGACAAAATCCAGCATCCCCTTATGATTCAATCCCTCAGTAAATCGGCACAGAAGAGACATACCTCAGTGTAATAAAAGCTATAACATTGTAATAAAATAAAATATATGACAAACCCACAGCCAACATCATACTGAACAGGGAAAAGTTGAAAGCATTCCATCTGAGAACTGGAAGAAGACAAGGATGCTCACTCTCACTACTTCTAGTCAACATAGTACTGGAAGTCTTAGCCATAGCAATGAGACTAGAGAAAGAAAGAAAGGGCATCCAAATCAGTAAAGAGAAAGCCAACCTGTCACTGTTTGCTGATTATATGATTGTATACCTAGAAAACCCTAAAGGCTGTTCCAAAAAGCTCCTAGTACTGATAAATGAATTCAGAAAAAGTTTCAGGACACAAAGTCAATGTACACAAATCAGTAGCTCTGCTATACACCAACAGCAACCAAGCTGAGAATCAAGTCAAAAACCACTGCTAGATATTTGCCCAAGACAAATGAAAAGTTGTGTTAGCACAAAAACTTGTATGCTAATTCTTATAGCTGTTTTATTCAAATATCAACACTATATACAACCTCAATGTCTTTCCAATGATGATATATAGATACACTGTGAAGCATCTATAAAATTGATTAATACTCAGAAATAAAGGAAATAACTGATACAGATGAAAATGTTGATGAATCTCAAATTTATTACAGTAAGTAGAACACATAATCAAAAGGCTACATACTTTTAATTCATTTAAATGACAAATAATTTTATGTATATGATATTCTGGAAAAGACAGAACTACAGGGACAGAAAATAAGTTAAGTGTCATTGGCAGGGAGTGTGGAAGAGGCTGACTAAAGCAGAAAATGAGGGAAATTTTGGTTATAAATTGTTTTATATCATTAATGTCGTGATAGTTACACAATGATATGACTTTGTCCAAACTCACAGATGTCTACACTAAAAAGGATGAGTTTTAATGAATGTAAATTATATCTTCGTAAGCCTGACTTCAAAAGTAGTTGGCTGGCGCGGTGGCTCATGCCTGTAATCCCAGCACTTTGGGAGGCCAAGGCAGGTGGATCAGGAGATCATGAGTTTAAGACCAGCCTGGCCAAGATGGTGAAACCCCGTCTCTACTAAAAATACAAAAAAATTAGCCGGGCGTAGTGGCGGGCGCCTGTAATCCCAGCTACTTGGGAGGCTGAGACAGAGAATTGCTTGAACTCGGGAGGGGGAGTTTGCAGTGATCTGAGATCGTCCCATTGCCTCCAGCCTGGGCGTCAGAGCGAGACTCCATCTAAAACAAAAAATAAAAATAAAAAAATAAAAATAGTTATCACTTATCAATTCATAGCAGCTTGACAGCCAATATGATTTTATATACATGCAAATGTCACCTAATAGCTACAAATTTATTTGAGCCTTATGTACAATATATTCTCCAAATTAATATGCAAGCAATAATTTATTTTATTTTAAAAACAACCTTACAAGGAAGGTACTACTGTTATTGTCATTTTATAGTTGAACAAACTGAGGCCTCAGGAGGTCTCACTCAAGATCCCTGAATCTGTCTATGTCAATGCAAACGTTTAAACACACATAATATATATTATATAAACACAGTTGATTCTTATTATCTGCAGTAAATGTTTTATAAAGTTGCTACAAACATCAAACTATCAAATACTGAATCGTTACCCCTGGGAGAAATACAGGGTTAGGTTTCTGTAAGTCTCTTGTCATAGCATTTTCATCAACTGATAAATACTTCATTTTATCTGTGTTCCTATTTAAAAATTCCATATGTAAAATGTGGTATGTATTCACATACAATTGAATATTATTCATCCTTATACAATAAGGAAAGCCTGTCATTTGCAGCAACAAGGGAGAACTTGGAGGACATTGTATTAAGTGAAATATGCCAGGAATAGAAAGACAATAATGCATGATCTCACATATATGTGGAGTCTAAACTGGTCAAACTCTTAGAAGCAGAGTAGATGGGTGGTTGCTAGAAGCTGGGGAATGGAGGAAATAGGCAGATGTTGGTCAAAGTGTACAAAGTTTAAGATGAGTAAGTTCTAGAACATGGTGACTATACTTAATGATGCTGCATTGTAGACTTGAAATTTGCTAAGAGCACAACGATCTTAAATGTTTTCACCATGGAAAAGAAAATAATAGCTGTGAGGTGATGGGTGTAATTAGTTTGATTACAGTAATTATTTCATAGTGTATATGTATATCAAAATATCACATTGTACACCTTAAATGTATACATTTTTCATTTATCAATTATACCTCAATAAAGCTAGAAAAAACCCTTTAATATATTTTATTGATTCATTAATATTGAACTCAGCCCACAGCACTGTAATTCATGCCTGAATGAAACTTACCTAACACATTTATTTTGTCTTTAAGTCACATTACAGCCTCCTTGCATTTAGAAATACTATACAATATTTTCACACTATATTTGGGGGACATTTTAAACATCAAAATCACCAACCAAAAGCACAAAAATGAGAAAAATATGGCACAGGATTTACAGAGAAAAGGACACTTGCTTGTAATATGATATGGTTTCACTGTGTGTCCCCAGCCAAATCTCATGTTGAATAGTAATTTCCAATGTTGAGGGAGGAACCTGGGGATCATAGGGGCATATTTCCTTCATGCTGTTCTGTAATGGTGAATGAGTTTTCATGAGATCTGATGGTTTAAAAGTGTGCCACTTCGCCCCTCAGTCTCTCTCTGTCTCCTCCCACCATGTGAAGAAGGTGCTTGCTTCCTTTGCCTTCCGCCATGATTATAAGTCTCCTGAGGCCTCCCAGTCATGAGTCCTGTTAAGCCTGCAGAACTGTGAGTTAATTAAACCTTTTTTTTCGTAAACTACCCAGTCTCAGCTACTTCTTTATAGCAGTGTGAGAATGAACTAATACACAGTGTAAGAGCTATAATAGGAAGTTAGAGCTTCACCTTGATCAAATTCTGCTGGGACAGTTAGGCAATTGAGTTAGGCAATTGAGTTGCCTAACTGTCCCAGCAGAATTTGATCAAGGTGAAGCTCTAAAGTCAGGCAACTCAAATTTTTTCACTGTCCTGCACATATGCATGTTGATGAAATATCAAGAAAGCACTGAGAATATTCATTTTAGGGTTATGAATAAATTTTAGCAAGCAGTCAAATTTGCATATAAGTAATCTAGTAATAATGAAAATAGACAGTGTGTGTTTGTGTATGGGGGAGAGGTGATATGTGAATGTATGTTGATATATAAATAAATATACACGTATGCATATGTGTATCTATTGCATATATATAATGTTTATGCAAGGTTATATTTTAATTTAACTCGTTATCATGAGCATTTTCATTTCCAAAATTATTTAAAAGCATGCTTTGAAATTCTTGTATTTAGAATATGACACTAGTATATTTTATATCAATTCATTAATCAGATATTTTCAAATACTAAGAACATTTTAAATGTTTTGATATTTTAATTATTTCAATAAACAATTCCCACTTTTTTTCTTAACTATTCTAGCCTAGCCATGGATATTTTTCTGTTATGTTTACTGTTATACTCTTTACTAGAACCATTCCTAGAACATAGTAGATACTCAACCAATATTTGAATGGAAAAATGCACACAGCTAAACCCCTTTTGGGGTGAGGTAATCTGAATCCAGACTCGTACTCTCAGAAAAAAAAAGTTATTCAATACTTGCAGGACATGTACTAGTCTTGAGTTTTAAATAAAAGAGAATTCCACAGTTAAAATAAATATTTAAGTTTATCATCTATCTCAAAGCATATTCACCTGTATTAGAGCAAAGTTTGTCACAAAAGTACATTTTCAAAAACAAATATTTTGTGTGTGCCCGTATGTATTAACACATCTGCATTGATATTAAAATTTTAAAGCCCTATTTAACTGCTTTTTACTATTTTCCAGAAAAATATGGTCTCACCACAAGGCTAGTTAGCAATTAGTAGAAAACACAAATGAAGCTTATAGCCTATGTATGAGAAACTTATTGTTTTCCTTCCTTTTATTCTTTTTAAACAAAATACAAATAAGATGTAAAGGAGGCTGAGGAAGGGCCTGAAACGTAATTGCTAATTCCCTGAAAGAAGGCAACTCTGGGTTGTGAGTAAACAGCAGACATCACAAATGATTATTCCTGAATTCAGAGACTTAAATAGGTTTCCCAAATGGTTCCAGATTAGGGTTGCTTGTTTACAGTTTTTAAATTATTTTATTAATTTGATTCTTGATTTGGCAAGTAACGCAAAATAAATATTATTAGTCCCAGCAGCCTCACCTTCTTCTCAAGGAAGTGCTCCTTTATTTATATCTGAAGTGACACCTGCCCACCTTCCCAGTTTGTCAGACTCCTATATTTAGTAATGATTTTTACTTAATATTTTAGATAATTATTTGTTGGCGTTGTTTCTGTCTAAAAGTTACTTTTAATGTTTCTAGTTTGCACCCTCCTTTTCTATCATGTTAGGTAATTTACAGAGGGAAACCATCAAACTTTTGCTAGATAAATAAATTGTATATTATTCCTTGTATTTATGTATCTATAAACACAAAGATAAAAGACACACATACATATGTATGTGATATGATTAGGCTTTGTGTCGCCACCCAAATCTCATCTTGAATTGTAATTCCCAGGTGTTGAGGGAGCGACCGGTTGGGAGGTGATTAGATCACGGGGGCAGTTGCACCTATGCTGTTCTTGTGATACTGAGTGAGATCTCACAAGATATGATAGTTTTATAAGGCACTTTTCCCTGCTCTTGCTTACTCTGTCTCACCTGCCACCATGTAAATGTGCCTGCTTCCCCTTCCACCATGATTGTAAGTTTCCTGAGGCCTCCACAGCCATGCAGAACGGTGAGTGAATTAAACCTCTTTCTTGATAAATTACCCAGTCTTGGGTAGTACCTTTATAGCAGTGTGAGAATGGACCAATACAGCATGCATATATTCTGAATGGTACAAATATCTTCCCAATCCTTGTCTTCAACCATGATATTTCAAAATTATCAATGTCATTTCTCTGTTAGGACAGAACCAGTAGTAAAGCCATGAAAATATATGAGCGTTAGCAGTATGGATATATGATAATGTCAATATCCCCAAAACCACATACCAAACATATCCGAGCATTATGTTAATAGGTAAAATGAATAAATATAAAGTATAGGAATGCATTGTTTTCATTATATCACATGGACAAATATAGAGGGATTTTGTTTATTATGTATATTTTTCTCAGGGTAATAGTTTTCTCTGTAAGATTATGCAAGTAATTTTAATGCTTGAAATGAAACCATTAGAATAACAAAGTCAATATGGTTTATGTTATTTGTAAGCTACTTGAATTTGTAATTTACCATAATTTTCTAACAATACATTGCATTCAGTATACATCAAATTCTGCTCTGAGAATATGGATTGCAAAGTAACATTTTTTGTATTTATATACTTGAAAGAGGAATAAATATATTTTTCTATGAAAATATTTCTTTCTGAAACAATTGAAAATAATATCTAACATATATGAAGTTATATAGAGTTTAATGTCAATATCACAACATAATCTATTTATCTAGAAACTGTTTTAGCCAGATATATAAGAATATATTGCTATATAAATACTACATATTCTTGTACTGTACATGGCAGTATAAATATAATTACTTGAACTTCAGATTAAAAAAAATAAATCTGACCAGGTGAACCAGAAAGAATTACTAAATGCATTTTTCAAGTAAGAAAAATTTCCCTAATGAGCAAGCCAGCTTGCCCTCAACAACCCATTAGAAAGGGAAGTTTTCACATGGATGGAACCTGCTATTACTGTTCCCTCTCAAAGGCTTTATTCTATGAATGCCAAATTACTAAGGAAGTAGGTCAATATGGTCAAGAATATTTGACTGAAACAATCGAATACAGTGTTTCATATTGATAGAACGAATGGTCTGTGTTTTGCTCTTGGAAAAATACAAATCTTTGCTGCTGCTTTAAACAATTTCCTGAGTTCCAACCCATATATCTCAACCTCTAGAAACACAACAGAAAGGATTACTTATCAGACTCAAAGAGTCCACATAGAACTGACTGCAATTCAGCTTGGAATTTGTTTAAATATTTTGAGTATTTTCCTTCACCTTCCATAATTATTATTATGAGAAAAATTGTTCAGCCATTCAGTTGGACTCTCTGCTCTGCATAGAAAATAGTGAAAGAAACATCATGCTTACAGCTGTCTACTATATTGAGCACAATAATGTGCTTTGTGACCTTGACTCAAAGTAGTTTCCATGGTTAGTGAGGTAGAGTGAAACCAAAAGGGAATGGAAGGTGAAGAAATGGATTTAACATGTGCAGAAAACTTCAGTGAGTTTATTTATGAGTATAAAGAATAGATAAAAGAGGATAATGGCTGCAGATTTTTTGGTTTGTTTTGTTTTGTTTTAAGCTTTCAGGACATCAGAGCAGGTCTGTGTGCTTATGGGGATGACATGAAAGAAAGAGAAAAGGAAACATAAGAATTCATTTGGCTGGTAGCTCACGCCTGTAATCCCAGCACTTTGGGAGGCCAAGGTGGGTGAATCACCTGAGGTCAAGTGTTCAAGGCCAGCCTGGCCAACATGGCAAAACCCCATCTCTACTAAAAATAACATTAGTGAGGCGTGGTGGCATGCACCGTAATCCCAGCTACTCGGGAGGCTGACACAGGAGAATCACTTGAACCCAGGAGGCGGAGCTTGCAGTGATCCAAGATTGAGCACTCCAGCCTGAGCAAGAGAGTGAGACTCTAAGGAAGAAAAAAAAAAAAAAAGAATTCAGCCAAACAGATTGCAGAAGAAAGTGGTCACTGTTTATTCTATTCCATTAAATAGTATAAAAAAAGTGTTAATAGGGCATACACATTTCAGATGACATTTTGTTAAAAACAAAACCAAAGAAAAGTAATGTAAACCATTTATAATTTGAAGAAACACTGCCATATAGCTATACCAGTATTAAACTAAGAACAAAAAAAATTGTGATTTTATCTTGACATTTTAAATTATATTTTCATAGTTTCAAAATGAAAATAATGCAATGACTAAAATATTAATTTTAATATATTTAATAAATATTTATTCTTACCAAATAAATAGATTTAATTAGTTTATTATATTATATTTAGTATGTATATATTCCTCTAAATAAAAATTAGAGAGTTAACATTATTAGTACTTGAAGGGCTCTAACATTATACTGTTGAAGCTTTGGTAGGATAAACATTCCGGTGAAAAGCAGACTTTCAGGTAGAGGCCTATAGACACAAAGAGATTAGAAAGCTATTAAAATGTATGTACAATTCAAAATTTCTTCCTGAAGTACCGTCTGCCAATGGTAGTATGAATCTAATTGACCAAACTATTATGCCTCTTTAGATTGCAATATTAGCATGGGTGATGAGTGCATCCAATTAGCAAAGGACATTTTGAAAAGAAATTTGGTCTTGTCTTGAACACTGGTGATTTAGGACGTTTCAATTGAAATGATGAATAAGAAATTTTACATCTTAGATTTGCTCTAGAAGTATGCTGGACAAAAATTATCATGTTTATTTTCATGAATTACTATATACAATCCAGGCTTTCTGAGCAAAGAGCAAAAGCTAAGGCATGATTGAATGGCAAATATGCCTTGGAAGTTAGTGATAGTGAATTATTCTGGAAAGTTTTGGTGACTTTTCTCCCTCCGAGCAATTTGTTCACGTTCCAGAATTGTGAAGCTTAAAGAGATTCTCCTCCCCATCCTTTTCCCATCTCTGATCATTAGTTTCTGTTCCAGAGCAAAGATCTCCCAGTCTCTCTCATTCATTCATTCATTCACTCACTCATTCATTCTGTCTCTCTCTCTCCCCGCCTCGCCCCCCACCCCTTTCTCCATCTCTCCTCGAAAAGGAAAAGGGGCAGATACCAATACAGTATCTGACTTTGAGTCTCTTCATTTCAGTATTGCTTTATTTAGTGTGTTGCAACTTCATTGCACATGCAAGGTAACATGAGACCCTCATACTCTATGAGGATTGGGGTTCAGGGAACTGACACTAAGATGCTCTGTGAATAATAAACCATCTGTCCTCTGATCCAGAGACCTGGTGTTTCCTGTTGGAATATGAATTGCAATGAACAATTAGTGGTTAGTTGGAAAAAGACATCAGAGAAAGGGGCTCAAAACTGTGGCCATCTACTTTTGCTTAATGAGGATCTTTTCTCCAAAAGAAAACATCATTACATAAACATTCCACCAATATTTTTATATTTTTAACTGATTTCCCATTTTGTATATGATTATATGAAATATTTTTCCACCATTGAGCTACCTAACACCCATCACCTAATACTCATCTGGCTTAAATGCTGCTATGTACTCTATTAATTTATTTCCAGGGCTGGAAATTATGTGAATGTATAGTCTTGTGTGATTTTGGTCTGAAACTGAAAAAAGTAAATGCCTCTGATAGCTTTCCTTGGGTTTTGCATAGATTATTATATATTGTATTTCCTTACCTATTTAGAATTTTCTTTCTCTAAATGTTTCTTTTACTTCGTTTCTAGGTTTGAAAACACTTACTGAGTCCTATATCATTTTTTATATCTTTATGTTTTACTAAGCAAATTTATTTCTACAGTCCCCAATTTTGCCACATTTTTGACAACAGTATTGACAAAACTCTCTTTAATACAGTTATAACTGCTCAGATGAAATTAGTATTTAGGTAGTGAACATCTATATATATATATATATATATAGGATAGGCTATATATATATATATATATATAGGATAGGCTATATATATATATATATACACACACAGCACAGAATTTGGTATTTCAACTTATTATGTTTTAAGATAAATTAATAATATTAGGCTTGTACCAAACTATAATAATATATATTTCACAATTACAAGAAAATTGAACTATTTAATTATTTCAAGTAGGTAAAATTATCTTTACAGCAGCAATATTCATTTCAAATATTTATATTTATAAATGAACCACTTGCTATTTCACTTTTTAAAATCAATTACAAGATTTTAAACCTTGTTAGCACAGTCCCCTCATATTACTGGTTTCTTAAATCTTGGTAGAATTTTAAAAATTGAAGATACTATTTGCAGTATTATATTTACAAATTCTGTTACTATCTGTGTCAGCAAAATTTTTTAAAAAATCTAAAGAAATCTGATTGTTTCTAAATATGCCATCTGTCTTAATATTATCTATAGCCCTTTAATAAGAAATATGATACTTCTGCCACAAATGAGTAGATACATTTCATATTATGTTTTCTGAGTTATTTGGTCTTACCACCTTGCATTCATCATACGAGTCCACACTTGGGGCAAAAATCTTAGAACGTCACTAAGAGTACAAATAATGAGTTTGCAAATCTAACCTCTGGACTCAACACTACAAATACAATAGAGGTAAATTACATAATTATATTCATGAAATACAGGAAGGAAGACAAAGAAAACAAGTAAGATAGAATATCTTACTTGTAAACAGGGCAGACCATGTTGTATTAGTCTGTTCTCACACTGCTATAAAGAACTGCCCAAGACTGGGTAATTCGTAAATAAAAGAGGTTTAATTGAATCAGTTCTGCATGGCTGAGGAGGCCTCAGGAAACTTAAAATCATGGTGGAAGGGGAAGCAGGCATGTCTTACATGGCAGCAGGCAAAAGAGAGCATGTGAAGGGGGAACTGTCAAATACTTATAAAACCAGCAGATCTTCTGAGAACTCCCTCACCATTATGAGAACAGCATGGGGGAAACCACCCCCATGATCCAATCACCTCCCACCAGGGAGCTCCCTTGACATGTGGGCATTATGGGGATTACAGTTTGAGATGAGATTTGAGTGGGGACACAGAGCCAAACAACATCACATGTGTTGGGATTTAGGTTTCCATGGATGTAAACATTAATCTCACCCATAAAGAAAACAGTTTATTTTCATCCCAAAATATCACACTTCATTGTACTTTGGCATCCATATGTCACAATATGAAAGATATTGTATTTTAATGAAAAAAAGTAAGATAACAGCCACCTCAGTTACAGGCTTTGAGAAGTGGCAGGCTACTTTGTGCCAAGTTTGAGATCCAAGCTCTGGTCATTCTGATCAAAGTACAATCATTATTTATGGACTCAAGTAATTAGTGTGAAAGACAAATGACTATTATAATTCAAATCTCTTTCAAAACGTTTGTTATTGAAAGAGAAAAAGTTTGCCTTTGTCATTAAAAAAGCTATTTAAGAACATTTACACATATTAACTCATTTTATTCTTCTTTTCCCTTATTGTTTTGTAGAACTGAGTCCATTACTTGTGTTATACGAAGCAAGATTGGTGAGAATATTTCAGAATCATTAGTGATGGGACTGGAGCCATCACTATATCTCTTGTAGTATCTTTAAATTACTAAACCAGCCTGAGCATTTAGAGACAGAGTCTGTTAAAACCTTACATTCAAGCCAAGTCCTACATTCAAGCTAAGAGTCTGCTTGAAAAGAATTTGTACAGGTTTATTCCAGGGTATCAGGTTTGTTCCAGGATATTGGTTTTCCCTTTTCCATGATATATAGCTCTATGATGATGCTTCCTACTCCTGCCTCGTCTACTTCCTCTTTTTTAAACCTCCTTTCAGATACCACATTCGCTTTTACCTTAAAACTTCTAATAACAGCAAACTAGAAGTAATGCAAAAGTCTTGATGCATTAAGTAGCAAGGGAACAAATAAGGTTGTTGTGCTATGTTGTAAAGAACAAGGAATAAAGACAAAGACATAGGATGAATCAGGATACATACATATGGACTTATGTCCTACAGTTAAGCAGTGCTTTTATTGTGCATTATTGTTAAAGGTTAGAAGTATAAGCATTAAAGCAAGTGAGGCATGAGGCTGCTCAGGATGATCATATCAGTATACATCAAAAGAGCTTACCTAGAGGTGAGAAGGACGAACTAATCATTAAATGGAAACTCCAAATCAGAATTTAAGTTTATCCTCTTTCTTTAATGTCGCATAAGGGCAATGGGCCAGATACTAATGTTGGCAATTCAAATATTTTTAAATAAACTTTCTTCGGTTGATTTTCTTCTCTATTAGGATGGACTGTTGTATCTACAGTGCCAACTGAAGACAACATTTTACATTCTTGGCCCTTCTGTACTAATACATCTGCTTTAAATGATACCTGCGATCCAGTTTGCTGTCTTTCTTTTTTTAGGGAAATCATATTATTCAGTTATTTCAAACTGTGAATTTATTTTCTCCAGAGATACAGTATTCAGGCTGTTACTTTATATTGGAAGAGGGCTAAAGGACTTATTCTCTGACTTTAAGTAGAGGAGAAGTTATGAGTTGGAGTGATGAGAGCCCCAGGCATCATGGAATCACTAGGTAGCACTCCAGTTTGCTGATTCTTCTCTGGTCAGGATCTCAGCCTTAAAAACAGTATGTAGCAGCTTCATAAATATTAAACCCTATCTGGCAATTAACAAGTCCTGGTAGGAAGGGCGATTTGAGAAAGAGGAATTACTACTGAAGGACTTCGGCTCCTCTCACATGAGGATATTGAGCTACCCTGAGGTTTGTTTATGGACTTCAGTATCAAGAAATGGCCAGGGCTGTTGACGTGATATTGTAATCTGAAGGTACAAGTGACAATGGTCTCAAGGCAACAGAGTAAAAGAAAATGTTCCTTTAAAGAAAGATTCCTTCAGTCTATCAAGCTTAGCCTGTTGAGAGATCAAGGCAGTCCTCAGTCACTTTAAGGTTTTCTAGTATTTGTATCTTCTTATTGTTGTTAATTTGGGGAACATGAGCTAACAGCAATTTCAAGGGCAATATCTTGGACCTTGACATTTCCCAGGGGTGTATGATTTTTTTCAATGACTTGCCTGAAGCCATGGCAGTGGATAAAGATTTGTGATAGCCTCAGAAACTAAAATCAACTTAATCTTCTTAAAAATTCTTTATGAGCAAAGATTACTCACCGAATTCCAAAATTGTAAACCTGGAAAGGAAGCAATGATACAGTCCCTTAAACCTCCCATTTTCAGAATGAGGAAACTGAAGGTTGAAAAGGTCACATTACTGATTTATTAGTAGAAGCAGAACCATAACCTAATTTTTGAGCCATAGTCAAGTATTTTATTTTCAAATCTGCTCTGTAACTTAACTTCCTCATGGAATCAACTTTCTGATAAGTGTTTATGAAATTAAGAAGTAGTTTATAATCAAAATGTATGTTCTTATACCAAGAACATAATCATGTCACCTTCTTCTCTGTAGGAAGACAATATAATCTCTTACATTTCTCAAAGCTTGGTACAATTTGGTAATATGGATGGATAAGCAAAGGCTAACACCAAATATTCTAATGCCAAATCAATAAGGGAATCATTTTCAGAAAAAAACTTTTGTTTAATTTTTAATGTTTGTGTGATTTTTCTTTCTTAACTCTGTAAAAAGTACTTGTCATTACAAAAAGATAAATAATGAGTAATATGAGGAAAATACCTTGAATTTAATATCAATAGACATATGCACACTTTTTAGAGAAAATACAACTACCTTTATAAGTGTCAGGCTCAAAATCTTATGGTTCTAAAGAGAATGTGTTATTTCTAATTTTGCAATTTCTCAATTCCTAATTTCTGGAATCATCTGGGAACTTAAATAGCTATAGAATTTCAGACTCTTCGAGAATTTAGATTCATACTCATGTAACCATATGTGACAAAATCTGCTAGTTGCATAATAATTATCCATTCATTCCTTTTCCTTTGGAAAGACCCTATTAATCAGCATGGCCCATTACTGCTTAGAATAAAAGTTTCATTTTCTGCTCCCATTGCAGCCAAGTGTCCATTTTAGATAGGTCAATGAAAATGAGATTTAAGAGAGATTATTTCTTCATTCATCAAATATGTGAGCCACCCAGTCCTAGAATCCAATTTTGACGCTTGTCGTCTGGGTCCAAGATGATACTAATTACCAAAATACTTCTTGCAGGAAGAAGCAGATGACGCACTCAAGGGGATAATGTTTTTAATGTAACGAATGGAACAAAAGAATTATTGCAGAGGTGAGGTCAAGGTGAAAGGAACCAAAGAGGACATGATGAAGCACCCAGATCCAGCAAGAATAGAAAGTCATTACCTCTCCTTTGCTTGACATGACAAATAAAAAAAAAAAAAGACACATAATACCAGAACATGATAAGAAGTAAGAGCTATGATCACAGCAGAAGGGTCACTCAACAACATCTGAAATTATAAGGAGAAGGATATACCTACTGCCAAGACCTAGCAGGAAGATAAAAGGGGAGAATACTTGGGCTACTTTTTCTATTCAAACAACAATTTCATAGCTACTGCCAAGGCCTAGCAGGAAGATAAAAGGGGAAAATACTCTGGCTACTTTTTCCATTCAAACAGCAATCTCCCTCCTCCTCTCCCTCCTCTGTCTAGAAATCCCCAGTGTCTCTTGTTTCCATCTTTATATTTATGTGTATGCATGTTTAGCTCCCGCTTGCAAGTAAGGAAAAACATCCATTGGGTATTATGCTCACTACGTGGGGGATAGGATCATTTGTATCCCAAACTTCAGTGTCACACAATATACCTACAAACCTGCACATATACCCTTTAATCTATAATAAAAGTTGAAATTATTAAAAAATGAAGTAAGTCACACATTTTTTGGGTTCCCCAGTGCATGTAAAAGTTACACTATATTTTAGTCCATTAAGCATGTAATAACACTGTCTAAAATACAATGCAGTTAACTTTAATTTAAAATACTGTATTGCTAAAAAAAAAAAAAAAGAGAGAGAACAATTTCCTGCCAGCATCTCCAATTAACTGGACCCACCTAAAATCTAGAGGGGGAAGGAGCTGGTTTGAAGCAGTGTGTAGAGATATACCTTCCTGGGCAAGGAGCAGGAAAAAAATGGAAGAAAAGATCTAATGAACAAGCAAAATAATCAAGAGAATCACTATTATTAATGGATTCTTTTCAGGCAGCTGAATGCAATTCAAACTGACATATCCTAACTGGCACAGTGGGATAAACACAATGCTAAAGGTATGGTCAAATTGTTGAGAGGGCAAAGGAATCAGTTACTCACTCTGCCAATTTGTGTTGGAGAATGTTCTAGAGAGAAACAATATATAAAAACTTGATACTGAAAGGAGAAAAATAACCTGAACAGAAAGACAATCAGGTGATTATTAATAAATAATTTAGTTTGCCTTGAACATAGAATTATTATAATAAAGGACTATTTAGAAAGGGGCAGCATCACAGGCTTTGTGACTGAAAAGGTATGTTGAAATTAGAGTTTAATGAATTTTCTATTTTTTTCTTAGTATTAAGGGGAATGAATAAGAGGGTAGAGAGACCAGACACTATGAGATATTGTGATAATGTAGGATGTAGTAAGCATGATCTCCAGCAAATGGAGCATTCTGATTCCTGAAAATATGTAAAATTAAACTTATTTTATTTATTTTTATATTCATGCATATAGTGTAGTTTCTGTCACATGGTAGGTACCTAAATTATAATTGGAACAGGTATTAGTCCACGTTTTGTGGGGTATGTATATAAGTTAGGAAAATATGTTTAGAAAAACAGAATACAAATTATGAAAACATTAGATATCTGGCTTTAGAGGAGGTTATGCAATTAAGTGGCCTGAAGTTTAAGCCTCATTAGCTTCACAGTAAATCTGCCTCTGCTCCGGATTAAATAAATGGACACTGTCACATGCATAGGCAAGTAGAATAGAAGTAAATTATATAATAGATAAAAAATACTGTTTAAGCAAAAGAAGCATCTGATACTTTCATTATTAGGGTAGAGGGAGGGGTAAGAAATAATTTTTGAAATGTTAGGTAAATGGTAGGCTGTTACATACTTCAATTATTCCAAAAATATTTATGAGTGTATGTAATGTACCAGGCATTAAGCTAGAGCATACAGAGGGAAAAGATATGGTCAATAATTTATGAATATCACATAAGAATGAGAGAAACAAGTAACTATAGGTTACATGCTGTGGTTGATAAATGAAAATGGTGCTAGAATGATACAGAGAAGGATTATCTACATTAGTCTTGGTTCTTTATGGTTGAAAGCATGACATAATATTAAATGGGAGATGTAAGCCAGAGCACTATCATTAGGGAACTCATGTGCTCACATTTTTGTTTTGAAAAAATCTCTAGCTGCACAAGAGAGGATAGATCAATGATAGTATAAATGAGGAAACTACTGCAGCAAATGGTTATGGGTGGTGTAGGTAAAGATTAATATACATAACTAAAATATGAAAAATGGGTATTGCCGAAAGGGAGAAAATTTTAGTGGAATCAACAGAACTTAATGTAGTTTTGTTGTGTTTTGTTTTTAAATATATTTTTTAAATTTTAAATTTTTAATTTTTGTGGGTCCATAGTAGATATATATATATATTTATGGTGTACAAGAGATATTTTGGTACAGGCATATAATGCATAATAATCACATTAGGGTAAATGGGATATCTGTAACCTCAAACATTTATTCTTTATTTGTATTGCAAGCAATCCTCTTTTAGTTATTTTAAAATGTATAATAAACCATAGTTGACTGTAGTTACTCTGTTGTGCTATCAAATACTAGATCTTTATTCTATCTAACTACATTTTTGTACTCATTACTACCCTCTTCCTCCCCACTATCTACTACTCTTCCTAGCCTCTAGTAATCATCATTCTACTCTCTATACCCATGAGTTCAATTTTTTAAATGTTTCCAACCTTAAATAAGTAAGAACCTGCAAAATTTGTCTTTCTGTGCCTGGTTTACTTCCCTTAACATAATGACTTTCGGTTCCATCCATGTTGTGGCAAATGACAGGAGCTCATTATTTGTTATGGCTGACTAATACTCCACTGCGTATAGGCACCACATTTTTTTATCCTCTGTTGATGGACACAGATTGCTTCCAAATCTTTGCTATTGTGAATAGTGCTACCAAAAAAAAAAAACACGAAAATGCAGATATGTCTTCAATATACTGATTTCCTTTTTTTGGGGGGGTTGTATACCCAGCAGTAGAATTGCTGGACTATACGGTATCTCTATTTTTAGTCTTTTGAGGAACCTCCAAACTATTCTCCCTAGTGGCTGTACTAATTTACATTCACAGCAAAAGTGTACTAGGCTTCTCATTTGACAGAATTTAATTTTGGATTAAACAATTATATGACTGGAAGAGAAACATGAAGGAATACTGTATTAGTCCATTTTCACACTGCTGATAAAGACATAACCAAGACTGGGTAATTTATACAAGAAAAAAGGTTTATTGGACTTACAGTTCCACATGGCTGGGGAGGCCTCACAATCATGGCAGAAGGCAAGTAGGAGCAAGTCACATCTTACATGGATGGCAGCAGGCAAAGAGGGAGCTTGTGCAGAAAAACTCCCATTTTTAAAACCATCATATCTCACGAGACTTACGCACCATCAAGAGAACAGCATGGGAAAGACCTGCCCATGATTCAATCACCTTCCACCAGCTCCCTTTCACAGCATTAGGGAATTATAGGAGCTACAAGATGAGATTTAGGTGGGGACACAGAGCCAAACAATATCATTCTGCCCTTGGTCCCTCCCATATTTCATACCTTCACATTTCAAAACTGATCACGCCTTCCCAACAGCACCCCCAAAGTCTTAACTCATTTCAGCATTAACTCAAAAGTCCAAAGTCGAAAGTCTCATCCAAGACAAGGCAAGTCCCTCCTGCCTATGAGCCTGTAAAATCAAAAGCAAGTTAATTACTCCCTAGATACAATGGGGGTAGAGTCATTGGGTAAATGCAGCCATTCCAAATGGGAAATTGGCCAAAAAAAGGGGGCTACAGACCCCATGCAAGTCCAAAATTCAGTGGGGAAGTCAAATCTTAAAGCTCCAAAATGATCTCCTTTGACTCCATGTCTCAAATCCAGGTCACACTGATGCAAGAGGTGGGTTCCTATGGTCTTGGGCAGATCCACCCCCATGGCTTTGCAGGGTACAGCTTCTCTCCAGGCTGCTTTCATGGGCTGGCATTGAGTGTTTGCAGCTGTTCCAGGTACACAGTGCAAGCTGTCAGTGGATCTACCATTCAGGAGTCTGGAGGACAGTGGCCTTCTTCTCACTGTTCCACTAGTTGGTGCCCCAGTAAGGACTCTGTATGGGGGCTCCCGCCCCACATTTTCCTTCTGCACTGTCCTAGCAGAGGTTCTCCATGAGGACCCCACCCCTACAGCAAACTTCTGCATGGACATCCAGGCATTTCCATACATCCTCTGGAATCTAGCTGGAGTTTCCCAAATCTTAGTTCTTGATTTCTGTGCACTTGCAGGCTCAACACCATGTTTATTCTGCCAAGATTGAGGCTTACACCCTCTGAATCCATGGCCAGAGCTTGACATTGGCCCCTTTCAGCGATGACTGGAGTGGCTGGGACACAGGGCACCAAGTCCCTAGGCTGCACACACAACGGGATCCCTGAGCCCAGCCCATGAAACCACTTTTTCTTCCTAGGCCTCTGGGCCTGTGATGGGAGGGGCTGCCATGAAGACCTCTAACATTCCCTGGGGACATTTTCCTCATTGTCTTGGGATTAACATTTGGCTCCTCATAACTTATGCAATTTCTGCAGCTGGCTTGAATTTCTCCTCAGAAAATTGGATTTTCTTTTCTATTGCATTTTCAGGCTGCAAATTTTCTGAACTTTTATGCTGTTTCTCTTTTAAAACTGAATGCCTTTAACAGCACCCAAGTGACTTTTTCAACGTTTTGCTGCTTAGAAGTTTCTTCTACTAGATACCCTAAATCATCTCTCTCAAGTTCAAAGTTTCACAAATCTCTAGGGAAGAAGCAAAAGGCTGCCAGTCTCCTTGGTAAAACATAGCAAAAGGCACTTTTACTCCAGTTTCCAACAAGTTCTTCATCTCCATCTGTGACCACCTCAGCCTGGATTTCATTGTCCTTATCACTATCAACATTTTGTTAAAAGCTTCAACAAGTCTCTGGGAAGTTACAAATTTTCCCACATTATCCTGTATTCTTCTGGGTCTTCCAACTGTTCCAACCTCTTCCTGTTACTCAGTTCCCAAATAGCTTCCACATATTTGGGTATATTTATAGAAGCACCCTACTCTACTGGTACCAATGTACTGTATTAGTCGGTTTTCACACTGCTGATAAAGACATACCTGAGACTGGGTAATTAATAAAGGAAAAAGGGTTTATTGGACTTACAGTCCCACATGACTGCAGAGGCCCCACAATCATGGTGGAAGGCAAGGAGGAGCAAATCACATCTTATGGGGATGGCAGCAGGCAAAGAGGGTTTGTGCTGAGAAACTTCTGTTTTTAAAACAATTATATCTCATAACACCCATTGACTATCACAAGAAAAGCATTGGAAAGACCCAACCCCATCATTCAGTCATCTCCCACCAGGTCCCTTCCACAACATATGGGAATTATAGGAGCTACACGATGACATTTAGGTGGAGACACAGAGCCAAGCCATATCAAATACCAAGTGGGTACTCTGTTTTTATGATTGACTGGGTGTTTTATGGTGCCTTTAACCAAAGTACAGAATGTAGAATGAAGATAAGATTGTGGATAAATATTAATGAGTTTGAGTTGAGATATATATGCTGTATCTGATCTTCCTGTAAGATATTAGAGTAAAGATAATCTGTAGGCAATCAAATATATGAATGTGCAGCTCATCAGCAAGGTGTCAGTCCAAGATAGAGATTTGGGTAATGGGTCTACACATGGCAGTTGTACCTATGAGCATGAGAGAGATCACTGAGCAAAAGAAAGATTACCCTCGGCTATAAGTAAGAAAATCTGATAACAATGGCTTAAACATAATAATGTTGATTTGTTTTTACAATAAAGTTTAGAGTGATTCATTCCAGAGTTTGTTTGACAACACTAATCAACAAAGTCTCCAGTAATCCAGTGTTTCAATTTATCTGGCTCTGTAACAAAATTATTACAAAATGTATTGGTATAAATCAAAAATTTATTATGTTCAGATTGTGAAGGCAAGATATTTGGATAGTCACAGTGGGGACAATTTTTCTCTACTCCACAAAGTTGGGGAAGTTAACTGAAGGATTCAAAGGCTGGGGGCTGGATTCACATAAATGTGATTTGGATTTCATCTAAACATCTCTTGATGTTCTTTCATGTGTGCTTTGTCACAGTATGGCAGCCCAGTCCCAGGACTAAAAGAAACCCAGAAGCTTTCTTTCCCTTTATGGCCTACCCTCCAAAGTCTTGCAGTGTCACTTGTGCCACACTTTATTCATCAAGGCCATCAAAAAATTTGACCCCGGTTCCAGTGGAAAGGAAATCATTTTGCCTCTTTAGGGGGAGTAACGATTGTCACAGGCAATAGGTTCTGGAACAGTATTTGAGATCTGAAATCTTGCTGTATCCTTTTTGAAAAATACAATTTTTTATAGCCTGGATTCTTCCAATGTAATCATTTATCATCTGTATGGTGTGATCCTTATCCCCATTGTGCAAAGTTTCCTCTTTGCTACAGGTATTAGGATCCAGAAAGGATGTAGCTAGGGCTCTCCTAAAAAAGTTCCCAGAAGTCTACACAGAAAAGATGCATTTATATCCCACTGGCCACAAGGTAGTCATATCTTCAAATCTAGCTTCAGGAAAAGTGGGGAAATGTGTTATTCTGGGTGACCATTTTCAATAGCTAAAAAGTAAAATATATGGAAAGATAATCAATTAGCAATCTCTAGAATAAATCTCGAGTGTAAAATTAATAACTATATGAAAGTTGCTTTGCTACCACATATAATTTCAAAAAAATGCTACACTTTCAAGATAGTTACATTCAAAAATAGCTTTAGCTTTTATTTTGATAAGAAATCAATTCTTTACAGACATATAGCTTCTATTATAATGTGTAGACTCATGAAAATTATGATATTCATCATTTTAAAACAAATTATTCTTCAGAATGTCAAATTTACTGTCTGTTAACTTGACTTCCCTGCTTCAGAATCCTGCTTATTTGGTTTGTTTGACGTTGAGTCAAATCAGTATCAAAGTGAGGATTGTTGACAGCAGCATAGGTCAATTTTGAAAAATCAATTTGAAATGAATAGATTAAAAAGAGAAGTTTACTGTCAAATATTTTTTACTCAGGCTTAGCATTGCCATCATTGATTCCAATGAGAACTAAAAGCACTATGCTCTTTTCCATATAAAACATTTAAATTGCAGATTTCTGAACATTCAAAAAAGGTATAATATAATGGAATAATAAAACAGACTCACATCCCCCAGCATTGAAAATGATGGACAAGATCATACTGAGACACATGGCTGACTCTGTTTTCACTTCTACACTCTTATTCTATTTGTGTCCCTAGGAACCCTATTTCCTTAAGCTGTTAATATGGAACACTACAAAATAGAAACTGAAGTTACATATTTTTGATATTGCAGGATTTCTTTTTTTTTTTTGGAACCTAATTAACCTTTTTTTTGTCTATGTTATCTTTATTTTATTTTATTTATTTATTTATTTTATTATTATTATACTTTAAGTTTTAGGGTACATGTGCACAATGTGCAGGTTAGTTGCATATGTATACATGTGCCATGCTGGTGTGCTGCACCCATTAACTCTTCATTTAGCATTAGGTATATCTCCTAAAGCTATTCCTCCCCCCTCCCCCCACCCCACAACAGTCCTCAGAGTGTGATGTTCCCCTTCCTGTGTCCATGTGTTCTCATTGTTCAGTTCCCACCTATGAGTGAGAATATGCGGTGTTTGGTTTTTTGTTCTTGCGATAGTTTACTGAGAATGATGATTTCCAATTTCATCCATGTCCCTACAAAGGACATGAACTCATCATTTTTTTATGGCTGCATAGTATTCCATGGTGTATATGTGCCACATTTTCTTAATCCAGTCTGCCATTGTTGGACATTTGGGTTGGTTCCAAGTCTTTGCTATTGTAAATAGTGCCGCAATACACATACGTGTGCATGTGTCTTTATAGCAGCATGATTTATAGTCCTTTGGGTATATACCCAGTAATGGGATGGCTGGGTCAAATGGTATTTCTAGTTCTAGATCCCTGAGGAATCGCCACACTGACTGCCACAAGGGTTGAACTAGTTTACAGTCCCACCAACAGTGTAAAAGTGTTCCTATTTCCCCACATCCTCTCCAGCACCTGTTGTTTCCTGACTTTTTAATGATTGCCATTCTAACTGGTGTGAGATGGTATCTCATTGTGGTTTTGATTTGCATTTCTCTGATGGCCAGTGATGATGAGCATTTTTTCATGTGTTTTTTGGCTGCATAAATGTCTTCTTTTGAGAAGTGTCTGTTCATGTCCTTCGCCCACTTTTTGATGGGGTTGCACGATTTCATAGAACTTTGACGATGTCAATAAATATAATAAATATGCAATAAAAGGTGCATTCTTCAATATTTTCCAAACCTATTTGTTCACAGAATGTCTCTCACACACAGCATCTCGAAAGAAATAAATGTATCTTGATTTCTATACCTTTAGGAATGAGAAAGATGTTTTCCCTATCCTTGCCTCTCTCTGTTTTAGTTATAAGTGTAATCCCAATCACATGTAGTTATATTGATACTTATAAGATAATCATTCGTGTACGAAATGTACTAAATAACAGGTGCTTGATAAGTGTTGGAAATATACAAATTTATCTTCAGCCTCTATCAAGGAACTCACTAAGTGTATGGTAGGCACATAAACACAGATAATTATATATAATAAAGATAATTTTATGATAGAATATGCAGGGAGCTATGAGGTCACAGAAGAATGTCACTTTGCTGAAAACAGGAACAGGTTGAGAAAAAGACATTGAAGGCTTCCTGGAGGAGCTCTTGAGCTTACTGATTGGCAGGATAGAGGGTGGAAGTGATGAGGGAAAATATTTTAGATATCAAGAACTAAGTTATTTTAGATATCAAGAGAAAGAATCGTGAAGTTGTAAAACGTCATGTGTCAGACACAGTAGGAAAGGATAGAAACCAAAGCTGAAGTTTTGTCATGGAGGAGATTGGATATAATTTCAAAGAGCCAGAACTTCATCCTGGCATGTGGGTCATTGAAGAAATTCAGCAGTGATGAGGTTTGACACTGGAATTAGGCTTTGGGAAGATATGTTAGCTCACAGAATCATTGAAATGTCTAGAAAAACAGGTTCGAGATTAAATTTACTGGAGAAATACTCTGAACAACACCACACACTGGGCTGACAGTTTGTGATACTGATACTAATCAACTCAAGACTGCAAAAGAACAGCCTGAAATTGAAAGCCGTGCTGCTTTCTGTCACAACCTGTTACAGCAAAACAGGCACTTCACTTCTAACTTCAGAACTGAAAACTTGATGTATATTTGATTGATGAAATCTAGATAATATGTCTGCATACTAGCTGCAAAGGTGACTAGGAAGTAGTAGCTTTCTGTCTTTTAAAGGAAAAACTTACAATGTGAGATATAATCAAAAGGATACAAAATAAAATTATTCAATTTTGATGATGACAGGGAAGGATGGAAACTATAAAAGGGATACAAAAAATTACAGCTAGATAGGAGGAATAGGTTCTAGGGTTCTATAGTACTGTAAGGTGACTATGGCTAATAATTTATAATATATTTTCTAATAGCTAAAAAGGAGATGATCGTAACCAAAAGCAATGATAAATGTTTTAGTGATGGATATGCTAAATATCCTGATTTAATCATTACATATCACATACATGTATCAAAATATATCACAGTGTATCACATAAATATATATAATGATTTCAAGTCAATTAAAAGTAAAATAGAAAATATGACTATTTAAAAAGCTGCAAGTGGAAGATGCTACAACAAAGAAGAAAAACAATTACCTAGGCAAGAAAAGTTGATGACCAGAACTAGCACAGTGAGTGTCAGGATGCTTAAGATGATGAAGAAGGGAAAAAGTCAAGTAGTTAAGATGTAAAATAGTCAGTAGGTTATGAATGACACATGTTAGAATATATGCCTGACTTTTCACTTTAAAATTCCAAGGGATAGTAGACCTTTTACAAAAATAAGGAATAGGAAAGAATGCAGCCTGTGTGAGGCATATCGAAAAGGAAAGAACATAAATACAATAGTATTTTTAGAACATAATAGCTCTTGTATTTAACATAATGATATTAATAAAATTATATTATCTGTGACTGTCCAATAAAATGTCTATCTAACATTATATAAAATAAGTTTATCTTACATAAACTACATAAACTTACATAAAAATAAGTTTATGTAAGATAAACTTATTTTATATAATGTATAAACTATATAAAATAAGTTTTGACATACAAGTTCGATACTTAGTAGAGCATTCAGGGATAAGAGAATACATTAAAATTCAAAAACATTAGTGGAAGTTAAAACTTTAAAAGTAAATGCAAAATCCTGATGAATGTGAAGTGACTTATAATAATCAAAACTACCATAAATTAAAAAATTATAGGACCTATTGTTATATGTATATAGTTAAGCCAATCACCAGGTCAGAAGGACATGTCGGCTCATAGGCTGATTTAGCAGAAATTTTGTCCTTAAATCAATGCAAATTTATTGCCTTACATTTCTGGAGGTCAGAGGTTAAAAATGGTTCTCACTAGGCTGAAAGCTAGGTGTCAGTACTGCTGTGTTCCTTCTGGAGCCTTTAGGGCAGAATTGGTTCCTTGACTTTTCCAGTTTTCAGATGCTGCTCCATTTCTTGACACCTGCTGTCTTCTTCTAAATCAGCAGAGCAGCATCTTTAGGTCTGTAGACTTTGATTCTTCTGACTCCTTCTTCCACTCATAAAAACTGTGATGATTACATTGTGATAATAACATTCGACCTAATGACCTAATAATTACATTCTAACAATAACATTCTAATGATTCAGAACAATCTCCTTATTTTGAGGTCACCTGATTAGCATTTTAAATTACATATATAATAGTAATTCCCCTTGCCATAGTCATACAACATATTTACAGGTTCCAGGAATGAGCACGTGGACATCTTTGGGGATTCAGGGACATTGTTCTGCCTATCACAGATGGTAAAGGTTTAAATCTTTCAATAGTACCCTACTTTTTGGTTTGCTGCTTTAGTCTTTTCATTTCTTCTGTGACCACATGCTTGCACTGAAATCTCGCCCTGCTTGAATTATACAGAGAGGTTTCTGTGTTCCTGACTGAGTACTAACTGAAATAAGGGATTGAGCCCTGGGTTTATCTGGCCAACAACCCAAACTTACAAGTAGAGAAAAGAGTTGGGACAAAGTCCTTGTGAGACGATGTGGTGTGTTCAAAGACATGCATGAAAGGGGGTGGAGGAGGATGGCACAGGGCAGATGAAAGCACAGGGAAGGACTTTGGATTTACTCTGAATGAGACAGAAAGCCATTGGAGGGTTTTGGTCACATGAGTGACTTCAATTGAAAGTGCGTAGATTGAAAATTTTTTTTAAATAATTGCTTAGATTATATGGAGATTAAACTACAGTTGTAGACGTGTTTTAAACTTCACAGTTCCTCCCCATTTTTATAACACACTTACAGCATGTAACTGTACTTACTCTAACCTCAACAGCTTTTTCCACCCTCATTAGCATCAAAATTCTTTTAATATTTTATATGATTTGATTTTGTAAATGTTCTTCTGGCTATTAAATGGCATTGAAATTGAAAGCACAATATGTCTTGTACCTATCATGTACCTTTTCTTTTCCATATATGTGCAGCTAAGTTAAGTGCTAAAAGACACCCTTAAGTTATTATTCTGTCTTGCTCCTCTTTCACTCTCTAAAGACGTGAATAAAAATAAAAATACAACACATACGTAACACCCTCAAGAAAGGCAGTGATTAGCATCTGTAAGCTTCTCAAGTGTTAAGATTCTTAGCATAAAGTTAGGGTGATTAATTCCCCTTAAACATAGAAAATGTTTATATGTTTTTAAAAATATTTTTGCTAACATCTCTTATCTGGGATAAGATTTTTGTCACCAAAATTTTAGAATTTTCTTCTTCCAAAAAAATATTGCTTACTTGGTAATTAAAATTAACTTTCGTGGAAAAATGTTTAATAAGCTCAGATTTATATTAGAATAGGAAACGAATGCTCACTTGAAAATAAATTTATTAGACAGTTACATGTTATCCCTTTATTATCTCTCCTACTCCATTTTATATAAAGCATTGTATAGAAATTCAGTTTAATAACTATATCCTAATATTTTGGTCTTCTTTACAAGGCTGTTGCAAAAATCCATTCATTTTCACACTGTATTTGAAAATGAAAAATTAAAATTAAATATAAATTGAGTCAATTTTAATATGATGATACTGATGCAACATTAATAGATATCAAAATATGTGAAAGGTTATAATTGTATTGAAAATGTCCTATATTGTTAACATTAATTTTATAACAGTACTTAACATATATTTGCCGCCGTATATTGAGAATGAGTTCCAAAGAGTTACTTATAGATTTCCCCCATAAGACCCATAAAGTCAGGAAAAGGTCAACATAGTAAGTCCCATCTTTTCTGGAAGGGCAAACCATAAGAACTACTTTTCTCAAAGGAAAAATAAACTTGCCTCTAGAATTCAGTATGTTGATATGCTAGCTCCTGTCAGTCTATGCCCTCATCTTACAAACTCAATTTGAGGTCAGCTATTGGATTTGAGCAATGATAACTATTTGCACTGCACAACACACTTCTTAACTGTAGACTTTTGTAAGCTTTGAATTAATAGCTAAATCTATACTAAATCAACTGTCTTAATAATATAAATGATACATTATGTAACAAGATGTAACAGAGTATATTTAAAACTTTTCAACAAAGGACATCAATTAGCTCATTTTCCTCATATGTAATATAGGCATGGAGGCATTCTAGTTAATATAATTCTTGCAGCAGCACTTAATATGTAAATATAGATATTCTTTCACATATATGAGATTTCATAAAAATCACTATCAATTTTCACTCAATATGGAAAAAAATCACAATTTCTCATTTATGTTTTATTTCAGTTGCATCTAATGATTAAAAGGTTATAAAGAGAAATTTCTTTTCACTCTTTTAAGTTCCAGTGCCACATAATTTCATCAGTTATCCCTTCATGGTTAAATGTTTTCTTTGTTTTTTTTCTTTTTTCAGTTATTATTATTACTGTTGTTGCTGTTGGTTTTTGCCTAGAAATTTTAGCCTGGGCTCATGAACAATTCCATCTTAAATGGCAAAAAATGTCTATTTAATCACATAGAAAACACATCAATGTTTTCATAGAATAAATATAAAGCAGTAATTTTTTTTCTAATCCAAAGTGTGCCTATTTTATTATATTTAGTCCAACATCATATAAGACTTTTTAAGAAGGAAGTGTTTTAAAGTGCATTTAAAATTATATTTGAAGTAATACGAAGAAAATGAGAGTATCTGAATAAAATTAAGCAATATTGGGAGAGTTCTGAAAAATAAAAGTCATCAGCTTAATATACAAGCATTCCTATTACTTGTAGTGCCTATAGAAGCTTATGCTTTAATGTTTTCTAAATGGCTGTTGCAAATTTTTAAATTGCTGTTACTTGTATACCTGGCAAATTGAATCAGCACAACACAGGTGCAGTATTTAGTCTAAGGCAAGAAAGGCCCTTTCATAAACCTTAAGGAATTTTGTCTGGATAGAAAGTGGAGTTCCTGTGGTTAAGAGTATGTGGCCACCCTGAGGCCATACTCCCCCTCTAAACCACTGCCTCGGCTAGAAAGCCAAGCCTCACTGTTCAAACAGCACTGAGTCTTCATCCAAAGCCTACAAGTGTCTCTAGAGCAGGTCCTTGCTAATAAGAGTGGATTATTGATCCAGTACCAGTCATACTCCTAAAGTCTAAAAGATGGCCAATGGGCATCTCTTGTTGCTGAGGGCTTGAATGTAAACCGATCAGGAAAATTCAGTGTGGGATATCCAAACACTTTGCCTGGAGCCTTTAAGATGCTGGAGATGAATGAGTCTATAGATTCTAAAATTCAATTATATTTCTCAGCCTCCTCTTAACATTAGGAAACTTAAAATGACAATGCAGGTGGGAGTGGCTGTGAAGTATCATTGACAGGAAAGAAAATACTTGCAGAAAAATCAAATTTGGGACCCAGACATTCCTTTCATTTTTAGGGGTATACTTAGTGTGGAACATAACGAAATCAGAACTTTAGGTTTGTCTCTTATTGTTGTTTTAATGTTAATTAAATGAGAGAGTTCTTCTACTACCTCAGTATAAATGTACTGTCTCAGAAAGGTCTTGTTTTCCTTGTTTCATTATGTTATTTTAGATATAAATAAATCTTTTAGAGGCAACAAAGAGTCTCAGTTTGGTAATGTGTAGTTTTGAATATGTTAGTTAATTTGTTAATCTTCACACTTTTCCCTATCCCTCCATATTAAGCAAAAAGTATCTGACATTCCTATGACTCTTTTCAACTTTTATTTTAGTTTAAGTGGATACATGTGCAGGTTTGTTACATGAGTGTATTGTGTGATGCATATATTGGGGCCCAATTAATCCCATCACCCATATTAATTTTAGAATAGTTATTTTTTTTCTAATTTTATGAAAAATGATGATGATAGTTTGACGGGAACAATGTTGGATTTGTACATTTCCTTGGGCAGTGTGGCCATTTTAACAATATTGATTTGATTCTTCCAAATCCATGACCTGGAATGTTTCTCCATTTGTTTGTGCCATTTATAATTTATTTCAGCAGTGTTTTGTAACTATCCTTGTGGAGGTCATTCACCTTCCTGGTTAGACGTATTCTTGGGTATTTTATTTTATTTTATTTATTAATTTTTTTTTTTTTGAGATGGAGTCTTGCTCTGTTGCCTAGGCTGGAGTACAGTGGCTCAATGTCGGCTCACTGCAAGCTCCGCCTCCCAGGTTCATGCCATTCTCCTGCCTCAGCCTCCTGAGTAGCTGGGACCACAGGCCCCCACCACCATGCTCGGCTAATTTTTTTGTATTTTTAGTAGAGATGGGGTTTCACCGTGTTAACCAGGATGGTCTGGATCTCCTGACCTCGTGATCCACCCGCCTCGGCCTCTCAAAGTGCTGGGATTACAGGTGTGAGCCACCACGCCCGGCCAGGTATTTTATTTCTTGAGGCTATTGTAAATAAGATTGCATTCCTGATTTGGCTCTCACCTTGAACATTATTGGTGTATAGAAATGCTACTGATTTTTGTACATAGGTTTTGTATCCTGAAACTTTATCATTATCAGTTCCAAGAGACTTTTGATGGAATCTTTTAAAGTTTTCTAAGCATAGAATCATATTGTCAGTGAAGAGAGATAGTTGACTTATTTTCCTGTTTGGGTGCCTTTTACTTCTTTCTCTTGCCTGATTGTTTTGGTTGGGACTTCCAGTACTATGTTGAATAGGAGTAATGAGAGTGGCCATTTTCATCTTCTTCCAGCTCTCAAAGGGGATGCTTCCAGTTATTGCCTGTTCAGTATGACGTTGGCTGGGAGTTTGTTATAGTTGGCTATTATTATTCTGAGGTGTGTTCCTTAGATGCCGAGTTTTTTGAAGGTTTTTATCATGAAGGAATTTTGAATTTTATTTATCAAAAGCTTTTTATTCATGTCTATTGAGATGATCATATGGTTTCTGTTTTTTTTGTTTGTTTGTTTGTTTTTTTTTGAGACGGAGTCTCGCTCTGTCGCCCAGGCTGGAGTGCAGTGGCGGGATCTCGGCTCACTGCAAGCTCCGCCTCCCGGGTTCACGCCATTCTCCTGCCTCAGCCTCCCAAGTAGCTGGGACTACAGGCGCCCGCCACTACGCCCGGCTAATTTTTTGTATTTTTAGTAGAGACGGGGTTTCACCATTTTAGCCGGGATGGTCTCGATCTCCTGACCTCGTGATCCGCCCGCCTCAGCCTCCCAAAGTGCTGGGATTACAGGCGTGAGCCACCGCGCCCGGCCTGGTTTCTGTTTTTAATTCTGTGAATGTGGTAAATAATATTTGGTGATTTATGTATGTTGTGTATATTGTGTGTTGAACCTTGTGTTTGTGTATGTTGAACCTTGCATATCAGGAATGAAGCCTATTTGATTGTGGTGAATTAACTTTTTGATGTGCTGCTGGATTCATTCTGCCAGTATTTTGTTGAACATTTTTGCATCTATGTTCATCAAGAATATTGGGCTGCAGTTTAATTGTGTCTTTGCCAAATTTTGGTATCAAAGTGATGCTGACATTGTAGAAATAATTTTGAAAGAGTTCTGCTTCCTGTATTTTTTGGAACAATTTTAGTAAAACTAGTACTAGCTCTTTTTTGTATGTTTGGTAAAATTCATCTGTGAATCCATCTGGCCCAGGGCCTTATTTTGGTTAGTACATTTTGTTTTATGACTAATTGAATTTCAAAACTCTGTCTGTTCGTGGTTTTAATTTCTTCCTGTTTCAGTCTTTGGAGGTTGGAGGTTGTGTGTTTCAGGATTTTGTCCACATCCTCTGGATTTTTTAGTTTGTATGCATAGAGGTGTTTATAGTAGTCTCTAAGGGCCTTTTATATTTCTGTGGGATTAGTTGTAATGTCACCCTTGTTATTTCTGATTGTGCTTATTTGGCTTTTCTCCCTTTCTCTTTTGGGTTTATCTAGCTAGCAGTCTGTCAATCTTGTTAGTCCTTTCAAAAAACCAACTTTTTCATTTGTTGATCCTTTTTATGGATTTCTGGGTCTTAATTTTGTTTGATTCTGCTCTGATTTTAGTTATTTCTTTTCTTCTGCTAGTTTTGGGGTTAGTTTGTTCATATTTTTCTAGTTCCTCTAGGTATTTGAGATCTTTCTAATTGCTTGATGTAGGCATTTGGCCCTATAAAGCTGCTTTTGCTGCATCCCAGAAACTTTGGCATGTTGTGTCTCTGTTTTAATTTTTTTTTCAAGAATTTTTTTAAATGTCTGCCCTAGTTTCCTTGTTTATCTGAAAGTTATTTATGAGCAAGCTGTTTAATTTTCATGGAACTGTGTGGCTTTGAGAGATTTTCTTATAATTAATTTCTATTTTTATTCCATGTGGTCCAACAGTATGGTTGGTATAATTTTTATTTTTATATTTTTGAATTTATTGAGACTTGCTCTATCACAAAGCATGTTATCAATCTTGGAGTATGTCCCACATGCCAATTAGAAGACTGTATATTCTGCATTTGATGGGTAGAGTATTCTATAGACATCTATTAGGTCCAATTAATCAAGACCTCAATTTAAGTTCAGTATTTATTTGTTAATTTTCTGTCTTAAAGATCTGTTTAGCACTGTCAGTGGCATGTTGAAATCACCCACTGTTATTGTGTGGTTGTCCAAGTCTTTTCATAGGTCTAAAAGTACTTGTTTTATGAATCTGGGTGCTTCAATTTGTGTTGCATATATATGTAGAATCGTTTAGTTTTCCTGTTGACTTGAATCATTTGTCATTATGTAACGCCCTTCTTTGCCCGTTTTAACTGTTTTTGGTTTGAAGTCTGTTTTACCTCTACTCTTTTTTTCATTTTCTATTTGCATGGTAGATCTTTCTTCAACTCCTTACTTTAAACCTATGAGTGTCTTTACATATGAGATGGACCTGAAGACAGCAAACAGTTGGGTGTGTTTTTGCTTAATCCAACTTGCCACTCTGTTCCTTTTAAGTGGGGCCTGGCTTTGGAAGGCTGAGGGTTTGCCTTATATGAACCCTTTAAGATGTGGTCAGGATACTTGAAAGGTTTACTCAAGCTGGATGAACAAATTATTTGAATTTTTTTCTGCTTGCTTGCCAATAAACATATGATTAATAAATGTTGCATGTGTGGCAGAAAATTTGTTTTGGGACTTGTTTTATCATAATCTGTTGAGCCGTTTATGGG
Source organism: Homo sapiens (assembly GCF_000001405.40). NCBI lineage: Eukaryota > Metazoa > Chordata > Mammalia > Primates > Hominidae > Homo > Homo sapiens. Next base: position 145,013,976 of record NC_000003.12, on the reverse strand, counting down.
AGAGTAATTAATTTCCACCTACCTCAAAAATATTTATGAGCCTATAATTAGTTAGTCAGTTTTGAAACACAAGTAAATCTTAGAACATTCAACTATTTCTCCTTCAGATGAAGCATAATGAAAACCAATATGAAGGGATCTGTAGTAAAGACAAGGTTAACTTCGTTAGAGCCTATGAATTTGATAGTGTTATAGAGCATGGTTTTAAAAAGTATTTCCATAAAGATGTATTTGAATATGGGGGAAAAAGTTCATCTTTAGTTCCCATTTCCAAGTTAATTTTGAATTTCAAACACTGCCATCTTCTTACGTTTCTCTGTCAGTTAATTTAAGGTTATCTCAGTTTCTTGGTTTCCTCAGAGATCACAATCCAGACTCAGGCCTAACATCAGCTGCCCAAGAACTTTGCCCCATGAGATCAGATATCTAGTGTCACAACCAAGCACATTAGGGGCTTAGCTTCTTGTAGAGAGGATATTTACCTTGCTTTTCTATGCAAGACAAGCAATCTGTTTACTCCTAGAAGCTTGAGAGAGTAAGGAGGAAAATCCCCAAGGAAAAAAATCATAATCTGGCTACATTACAGTGTAGATTCTCTCTTTCAAAATACAGTTTTAAGAAAGAAAACATCCAAATATAGAGTGAAAGATTATGTATATGATATATTATATATCTCTCATATATGTATATTAATTTAATTTTTTGAAAAAAGGGAGACAAATAGAAAATAAGTAAAAAAAGTAAATGGACAGTTTTGAAGATAAAAATTATCCCATATGACAACTGCACATAAAAAAATGCTGATTAGTCTTTAGAAGAACACAAATTAAAATTGCCATGTATACTACAGTAATCTCATTAGACAGACTAAAAAACAAGGATTATGTGGCAAGTGTAACTATTATATACTACTAGTGAATGCAAATTGGTGAAAACACTTTGGGAACTAATTTGGCAATATCTACTAAATCTAACTATGTGTGTACCTTATGAGCTAGAAATTCCTCCTTGATATACTCAACAGAATAGTGCACATATACTCACCCAAGATATGCACAAGTCTACACATGGGAGCACCATAATGTTAGTCAAAAACTGGATGTAACCCAAACATCATGCAACAAATAACTTTTAGTATTCATAGATAGTAGTGTTCAACAGATAACTTGTAGTATTCATTAAATGAAATACTCTATCACAATAAGAATGCTCAATTTCCTGTTGCCACATGCAAAATCATGGATATATCTCACCATGATAATGTTCAGGAAAAAAATTCAGAAACAGGAAAGTACAATATCATCTATGTAAAGTATGAAAAATTTATAACAGACATATATCTAGTGTTAGAAGTCAATGTAGAATTTACTTTTGGGGGATAGTGACTTGTAAGGGGTTTAAGAGAAGCTCCTTTGGTGAAGATAATGTTCATTTCTTGATCTGAACGTCACTTATATAAATGCATTTGTTTTGTGAAAATTCATTTATTTATAATCTATATACTTTTAGATATGTGCAGTAATTCATTAAAAATTTTCATGTTAATAATTCTTATTTTAGTAATTATTTGAAAAAACCTCATGGTTTTATTCTGATTTTTAGTTAAAGTGGTAATCACAGAATGTGTGTTCTGAAGCGAATTACAAAATATAAGGATATAGAAAACAATTTTTAAGCACACTTTAAATGAGCTTCAAAGATTCATAAAACTATTCTTAAAATATATTTGTCTACTACCACCAATATTAAAGATCAAATAAGAAAGAAATGCCTTTGTCTTCAACTCTATCAATAAATATGAAAACCATTAAAATATTTGATGTACCAAACTTGGGTGTTCCTCACAAAATATTTTTCTAGCTGGAATTTACATATCATATCATACGTAAAGTGTTTTACATTGCAATTTATCTGACCTTAGAGAGGTGGAAGTGGTTTATTAAGAGTTTAATAGGAGCCAGTCATTCTATGATAAAAACAGACACTATCCCTGAACTCATGAAGTCGACAGTTGCTAGGTGATAATGAACACTAAACAAATTTATAAGTAATATATTTATTTGGAATATGACTAAAAGTATTATGGAAAAAAAGAGGAAAAGAGAATAGCAGCATCTACTTATTTTTTAAGGCTGAATAATATTCCCTTGAGTTTGTATACGTACACCATATCTTCTTTATCCATTCATCCACTGATCTTTATTGGTTGCCTAATATTTTACACAATCCATAGTTTATTCTGTATTTTAGGCTTTTCTGGATTTTCTTACACACCTGTGCTTTGTTTTATGGAATCTCCAAGGGCTATTTTATAGAAAGAGACAAAAAACCATTTTACAGTAAAGAGGTTTTGAATATTAATGACACGAGGTTATCAAGATAGCAGCCTGTATGATCTTTTATTATCTTTCTTTCTGCCTAAAATTAAAATGATCTTTAAAGTTTATTTTATCTGAGAAATAGTGGGCATTCATAGATGTTTTTATAAAGCATCTTGGGTGAGTTTGCGTATAAAGTACGCTGCTCATTCTGAGTTCATTGTCTGCATGGATTTCTTTGCCAGGGCAATTAAGAAGAGAAATGGTGACAGTAATAGAAATACCATTGATAAAGTCTATGTACTTCAGGCAGAAAGTCATTACTTTAATAAATGAACAAAGGGCCACTGTCTAAAGAAAAGGAAATCCAAAGATCTCTGTAGTAAGTAAATTACTTTCAACATTAGGAAACAGCCATAGTGGGATGGGATTTGGGCAATAAGGAAAATAGAACAGAATCTGCACATAAAAATTATTAATAAATTGTCACACGAAAAGAATAAGACTCCAAGCAAGATCATATAGTCCTGACTAAGCTAGGGGACTGAGGGTTTGTTGATGGGAACAATAATTACTAATTTTACCAGCATTTCAAAAAATAGGGTTTGTAAGTTAACATCAAACACAATTATTGTATTATTGGTTATAGATGCATGAACTATAAGGACACTCAATATAATGTCAACCTCCATTGTTTGCTGTAGTTGTTTTTTATAAAGTTACAGGGAGCATTAATTAGCAAATACCTAATCATTGCCTTTAGGTAAAATACTGGGTTATATTTTTGCCAATTAATCAACTGACCAATATATTATTTTATGAGTGTTTCTGCTTAAAGATAACTTATTTAATACATATTGTTGATTCATTAACACTCAACTTACAGCCAGCAGCACTGTAACTCATACTGGCAGGAAACTTATCTAACCCACCTGTATTTTCTCTCTAAGGAACATAACAGCTTTCCTGTGCTTAGGAACACTAGGCAGCATTTCAGCACTATGCTTTGGTCCAAGACCATGAAAAACAAAACAAAACAAAACAAAACACTTGTTTGCAGTATGATAGCTGAAGCAAGAAGGTAGTGCATCACTTTGTTGGGCTAAAACTGAAAATATGGTTCTGGGATGACTCAAATTTCTCACCGTTGTGTAAAGGCACACATCTGTGAATGACTTCAGAAGTGTCATAAGCATTGACTTTGGGGTTACAAGTAGATTTTAGCCAGTAGGTGAATTCTATAAATATGGAATCAGCAAATAACTAAGACTGAGTGGTCAATAATATGTGGGCTTAATTCTTACAATATTGTTATTTTAACAATACTGTAATGTTCCTGGGAAAAAGGTATCTGAACAGGATGAATGGAAGTTCAGGATGCATATTTTCATATGAAACTCTAGAGCACTGATATTTTTGGCCAAGTGAGAGCTTACATAGTCCCAGCAACTTATTCTATTAGAAAGTGGGCTTCTTTGGGGCAGGGCCTAATCTGTCTTGATGACAGTGGTGTTGTAAGTCTTAGCACAGTATTTGGCACAATTAAGCCTTCTAAAGACAGTTGTCGAAATAAATGTCACCCCTCTCAGTGCCATTTGTGCTTTTATTGTCCACATTTTATTTGTAGTCCCCTTCTATCACTCTTCAGTATTCCTCTTTTCAAAATACCTGCAGTTGAAATAATCCTATCTTGACTTAACAGTTTAATTTTGTTTTCCTAAACTATATTTTGTTCCTTTTCATCAACTATAATAGATACTACCATGTTGCGGTCATCATTGTCCAAGTTTTCAGTAACTTCTTATCTGTATTAGTCTGTTCTCACACTGCTATAAAGATACTACCAAGACGCGGTAATTTATAAAGAAAAGAAGTTTACTTGACTCACAGCTCTGCATGGCTGGGGAGGCCTCAGGAAACTTACAATCATGGCAGAAGGAGAAGAGGCACATTTTACATGGCATCAGGTGAGACAGCGTGTGCAAGAGAAGGGGAAACTGCCTTATAAAGCCATCAGAACTCGTGAGAACTCACTGTCATGAGAACAGCATGGGGGAAACTGCCCCCATGTTCTAATCACCTCCCATCTGGTCACTCCCTTGGTATATGACAATTATGGGGATTACAATTTGAGATGAGATTTGGTAGCAACACAGAGTCAAACCATATCACCGTCCCTCCTCTACTGAGTATCAGGTTGAGTCAATTTTAGTAGTTTGCATTGCTTCTTCAAGTTGTTAAAGGAAACTTAAGTGCCATAGCAATTAAATAACATCTGTTTACACAGACACACACACACACAGAAATATCCACATACATCACACACAAATTTCTTTCATTAATACAATAATAATTTGGGGTATTTAAAAGGCTGAACATCCTAAATTGCCCCCTGCCCAGGGATCACCTAAAAGTATTTTGAGAAAGCATCAACTACATCCTCCAACTAGCTAGAATGTATTAAATACATACCTGCAAGAATTACGTCTCTTTCTGGTTTTTTTCTTTTTTATTCTTCACTATTATATTATTTATTGCTTATTATTCATAAATGGTTTTATATTCATTGCTGTTGACTCTATAAGGAGTAGAGGCAGTATATTATATGTCACATATATTTTCTCCAGCATCCCAGTTTCATTCTTTCTAAATACAGCCTAAAGTATTTTAGGTTCTGACTCCCATGGTAACCTAGATGCTGGAAATTGTGCTTCATTCCAATGAGTTATAACCTATTCTGAGAACACAGCTAAGGTTACTAAAATGACACAGTAAAGTTGTGAATTTTATGTATTTTAGGTGTGACAATGTGCACTCAAATAATTTTTCTTGTTGAAAATACTAGAAACTTTCTCGAAAATTACTTGAGCAAACTTTAAAATTTATTGGTAAGATAAAGGAGTAATTTCTTATTTAAGGTGAAGAATGAGCACATATATTTATTTCCTCTACCTCCTGAGAATTCAGTATAAACTATAACAAAAGAAGTTAAAAATAAAGAAGAGTATGGAAGGGGGGGTATTAGTTAAACTAATTTATAAGAAAGTTAAAAAAATGTGAATATTATATTTCTTATTTAAAAATAATGAAAAGCTAATCAGTTCATACAAGGCCTGGGATCCTGGGAAATTAATTTTTTCTGAACTCTTTTCTATATAAATGAGTTGACCCAAATCAGCATGACAGTACCATCTTGGTGGCTCAATCTTTTTCGATCCTGTGAAAAAAGTACCATGACAGCCAGTAGAGTGATCTGCTTACCAGCCCATTTTCCTGGAACTGGAGCCAGCCAAGTGTCTAGAATAATCCATAGGAGTGACATCCAGAGCTCCTCAAGACGTCTCTTTGATTCCACATTTGGAGAAAATAGTCAAAGAATTACCTGAAGAGGAGAACTGGGTATCAGGGCCCACCCGGATATTTGTCTGGATGGGATGTCCACCATGGATAACACTGTGAACCCCAGCCAGCCCCAGGCAGAAGACAAGCAGTTACAAATATCTCAAGGAAGGCGATCAGATTATAAGATGCTAAAATTTACATGGTCCAAGGCAATCTAAAGGCAGAACTGGACACATAAAATAATGAGTTTCATAGCTGTGGGCTCATTAATTCACATAATGAAAAACTCAGTATAGACAAGGATATCATTAGTACATATGGCACACTTTGGCAAATTGGGGGAAAATATCTTCTTTGAAGTAATTTAGTAATATTTGTCAGAAGCCTGTAAGATACATATTTTGCTACAACATTACACTATCTGCTGTAACTATAGAAATTAACACTTGCTCTTATATCACTTAAATTCATTATTGCTAACAGGAATCTTTGAAGGTTGTATCACACTATATCTCAAGTACCTGTGGTAGTACATGACACAGAGTTGCCAAAGGTTTTGTTGAATGAAGTATATTAGACCTTAAGTGATTTCTGCATCAACAATACAATTGTATTGTTTCTGAACATATTCAATTATGTATGGTACACAAAATGTGTACATGACTACATGTTCTATTTTATATATTAGATGTTTAAATTTCTGTATGCTTATAAGCATATGCTAAAGTTTATCTTTCTTTTTAACTGGGCAAAGTATTTTATTCACTTAACATAAATATTCACAAAGGAAAGATAGTGTCCACGTTACACACAGCATATACACACACACGCACGCACACACACACACACACACCCCTTTTCTTGTAATATTCTTTTTGTCGGAAAAATAAAGCTTTTAGAGAGAGAGAGAAAAAACATTTTTACTGAACAAAAATTAATGGAACTTTTTTCTTTGTCCTTGGACCAAAGTTTACTCTTCAAGAAAACATCATTTTGACATCCATCAGTTCTTTGCAAGAAACAAAATTTTGGTTTTACCCTGCTGAGACATGTTAAATGGTGTGCTAAACTAGGCCTTTTAAATTTTCCATGTCCTGCACCAACTTCCTATACTACATTACACCCAGCATCTCATTTACTAGAATTGGTCATTTTGGTTTAGAAGCAAAAACAATTACTTCAGTATAACCAAGAGATTATTACTGGCAAATCAAGAATATTCTGTTTACATCAGAGGCACACACTACTGAGCTGAGTAAATATTATTGTGGCTTCAGGATATAATTACTCTGATTTTAAAAAGATAAGTTTGGCTAGTTTACCTTTACACTGAATTTATACTAGAGAAAAATTAAGTGTTGATCAGAGTATCATTGGATCACTCTTGAAAAGAACACTTAATATCAGATATGACAAGGCAAATTATTTTTTCTTATGCCACTCTGATGATATTTATTTAGTACCTGAATCTAACATTTTGTATAGGTTTGCAGATTTGTTTAAAATACATTGTCAAACACTATTCAAAAAATAATCTATTTAACTCTGAAGATCAATAAAGATATGAATTCAAAATATCAAAAATCTTCATTTGTATATCTTTTACAATTCCTGTTATTTTAGAACTGCTACATGGAAAGACTTTTCTGACACTTTTCATCAGAGAAGTTATGCATGAGTTTTTAATGTAAATTGCAAAAAAAGTTTGGAATTCTTAAGTGTAGTTGGAAATATACATAGCTTATAAACGATTGCATTCTATGCTATCTAGGAGTTTGGCATTTACGACTGTGACTCACAAAGCAAAATCACAAAGTGATCAGCAAACTCCTGAAGAGGAACTAATGCAGGCAGAAACTGTGATAAGAACTATAAACGTAAGCATAGTAAGATAATGGTCCTTCCCTTAAAGCTAATCACAATCTGTATATTCTCTAGCCTCAAGTGTGACATTCAGGCATCTTTACACTCCTTGGTATTTCCTTTTACCCTTTTGGAAGGAAAGTAAATTTTGTAAATTACCAAAACCTCCATGTACATTACTATATCTTGATGGGTTACTTTTCCCAAGATATATATTTTTTCATTTAATTTTATCTGGTTTCAGAGAATTGAAGTAAGTTGCTTAGGGCCATAAAGCATGTTTGCAACAGAGCAGCCATGAATCTGAGATATCCTAGTTTTTGGCAGTGTTTCCCTAAAATCACCTCACTTGCCTAACTTCAGGTGGAAAATATTCAGAATGTTTGCATAAAATGTAGAAAAGGCAAATATTAATAATAGCAAAAATATTAGTAATGTAAATGCATGTTTCATTAGGAGTCCAGAGAAAATAAAACAATAAGTGTGCACATTAATACTGTGTTCTAATAATGTGATAAATGGTTACTAATATAGACCAAAAATACAGTGTCCTGTTTATACATCTTAGAGAGATATTACCATAATAGAAATCATATTATTATTAATTAGCTTTAGAAGGCAGTGCATCATTCACAGCTTTAACATATTAACTTAATTATAAAAATTAGTAATTACATCTGTTAGACTAATGGTCCTTTAAATCAGCAAGGAGGTCATTGTTATAGAGTATTATTTCAAATGTGACACATGTTGCACGAAGATAAAAATATCATGGGTAGGTTTCAAGTCGTTCACTTTAAAGGTCCATGAAATCTGAGCATGATCATGGGTCAGAACCCAAGCCATTTCTGACTAACAAAGTTTTTTATAGTCAGTATCATGTTGTTGGTGACATGAAAAATGAACGGATTAAATTAATTATAGAAATTATGACTGTAAGACATGGCCCAAGGACATTCAGAGAGGGAAAGGCGTATGTGCTAATTAGGTCTGAGATAAATGCATTATAATAAAGCTTAAAACTTAGTAAAAGTCAAAGGTGTCATGCAAATGGTAGGGACACTAAATATCATGAAAAAGATATAATGATACTTTCCTCTTTATAAAATTTTCCTGTTATAAATGAGGAAATTTGTAAACAGCTATCATGTTGTCAGCTGTTCTCATTTTAAATATAATCAATCACTGCAAGGTGCAGCATAAATCTCTAACAGTGAAAAATATGACAGTGGCTGATAAAAGCTAAGATGACAGAAGAGGGCCATCCTTGCTATTCTGAAATAAAATGGACAAATGAAGGTCAATACTGAAAATGAGATGGGAGGATAAAAACATTAAATATTAAGTGAACAGAAGGGAAGCTCCAATTCTCATACCGTAAATGAATGTTTCCAAAGAATATAATTTATGTGATGAATGGCTATTAATTATACAGAGTCAGAATTAGAGTTATATTCAATCATTTGTGACTCTTTACCTCTCGTACAGTGAGTGTGGCTAAATCTGAGCCATCTCACATAACAAATGAAACATTATTTGAGGTAACATTGAAGAAATTACATTGATGAACACATATACAAAATAATTTTCCTTTTCGATACTCCACATTTCAAATTGTTTATTCTACCATTCCTGTATGACTTTTAAGTAAATATACAAGCAAGTAAAGTAACTTTGTGAGTCTAGAATCTGATATTTTCAAAAGGTTATGGCCCACAAAAGATAACCAATGCTTATGAGGATGCGGAGAAAAATTAACTGTTATACACTGTTAATGGGAATATAAATTAGTACAGCCATTATGGAAAACAGTACGGAAGTTCCTTAAGAAACTACAGATAGAACTACCATAAGATCCAGCAATCCCACTATGGGGCCTGATGCCCAAAAGAAAGAAAATCACCATTTCTAAGAGAGATCTGCATTCCCACTTATATTGGATCATTAGTCACAACCGTCAAAATATGGAATCAACCTAAGTGTTCATCAATAGATGAATGGATAAAGAAAATGTGGTATTTCTACAAAATGAAGTACTATTCAGCTACAAAATAATAATTTTAAAAATCCTCTCATTTGTGTGACATGGATGAAAATTGGAGGAGATTTTGTTAACTGAAATAAGCCAAGTGCAGAAAGACTAATACTGTATTTTCTCACTCACATGTGAAAGCTAAAAAGTTGATTTCATAGAAATGGAAAGTAGAATAGTGGTTAGTAGACGCCAGGAAGGGTAATGGGGAGGGAATAGTCAGAGAATGGCCGTGTGATTCCAGTTCCCCTTTGAGATAGGTTTTATAAGCATTATCACAGTTTAAAATCAATTTTCAAGAGACTGTTACTAATAGTTTGCTTTGAAACTTGTGATTTTTCTAATAATTGGCTGAGCTACTTTTCTCTACTTTGTATTACCACATACAAATATGCTTTATTTTGAAACAATGTTGTTCTTAAAATTAATGTTACAATTAATCTAAAACTTTAAATGTACAAATGAAAAATCACACTTCAATCACGTGAACAGTTAAATTTTTAGTTTATGTACTTACAGCAGTTTCACCAATGGCTTCTCTCTTAAACTGCAACATGCTCTAAAAATATATTTTTCATAGCATAGTGCTTATGCACATTCTGTGTCTTCTGTCTGCCACAGCACTCATCTTTCAGAATGAATTAAAAATCAAATCCTCTGTTAAAGGTCTCTTGAACAATCTCTAATGGCCACATATTATTTTTAAGGCATGTATCACCAATTAATAGAGTTTTCTTAATGTATATCTTCAAATTGTGAGCTCCTTCAGAGCAGGGACACTGTTTTTTTTAATGTGCCCAACTTTAGTATGGCACTTAATACATAGTAGGTATTTATTATGTATTTTCTGAATGAATGTTGAGTGAATTCAAAATTTAAGACAGAAAGTAGGTATATATTTTAAAGATAAATGCTGGCCCTGTTAATAATGTGAGAGAAGAGTGGGCAAATTCTTACACATGTATGTATAGAGATAAAACACAATAGACAAGAGGTTTTTAAAAATCAAGGAAAGACAGTAATTTTACTGTATCATATACAAAATAAGAGTTTTCCCAATTATTTTAATTTAATCTACATAATGGGAAATAACTATATGAAACATATTTTCCATTTATTTTTGTATTGCTCCTCTATTTATTTCACTTTTACATCACTATGTAAATTTTCCCACCAGAGAAGATTGAAGAGAACTATTTCTTGTAAAAGATTTGGAGATCATATTGTACACAGCACTAAACACAGAGCAGTTATTATAATAAATGCAGTATATCTATATTCCTACTGCACCCTAGTGCATATTTACATTATAATTGAATATGTACTTGTGTGCAAATGTTTGCTGAGACTATAAGCGAGAGAGTCTCTGAAAGAAGAATAACTTTCTAACAGAATATTCTTCATGTTAGTCTTTGTCATATCCAACAGTAACAAGAAAATCCATCAGGAGATTCAATAATATGGTCAAAAAAGGTAATCTGTCTCTGTTTAGTTTAAACCATGACATTGATCAGCATCTGGGGTTGCTATACGCTAAACTAAATGATATGTTTTAGCTCTGTATGCCCAGGCAATTTCATCTCGAATTGTAATCCCCAAGTATCAGAGGAGGGGCCTGGTGGGAGGTGACTGAATCATGGGGGCAGACATCCCCCTTGCTTTTCTGGTTATACTGAGTGAGTTCTCATGAGATATGCTTATTTAAAAGTGTGTGGCACTTTCCCATTTGCTCTCTCTCTCTCCTGTTCCACCATGGTAAGACATGCTTGCTTCCGCTTCACCTTCTGTCATGATTGTCAGTTTCCTGAGGCCTCCCAGGCATGATTCCTGTAAAGCCTGTGGGTTGTGGGTCAATTAAACCTCTTTTCTGCATAAATTACCCAGTCTCAGGTAGTTCTTTTTAGCAGTGTGAGAAGGGACTAGTACACTGAGTACATCCCTAAAATAGAGTCCAGCAAGTATGTTTTTTATAAAGATTTGGTTACATAAAAAATATAAAGTATTTTGATATGACTTTTACATGTATGAAATCAAACACAGTCTATGTTAATAGTGACTTTGAGTGACTGATAAAGATGAGAAACCTCTGTAAAGGGAGAGAAGATTTAGTGCAGAGATGAATTGTTCAACCTGATCTTGATGAGTGATATAGTTTGCAAATTTGTTACCTCCAAATCTCATGTTAAAATGTAATCTCCAATGTTGGAGGTGGGGCCTAATGGGAGGTGTTTGAGTCATGGGGATTCATTGCTAATGAATGGTTTTGTGCTGTCCTTGTGATAATGAGGAGTTCTTGCTGAATTCACACAAGATCTGGTTGTTTAAAAGAGTTTTGCGCCTTCCTCCCATCTCTCTTTTGCTCCTGTTCTTACCATGTGATGTGTCTTCTCTGGCTTCCCATTTCACTATGGTTCTAAGCTTCCTGAGGCCTTCACCAGAGGCCCAGCAGGTATTGGTTCCATGTTTGTACAGCCTGCAAATTAAACCTTTTTTTAACATATAAAATACCCAGCCTCAGATATTTATTAATAATGATGCAAAAATGAACTAACACAGAAAACTGGTACCAAGAGTGGGGTGTTGCCATAAAGACCCTTAAGATGTAGAAGCAGCTTTGGAATAGGGTAATGGACAGAGGTTGGGATAGTTTGTAGTGCTCAGAAAAACATAAGAAGATGACGAAAAATTTGGAACTTCTTAGAGACTAGTTAAAATGTTGTGACCAAAATGCTGATAGAGATATGAACATTGAAGTTCAGGCTGATGAGGTTTCAGATGGAAATGAAGATGTTATTGGGAACTACAATACAGGTCACCTGTGTTACACTAGCAAATAACCTGGCTGCACTTTGTTCATGTCCTAGACATCTAAAGAAGTTTGAACCTATGAATTATAACATGGTGCCTGGCAGAAGAAATTTCTAGCAGCAAAGCATTCAGGATGTATCCTGACTGCTTCTAACAGCCTTAGATCAGATATGGGAGCAAATAAATGATGTAAAATTGGAACTCATATGTAAAAGGAAAGCATAGAATCAAAGTTTGGGAAATTTGCACCCTAGCCATGTGGCAGAGAAAGTAAAAGCATTTTCAGGTGAGAAATACAAGTGGGTTGTTTTGCAAACATTTGCTAATGAGATTTGTGTGAATAAAAAGGAGCCAAGTGTTCATATCCAAAAAAGTGTGAAAAAGGTCTTGAAGGTATTTCAGAGATCTTCTAGACAGCTCCTCCCACAATAGTCTCAGAGGCCTAGGAGAAAATAATGGCTTCAGGTGCCAAGCATGGAGCCCCATTACTCTGTTCAGCCTCAGGAACCTGCTCCCTGAATCTAGGCTACCCCTGAAACAGCCACAGCTAAAAGGGTCCCAGGTATAGTGTGGGCTGCCACTCCAGAGGGCATAAGCCTCAAGCCTTGGTGGCCTCCACATGGTGTTAAGTCTGCAGGTGCACAAAATTCAAGCATGAAAAAAGCTTTGCAGCTTCCCTTAACATTTTGGGGCCACAGCTGACTGCAGGTAACTGAAACCATGGAAAGTAAAATCATGGGTAATGGGGGACTATTGAATCAGGAAATCACTTCAATGCCTAGTTTTTTATTTTACTATTGTTTTGGTTTGTTTATCATAGACCTGCATCTTTCCCATGCATATTTTAGTCTAGAACTGAGTAGTATTCTTTTGGAAAATAATATTTAACTATTTTTTTAGCGCCGTAGCCTCATAATAATTTCCTTATGAAACAATGCCCTTTAGATTTCAGAAGTAAGAAAAAGCCTCAGTGCCCAGGCAGAAGCCTGTCATAGGGGTGAAACCCACACAGAGAACCTCTACAGGTTCAATGAAGAGGGGAAAAGTGGGGTTGGAGCCGCCACTCAGAGTCCCCTTCAGGGAGCTGCCTAGTGAAGCTGTGGGATGACAGCTGCCACCACTCAGCCCCCAGAATTGTAAAGCCACCAGCAGGTTGTACTCTCAACCTGAGAAAGCCACAGCACTCAAATCCAACCCATGAGAACAGCCATTAGGGCTGCAGCATGCAAAGCCACAGGGGTAGACCTGCCCAAGGCCTTAGGAGTCTGCACCTTGCAGCAGTGTGCCTAGGATGTGGGACATGGAGTCAAAGGAGATTATTTTGGAGCTTTAAGGTTTAATGTCTGCCCTACTGGTTTTCCAGCTTGCATGGGGTATGTTATCAATTTCCTTTGGCTGGTTATCTCTTTTGGAATGAGAATGTTTACCCAATTCCTGTACCACCATTGAATCTTTAAAGTAAATTACTTTGTTTTGATTTTACAGGTTCATTGGTGGAAGGAACTTGGCCTTGAGTCTCAGATGAGACTTTGGACTTTGGATTTGTAATTGGATGCTGAAACAAATTTGAAAATTTAGGGGACAATGGAGATGAGATTATTGTATTTTGCAATATGAGAATGACATGAGTTTTAGGGGGTGGGGGGTGGCTAGAGGCAGAATGATTTTATTTGGATGCTTCTCCCCCAGTAAGTCTCATGTAGAAATGTAATCCCCAATGTTAAAGGTGGGGCCTGGTGGGAGATGGTTTGTTCATGGGGTGTGGATTCCTCATGAATGGCTTGGTACTGTCCTTGGGGAGTTCTTGCTCTGAGTTCACAGGAGATATCATTGTTTAAAAGAGTTCGGCAGGTCTCCCACTCCCTTGCTTCCTTTCTCACTATGCGACATAACCTGCTCTCCCTTTGCCTTCTGCCATGATTGTAAGCTTACTGCCATGGCCATGCTCACACAATGTGCAGACCCACGACCCAATTAAAACTCTTTTCTTTATAAATCACCCAACCTTGGGTATTTATTCATAGTGATGGAAGACTGGACTAACAATGAATTTGACATAATTGGAGCACATTCTAATGGAAATAACTGTCAGTTTGAAAATCAGTAAATCAGTAACACATTGAAAGTGATTACAAGCATGAGAGTGCATAATATGTACCATGGTGACTAGCAGGTATGAAAATGCACAAGTGGGCCAAGAATAGAGTCAGGTAAATCCAAGAATGAAAACAAATAAACAAACAACAATAACAACAACAGACGGTTCTCAGAAATTTTTTACATGAATACACCTGAAGAATGGCATTTGCACAGGAAACTCAGGTCCAGATTTTACTGTAACTTTCCAAATATGTTTGGAGATATGAAGCACTATCAAAATTAATAGTGATTATACAGTTGTGACCAATTCCTGTAGATTATGGCATTATTAAGTGGGTTTCAGCATATGTACAATCCTAGTTTATTCTAGTTTATTTAGTTCTGCTGCTGACTCAATTTCACAGAGTATTTGGAGTGTAATTGAATGACCATATTAAAGTTGTATCCTTTTATTCTCTCTATTTTATTTTTTAATTGACAAATACAGATAAAATAGATTCTATCTCTCATTCCTCTCTCTCTTTCTTTATGTGTATATGTATACACACATATGTATACATGTATATTATACATATATACATAATTTATCTATATGCATGACAAACACTACATTCATTGGTTTAAAAATGTATTTTAAAATTCTCCAGACACCTCATACAGGAACGTTCCGGGGGGCATCAGGCCAGTGCCCCTCTGGGACAAAGCTCCCAGAGGAAAGAGCAGGCTGCCATCTTTGCTGGTCTACAGCCTCCACTGGTGATATTTCCAGGGGCAGGAGAGACCCAGGTGAATAGGGTCTGTAGTGGAACCCCAGCAAACTGCAGCAGCCATTCAGAAGAGAGGCCTACCTGCTAAAAGAAAAACAAAGAGAAAGCAGTGACAACATCAATGAAAAAGTTTCCACCAAAGCTCCATCCAAAGGTCAGCAGCCTCAAAGATCAAAGGATGATAAACCCATGAGGATGAGAAGGAATCAATACAAAAATGCTGAAAACTCAAAAAGCCAGAGTGCCTCTTCTCTTCCAAATGATCGCAACATGTCTCCAACAAGGGCACAGAACGGGGCTGAGGCGGAGATGAAGGAATTGACTGAATTGGGTTTCAAAAGATAGGTAATAACGACCTTAGCTGAGCTAAAGGGGTATGTTCTAACTCATTGAAAATAAGCTAAGAAACATGATAAAACATTACAGGAGCTGTTAACCAAAACAACCACTTTAAAGAGGAACATAAATGACCTGATGGAGCTGAAAAACACAACACAAGAACTTTACAATGCAAGAACAAGTTTCAATAGTGGAACAGACCAAGTGGAAGAAAGAATATTAGAACATGGAGGCTATCTTGATGAAATGAGGCAGTCATATAAGATTAGAGAAAAAAGAATAAAAATGAGCAAAACCTCTGAAAACTGTGGGATTATGTTAAAAGACTGAGCCTACAACTAATAAGAGTGCAAGAAAGAGATGGAGAGAATGGAATCAAGTTGGAAAACACACTTCAAGATATCTGATGATAATTTGTCTTGAGGTTGATTTTCTCATGGAGTATCTTACTGGGGTTCTCTAGATTTCCTGAATTTGAATGTGGAACTGTCTTCCTAAGTTTATTCTTTTTTCTCTAATCTTATCTGACTGCCTCATTTCATCAAGATAGTCTCCATGTTCTGAAATTCTTTCTTCCACTTTGATATTATCCTGGAGAACTTAGCAAGACAGCTTGACATTCAAATTCAGGAAATCCAGAGAACCCCAGTAAGATACTGCATGAGAAGATCAACCTCAAGACAATTCATCATCAGATTCTCCAAGGTCAAAATGAATAAAAAATGTTAAGGGCAGCCAGAGAGAAAGGCCAGGACATCTATAAAGGGAAGGTCATCAGACTAACAGCAGACGTCTCAGTGGAAACCTTCCAAGACAGAAAAGATTGGTGGTCAACATTCAACATTCTTAAAGAAAATAATTTCCAACCTAGAATTTCATATCTGGTCAAACTAAGCTTCATAAGTGAAGGAGAAACAAAATCTAATTCAGACAAGGAAATGCTGAGAGAATTCATCACTACCAGATGTGCCTTGCAAGAGCTCCTGAAGGAAGGACTAAATGGAAAGGAAAAACTGTTACCAGCCACTACGAAACACACTGAAGCACACAGACCAGTGACACTATGAAGAAACTAAACTAAAAATACTGCAAAATAGCCAGCTATCATCATGATGACAGAATCAAATTCATACATAACAATATTGACCTTAAATGTAAATGGGGTAAGTGGCCCAATTAAAAGACACAGAATAGCAAGCTGGATAAAGAGTCAAGATCCATTGGTGTGTTGTATTCAAAGATCTGTCTCACATGCAGGAACACACATAGACTCAAAGGGATGGAGGAAAATTTTATTTTGAATATCAAGCAAATGAAAAACAGAAAAAAGCATGGGTTGCAATCCTAGTTTCTGACAAAACAGACTTTAACACACAAAGATCAAAAAAGACAAAGACACACATTACATAATGGTAAAGGGGTCAATTCATCAAAAGAGCTAACTATCCTAAACATATATGCACCCATATTTGTAAAACAAGTTCTTAGAGACCTACAAAGAGACTTAGACTCCCACACAATAATAATGACAGACTTTAACATTCCACTGTCAATATTAGACAGATCATCGAGACAGAAAATTAACAAAGATATTCAGGACTTGAACTCAGCTCTGGGTAAAGTGGACCTGATAGATACCTAAAGAACTCTCTGCCCCAAAACAACAGAATATACATTCTTCTTAGTGCCACATGGTACCTACTTGAAAATTGATCACATAATTGGAAGTAAATCACTCCTTAGCAAATGCAAAAGAACTGAAATCACAAAAGTCTCTCATATCACAGTGCAATCAAATCAGAACTCAAGATTAAGAAACTCACTCAAAACCACACAAAGAGACAACATACCAGAATCTCTGAGATAAAGCTAAAGCAGTGTTAAGAGGGAAATTTATACCACTAAATGCCCACATTAGAAAGCTAGAAAGATCTCAAATCAACACCCTAACATCACAACTAAAAGAACTAGAGAACCAAGGGCAAACAAACCCCAAACCTAGCGGAAGACAAGAAATAGCCAAAATCAGAGCAAAACTGAAGGAGATAGAGACACAAAAAATCCTTCAAAAAATCAATGAAGCCAGGAGCTGTTTAAAAAAAAAAAAAAAAAAAAAAGTTTAATAAAATAGACCACTAGCTAGGCTAATAAAGAATTAAAGAGAGAAGAATCAAATAGACAACAAAAATGTTAAGGGGGATATCACCACTTACCCCACAGAAGTACAAAGAACCATAAGAGAATACTATAAACACCTCTATGCAAATAAACTAGAAAGTCTAGAAGAAATGGATAAATTCCTAGACATATACACCCTCCCAAGACTGAACCAGGAAGAAGTTGAATTGCTGAATAGACAATAAAAGGCTCTGAAATTCAGGCAGTAATAAATAGCCTATCAACCAAAAAAAGCCCAGGACCAGATTGATTTACAGCTGAATTCTACCAGCAATACAAAGAGGAGCTGATACCCTTTCTTCTGAAACTACCCCAAACAACTGAAAAGGCGAGACTCCTCCCTAACTCATTCTATGAGGCCATGATCATCCTGATATCGAAACCTGGCAGAGATACAAGAAAAAGGAAACTTCAGGCCAATATCCCTGGTGAATATTGATGCAAAATTCTCAAAAAAAATACTGGCAAACCAAATACAGCAGCACATCAAAAAGCTTATTCACCACGATGAAGTTGGCTTCCTCCCCAGGATGCAAGGCTGGTTTAGCATACATAAATCAATAAATGTAATTCATCACATAAAGAGATCTAAAGACAGCAACCACATGATTGTATTGATAGAAACAGAAAAGGCCTTTGATAAAATTCAACATACCCACAGCCAATATTATACTGAATGGGCAATAGCTGGAAGCATTCCCCTTGAAAACCAGTACAAGACAAGAATGCCCTATCTCACCACTCTTATCCAACATAGTATTGCAAGTTCTGGCTAGGGCAATCAGGCAAGAGAAAGAAATAAAGGTATTCAAATAGGAAGAGAGGAAGTCAAGTCATCTTTGTTTGCAGATGACATGATCCTATATCTAGAAAATCTCATCGTCTCAGTTCCAAAAGTTTCTTAAGCTGATAAGCAACTTCAGCAAAGTCTCAGTATACAAAATCAATATGCAAAATTTACAAGCATTCCTATAAACCAACAACAGGCAAACAGAGAGCCAAATCATGAATGATCTGCCATTCACAACTGCTACAAAGAGAATAAAATACCTAGGAATATAGCTAACAAGGGAAGTGAAGGACCTCTTCGTGGAGAACCACAAACCACTGCTCAAGGAAATTGCAGAGGAAACAAGCAAATGAAAAACCATTCCATGCTCATGAATAGGAAAAATCAATATTGTGAGAATGGCAATACTTCCCAAAGTAATTTATAGATTCAATGCTATTCCCATTAAACTACCATTGACATTCTTGACAGAATTAGAAGAAACTATTTTAAAATTCATATGAAATCGGCGGGGGTGGGGGGGGGTTGTTCCAAGATGGCTGAATGGTGCTGGGAAAACTGGCTAGCCATATGTAGAAAGCTGAAACTGGATCCCTTCCTTACACCTTATACAAAAATTAATTCAAGATGGATTAAAGACTTACATGTTAGACCTAAAACCATAAAAACCCTAGAAGAAAACCTAGGCAATACCATTCAGGACATAGGCATGGGCAAGGACTTCATGTCTAAAACACCAAAAGCAATGGCAACAAAAGCCAAAATTGACAAATGGGATCTAATTAAACTAAGGAGCTTCTGCACAGCAAAAGAAACTACCATCAGAATGAACAGGCAACCTACAGAATGGGAGAAAATTTTTGCAATCTACTCATCTGACAAAGGGCTAATATCCAGAATCTACAAAGAACTCCAACAAATTTACAAGAAAAACAACAAACAACCCCATCAACAAGTGGGCAAAGGATATGAACAGACACTTCTCAAAAGAAGACATTTATGCAGCCAACAGACACATGAAAAAATGCTCATCATCACTGGCCATCAGAGAAATACAAATCAAAGCCACAAAGAGATACCATCTCACACCAGTTAGAATGGCGATCATTAAAAGGTCAGGAAACAACAGGTGTTGGAGAGGATGTGGCGAAATAGGAACACTTTTACACTGTAGGTGGGACTGTAAACTAGTTCAACCATTGTGGAAGACAGTGTGGTGATTCCTCAAGGATCTAGAACTAGAAATACCACTTGACCCAGCTATCCCATTACTGGGTATATACCCAAAGGATTATAAATCATGATGCTATAAAGACACATGCACACATATGTTTATTGCAGCACTATTCACAATAGCAAAGACTTGGAACCAACCCAAATGTCCATCAGTGATAGACTGGATTAAGAAAATGTGGCACATATACACCATGGAATACTATGCAGCCATAAAAAATGATGAGTTCATGTCCTTTGCAGGGACATACATGAAGCTAGAAACCATCATTCTCAGCAAACTACTGCAAGGACAAGAAACCAAACACTGCATGTTCTCACTCATAGGTGGGAATTGAACAATGAGAACACCTGGACACAGGAAGGGGAACATCACACACCGGGGCCTGTTGTGGGGTTGGGGAAGGGGGGAGGGAAAGCATTAGGAGATATACCTAATGTAAATGATGAGTTAATGGGTGCAGCACACCAACATGGCACATGTATACATATGTAACAAACCTGCACGTTGTGCACAAGTACCCTCGAACTTAAAGTATAATTAAAAAATAAAATAAAATAAATAAAATAACATTCTTATGGAATCAAAAAAGAGGTCATATAGCCAAGATAATTCTAAGCAAAAAGAACAAAGCTGGGGGCATCACAGCACTGGACTTTATAGTACAAGGCTACAATAACCAAAAGAGCATGTTACTGGGAGAAAAATAAACATATACACCAATGGAACAGAATAGAAAACTCATAAATAAAACCACACATAGATAACCATCTGGTCTTTAACAAACCTGAGAAAAACAAGTAATGGGGAAAGGGTTCTCTATTTAATAAGCGGTACTGGGAGAACTGGCTAGCCCTAGGCAGAAAATTGAAACTGGACACCTTCCTCACACTTTAAGCAAAATTAACTCAGGATGGATTAGAGACTTAAGTGTAAAACCCAGAACAATAAACACCCTAGAAGAAAATCTGGCAATACCATCCAGGACATAGGCACAGGCAAAGACTTCATGACAAAATTGCCAAAAGCAATTGTAACAAAAGCAAAAATTGACAAATGGGATCTAATTAAACTAAGGAACTTCTGCACAGCAAAAACACTATCATCAGAGTAAAAAGGCGACCTACAGAGTCGGATAAAATTTTTGCAATCTATCCATCTGACAAAGGTCTAAAATCGAGAATCTACGAGGAACTTAAACATTTACAGGAAAAAATACAGACAACCCCATCAAAAAGTGGGCAAAGGACATGACCAGACATTTATAAAAAGAAGGCATTTATGTGGCCAACAAACGTATGAATAAACTCTCACCATCACTGATCATTAGAGAAATGCAAATGAAAATCACAATGCAATACCATCTCACTCCAGTCAGAATGGCAATTACTAAAAAGTCAAAACCAACAGATGCTGGTGAGGTTGCGGAGACACAGAAACACTTTTACACCATTGGTGGGAATGTAAATTAGTTCAACGATTGTGGAAGATGGTTGTTGTGGTTTCTCAAAGATTTAGAACTAGAAATACCATTTGACCCAGCAATCCCATTATTGAGTATATACCCAAAGAAATATAAGTCATTGTATTACAAAGATATATGCACATATATGTTCACTGCAGCACTATTCACAATAGCAAAGGCATGGAATCAACTCAAATGCCCATCAATGATAGACTGGATAAAGAAAATGTGGTACATATACACCATGGAATACTATGCAGGCATAAAAGAGAAGGAGAGCATGTCCTTTGCAGGGACATGGATGGAGCTGGAAGCCATTATCCCCAGCCAACTAAGATAGGAACAGAAAACCTAACACTGCATGTTCTTACTTACAAGTGGGAGCTGAACAATGAGAACACATGGACGCAGCGAGGGGAACAACACAAACTGGGGCCTATCAGGAGGTGGGGTGGGAGGAAGAAAGAGCATTAGAAAACATAGCTAAGGCTTGCTAGGTTGGATACTTAGGTGATCGGTTGATAGGTGCAGCAAACCACCGTGGCACACGTTTACTTATGTAACAAACCTGCACATCCTGCACATGTACCCCAGAACTTAAAAAAGAATCTGAGACCTCTGCTTCCGGCTATGGTAATGTATATTACGGTAGAGTAATGTAATTGTTGCAGATAGCTAGAAAATCTACATAAAATTTAAAATCATATGGTTGAAGGCATGGGACAGCTGCTGAATCAAGCAAGAGTTGAGAGGGAAAATTGTAGAGATGGGAAACAGTAGAACGGTGATGAGATATTCTACTTCTTCTAGTGAACTCAGAACATTTAACTATACTGGCTGCTAGACAAGAAGCTGAGAATCTACACAATAGGCCCAGGCCAAAAGGTCACTACTGGGACAGAGAAACCAGAAATTCTAATAAATGTTGACTGTGAAAATACAGGTTTGAAGGGTCAGAAACCTTCTCTCTGGAGTAATATTGTGGAAAACTTTTCCTGGGGGTATTGATATCTCACCTGGTAAGATTTCCCTGGTACTTCTGGCCTGCCATGTACGATACACTGGCCTCCCAACAAATCCGGTAAAATTTTTCATAGACAAAAAATGCATATAGAGGCTTTGGGAATTTGACGAGTGCACACAGAAAGGCTGGGGGCACACAGACAGAACCCTGACAGCATCTGGTACAACAGGGAATACTTACGTAGGACTTACACATCCCAAGCACTGCCGTTTAATTTTAAAAACCTGATATATTGATAACAATATATGAACTGAATATATAATATGACTCCATATATTCAGTATATATATATATCCAATATATACTATGAAAATGAAGCTTCAATTTATTTAGAATAATGGAAGGAAAATCTTTATATCATCGGTGTACTAAAGGAAAAGTAAAGCAAAATGCTAAAATTACAAGACATCAATCAGCAAAAGCACTGGTTAATTTTACTGCATTGAAGTCAAAACATTTTTTAAGGTAAAGGACAAACAAAGTAAAGACAAGCCTTGGGCTGGAAGAATATGCATGTAACAAAGAATTCTTGTTCAAAATATAGAAATATAGAGAGAAGTAATCCCACAGAAACATGTGCAAAGGCCATGAATAGATAGAGAACCCTCTATTGACTTATGTCAGTGGTGGAAATGGATTGAGGTCAAAACCTTCACAGAGTCCCTTGAGTAACACAAATAAAGTTTACTGATTCTACTGATCCTCCAAATAGCCTCATCTTGATATATGACAAAGGCACCTCACTGGGTCACAAATATCTCTAAAGTACACAATATGAACACATCACATCAGGTTATTCAGATGTGAACACTGCCTTCAAACATAACCTGCAGTCTCTTCAGCTTGTTCAGCCTGATCCATGTTTATTTCTGAATGCAATGTTGTCAAATAAGGTATTTCTGGGAGAACTGCTAAAACGTCCTTAGACCAGCCCTTGAAGTTCGTAGGACATTATATTAAAGTTTGTAGAACAAGGTAGAGAAACAAACCCCCATTGTATTTGCTCATGTAATCTGTAAATTATATGCTTCATTGTGATCTATTTTTATAAGTATTGTGTAGATTTTCTCTTATGGAGGTAATATGGGATCCTCAGGTGTGTTTATTTTCCTTGTCTTCTGAGTAAACCTGTCAATATTTTTATGCAAAGATTCTCGACTTTACCAGTAATCACAGAAAGGTGAATTAAAATAACCCCATTTTACACCTATGATCTTGGATGACTATAATAATTATATAGTTGTAATTACTGAGTACTTTTTTATAGATGAATTTATTAGATTATCATAAAACTCGATGAGTTGTAGGTTGTTAAAATTCTTTTTTATATATCAGAAAACTGAGGCTCAGTTACAAGTAAATATATGGCAGATCACGAAATGAGTAGGTGATGGAACTGTAATTGAAACTTCTTGGACTGCAACCTTGAGCTCTGAATTTCCTCATTGTATTGCCTAATAGCACCACCAATAAAAATGGCTAATCCATAATTAGCTGTTTTCCTTGCAAGCATTGTGCATTTATTAAATTATGTGATCTTCATAATAGCTCTATGAAGCAAGTTCTGTACTATCACCATTGTAAGATGAGGAAATTGAGGAACAGAGACTTTAGATTACTTGCTATCCAGACTTCACCCTATGTACCTCTTCATCTGGCTGTTCATTTACATCCTATATAATGACTGCTAAGTGTAAGTAAAATGCTTTTCTGGGTTCTATGAGTCATTCTAGCAAATTATGAAATCGAGGAAAGGGTTATGTAAACTCCTGATTTATAACCAGTTGATTAGAATTACAGATGGCCTGAGACTTGTGACTTGTGTCTCAAGTAGGAGCAGTCTTGTTGGACTCAGTCCTTAACGTGTGGGTTCTGTTCTAGCTCTGGGTAGTTGTTGTCAGAATTAAACTGAATTGTTAGAAACCCAGCTTGAGTTAGAGAATTGGTTGGTGTCAGAAAATGCACCACATCATTCTTTCTAAGAAGTTTTCCTGAGATAAAGCAAAGAATCAAAGGGAGTGTTTTCTTCTTTTTTATTCATAAAGAGATTTGGAAATATTTGTAGATTAAGGAGTAATTACAAGAGAAAATGTTAACTAGGAGAATTAATGAATACAGATTACTTAGAAGGTAAAAGTGAAGTGGAAGTCCTCGAGAGTAGATTAGAAATATGTAACCCTGAGGCCTGAATGAGAAAAGGGAGGAATGAAATTGTTATTTTTGTTTTAAGTAGAAGACACAAGTTGTCTGAGTGCATCAATGATGTTTTTATCATTCTGTGTAAAGAAGGAAGCGAGCTCTTCCATTGAAAACAGGATGTCCACAGCTAGTTTAGAGAAATTAAGTTTATACAGATATTCAGAAAATAAGAGACAATGATGGTTAAAAAATGACTGAGTGAAATACCCTTTCTTCACATCTTCCTCTAGCCAACACAATTGAATATAAGAATGCCTGAAAGAAAACCAGAAACTTGTTTCACAGTAGGTTCTCTAGGGATGAAGCTCACATTTTCATATATGTACAGAAGTTTGAAAAGGGAGATAAATAACTGAGATGGAGATGGTGGGAAATGTCTTGCAAAATAGTTTTATTTTGCTCCAATAGAAATTTTAAATCTGTGTCTACTAAAGTGAAGTTTCTACTAAATTATAGTGTGTTTTAATTTGGACCTTTAGATTTTGCTGTGTTGAACTGATATTTTTATCCAGATGATTTTCCTATACAGAATGATAAACAGATTCTAATTGATATTTTATAGATGTATCAGATAATATATTAATATTCTGTTTTTATTACCATTCACAATATAGGCACTAACACATATCTTTAGAGAATAAACACTAATATGTACTTGTTAAATAAACAGCTGTATCTTTAATACATAGGAATGTATAAATACATACAAAATTTTTCATCTGTATGTAATTTATCTTTTCATATTACATAAACTAATTTGAAATTTTGACTCCAAAAATGACTTCCTGAAATTACATTATAAAATTATGTATACTCATTGTTAGCATAATTATACCCATAGATTGTGCTGACTTATGCTGAGAAGAGTGTGTATAATTTAATTCATCATAAAAATAAAGTATCTGAGCAAATTTTATTATATCACCAACATAGCAATTTAGTTTATTTTATTTCATTTTACACAGAGTATAAACTATTTCACTCTCTTTAATAGTTGAATAGTAATTTATTTTTAGGATTATCTTTTGGTTTTAGTTTTTTATGACTTTATTGTTTAAAATGGCAGCTTAATTTTCCTATTTATTCATCTTCTTTCTGAGGAAGGATAATCTTCAAATAGATTGAAAATTAGAATTAAGAACATTAGAAGAAAGTTAATCTTCATTAACTTTCAATTTGAGCATTCTAAATACTTAATTCAAACTTTGATTTTTTGATAACACTTATTATAGAGACCTTATTAATCAATGTTTGATTTTATGATTAGCTATTGATTTAAATTAAAAAAGAAAACAACATAAAATACATTATTTCTTCAAGTTCATATTTGTGAGTTGTTGCAAATGAACATTAATATCTTTTTTTTTTTTTTTTTTTTTTGAGACGGAGTCCCGCTCTGTCTCCCAGGCTGGAGTGCGGTGGCGCGATCTCTGCTCACTGCAAGCTCTGCCTTCTGGTTCACGCCATTCTCCTGCCTCAGCCTCCGGAGTAGCTGAGACTACAGTCTCCCGCCACCACGCCTGGCTAATTTTTTGTATTTTTAGTAAAGACGAGGTTTCACCGTGTTAGCCAGGATGGTCTCGATCTCCTAACCTCATGATCTGCCCATTTTTTGTATTTTTAGTAAAGACGAGGTTTCACCGTGTTAGCCAGGATGGTCTTGATCTCCTAACCTCATGATCTGCCCACCTCGGCCTCCCAAAGTGCTGCGATTACAGGCGTGAGCCACCGAGCCCGGCGGAACATCAGTATCTTTAGTGAATCTTTCAATGGAATTAAAATGTTTGTTTCATGAAAGATTGAATTAGGATTATCCATTCATTATCTAAAGAGTTCCTAATTAACCAAATTAGAATTGATATATAAATATATGAATGAAGAATGGTATGATGGTTAATACCTTTTTTTAGTTTAAATGCCTGAGGATTAAAGCTATAATATGGTTATAGATATGAACCTTATTTATATAATCAAATTATTGAGGTATTCACAATTGTCTTTGCCAATGTTTTTGCTGTGTAGGCATATGTGTGTGGAGTTGTGGGTGTGTATTTAAGTTCTCAATCTTTCCTATAGTAACCAGATTACCCTAGCTGTAGGAAATGTTGAAAACTTATTTATAAAAACTTGAAATTTATAATAAGCTTTGGAGAGTTTAACAAAGCCAAAATTACTGGAGGTACATCTTATTATAACTATATGGGTTATGAAAAAAAGTATCAGATAAAATTGGAACTCATCTAAAATTCTATTTTTGAACCTACAGTTTTTTTTTGACTTACCATTAAAATAAAATAGAGATATAAGGTAACAGGTTTAAAACAAACAAACAAAAAAAAGAAGTTAGGCTAGAATCAGAGGCATGTCTACCTCAGTCCCTCTTTGTTTTTGTTGTTTTCTGTTTCAGATTTGGCTTTTGGAGATACCTTTCCAATGCAAGTATAATCAGGGTGAGCGTAGCCTGAGGTTGCATAATCAATGTGTCCATGGGTCACCAATACAATGTCCATCACATATCAGAAGTAGAGAGATTCCAAACCAATGCAGTGTATTACCTAGAAGGCACTACATAAAAATCAGAGAAAATTAATATAACTATAGACAATTACGTTTGTATGAATGATAATGGAAGAGACTGGTTCTACTATACAAGACCTGAGAGCTAATGATCATATAATGTAATGCTTCAGTGAGGTTCCCCAAGTGGATTACTTCTCTTTATCTGGGAAGCACCAAAAATGAAAATAACTTACGTAACTTTACTGTAGGCATTTTTTCTTTGCTTCATAGACATTACCAATTTTATTGCTCTCAGCTGAGTAGTAGATATAATCTTCTAAAGAAGATGTCACTATGTTTCAACGATGGTGAGCGACTGGCTTTAAGTAACAGAGTTTGGAATGAAACCTAACTTTATTTATTTGAATTGGATTTTTGTTCATTATAGCCATGTTTCCCAGATGTACTTTCTCATAAAAATACACTGGGGAGTTTAACGAAAGCAGATACTTGAAGCCCCTTTTAGACCTACAGAATTAGCATCTGCAAGGAAGACTGAACATTTTGACAAATTTCCGTAGTTAAAAAGATGCTGGGAGGATTGTGCACATGCTTTAGACTCTCCTTTCTGCCACAAATCATCATAACTTGTAGAGAGAACATTAAAAATTTTAAATCAATTCACAATTGTGTTGGGAAAAAAGCTACAGTAGATCAAAGTTGTGAAAAGTTTCTGAAAGAAAAAAATGCAAGATAAAGATTAAAGAAGAAACAATATGGAAATAGAAATCATAAATGTTAAGCTACTTTAATCTATCCTCAACTAAAGTTTAAATAAACTACAAATAATAGCTCTGTAGTTACGAAAATGTTCAAAGAGAAAAATCCTGGCATATCATGCATTTTGAACATACTGAAGTAGTCATCAAACTAAAGTGCTCTTGTATAGCAGAATATTGTTCTTACATAGTATTTGCATTCCATTGTCTTTGGGATCCCAGGGGGCATTCCATTGTCTTTGGGATCGCAGGGGACAAAAAGGCCAACATACTGAGAAAAGGTTTTATTAAAAATTAAATTTTATATACGAGCTTCTGTTGTAAAGAAATTAAGCTTTCTGAAGTATTCACTGATATTTCCTGAGTGAGCATTACAAACGTCTTCCTGGAAGAATCATTCCATATTAGATGCCACTAGATTCTCGAAGTTTGTAGAACATCATCCTGAAATTTATATAACAAAGTAGAAAAACAAACCCCATTGTATTTGCTTATTGAATTTGCAAATGATATGCTTCACTGAGATCTATTTTTATAAACATTGTGTAGATTTTCTTTTATGTAGATAATGCAGGATCCTCAGCTGTGTTGCTTTATTGCTGTCTTCTGGATTAAAAAATAAATAAATAAACCACAGCTCAAGAAATTCAAATTCCAACAAAAGAATCCTTATTTACTTAATGCTAAAAACCAATATTTCACAAAAGAGTACTGATTTGAGGTTGAGCATTCATAATAATATAAAAAATGAAAGAGGCCTATTGTTACACAAGATTATTAGTGTGCCAAAACATGAACACTCCGATACTTACACTTCGTCTGTACACTAGGTCATTTGTGACCTAGGTCTCTCTCTTCCCTTTGGAGAATACTTGGAGTGAAATGGATATAGAGAAAAAGGGTTGCCCTAAGTAGTTAGTAAAGTGTAGGAGCAATGGGTAGCCTTCATCTATACCCAAGGGATTAGGTCATCATACTCTACTAGCAACAGACTGGCCTTCTTTCAGTTTTCTTGAAAGCAGGTTAAGAGATAAGCCACACTAAAACTTCCTATTACATATTGAAATAATGAAACCCCAAAACAAAACAAAGAAACTGATGATAGTCTAACAGAAATTATAAACTAAAGATCTGAGTGCAATGAGTAACTAGCTAATAGAGTATAAGCCAATACTGTCACGGGAAAACAAAGAAAGAAAGAAAAACATGCAGATGTCTTTTGTCATTGACCCTAACAGTGAAAACTGACGGAGCAGTCAGCCCTTAGAAGGATAGATAAGAGTTAATGTTCTCACTTATAAGTGGGAGCTAAACAATGGATACACATTGTTGGGAACAGGCCCCCCCAAAATCTGGCCATAAACTAGCCCCAAAACTGGCCATAAACAAAATCTCTGCAGCATTGTGACATGTTCATGATGGCCATAACACCCACACTGGAAGGTTGTGGGTTTACTGGAATGAGGGCAAGGAACACCTGGCCCGCCCAGGGTGGAAAACCGCTTAAAGGTGTTCTTAAACCACAAAAATAGCATGAGCAATCTGTGCCTTAAGGGCATATTCCTGCTGCAGATAACTAGCCAGACCCACCCCTTTATTTCGGCTCAACTCTTTGTCTCCCATAAGGGATACTTTTAGTTAATCGAATATCTGTAGAAACAATGCTAATGACTGGCTTGCTGTTAATAAATACGTGGGTAAATCTCTGTTCGGGGCTCTCAGCTCTGACGGCTGTGAGACCCCTGATTTCCCACTTCACACCTCTATATTTCTGTGTGTGTGTCTTTAATTCCTCTAGTGCCACTGGGTTAGGGTCTCTCTGACCTAGCTGGCCTCAGCAACACATGGACAATGAATGTGGAAATAAAAGGCACTGGGAACTCCAAAAGGGAGGAGGGTGAGAGGGGTTGAAGTCTGAAAAATTATCTATTGTGTACAATATTTTCTATTTGGGTGATAGGTACACTAGAAGTCCAAACTCTGCCATTATGCAAGCTGCCCATGTAACAAACCTGCACATACAAGCACCTCCTGAATCTAATATAAAATCAAATTATAAAAAATAAGGTGTTGCGGGAAGTCAGGGACCCTGAACGGAGGGACCGGCTGAAGCCATCACAGAAGAATGTGGATTGTGAAGATTTCATGGACATTTATTAGTTACCCAAATTAATACTTTTATAATTTCTTATGCCTGTTTTTACTGCAGTCTCTAAACATAAATTGTGAAGATTTCATGGACACTTATCACTTCCCCAATCAATACCCTTGTGATTTCCTATGCCTGTCTTTACTTTAGTCTCTTAATCCTGTCAGCTGAAGAGGATGTATGTTGCCTCAGGACCCTGTGATAATTGCGTTAACTGCACAAATTGTAGAGCATGTGTGTTTGAACAATATGAAATCTGGGCTCCTTGAAAAAAGAACAGGATAACAGCAATGTGCAGGGAATAAGAGAGATAACCTTAAACTCTGACTGCAGGTGAGCGGGGTAGAACAGAGCCATATTTCTCTTCTTTCAAAAGCAAATGGGAGAAATATTGCTGAATTCTTTTTCTCAGCAAAGAACATCCCAGAGAAAGAGAATGCACCCCTGAGGGTGGGCCTCTGAAATGGCCCCCCTGGGTGTGGCTGTCTTCTATGGTCAAGACTATAGGGATGAAATAAGCCCCAGTCTCCCATAGCGCTCCCAGGCTTATTAGGACAAGGAAATTCCCGCCTAATAAATTTTGGTCAGACCGGTTGCTCTCAAACCCTGTCTCCTGATAAGATGTTATCAATGACAATGGTGCCCGAAACTTCATTAGCAATTTTAATTTCACCCCAGTCCTGTGGTCCTGTGATCTCGCCCTGCCTCCATTTGCCTTGTGATATTCTATTACCTTGTGAAGCATGTGATCTCTGTGACCCACACCCTATTCGTACACTCCCTCCCCTTCGAAAATCCCTAATAAAAACTTACTGGTTTTGCGGCTTGTGGGGCATCATGGAACCTACCGACATGTGATGTCACCCCCGGATGCCCAGCTTTAAAATTTCTCTCTTTTGTACTCTGTCCCTTTATTTCTCAAACCGGTCGAGGCTTAGGGAAAATAGAAAAGAACCTAGGTGAAATATCGGAGGTGAATTTTGCCCGATGTCTGGCTGAATTTACCCCAATAATAAGGGAATCATTTCATAGTATTTTCCAAGTGTTGAAATTAAAAAGAGACACACAGTGAAAAAAAAAAAAAAAAAAGAAAGAAAGAGTTAAGAGGGCTGCATATATCCCAAAAGTATGCTGGGGCTATTTGAAATGGAAATGTAAGGTTCCCAGGAACCCTGAAGTGTGATCTAAATTTGTGATCTGGAAGTGTGATCTAGAGGTGGAGTGTAGCCCCCAAGTGGGCAAGTGCAGCCTTCTTTTTGTTGTAAAAACACAGCTAGAGAAAATGTTTAGTGAAAATTTTTATAGTGTAGGGCACAATGTGTCTTCTTGCCCAAGCCTAAAATCATTACTGCCCCAGACCATCACCCAGGAATGAAGAAAGCCATGAGTCTTCAGATTGAGAAGGCCCATTAAGTAATTGTCAACAAGGATAACTAAAAGCAATCTGCACATAAATATATCACAGAAAAAGTCACATAACAATAAAAGAAAATATAAACTTCAGAAGAAAAAATAAATTTTATTACCTAAAAAGGAATAAGAATCCAAATGCCACCAGTCAAACAAAGCATGAATAATTCCAACCAAAAGGCCCTATTTTTATCGTTCCTCAGATATTTCCTCAGTTGGAATAGCTGACATGCAGTTATTTCTGGAGATGCAAACATAAGCATGCACACTACTGATTTCAATAAAAAGGCACTTCCTTAAGATGAAAAAGGGTATCACCGAAATGAACAGCAAAGATCATATTCGGAGGTGACAATTTGAAACTTGTCTTTTAAATTCAGAAATGAGCTATGATAACTACTATTTCTGCCTCTATACTAGACTGTACTGAAGGGCTGAGGCAGGACTATAAAAATATGATAATAAACAAAATAAAATATTTAAGGTTAAGAAACAGAGAAAGAGAAATGTCAGTAGTGTCAGGTAGTATGTCTTGTCTTTATATAGATAAGCTCAGAAAAATCCACAAGTGAATTATGATAGCTAATGAGAGAATCGGTAAATATAAATACAGAAGCAAAATATTACACAAAATAGTGGAAAATAATTATGAATGACTGTTAATAATACATTTAAACATGTGGCCGAAATGAATGATATCTTATTCAAAATCAGTAGAAGAAGAAATAAAGAAATTAAATAAACATTGGTTTTAGTTTTAAATCAATTATACTTATAGTAAAATATTTTCTTTTAAAAAATAAATTCTCAGACCCTGGTGGTTTTATAGATAGGTTCTATCAAATTTCAACGGAAAAATTCATTATTTTGCCAGATTAAAATATCCATTGGAAAAAAAATCACATATAAAATCATTCTACTCTTGCAAATGAAATATTCCTTTATGCAAAGTTTAAAGGAATGAATTAAATATTGAAAGAGAGAGATTGGTTATGAAATTCCAAAAGGATTTTTCCTTTAAATATAAATTTAGTCTTCTTTTGTCCACCTTACATTTTACCCTGGACAATCTCATTTTCTTCAAGTGTTGTGGCAACTCACACCTATGGTACTAAAGCACGTCTATGAATCTTAGTCTTCTTTCTCAATTTCCTCATACATTACCCATGTGAATTTCCTCTAAGATTCCTCCCAGGCTTCTCAAACAATACACTATATGTCCACAATCATTATCATTCTCTTAAAAACTTACCTCTTCTCTAATCTGTTCCACCCCAGGCACATCAGTGGCTCAAAAGAGAAACCAGGCATCGCCTTGATACCTTCAACTTCACTTCATTCTACATAAGCATCATCCAATCCTATCATTTCTGTTACAAAATGCACTGTAAACTCTATCCACCTAAATCTTCTGCTTTGAAATATTAAGAGATCCTCACCTCCACAGTTATTTGCCAATTTCCACTACTCTCACATCCCATTCTAATCTCCATGTAGCAACCAGTTTTAGTTTTATTTATAGTTGGCACATAATGATTGTACATGCTTATGGGGTACAATGTGACATTTTAATGTTTGTATACATTATATAACAATAAAATTAGAGTAAATATTATATTTATCACTTTAAATATCTATGATATCTTTGTGGTGATAACATTGAAAATTTCTTCCAACCTTCTTGAAATATATAGAACATTGTTATTTGCTATAGTCACCTTACTGTGTAACAGATATTTTCAATGCAGCAGACATATCATTATCTTGCTTAAAACCCTTCAATAACTTCATGTGGACTTAAAATAATATTCAAAAGTCTTGGTATGTCATGCAAAGCTTTCTTTGTACCTCCTTCCTTCATGTTCATTATACTCTAGCCACATTGATATTCTTTCTGTATTTTGAAAGTCTGAGCAATTTCAAACTTAGGGCCTTTGCATCCTACAATACATATTCTTCCTCCTCTTCACATGCATAATTTGTCTTCACCTTTTGATATCAATAAAAATGATAATTTTTCTGTAAGGTGATCTGTAACCTCTTAAAATACAGAGATCATCAATTATTCTCTGTTGCATTACTCTTTTTTTCTCCTTTATAGCACTCATTAGGGATTGAAGTTACACAATTACTTATGTTTTTATTTGTTATAACTCCTTCACTCCCATCAACTTTTAATCTGTACCGCTGGATCTCAAGTACCTAGCACTATACCTAGTACATGGCAAGCAGTCAATAAATATTTCTTTTGTTAAAGGTAAAATAAAAACGAATTATGACTTGTGTCAAACAGTAGTAGTTTCTTTCCATTTTTTCAAAAGTGTGTACATTATGCTAAGTAAAATAAATGTCTAATTTTTAAAAATCCAACAATATCATATTATAAAACCATTTACCTAAAACAGTGTTTATTGAATTTATAATGTTATATTTTGTTTTACTCTTACTTTAAAAATTAAGTAAACTAGGGTCCATTAATTTTTGCTTTTACTACATTTTAAAGTGTTCAATGAATCATTCAACCTGAGAAAAAACTTCCTTATGGACATGACATTAAGTCCCTGTAGATGGCTTGAAATATTTAAGCATTCAAATTAAATTAGGTATTTAAAAACATCAAAACTTAATTGCCATTTCACAATGCCCATGTACACTTTTTGAAACATGAAAATGAAGCTTTCAAATAATGAAGATTAGTCAGGAGCCCTCTTATGAGAAATAAATATGAGCTGTTTAAGATGTTTAATCACAATATTTTTAGAGGCCCATTTAAATGAGTGTTCTATAAACCATTCAGGGTTTTGTTAGAATATTTTAAATGAAAAACTGAAAACTACTAGAAATCATCAAGTTCTAAAATAAAAATCTCTTGAAAGTCTGCATCATCTGTACATTTTTATGGCTGGACTAGCTTTTTCTTTTTTTTTTTCTTTTTTCTCTTATGTTGCAAAAGGACCCATGGCCTTCCTAGTCCTAATCAAATATGTCAGAAATTCAATGTGGGGTTTCCTGTGTTCAAAATAAATATAGTTATCATAATGGCAAAGTCTATTTGTTATCAGTCAGTCTGCAGGATTCTAGAAGATCGGGGACTTTGGCACCAGAAGAGCTCAGGATTAAAAAGCTTGAATGCCCTCTGTTAAAAGGTAAAGCTGTCTTGCCTATACGGAAAGAATATGTCTTTTCCAATTTGGCTGTGTAAACCAAAAACTGCAAATTTGATTTATCTCATATATACATATATATGCACACACACATATATATATACATACTATAAATATCATTCAGCATATAAATGAACGTGTATGTGTGTTTGATTCATTAAAGAATGTGTTCCTGAATACCAAATCTTTGGAATAAATGAAAAACTCTAGACTGTGTATTTCTACATGAACAAACTACTTATTAAAAACAACATGGGCCTGGCACAGTGGCTCACACCTGTAATCCCAATACTTTGGGAGGCCAAGGCGGCAGATCACTTGAGGTCAGGAGTTCGAGACCAACCTGGCCAACATGGTGAAACCCTGCCTCTACTAAAAATACAAAAATTAGCCAGGCATTGTGGCATACGCCTATAATACCAGCTGCTTGGGGGGCTAAGGCACAAGAATCACTTGAACCTGGGAGGCAGAGGTTTCAGTGAGCCAAAATTGTGCCACTGCACTCCAGCCTGAGTGACAAAGCAAGAAAACGAAAACAAAACAAGGATCCAGTACTTTACTTGTCTGTTGTAGAGACAAAAGAAAAATTTCTTAATAGTGGTATTTTACCCTCTGGTCCCTTAAGTAACACAGCTCAGCTAATTTTAAAATAAGATTTCTGATCTTCTGTAGCTGACTGATTTTAAAATCAGTGTTTGCATCTAGGAATACCTAAAGGAATTTATTTTGAAATTGGCTTAGCCATTCTACTCCTCAGATAATGTTCTTAACCTCTTTCTAAAGACATGGGCTACATTTTTAGTTGTCCTCATTATACCCATAAATGGAGTTTAATATTTTCATATGTAAAAGTAATAAAATCTAAAAATATAGAAATTGTATTTAAAAAATCAAATAAAATAAATGAACATAAAAATTAAAATCATTTAAAGCAGCAGTTTTCAAACTTTTGGAATTCATAATAACTTTACACTCTTAAAATGATCAAGGAACCCAAAAAACTTTGTTTATATAGGTTATATCTATTATTGTTTATTATAATTGAAATGCAAACAAAAATTATGTATCCATTTATTGATTTGTTTTAAGACAACAATAATAAAACCATTACAAGTTAACATAAATAAAATTTGTTATAAAAAATAATAATATAATATTTTATTTCCCAAATTAGTGAGAAGTATGGCATTGTTTTAATCTGACTTACTAGAAGAGAGGAGGACTCTAATGTGTGCTTTTGAATTCAATCTTTTACTCTATATTGCTTTAGTTAAAGCATATGATGAAAATCCAACTACATATATGTAGTTGAAATGTTAAGTATTTTAATAGACTTTCCACATAATTTTACATATTGTTTTTGGATACTGTTCCAAAACTTGATGATTGGTAGTTTTTTTAAAGATTAGTTGAGGCCGGGCGTGGTGGCTCACGCCTGTAATCCCAGCACTTTGGGAGGCCAGGCAGGAGGATCACGAGGTCAGGAGATCGAGACCATTCTGGCTAATACGGTGAAACCTCGTCTCTACTAAAAATACAAAAAATTTGCGGGTGTCGGGGCAGGCGCCTGTAGTCCCAGCAACTCAGAAGGCTGAGGCAGGAGAATGGCGTGAACCCGGGAGGCGGAGCTTGCAGTGAGCTGAAATCATGCCACTGCACTAGTGAGACTGTCTCAAAAAAAAAAAAAAAAAAAAAGATTAGTTGAAATATGAAATCTAAAATCAGATCAATGGACTTTTCATACCTTGTTACAGTAAAACCTCTTTTTCTATCTTGCATTTTGAATGATCTCTTACCCATAGACAATTTTATAATATTACACATTTATCATCTGGAAAATATTGGTTCACTGAGTTAGGCAGATCCCTCAAATGTTGGCAAATTTGATTATACATTATTTAAAAACTCACATGGCTAACATTATCACCATTTTCATTAAAAAGTCTTAGTTCATGGTGGCTTATAAAAGTGTTTTATGTGTCTAATTTTCACATAAAGCTTGGGTTATATCATCAAAAATTAAAAATGTCAGTTGTTTTTCTTAAAGCAGTAGACTCAGTTCATATTTGATAAAGTATCTGCCAATTAGTGAGGTCTGCATAATCATGCTTTATTGCTCAGTCACCCTTTCAACTTGTACCATAAACAAAGCAGCTAGTTTAGCTAACAACTCAAAAACAATAATAGGATGTTTTGCCCCATGGCAGTTGTATTAGTCAGCTGCGGGTGCCATAACAACATATCATGGACAGGATGCTAAAACGGCATACATTCATTTTTCACAGTTCTGGAAGCTAAAAATCTGAAATGAAGGTGCCAGCATGGTTAAGTTCTGGTGAGCCTTCTCTGTTTGGCTTGCAGATGGCTGCCTTCTTTCTCTATGATCACATAGGCTTTCTTCTGTGCACATGCATATAGACAGAGAGGGAGGTTCCCCCTCTTCTTATGAGACCACCAGTCCTTTTGCATTAAGGCTCCACCTTAATGAGGTTAAACAATCTCATGTAATCTTTTATTTCTTTTTTGAGACAGAGTTTCACTCTTATTGCCCAGGCTGGAGTGCAGTGGCACAATCCCAGCTCACTGCAACCTCCGCCTCCCGGGTTCAAGTGATTCTCCTGCCTCAGCCTCCCGAGTAGCTGGGATTACAGGTGTATGCCACCATACCTGGCTAATTTTTTGTAGTTTTAGTAGCAACAGGGTTTCACCATGTCAGCCAGGCTTGTTTCAAACTCCTGACCTCAGGTGATCCACCCTCCTCGTCCTCCCAAAGTGCTGGGATTACAGGCGTGAGCCACCGCGCCCGGCCCATCATTTAATCTTAATTACATCCTAAACACCGTGTTTTCAAATATAGTCATATGGGATGTTAGGGTTTCAACTTATGAATTTTGAGAAGACCCTATTAAGTCCAGCCACAGTCATCATAATTTGATATACAGAGGAAGAACTTTATGAATGATTGCTATTTTATTAAAAAGAATAGTTAAAAGATTATTCTCAAGCGTACAGATTCAACAAAATTAATAATTCTTATTATTAAGTACATTTTCATGTGAAGTTGATTTTTTTTTTTTTTTTGAGAAGGGTGAAGAACACAATGATTGGTAGTGTAATTTGTTGGGAGCCCTTGAGTAGCGTTAAGGTTCCAGGAATTATTTTCTACCATTGCATTTGCACTATCAATGTAAATAAAAGGTAAAAAAGTAACATTTTTATAATAGTTTTGACCTTGAAGTTCCACTGAAAGGGTCTGGGAATCTAGGGGCCCAAACAAACCACTCTTTGTTAGCCAATGAGTTATTAGGGTGGTGCAAATGTAACTTCAGTTAAAACTAATAAGTAGTTCAAACATAGCAAACTCAAAACATAACAGGGACATGTTAAAAGGAAACAGAAGTGCTTGAAGGAGATCCAGCTTGTTGAATCTTAGGCATTTGGAGAACAAAAGTAAATAATTATATTAATAGATTACAATCTACTGAATAAAATATGAATTCATAAATCTACACGAATTAAATAATAAATAACTGAAGGATAAAAGACAGCTCTGCTTTCTTTTTGAAAGCCAAATAATAACTACAGAAGAGATGATTGCACTAGAAAATCATTTGCCAACCATCACAAAAATAATTTTGGTAGCTAGAATCCAAGACGGCCTCTAACTTTCCATTTCTTTGTATTTGAACCTTTACATACTCCCCTCTCATCTCAGTAGAAATGACAATGTGTGATTTCCATGGCTATGACATAAAATACAGTGAAGCTTCTACCTTACTGTCTCTTGGATCACTCACTCAAGGTCAAGTCATTTGCCATGTCAGGTGTACACACAGCAGCCCCATGGAGAGGTACACATTTGGGGAACTGAGACCACGTCAGTCAGTGACGAAGTGAGGCCTCCTGCAGTAGCCAGGCATGTCAGCTATCTTGAAAGTAAATCCTCACTCCCATCAAGTCCTCATTATGACTACAGCCCAGAGGACATCTTCATTGTTATCCTCTGAGAGTCAGAGTCAGGGCCACCCTATAAAGCAGGTTCTGAATTTCTGACCCACAGAAACTATGAAATAATAAGGGCCTATTGTTTTAACATGGTGACTTTTAAGCAATAGATAATACTCTGCATACATGATAATATTATTTTCATGCCAGTTTATCAATTGATTCTAAAGCCAGAGGTATAACTCTGAAGAGTAAGAGAATATTTATGTAGTTACAAAGTATCTCTCCACAAGCTGTATATTAATTATAAAGAAAAAAATGACTTTACAGAAGACAGAGAGTGGGTGAAGAGAAAGAAGAAAAAACAAAGAGAATGAGAAGGGGGAGGAGGAGGAAAAGAGGAAAGAGGAGGAGAAGGAGGAAAAGAAGGGGAAGGAGAAGGGGAAGAGAAAGAAGGAAGAAGGAAGAAAAATTAAAAAGGGAGAGAGAGACTTTTGCAATTTTTCCGTAAGACTGAAATGATACCAAAGTAAAAGATAAAAAAAAAGAAATCATGTATGCAGAGTATTAATATATATCTGCATGTAGGCATTTAATGTAATTATATACATATACACACTCATTTATAGTTCATAAAATAAAAAGAACCTCTATTTTACAAAAGCATAACTTATTGGGTAGGAAGAGAAATAAATCAATTATAAAGTAATAAAATTTTATTTAAACAAAATGTTAGATTAAGATATTCTTATACCTAATAAATATGTAACTCATTAATATACTGATTATAATAATAAAAATGACTATGCAAAATCCAAACGTGTGTATTTGTGAAGAGACAGAGCCACAGACATAAACCTATCAACTCTGGAC
Organism: Homo sapiens; assembly: GCF_000001405.40. NCBI lineage: Eukaryota > Metazoa > Chordata > Mammalia > Primates > Hominidae > Homo > Homo sapiens. Next base: position 144,974,698 of record NC_000003.12, on the reverse strand, counting down.
GTCAAATACTTGGATTCAAATAGTAATGCTGTTTTTTGTTGTTGTTTTTTTTTAAACTTACCAACTAAATGACTATTGGCACATTAAATGATTGCTCTGTGACTAAGATGAGAGAAGTCACAATAGTTACCTCATTGTTTTTCTGTGAGGATCAAACTAGTTAATATATACAAAATGCTTAGAAGATCCCTAGTACATACGTAAGTGACATATCTCCAAGGCTGATTGTTTTGTCTTTGTTTTGTTTTTCAAACTAATAGAAATATTCAATCAAATTTAGGTAAATGAGAAGAGCCATCCTGAACCTCAAGAGCTCATCAAAAGATTTGAAATGCCTGGCCCAAAGTGCTTAGCATAAGCTCTCAGTCCCAGTACCCATTCTTAGCAGCTTAGTGAAGGGTTCTAACCAGGCCTAATCAACCGCCTTCCAGAATCTGCCCAGGCTCAGACATCCCTCCGTAACAACTGGCATTTAAGAAAACATGGAACGCACTGTTGAAGTCTAGAGACTACCTTGGTAATAAATATAAAAACACTTTTGCCTCAAATCCTACACAGGAGAAGCAATACTTACAATCTTGTTGATGGTTCAAAATAATTCCAAATACTGCAAAAATTATTATATAATTCATTATACATCCTACAGTTGGAATTGGAGGGTGCATGTTAGTCTTGTTTACCAAGAATTAGCGTCCGTTTCTAGTAACATAGAGCAATGGTTCTCTACTGGGGATAATTTTGCCCTCAGGGGATATATGATAATGTCCGAAGACATTTCTGATAGTCATCACCTGGGATGTTCTACTGATATCTAATGGGTAGAGGCCAGGAATGTTGCTAAACAAACTATAATGCACAAGATAACTCCATTAGAAAAAGACTTTTTTAGCCCCAGATATCAATAGTGCTGTGGTTGCGACACCCTGATGCAGAATATACAATTGTAAAACAGTGTTTCTGTAATTTAGCCTAAAACAAGGAAGTCTAAAAATGCTGCATTAACAGAGTTCTCTATATTTGACTGTTTTCGTTTTTGTTTTTATTTCTGTTTTTGTTTTGAGACAGAGTTTCTCTCTTGTTGCCCAACCTGGAGTGCAATGGCACGATCTCAGCTTACTGCAACCTTCACCTCCCGGGTTCAAGTGATTCTCCTGCCTCAGCTTCCTGAGTAGCTGGGATTACAGGCATGTGCCACCATGCCTGGCTAATTTTTGTATTTTTAGTAGAGGCAGGGTTTCACCATGTTCACCAGGATGGTCTCAAATTCCTGACCTGTTTTTACAGACATATTTTTTATTTCTTAGTGATTCTAAGCTGCACGGTACTTGTTTATATGGTTATTTTTAAAACATTGCATTTTTTTCTTTCCTTTTCTTTGCGAGCAGGAAGGGTGTCTGCCATACTTTTTCAGATCCTATATATCTCAGAATAGAACTTTGTAACCAGTAATCCTGAGTCTGCTCATAATGGGCAAAGCCGTCAATCTCTTCTTTTCTCAAATGAGGGAAATCTTTCTGATAGGATTAGTACTTTCCAAACTGATCCACAAAACCCCTGGGTAACTGTGGTTTTAAACTGTATCAGGAACAAGAAGGCTTAATGAAGGGTTCTGGACCCTCCATCCATTCCTGCTTTGCCATGGGAAGCTGTTCTGTACATGTCTAGCGTCTATACTAGTTTCCTCTGCTAAGGGAAAACAGGGTTTCATAACCACTGTATCACACTGTAATCAAGTTCTCTTCAAGTTTTAAAATAAGTTACAAATTTTTACAGGAAAATTTTTATAAATAAATATTTTCAATATTCTTCAATTTCATTATCATCCTTTGGAAATTCCTTTGCATTCAAAATTATCCTAAAATTAGTAATGTAGTGACCTTTTTACTTTCACTGGTTAATTATTTTATGCCTATTAGAAAGCAACATCCAGAACCTACAAGGAACTTAAACAAATTTATAAGAAAAAAAAAACCATCAAGAAGTGGGCAAAGGATATGAACAGACACTTCTCAAAAAACGCATTTATACAACCAACAAACATATTTAAAAAATCACATCATCACTGGTTATTAGAGAAATGCAAATCAAAACCACAATGAGATACCATCTCATGCCAGTTAGAATGGCAATTATTAAAAAGTGAGGAAACAACAGATGCTGGCGAGGCGTGGAGAAGTAGGAATGCTTTCACCCTATTGATGAGAGTGTAAATTAGTTCAACCATTGTGGAAGACAGTGTGGCGATTCCTCAAGGATCTAGAACCAGAAATATCATTTGACCCAACAATCCCATTACTGGGCATATAGCCAAAGGATTCTAAATCATTCTACTATAAAGATACATACACATGTATGATTATTGCAGCACTATTTTCAATAGCAAAGACTTGGAACCAACCCACATCTCCATCAATGATAGACTGGATAAAGAAAATATGGCACATATACACCATGGAATACTATACAGCCATAAAAAAGAATGAGTTCATGTCCTTTGCAGGGACATGGAGGAAGCTAGAAGCCATTGTTCTCAGCAAACACAAGAACAGAAAACCAAACACAGCATGCTCTCATTCATAACTGGGAATTGAATGATGAGAACATATGGACACAGGGAGGGGAACATCACACCGGGGTCTGTTGGGAAGTCAGGGTCAAGGGGAGGGAGAGCATTAGGACAAGTACCTAATGCATATGGGGCTTAAAACCTAGTTGATGGGTTGATAGGTGCAGCAAACCACCATGGCACATGTATACTTATGTAACAAACCTGCACGTTCTGCACATGTATCCCAGAACTTAAAGTAAAATTACAAAAAAAAAAAAAAAGAAAGAAAGAAAAAAAAAAGCATGGGACACTTACTATGTTCTTTATCTATATAAGGTCTTTGCAAAGGATAAAATATTGTTTCTTCCATTAAGATGCTGACAGGGGTTAAGAATAAGACATGTCTACAAACAAGTGTTGTAAAAGTGAGCAGCGTTTATAGAAATCAATATGCCTTAAGGAAGACATATGAAGGAGTTCAGGGGAAGTAGAAAATTATATTACTCAGCTTCAGCCTCTGTGTAATATGGAATCAAGATTGTCAGCTGTTCTGATTTTTTTTTTAAAAGCTGAAAAACAAAACTTTTATATTATTGTTATTAACTATTTTAAATATTTAGCATATTTAAATATTGCTAACTTATTTAACAACATTTTTAAGTACTATGTAGGCCAAGCTAAACACCTCTGTAGGCTACTGCTTCGTCCAAGACTACCAGTTTGAAGCTTCTGAATACAAAATCATCTCTAATTAATTTTAGTTAGGTTGATGTTGTTGTCATATTCTGGGGCCAAAATCCTGATGCATTTATTTATTTATTTATTTATTGAGACCGAGTCTCGCTCTGTCGCCCAGGCTGGAGTGCAGTGGTGAGATCTTGGCTCACTGCAAGCTTCGCCTCCCTGGTTCACGCCATTCTCCTGCCTCAGCCTCCTGAGCAGCTGGGACTACAGGCGCCCGCCACTACACCCGGCTAATTTTTTGTATTTTTTAGTAGAGACGGGGTTTCACCGTGTTAGCCAGGATGGTCTCGATCTCCTGACCTCGTGATCTGCCCATCTCAGCTTCCCAAAGTGCTGGGATTACAGGCGTGAGCCACCACGCCCGGCCCTGATGCATTTATTTAAATGATTTAATTATATCGTAGCTATGATGATGGGCAGGAGAAATACAGGATTGGAAAGAAATTTTCAAAATGGAAGCAAAATCCAAGATAAGTTTGTTTTGTTTTGCTTTTTCCTTTCCTTGAGAATTTTGACTAACAAAGCACATCATTCTTTGCATTTGAGGCTAAGAAGTCATTGCTATGAACAGCTGAAGAATTATGATCTGACCTTATATCTACTCGTTCCAATGAACTGAGACGCTTCTCTCACGAAGATTCTGTTTCCTTGGGGACTGCTCGGTGCCCTCTAAAATGTGTTTTAGAATTCAAAACAAAATCTCTTAGCTACGAAAAACAAATTCTTTATCCATTTTATCCTTTTGTTCAGTTTTCTAATTCTGAATTGTAGAGTATAATAGCACATACAAAAAAGGTAATTCTATTCACAAGCAATGAATTTTATTAAATCGTCTAGATTGAGTTTTAATTTTTTTCTGTAAAAGAAAAAACAGAGCATAGTTTTAATATTCTAGCTACATATGAGGCAGTCACAAAGGAACAATAGGTTAATCAATATATCCAGCAACTTTATCTAAAAAAGGAAACTCTACCCATAATAATTACCCCTGGTGGGCTGTTTAAGATATGAAATACTGCAGAAAAGATGTTGATTGATTGCTATGAATTTTTGGCAGCTGTAGCTTTTGAAGCATGAAATACATTAGCATTGTCTCCTAATGCCTTCAATAATTGTACTGAGTTGATGTTTGTCTTCTGAAAAAGGTGCTTAATTTATTCACGAAACAGCCAGGGGCTGAACAATTTAACATGTATAAATAAAATGACCTCTGTTTTTTCAACGGACACTTAACCAAAGGACAATGTCAGAAATAACTTTCACCATACATAATTGATAAAGATGTAATTTAATGTTCATTGTTGAAATAATTTTGTCCTTTCCAAGTTATTAAATATTACAAGCTTCCAGTTAAATTTATTGCATCATTATGTTTTCAGTATGAAGTCTTCTATTGTAAGAATAATTGTCATGTGTTTAAAGGAAAATATAATAGTGCTTTTTAGGCACAACATTCGCTTGTAAGGTGAAGCTTTAAACATTTATTTTTCATCTTTTTATTTAGTGATATTCAAAGAATGATAACAAAAACGACAGAATTTATTGCATAGCAAGAGGATTTTCTTTTAACCAGAGTTTTAAAACTATAACTTAATAGGAGAAAAATAAGTTGTTTATTTTCTCACAGTTAGGAAATTTTAAGCCATCACATTGTTTTGGATACCTGCTGTGTGGTTCTGTTCCTCTTTCTCTTATCCTATGAGTAGGAAATAATCTCATTAGTTTATCACTGCATGAAATCCTTTTTCAACCAATTGTCTTTCTCAACCAATATCCATTGTAGTAACAATACTTGAAGATTTTATTATTACATAAAATGCAAAGTATTTTTCCCCACAACACATTAACATCTATTATCTTATTTTTTGCCCCCCAACCACACTGTAATACTTTTCAGGTGAATACTATTGCCACCAAAAATGCAGTAACTAGGTGCAATAATTAGACCCAGAACCCAGATTGAATCTCAGTTTCCTTCTGTTTATGCTGTCTCCATAGTTATGCATTATAATCTATATTAATGGTTATCTACAAATTTATGTGTTATATATATGTGTATGTATATAACATAAGTTTCCATTAGATCTTTTAGAACACTGAAAATACTGAAATCTTTGTTCAGATAATTTCAAGGTTACATGCATGTGTTTGGATGAGAGAGACACTGAGAGATGGCGAGGACTTAGCAGAACTGGAAACCACTATGTAAACCATCATGCATATTTTACACCTCTGAAGGCTATGACTGAGAAGCCAGTGGCAAACCCAGCCAAGGCTGCATAACTCAGGCCTGAGAGAATATCAACAGAAGGCTACAAAATGCCTTGATCCATCTATGGCTCATCCTCATGTTTAATTGTTGATAATAAATTACAAACCAATGGCAAAATGTCAAAAAAGACCATATAAATAACTTTCAAGAAACATATTAATGGGCTGTCCAGTGTGTGAGGCAGATGGCTCACCAATATATTCAGTTCAATAAAAAATGGTTTTTACATTGTTGTCTTAGTCACAGAGAAATCATGTAATATGCCCATAGTCACTTAGTAAGTTATAAAACAAAAAACATTACAATTTGAACCCAAGTGTTTGACCTCCAGAGATGATCTGTGCTTAGTCTCTCTTCTGAAATACACATTGGGATTTTTTATTCCAAGCACAGTGGTTTTATGTATGCACATTATGAGCTGGGATAGAACTAGGTAGATATGCAGACAGAAGGCCAACAAATATCAGTTCCTAGGAGAAATGTCTGTGTTATGGAAGAAGATCAAGTATAAAGCCTCAGAGAAGGGAAAGGCAACAAATTTTTGCTTGTAAGTGAAAAAGATTGAAATGCCAAATGAAGATTTTTGACCGGCTCAGGCAGGTTTAATTATTTATACTCTCCTTTTCCTCAACTTCTCAAAATTTTCAGTGTAGTCTACATTGCACACTACTGTGTTTGTGTGTATGTCTGCTACTCCCTGTGTGTGGGAGAGAGAAAGAGAAACATACAAAGAAAAGTTCTTTGGAATAAATTTTGCTGATATCAGTCTTCTGAGTAATGTGAAGTTTATGTCTGTTAGCCATACCACAAACATTTGTTTAAGAACTTAAAGATTTTTTTAAAAACACTAATACCTAGTAAATCTATCCATCTATCTCTCTATCTATCTATCTACCTACCTATTTGATATCTCTCTTACAATCCTAGAATCACGACAATGTTCTAGGCATTGTGCTAGTACTTATGTATGTATGTACTAGTAAGTATGTATAAACATTAAATAATTTAGATAAATAAAAATATAGCTTTTTAACACGGGGTAATTTTTAATTTGGGCTTAAAATGAAAATGTAAAGATGTGAAGCTCCCTTTTCTCTAGTGAGGAGTTATCACTCTTGTAAGAACTCAACTAGGAAGATCATAACCTCAGAAGAAAAAAAATCTGTCTATAGTATATACTAGTCTCTATTAACATCTGGAAGGGGATATAACAATTGAAATTGGAGTTTTTGTATGATTTTGTTTCACTTTATTAAAACTTAGTAAGAGCTCTCTGGAATTTGGATTTTTATTTAGTGTTGTAATTAAGACTAACAGCTTAAAATCCTTCTCAACTACATGTTGAATAAAACAGAAAATAGCAATACCCCATTCACTGGATTGTTTTAATTGTTTACAATTGAATTTGTTTAATTAGACAATTGTTTAATTGTTGGTTTCATTGCTTAATTATCAGATGAGATACTATATGTAAAGAACTTACAGTAGTATCTGGCATAAACCAAGCATTTAGAAATTAGTAAATGTTTTATTAATAATGTAATCACTATTTCAGAGCAGTAATTGCAAATATCACTTTGGGAAAAAAAAAGACACATGGCTTTGTTAAACTTTGACAGTCTGATATATCTATATGAACAAAACAGATGGTCATCATATTTCTTCCATCAACTCTGCCAGGATTTTATACCCAAACAATCTGTCTGGTTATTTCTTTCTTGACCCATTCAGCAGCCAACTAAAAGTAGTCCCTTTTATTTAGATAAGCATGTGCTTTTTTGCATAATACGTTTTTCTTTTAAAACATGTCAACTTATTTTTATTGAACATTAGTGCTAGCAAAAATGACAATAATGTATACAAATTCTGTCTACTTTTTTAATATTTTATTTTTTAAATGCAGATACCTCTTCAAGCAAAAACTAATTATAGTTTAATAAAGTTTTAGCCAATAAAAACAATCTTTCCGTAACAGAATTTAAGAGCTTCAAGTAAAAAAATTATACTAATTAGTTAAGATGGATATTGTCTGAATTCCATTTTCTAATCCTAAACCATATTTAGTCAATCTATTCATAAGCAGTGTAAGAAATGATTTATAATGACCAAAGTCGAAGCTTCATGGACTCAAAGTTCTTGAATATGACCCTTCTTGGAAATTTAATGGTTATTTATGTCCAACTGCTTCTGCATCACATCAAAGAGCATAATTAAAATATGTTTAATTCATGATTATCATTAGTATGACTCATTAAAAACAAAATCTTTATCATTATAGGCTTCAAGGCATGTAAAACTCAAACTACAATGTTTCCAAAGTATTTATTTATAATTTCACTGTACTTGGAGAAATAATTCTTAATTTGCACTGTAAGCAGAATCAGGGCACAGGGCAGTATGCCAAAATAAATCACATAAGATTGTACTTCAATTTTTCTTAACAACAACAACAACAACAAAACATGTTTCCTGTTTTTGAAACATAATTTTTACGTAAAGACGGACAGATATATATATGTCCATCTTTGGCCATATATATTATACAGGGAGATATATATATATATATCTGTGTGTGTATATATATATGTGGAGATATATATGTATACACATATATACAGATATATATATGTGTATACATATATCTGTATAGATATATATGTATACACATATATACAGATATATATGTGTACACATATATCTGTATATATGTGTACACATATATATACATGGATATATATATACACAAATATCTGTATATATGTGTATATATATACATATATACACATATATCTGTATATATGTGTATACATATATCCATGGATATATATGCACACAAGGTATATATACATATATGTATATATACACATATGTATATATGTGTATATATATCCATGTATAGTATATATATGGTCTATCTTTGGACATATATATAATGTACATGACATATGCACATATGTCCATATATAATATATATATGGCCAAATATGGCCATATACATAATATGTCTTTACCTAAAATTTTTACCTAAAAATTATTTTGCAAAAACAGGCTACCTGTTTTGTTGTTGTTAGGAAAACTGAAGTTTTATATTTCTATTTTACATAAAATATGTTTTGTGTTATATATAATTTATATAATATATAAGTATATATATTCAAACTCACACCTTGATATCATATATTAAATCAAAGTTTGCATTTTTGGTTTGAAAATTATGTTATAAACACAGTGTTGTATCATTGCACAATGGTGTAAATATGGCATTTTCTGTCAAATGACAGAAGAGCAGAACTGCATCCATTCTTGATCCTTCCCTCTCTCACCATTTTACTTGCACATGGCAAGCTTATTTTATGCTCTGAAGTTTCCAGGAAAATCCATCATATTAAAAATGTTTTTATTTATAAAATGAGCATTTGCATTGAATGTAAGCATTAGCTTGTAATTTTTGACATGATGTATTAGAAGGTGTTTCCACATTCTGGAACACAGCACTAAACAAATTAAAATCTTACATCCATATTTAAGGCATAAGGATTTATGCTTCGTCTATTTTGGTTTGTTTGCATTTGTTAAAAATACACTACTAATATTTAGTAGTTATGAGCATAAAGTACAAATGTATATAAGTTTCTACAAAATCATTAAAAGTTAGACTACTTACTTTTCAGAGATTCTCTTATTTCAAAGAAAAAATTTCAAAATAGGAATTACTTCATACTGGTACATGGCTGCTATAGGTACTCTTTTGCGATTTTATTTATTTTACTTTACCAAATTATCTAATTAATACCTCTAATAGTCCTTATTTCTTATGTAATGTTGCATTGGAATACGTAAATATGAGAATTAAGCAGTTTGTACAGAGACATTCTATTTTATCCAGCTGCTTCAAAGATCACAGTAAAATAAACTTTTAAAATTTGAAAATGTAGAGAATGTTCTACAAAATTCTTGAGCCATAAAAATAGACAAAACAAGGGCCTAATTCTCCTCTTTTAGCATTAAGTTCATCAGTGGTATTAATTAAAATACATCTACTTTATTAAAATCAGTCAGAGCATAGTTTTAGAATTTACTGAAAAATTAATTACATACAACCCTTCCCCAGCACACAATTCATTTCATAATGAATCTTTACAAAATTAAATACATAAAGTCCAATAGTTGACCTAATGCAGAGATGTATGCATTGAAATTATTAATTTTTATCCTTAAATTGATTAAATATATTCATTTTACTGAAAATAAGAACAAAGGAGATAGCCTCTGTGTTTTAAACATTCTCTCAAAAACAACAGAATGTATTTATTTGTGATGGAGTAAATTTAAACATAAAGTAACTGGACAGTCATGACACTGATAAGATTATAATTATGCCTGTTTAAGGGCTGGGCAAGGTGGCTCATGCCTGTAATCCCAGCACTTTGGAAGGCGGAGGTGGGCGGATCACCTGAAGTCAGGAGTTCGAGACCAGCATGGCCAACGTGGTGAAACCCCGTCTCTACTAAAATAAATAAATAAATAAATACAAAAATTAGCCATGTGTGGTAATGGGTGCCTGTAATCCCAGCTACGTGGGAGGCTAAGGCAGGAGAATCACTTGAACCTGGGAGGCGGATGTTGCAGCGAGCTGAGATTGCGCTATTGCACTCCAGCCTGGGCAACAAGACTGAAACTCCATCTCAAATAATAATAATAATAATAATAATAATAATAATAATAATAGTAATTATGCCTGTTTAAGAGAAATGCTGTGGGTGAATTGTGAGACACTATGGCGTTATGAGTTGTTGCAATACCCATATCAGAAATGCAGACGATGCAGAGTCTTGCAGTTTGTTCACTCAACTAATAGGAAGAAACTTTTGTTCCAATGACATCAGAAATAGAAATAGGGAACTAGCATAAATCTAACAATAGTTATGGATTTTTGAAAATATAGTCTGAAACTTTTGAGAAAAATAAGACTTTCTACTATAAAAAGTCAGACATAAAAAGTTCCTTAATGAAATCTCAAAAGGCTCCTTGGGACTCAAATAAATAATTAAAATAGTTTTGGTAAGAGCTAACTCTAAGGGAATCAGAAACATATGGAATGGAGAAAAACTCCTTGAGGCCAAACTCATTAAAAGTTTGCAAATGCAAAACATTTGAAAAACAGTGAATAAGCCAGCTGAATGCAAAGCAACTCTGATTTTTACTAGATTTAATAACCAAGCAAAATGAATCCACATTTACTCCTTTATAATACCACCATTTACAAAACCTTTACAAAACCATACAAAATATCCATTAATTCATTCCAGAAACATCTATTGACTATTTTAAGGCATGATTGTTTAGACTTCAGATATAGAATAAGGAGTTAGACAAAATACCTGCCTTATGGATTTTACATTCTCAAAAAATAAGGAAATAGCATGATGTCAATATACTATTATACAGAATTTAATAATAATGTGTGCATTGTTGTTCATATGTCTTAACCTACAGTCTGATATTACACTAAAATCATCAAATGAGGAAACAAAGATTCAGGGGTGTGCGAAATCATACTGGTACCTGCAGTCTATCTGAGTATGACTTATGGTTTTCAACTAAATGGCTTTCTTAAGTAACTGAATACATTTTGGCATTTATTTCTTTAATATCTGGTAATTCCTGCTCTTATTTTTAATTCTTGCACTTCAAAGGAGAAATTCTTTTTGTTTGTTTGTTTGTTTTAATTTTTGGGACAGGGTCTCACTCCGTCACCCAAACTGGAGTGCTGTAGCACAATCTGGGCTTACTGCAACCTCTGCCTCCAGGGACCAAGGGATCCTTCCACCTCAACCTCCCAAGCAGCTGATACTAGAGACATGCACTAACATGCCCAGTAATTTTTTGTATTTTTTGTAGAGATGGTTTTTGCCATGTTGCCCAGGCTGGTCTCAAACTCCTGGGCTCCAGGGATCCAACCACCTAGGCCTCCCAAAGTGCTATGATTACAGATGTGAGCCATTGCACGCAGCCAAAAATGAAGTTCATTTACATATTGAAAATTTGCCAATGTTTCTGCTCCTGGCAAAGTTTGAGCAACATCATTCCCTGTAACCAAACTGGTTGAATTAAAGGTCGGTTGGGAAGCAGAGAGAATAGCTGCAAATGAGAAAAGGAACTGAACAGCATTTTAGTTCCTCTTAGCCTGGGCCTGTGTTACACTGTTTGATTTGTAAGACACACTTATGCTCAAGGGTAAACATGATATTTCATTTTAAAGGCATCTAAGCATTTTTAGGATTAGCGCTTTTGGATGTCGTTGTTGAAGTTCACCTAAAAAGGGTTGGAAATATATTAACATACTAGTCATCATATGCAACGTGATTTTTTTAAGTTGATAATTAAAACAAGCATCAAACACAATTGAATTCAACACATCTTTAATGACATTCTATGTTACTACAATATGCCAGGTGCTATATGGAAAACATGAGAAGCATAAGTAGTGCACTCTTCTTTCCTGAAACTTAAAACAACAGAAGGATATATAGGAAGTAAAGCCAGAGAAATGGCACAAACAGAAGCTATTCCAGTCCTGCTTGCTTCCCTGGCAGGTAGCTTATTGATGTGTATCTTGGGGCACATGTCATAGCTAATAAAATTCAATGCTCATCTCTCTCTCTCTCTCTCTCTCTCTCTCTCTCTCTCGATTCTATACAATGTGCAGAAATTCTATACAATATACAATGTGCAATTCTTCACAATGTGCAGAAATCAGTAGGCACTGAATAAGTTATTTTGAATACTAAAGACTGTACGTGCATAACTGTGTTAGCCTGTTCTCATACTGCAAAAAAGAAGTGCCCAAGTCTGGGCATGGTAGCTCATGCCTGTAATCTCAGCACTTTTGGAGCCTGAAGCATAAGAATTGCTCGAACCAAGGAGGCAGAGTTTGCAGTGAGCACTCCAGCCTGGGTGACAGGGCTAGACTCTCTCTCGGGGTAAAACAAAACAAAACAAACAAACAAAAAACAGCCCAAGACTGGGTAATCTATAAAGAAAAGAGGTTTAATTGACTTATAGTTTCACGTGGATGGCTGGAGAGTCCTCAGGAAACTTACAGTCATGGCAGAAAGTGAAGCAGGCATGTCTTACGTGGTGGCAGGTGAGAGAGAGCATGTGAAGGAGGAATTGTCAAACACTTATAAAACCATCAGCTTTCATGAGAACTCACTCATTAACATGATAACAGCATGGGGAAAACTACACCTATGATCCAATCACCTCTCATCAGGTTCCTCCCTCAATACCTGGGGATTACAATTAGACATAAAATTTGGGTGGGGACACAGAGCAAAACCATATCAATAACTAATAACCAAGTAGAATAACTGGGGGATGATTTAAGGGGAAGAATAAACAACCACAAGGAAAAGCAAATATTAAAAGAGAAAATAGGCTGGGCATGATGCCTCACGCCTGTAATCCCAGCACATTGGGAGGCCGAGGCAGGCGGATCACAAGGTCAGGAGTTTGAGACCAGCGTGGCTAATATGGTGAAACTCATTCTCTACTAAAAATACAAAAGTTAGCTGGGTATGGTGGTGGGTGTCTGTAGTCTCAGCTACTTGGGAGGCTGAGGCAGGAGAATTGCTTGAACCCGGGAGGCAGAGGTTGCAGTGAGCTGAGATCATGCCACTGCACTCCAGCCTGGCGAACAGAGTGAGACTCAGTCTCAAAAAAAGAAAAGAGAGAAAATAAAGGGATGAGTCAACAGCAGAGATAGTGCCCTCCAAATTAGTGGGGGAAATGGATAAGATACATTTGCAGCTTAGTGAGGACTCTATTTTGGCAGGAGCAATGGGTGGGGAAAAGAGTTAAGAGATGTTTGGGTTAAGTAAGCAGGAACAAATGAAAGATAGCCTTGCTAGCCAATGTAAGGAATATTGACAATTTCTGGAAAGTAAAGTCACAGTGATGTCACTGAAGAATATGACTGCAGAACATGAGAAGAATAAGGTTTACACTTAATGAAAAATGCTTACATTAGAAAGACTTAGAAACAGCATAATAGTTTAAATGTAAAGACTTAATCAGAGAAAATTACAATAGAAATGGAAATGGAAGAACAGATAAAACCAATAGTTCAAAGTTCCTAATCACAGATTTGGAGAATAACTAATGTTAAATAGGATAATTCAGTAGATATTATATTTTCAAGATGGGAGGCTAGACATATCAGAAAGCAAAAGTATATGATGAAATCATAGAAGAATCCAGTATTCCATTAGTAATTTAAGTAGCAGATCAAGAATCAGATGTTAACTTGAAGTCATTGGCACTGAATGTTGATAAACCCACCCTTCTAGCTCTAGGCTCAGAGATGAAGACGATAACTTGGCAGACAATCAAATAAGATCCAGAGCACACTCAGAAAGACTGAGGAGCTCTAGACAATGCTCAAATGAGATAACAGACACAGAAGGAAAGTCTTTTTGCTCCTGTCTTCATTGTTCATTCAGCACAGTTTGGGCTGAGACAAGGGTTACTCTCAACTTTCATTTATTCATATAAGTATCCATTAGGTAACAACCATTTTCAGGCATTATGCAGGCACGGGAAAAAACTGATGGAACATAATCCTGGTTTTGGAAAATTCTACAATTTGTTGGAGAAACAGATGATGAGTGGATTAAAGTGATAAATGATTAACGCTAATTAAAATTATTAGAAGAAATTTTATTGAAGTGGTGATTGCTTTTTCTAGTTTCCAGAAAAAAGAGACAAGAAGCAGAAGCTACATTATGGGCTAAGGCATGGCGCAATGAGAAAACAATCTGTGAGAGCAACTGTAAGTTGTTGACTGTGTTCAAACCTCTGCTATAGTCTGTACAACTGATATAGTTTGGATATCTGTCCCCACACAAATCTCGCGTTGAAATGTAAGCCCCAGTGTTGGAGTTGGGGCCTGATGGGAGATGTTTGCGTCTTGGAAGAGGATCCCTTGTGGCTTGGTGTGGCCCTTGCTATACGGAGTGAGTTCTCAGAAAATCTAGCTGTTTTGAAGTATGACACCTCCCCCATCTCTTGCTCCTGTTCTCACCACATGAGATGCCTGCTCCCTCTTTGTTTCTACCATAAGTAAAAAGCTCACTGAAGCATCCCCAGAAGTTGAGCAGATGCAGGCGACATGCTTCCTGTACAGTCTGAAGAACCATAAGCCAATTTAACCTATTTTCTTTATAAATTACCCAGTCTCAGATATTTCTTTAGAGCAGTGAAAGAATGGCCTAATAGGATAATTATTCTAGAATATTATTATATAATTCTCATTTATTGGCTGTAATGTCTATTTATAAATTATTTGTAGCAAATTTAAAAAGAAGTTAAATGCTATTTTATGATAGATACTATTTTGGTAAAAGTAATCTCATTAAACTTTGAGCCAGTGGGCTTTGCTGATTCAATAATTATTTAATAACTGGTTAATTTCCACTGCAAAAAAAAATTTCTGTGATATAATGATTCTTCATATAGGACCAGTAAACAAGTAAGTATATATTTGTGTGTGTTTATGTGAATGTGTGTGTGTGTATGTATATTTACACATAGAAAAGACTGGAGATGGAGTCCTCTGAGCAGCAGCTGGTGAAGGTAACCTTATCGTTGGTAGTCTCTACGGTACTTCCGTCACCATTTAGCATGGACAGATAAATAATAAAGAGTATGAGAAGTAGCTATTCCAGACCAGGGAGTATAGAATGCTGTTTAAAATGCTGGTCATGAGTTCAAGATTCCCAAATAAAAGGGAAAACTGTTTTTATTGAGACCTCAAAGCAAAAATTTTTTTTATTATATATTTAAAGTTACATACAAAATCATAGTTTTCAGAAAAGAAAATGCTTACTTTTGGTGATAATATACTTTCTGTAGAGAATGATTACTATATGTAAGCAAACAGAGTTGCAAGAAGCATTCATTCAGTCGTACATCAATTATTTACTGAATGCTTACTTCCAGGCGTAGTTGAAATGAAAAATCAGAAAATATTTCTGATGACCAGACTTAAGGAAAATTGATACCCAATAGACAGCAGGGAAATTGTGCTTCTGAATGATAAACTATCTTGCATCTGACCACATATCCTGCCAATGCCAATTTAAAAATCAGAAAGTAAACATTTGTAGTTCTATTTCAGTGACTAGAGATTATCAAAGAAGCCAAGAACTAAGAGACCAAGATCCCGTGGATAGATCTGATTTGTTTTTTGAAAAGTAGAAGAAGTGGTCTAAGTCTATACTTAAGTCATCCTCACCTTCAGAAGTCATGCTGTCTGGGGTCAGCAGACAAACTTGAGAAGGACCAGGCAGATATTCTTCTAGTAACATTGAACTGAAAGCCAGCCTCTGAAATAATTAAATGATACAATATTTGTATTTAATTTTTATAAGCGAATAATATTATTTTCTTATTAATGATTCTAGTAGGAAATCTCCTCCTGCTGGAAACAAAAAGATCTTCAGAAGCTAACAGAATACTAAAATCTGAAAAAGAGCATTCCCTTAGATAGTATTGATATTATTATTAGTCTCTTGGTGAAAATAAATGAAAAATTTATAGCAAGATCCATTGTGTCATTTATAGACCATTAAAGCAGTGGGCTAAGGACTTTATTTTGATCTCATTTAATTCCCATATCAGTGACACAGTAAATAGCAGAGCTAATATTTGAGCACAGGTATCCTCATGTGAATGTCTGCTTTCTTTATTACCATACTATAGCATGTATTAGGATATGAGTCTATGAGTTTATTTTTTTCAAACAATTAGTTGTTATTTTTCATACATAGCAATTAAAGTGGATCATTTATTATAAATAAATACATAGATACTTGAGCTGTGCAGATCTATCTATTACAGTGACAGTGCTGCACCAGTGTAAATAAAGTTAAATACACATTATTTCAGAGAAAATGTTGTATAATAAAGGCTTTTTTATGCCTGGGTGGATAAACATTACACAAAAAGAAACTCAGCAAACCCAAGAACGGAAGATTTACTTATGAAACCTTAAAGAAAACTAACATAGGTTCTGGTCAAGCTAGTAGTTCTCTGTGTGTGACTTGTGCAGATCTGCTGGGAAGCCTGGCTTTTACGTTAGCGAATAACTAAAATATCTGCTTTGGGAGAAGATATAGTCTATCCAAAGTGCTAATAAATCCTCTGGGCAAAGTAGCTGGTGCTGGCAGATGCCCCTACTGTGTTAATTTGACTCAGAAAATATTGCTCTCCAGTAAAGATTAAATGAATGCTGCTTCACAGTTTAAACCGATCATAACTTTTTAAATAAAAGGTATTAAACAAATGCATTTACTCATATTTTGAGGAATGACAATGAAGCTATTATCAATGAAGTGTTAAATAGCTTTTCTCTAAAAGGGCACCCCATTTACTATCAAGAAAGTTGACATACTGCTCCCATATTACATTTAGATATTTGTTTTCCATTAAATCATCAGCTGTAGAATTGCGGCAAGAGAGGATTCCTAAGTGCACATTTTATAGTCCATTTATGAAGAGACAGACCAGCCCCACTGAAGCATTGGTTACAATATTCTCATCATCTTGTATAAGAGTGCTCATCTGGGACTGGAAAGAAGAGAAATGCCTGCATTAGAAACAGCTCACTAATCTCCTTGCCAATCAGTGCTCTCATGATGTTAGGCTAGGATTATTTTTTAAAAGCTTTTCTTTTTTAATTTTGAAGAGTTCAATCAATATGATTGAAACTTATATCTTGAATGAAGTATCTGAAGGGTGAAGGAATAAAAAAAGAATCGGTTAAGTCTGGGGATTTGCTTCTGTCTGTGGTTTCTGGAAAAAAAAATTACTTTAACTTTCATCAGGAGCAGAATGAATGAGAAGATATTAACACAGCAGAAAAGTTTACTCTGAAAATTCGTTAAAATTACAACTTCATCTTTTGTGGCTATTTATTCTATGATTATTAATAATTGAATTTTTTTCTGCTTTTATAATTGTACCTACTTGGAGTAAGATTATCTAGCACTTCATGTGTCCAAACATGGTGAAAGTTGCTGTTCTTTACACTCTTACACCTAGAAACATTTTGTTCTAGTAAGGTCATAGTAAGTTTTGATTCATAATGGAATAAGAGAAAGTGTGCATGTCTTAAAAATATGAAGACACACACACTCACACACATGCATATACATATCCTAGATTCTGTAAATAGAAACTAAGCCTTTTGGCCTTTGGTGGAGAAACAGTATAAGAGATGAGATTTTTTTCAACTCCAATTTGTCTTAAGAGCTGTATTATCTCAGAAAAGCTGGTCTTGACAAACACCAAAATGCATGTCGCTTTCTCTGTTATTAATGAAAAGAATAACTGTTGCTGATCTGAAAATATCTAAAGCATAAAATGATTAGGGGATTCAATTTCAAAATTTATTTTTAATATGCATGATTCTGTCCCATAGCCTCTCATAGACATGGAAGAATTAAAGAAATTCTCAATTATTTCTTGAGAAAAACAGACAATATAACTTTTTGAACACTTCTATGATTCAGACACAGACCTAAACTTTTTCACTATTATTTTCCTCGGAAATCATTCATTCATTCAAACACATCTGAACAGTCTACATGTGATAGGAATATTTAGATGTAGTGGACAGGACAGTGAACAGGTGATGTCTTCAAAATCAAAAGAATGGTAAAAGCCATCACCTGGCTTCTCAGTTCTCTGAACTCCTCTGGTTTAATCAATTTTATCCACACTTCATGGAAACAATGACATCATTATTTCCTGAATCTTTTCATTACCTTTAATTGCCTCAACTCCAGAATCTCAGTTTCAATCATATCATTCTTTGATTATCCTCATTTAAAATTCCAGATTACTCCTTATAATATCAACACTCCAACCACTTCTAATGCCATAAAGACCTCCCATGAAATGACTAACATCATTTCCACTGGGCCTTCATTCTACTCTTTTTCTAGCTTAGATTTTATGGTCTAGTTCTATAAACCTCATGTTCATGAATCTTGTATCAGTCAGGATCAAAGAAGAAAGTTGACAGCATACTCAAGGGCTTAACTAAAATGGTTTGGTGGCTTGGACAGAGTTAAGGGAACCAACAATTCCAAATCGCAACGCAGACACACACACACACACACACACACACACACACACACACACACAAAGCAAGCAACTAAAAACACTGGAAGTTGCAAGTTCAAAATGAGCTAGAATCTTGAACCAACTAGAGTTTTAGAAAAGGGGACATTCAAAAGAGCAGTATCCATAAAGAGGGTGGCTACTTCCTGAACTCAGTGAGGGCTGGGGAGATGGTGGATTAATGTTAACGCTCTGTTTTCCCACCCTCTTACTTCCTGCTAATGGCTTCCACTGTCCAATTTCTATAGATGACATATAATAAAATAGCTACAGGGACACAATGTGTAAAGCTCAATCTACAGGGAGTAGCACATGGCAGAGAGGAGCATAAAATAGATTTGAGAAGAGGAAAAAAATTGAATAACCGTGCAC